>NC_000016.10:1885000-2510000 GCF_000001405.40 Homo sapiens | reverse complement strand
AGCAGCATTTTGCAGAGACCCCGGCAAGGGTAGGGGAGGATGGGGATAAAGAGACAAGGAATAAAGTCCCAAGAGTGACTGGGGAGATCAACTTCTCCGGAAGAAGCCATCACAAAGGGCTGGGGGGCAGCCTCATCTGCAGATGACAGTGTCCCTGCAGGCACCTGCTCCTGGAGACAGCTATCCTTCTGAGTTGCCCTGAGGACACACCCAGAGGGGCACAATGCTGGGAGATGGCACTGGGCACTCTTGACCTGCTTCCAGGAGAGCCATGTGTGGCCCCAGCAGGGCCGGAGGAAATGGGCCAAGAACACAGGTGTACCATCAGGGGTATGACCAAAGGTGCTTTATTTTCTTATCATTAAAAGTTAAGGCTTAAACAATGATACAGTGAAGTTTTTTGTTTTTTGTTTTTTGTTTTTGAGATGGAGTCTCACTCTGTCACCCAGGCTGGATTGCAGTGGCGCAATCTCAGCTCACCGCAAGCTCTGCCTCCCATGTTTAAATAAAATAAAATGCCAGAGGTAAAGACAACGTGGTGCAAGTAGGACTCGGCACCGTACAAGCTGCTTGGTGCAAGGAGGCTCCCCAAAGTCGAGGGCGGCAGGGGAGGTGGAGCCCTGAGCTGCTCCCGCTGGACAGCAGGCACTGAGGGGGCAAGAGGTTGGAGGCAGACGACTGCAATGACCCCAAGGACAGGGCAGCTCCCCCTTCTCGCTCACCCCAAGCTTTCAGGGTTGATGGAAAAGGGCCTGAGTGGGCCCTCCTCTTTGAGGACCCAGTGGGGTGGGCAGGGAGTCCAGCCGGCCCTGACCACTAGGCAGCAGTGTTCGGCGTTTCTTCTGCAGGCAGGTGGGCAGGTGGAGGACCCCATTGGCTCACAGGTGCTATAGTAGCCATTGGGTTTTTTTGGACACAAACTTCCAAATGACCAGGGCCGGGGGCTGCACCTGCACCACGACCAGGTTTTTCAGAACGGGTGTCAGATAAACGCTCAGCCCTAGGCAGCCTGGACCCCATGTCTGGTTTCAGGGTGCACCCTGAAGGCCAACACGGCCTCCTCACACTCCACCCAGGGGGTCAGGGCTCACCGCCGCAGCCCTTGCCCGCCTCAGACCCTGATCCATTCATTCAGTTCCCTGAGCACCTACTATTGTGCCAGGTGCTGAGTGAGGCCCCTGCCAGACAAAGACAAGTTAGAGTCCCTACCCTCAAGACCTGGCAGCCTACCAGGGAGCAGTAGCGTCCCCAACGGTACAGCCAATGCCGCACCAGAAGTGTGGTTCCTAGAAGCAGGGGGGACAAGGGAAGGAGGTGCTGGGACTAGCTCGGTGGGTCGCAGAAGAGGTGATCTCTGAATTAGGACTTGAAAGATGAAGAGAGGGCATAGAGCAGGGGAGAAACATGATCCAGTCTGTATTTAAGTAAGTCACAGACTGGTCGGGCACATGGCTCACACCTGTAATCCCAGCACTTTGTGAGGCCAAAGTGGGCGGATCACCTATGGTCAGGAGTTGGAGACCAGCCTGGCCGACATGGTGAAATCCCGTCTGTACTAAAAATGCAAAAATTAGCCGGGTGTGGTGGCGGGTGCCTGTAATCCCAGCTACTAGGGAGGCTGAGGCAGGATAATCGCTTGAACCCGGGACGGGGAGGTTGCAGTGAGCAGAGATCATGCCACTGCACTCCAGCCTGGGTGACAGAGCAAGACTCCATCTCAAAAAAACAAAAACATGAAAATGAAACCCAAAGTCATAAGATAGAGAGGCATGGGGAGCAGCTGCTTGCTGGGGCCAGGTTTTCCTTTAGGAGTGGGGAAATGCCATGGAACTGGAGGTGGTGGTTCCACAACATGCTCATTCATGCAACCACCACCTCTGTCTGGGGTCGTTCAAATGGTTGGATAGTATGTCAATTTCACTTCAATTTTTTTAAAAGAAAAATGAAACAGTTTCATGGCAGGCTAGAGGGAAGACTGTGCCCTGGACACCTGCCACAGACTAGGCCCGGAAAGCAGCCTGAGGGAAGGCTGCTGGTAGAGGCGGCAGGAAGGGAGGGGGCGGCACTGCCTGGCCAAGCTCTGGGCAGACACCAGCCCCACAGTGAGCTGGCCTGCAGGAGGAAGCAGCCCTGCGCCCCACCTCCCAGGCCAGAGCGCTCTGCACGCCCCGCTCAGGGACAATCTTGCCCAATTCTGGCCTGAGTGTGTGTCCTAATGTCAAGCACAAGACAGTCCGAGCACTTACAGTAAGTGCAAGAGTTACTGCAGGGAGCGTGGCGGGTGTGGGAAGGGGGTGTCCCGCCACCACAGGCCCCAGGAGCACACCTGGAGAATCTCTGATCACCCTGGACGCACAGCAGCAGCGCACACCAACCCACAGGGGCTTCAGTTCATTCTGCAGTGCTAGGCACTCCTGCCCCTTGAGACTGACAGTCTTTAGGACAGGGGGTGGGGAGACCAGCCAACACCTGTCTCAGGTGCTGTGAAGCTAGAACGCGGACCCGGCCTCAGCGGGGAGCTCAGGGAAATCCTGGGAGGGACACTAGGGCCCAGGCATGAGGAGTGGCAAATAGCACGCGCAAAGGCCGGGAAACAGAGGCTTTCAGTTCAGAGGAACTGAAAGAAACCTGGTGCCAGAGAGCCTGTGGCTGTGTTGGGGGCCAAGCTTCCTGCCAGGCTAGCAGACCAGGAGGCCTCTCAGACCCGGGACAGGTGCTGCCCCAACAGTCCCCTGAAGGTACTGAAGGAAGGTGTTCAGAGGAGCAAAGAAAGAGGGCTTGGCAGGAAGGGGCCACCCCCGTGGCCAGTCTGGGGAAGAGGAACCCAGGAGCATAGAGTGGGCAGAGGCAGCTCACGTGACGGCAGGCAGAGGCTCCACAGCAGCTGCAGGGAGGGCCCCCAGCAGCCTCGGTCTCACTGGAGGAACTGGACAGGGAGGGGGCATCTGTGCAGGGCTCAAAAGAAAAAAGGCATTCTATTTTTCTTTGTATTATACCGATCCACAATTAAACACAAGGTACTAAAAAGACGTGGCCGGGCACGGTGGCTCACCCCTATAATCCCAGCACTTTGGGAGGCCGAGGCAGGCGGATAACTTGAGGCCAGGAGTTAGGGACCAGCCCGGCCAACATGGTGAAATCCGGTCTCTACTGAAAATACAAAAATTAGCCGGACATGGTGGCAGGTGCCTGTAATCCCAGCTACTCAGGAGGCTGAGGCAGGAGGATACCTCAAACCTGGAAGTTGGAAGTTGCAGTGAGCCAAGATCGCACCACCACATTCCAGGCTGGGCGATACAGCAAGACTCCGTCTCAAACAAAAAAAAAGACATTCATTAATATTGACGTGGCCAGGCGCGGTGGCTCACGCCTGTAATCCCAGCACTTTGCGAGGCCGAGGCGGGTGGATCACGAGGTCAGGAGATAATTCCATCCTAGCTAACAGGGTGAAACCCCGTCTCTACTAAAAATACAAAAAAATTAGCCGGGCGTGGTGGCAGGTGCCTGTAGTCCCAGCTACTCGGGAGGCTGAGGCAGGAGAATGGTGTGAACCCAGGAGGTGGGGCTTGCAGTGAGCCGAGATTGAACCACTGCAGTCCAGCCTAGGTGGCAGAGTGAGAGTCCATCTCAAAAAAAAAAAAATTATATATATATATATATATATATAGAGAGAGAGAGAGAGAGAGAGAGAGAGAGAGACGCAAACTTTCAAAGGAAATACTCATTTTGAAATTTTGAATGAGAAAGGTTGAGTTTGTTTTTTGATACTCGTGTTTTACACACGACAGGGGTTCTTCACTATTTTTTTGTGGAGATGGAGTCTCCCTGTGCTGCCCAGGCTGCTCTCAAACTCCTGGCCTCAAACAATCCACCCACCTCAGCCTCCTAAAGTCTTGGGATTACGGGTGTGAGCCACCACACCCGGCCTTGACAGGGATTCCTGATGAAACGTCTGACACTGATTCTTCATGGTGACTCCTCTAAGTCTCCCTAAGACTTTGCTGAGTGTAGCTGTCCACACAGCAGGCACTAGGAACAAAAGAAAACAAGACGGATCAGGGAATGCTGCCGTTCTCACCGGCCACGGCTGCAAATGCGACAGACATGTACCTGTCGCCTCAGTGGAGAGACTCGCTGGTGACCACAATGCGCAGATGCGGTCTTGTCAACCTAGCGCCTCCCTCTCTCCTCCAACACCCTGGAGAAGAGGCGTCCAGGACTTCCCATCCCTCTAAGCCTTCTCATAGCAAGTTATTTCACAGTGACCTTCTTTTACCAGTTCTCGATTTTATTTAGGACTCAAATTAACACCAACCAAACATATCACTAACTCACTTATTTTCACATTTTCAAAGTTGGATTGTGCTGCAAATCCATACATTTGTGCTCACTACACATTTTTTTTATTACATTCATTGAGAGGCTCCAAAGCATCAGTCCAATAAACATTTTTCCAGCCCGATAACCATCCTTCGTAAGAACTAAGAGGTAAAATCATTCACACAACTATTTTTTCCCTTCTATCCTTAGCTCATAAGCATTTGACCAAATGCCAATGTTTTTGCCAGTTCATGTTGTCCGTGCCTTATCACAAGTGACATGTCTACAGGACACGGTATCCACTGACTTTGCTTCCTTGGTCCCAAGAAAAGGTGTTGACAAATTCCATAGTTTGGTAAAATGAGTGAGTCTGCAATTGTGGGAGGCATTTTGTTTTTAGCAATGAATCACATTACATTGTACCTAACTTCTCAAGCACAATCTGATACTAAGATGATGAAGATAGTTCTTAAAAACTCTTTATACCAGATGATTTTTAAAAATCCACATACTTTTCTACCTAACATAGATGTTGTAGGGTGAAGAGCCTATGAGGCTTGTTTGGCACTCCTGCTTCATTTGATAATTTCTCCACGCAAACAAGACATTTAGGCTGAGAAAGAGAACCAGCAAGAATCTGGATGAGCTGGGCACAGCAGCTCACGCCTGTAATCCCAGAATTTAGGGAGGCAGAGGCGGGAGGATTGCTTGAGTCCAGGAGTTCAAGACTAGCCTGGGCAACACAGCAAGACTATGTTCTCCACAAAAAGGGAGGAAAAAAATCTATATGAACCCAAATTTGAGGCAGGTGCTGTATTGCCTAATTAGTGGCCATTTGGGTTTTTTTGACCAGTGGTTTTGTGAGTTTGATGATATTCTGGACTTAGTAAAAATGTGAGAAAGTAAACAACTGTAAAAATTAAATCGATTCCTGGACAGTGGGAAAAAAACGGGGCAATCTCGGCTGGGCGCGGTTGCTCACGCCTGTAATCCCAGCACTTTGGGAGGCCGAGGAGGGCAGATCACGAGGTCAGGAGATCAAGACCATCCTGGCTAACACGGTGAAACCCCATCTCTACTAAAAATATAAAAAAATTAGCCGGGTGTGGTAGCAGGTGCCTGTAGTCCCAGCTACTCAGGAGGCTGAGGCAGGAGAATGGCGTGAATCCGGGAGGCGGGGCTTGCGGTGAGCCGAGATCGCGCCACTGCACTCCAGCCTGGGCGACAGAGCGAGACTCTGTCTCAAAAAAAAAAAAAAAAAAAAAAGGGACAATCTCAATAGGCCTGTGGTTTAGTTAACAGCAATGCAACAATGCTTATTTCTTTGTTTTGATATTGACTTGGGGGAAGGTGAGGGTACATGGAAACCCTGTACCGTCTCTGCAACTCTTCTGCAAATCAAAAATTACTTCAAAATAAAAAGGTACACAACTAAATTACTAAATATAAACTACTCAAGGAGACTGCAAAGGCTTTATGGGTTCAGAAAGTGGATAAGAGAAATATGAAGGCCTCTGAAATCTTCAAAACGTT
This sequence comes from Homo sapiens, assembly GCF_000001405.40. Lineage (NCBI taxonomy): Eukaryota > Metazoa > Chordata > Mammalia > Primates > Hominidae > Homo > Homo sapiens. Next base: position 2,504,147 of record NC_000016.10, on the reverse strand, counting down.
TTAAAACAAATTCCACTGAAAAACTCAAAAAATGAAGTATGCGGCTTACAAAAATAGAAAAATTAAAATACTTTAGTTCATTAAAACTCTGAAAAAATTCAAGTACAAATGACTTACTCTCATAAGTTCTTTTGCTTAAACTGATTTTCTGAAGCCCCAAAGGCATATAATCTGCTTTAATGAATTCATTTAATAAACTATTTTAAATTAGGTGCAATTGTTGTTTTAAAAATAAATGTTAAACATTTATTCAGCACAAAGTGGTCTATTCAAAAAAATTAAAAAATAGGCTAGGCGCGGTGGCTCACGCCTGTAATCCCAGCACTTTGGGAGGCTGAGGGGGGGGTGGATCACGAGGTCAGGAGTTCAAGACCAGCCTGACCAACACAGTGAAACCCTGCCTCTACTAAAAATACAAAAAAAATTTAGCTGGGCGTGGTGGCGTATGCCTGTAATCCCAGCTACTCAGGAGGCTGAGGCAGGAGAATCGCTTGAACCCAGGAGGCGGAGGTTGCAGTGAGCCAAGATCATGCCACTGCACTCCAGCCTGGGTGACTCTGTCCCAAAAAAAAAAAAAATCAAAAAATAATTCTTTGAATGTTTCTAAAAACAAATGATAATTTATTATGCAGTTTCAACAAATGTTGGCTTTTTTTTTTTTTAAACAAAGAATGGCTACTTCATAGGCAGAGCAGCCACTTTTGGCTAATTTTTAACATCCAAAGCTAATAAATAATCAAGAAGAAATAGAGAACATTAACAAAATAAATTATGTTCTATTTGGGAATACCTAATATCAGATACTAACAAGTACAGTGATAAGAATAAAAAAGATAATAATCACACATACCTTCTAGGTTAGTAGAAAAGTTAGGAAAAGATATTAAATTTAAAGAAACAATATTTTGCATGCACACAAAAAACAAAGAACTTCGCTCATGATGTGGAAATCATGACCCAGCAGCAATCCGTCTTCCTGGTCCAGATCACTGGAAGGCCCGGGTGGGGCCCCCTGGGGGCAGCCACGCAGAACCTGCTGGACTTAACTCGCCAGAAAAATCACCACCCAGTTCAGGAAGTTTGCAGAGGGAAACCTACAAATGGTCCACGGATATGACTTCCCTGCTCCTGGAGGGCTCCCTCTGGAAGAGGCTTGCAGCATTCCAGTCATAGAATGTGGGTGAGCACTACAGCGGGCAGCCTCCCACACCTGCTTGGCTGTAGGCCCAGGAAGCCCCCGGAGGCCCCTCTGGCTGAAGAGATCAGACTCAGCTTGGAGCCCTGGAGTTGATGCAGCAAGACCATGTTTAATGAACACCAAAGCTGGCGGTACAGATGAGGGCCTCAGGGGCTCAGGCGGGGGCCTGGAGGGCTGCGGTGGGCTGAGATGAGTGGCGACTTCCCTCCCATACCTCTCCCCGTGAGAGGGATTCACCCCATCCCCCTGCGAGCCTCTCAACAGTCCTGTGAGGAGGACAGCAGGGCATGGGGACTGGCCCCATTTCACAGCTGGGGAAACTGAGTTCCAGACGGGTTTGTCAGCTTGCCCAAAGCCACACAGGGTTCCCGGTCCTTCCTCCTGCACCACTGTGCGCCCAGTCAGAGGCTACATGAGCAGATGGTCAGGGGAGGCTAAAGCCCCATGGGAGGAGCAGGCAATGGTGTGGGGATGGAAAGTGGCACGGTGCAGGGGACTCCAAGTGGCACTGGCTGGAGGCCAGCAGGGACGGGGGTGGGGGCAGGACTGCTGGTACCTGCCTCTGTGACCCAGGCTTCCATGGTCCCAGAACAGCCACTTGGGCCTCTGTGTCTCCCTTCTCCCCTCCGTGGTGACCAGACCCTCAAGACGAGTTGAAGGAGGTCATGGGGCATGGAGGGAGGTCACAAGGCAGGGGGCTGCCCCCTATAGTGCCCAGAGGCAAGGCCTCCCCTGGCACCTACCTGCGTCTGGCCAGCGCAGGGCTCAGGCAGGGCAGGGGCCCAGGGGCCCAAAGGCTGTAAGGTGAGAGGCTCACAGAAAACCCTGACACGTGGCCAGCCACAGCACCACAAGAGGGACAGAGGGAGGACATGCATCCATGCAAGGTGGCCAAGGAGGTGCTGTGTGGCCAGGGCCAGGGGAGGGCACGGGGCCTGGTGCAGAGAAGCAGTTGGGGCTGCACTGAGATGAGCATGCCACAAAGAGGGGCTTGGGCGTGACCCTGGGCCCCAGGTCATTGCAATGACAAAGAGGTGAAATGGGCAGCTGCAGAGGCTACAGGAGCTCAAGGAGGCCTGGGCTGGAAGGGAGGGGAGCTGAGAAGCCCCCTGGGTCCAGGCTTCTCTGGGCAGACCCCTGGAAATGGAGCTTGCTGGTCTGGGTCGGTCCCTGAGGGCCTCTCCCGGGGCTACCTCTTCAGATGGGAACACGCAGGGAGGCCCAGCAAAAGCTTCAGGCTCTGCAGAAACACAAGGACATGTGACATCCCCCTCCAGCTCCCACCCTCCCTGGGGGTGGAGCCCAGCACAAATCCCACCCTCCTCCTCCCACCCAGCAGCTCCCAAACGCAGCCCAGGGGAGCCTCAGAGGCAGCCAAGAAGGGTTAATGTGAGAGGTGGCCCAGGAGGCCTGGGGAGGGAACTGGGGCAAACGCCCAGGACAGGGGGTGGGGTCCGCCAGGGGGCAGGCCCAAGGGTGCCAGTCTGTTCTCGGGATCTACGCTGGGATTCAGTCGCCAGCCAGCCAGGCTGCAGGGCCCTGCTCAGGAGGGCGCGATGCTATGCGGCACCAGCAGGGGGCACCACAGGCCCACCCTTAGCTGCACGTTCCCACTGCCGTTGTACTCCCACCCCAGGGGCTCAGGCTGCCTAGAGAGGCTCAGGGGCAGCAAGACCCAGACACTCCCAAGGCCTTGGGCTATGGAAGCCTCCACGGAGGAGGAAGGTACTTCCTATGCCAGCTCTGGGTGGGGCTGGGGGCACAGCAGGCCCTCCAGCTCTGACCCAGATGCAGGTGGACTGGGGAAGCCCAGCCCAAACCCCAGGTAGAGGCAGCAGCAGGTCCAGGCAACGCCAGGCTTGGCCATGGGGTCCTGCCGTCCCCCAACCCTGCCTACCACATGGGGGTTTCATCTGCTCTCTGCTGCCCGAGGCGGCAGCCCAGCCTCGGCCCACCGCCCCACCACGGCTCAGTCACCGTGGCACAGGCCGTCACTGGGTGTCAGGGTCCTGGAAGCCCCAGGCCTCCACGGCAGCAATGAGGAAGTTCTCGGAGCAGAGGGGCTGGTTGTTGAAGGTGTCGCAGTGGCTTGTGCGGCCCCGGTTCAGGTCCCCATCGATGTAGAGCGCCTGGCCGCCTCCTCCCCCTGCAGGATGCTCAGGTCAGTGGCGGCCTGACTGCCCTATCAGCACTGACCCAGGCACCTCACCTGCTGTCCCAGCTGTCCTGCCCTGCACGGGCCTCTCTGAAACCGCACAGACCGTTGACCCTCCATAGCCCCCAGGACCAGCTGTCCAGGCTGGTCTCTCCCTTCCAGCCCCCTCCCACCCATCATGCCTGGTCCACCCTGACACCCAGGGCCTCTTCTCTGCCACCCCGGTCAGGGAGGGCTGGGTGCAGCAGCTTCAGCTGCCCGGACCCCACACCCTCATCCCAGAGCCCCGTCTGCTGGCGCTCACCGACGATGAGGCAGTCGCTGCCCCCCGCCATGAACATGGACTCGGTCTTGGAGGGCAGGTTGAAGTGGCGAGCGGCCAGGAAGGGCGAGAGGCGGTCAGCGGGGTCTGAGGAGGCGGAGTGGCTGAGTGGGGCGGTGGGCTCGGCAGCCATCAAGGGTGGGGGCTTGGTCAGCTCGGGGTGCTTGATCACCACCCACTCGTAGCGCTGCACCTCAGGCTGCAGCTGGGGTGGAAGGGGAGTGTGAGGAGCTGGCGCGGGCGTTCGCAGGCCCCTCTGCCCCAGAGCCACAACCCGTTTCATCCCGTGAATCTGCACCCAGAGCCCAAGGTGGGTGCAGCCCGAGCCAGGGGCTGGGGAGCTGGTGGCTCGAGCAGATGAAGCCCCCTGCCCCGGAGCAGCGCACGGCTGAATGATCAAACCCGGAAGCACACAGGGCGATGACGCTGCTGGGTGACTGCCATGGCGACACCCAACAGTGTCCCCAGGGCAGGCGGGTGCTCCTGGAGGGATGCAGCTACAGGGTCTGCGTGGGGGTTTGGGGACACTTGGCCCCACTCACCCTAAACACAAAGCATTCTCCGGTCCCAAAGAAGCCCAGTTTGCCTCCAAACTTATTTCTCTCACTCCAGTCTGTGGACAGGTAAGCACCACACACCTGGGGGAAAGGTCTGGGTGAGGCTGTGCCCGCAGGCCCCCAGGAGCGTCCCTGTGCTCCAGACTACTGACGGGCCTGTCCCAGGTCACAGGTGGGGGTGCAGGCATTGCCGTCTCCCACCCCCACCCCAGGGCAGGAGTGGTGTGGGAAAGGCAGTGTTGCAGGTGTGTGCACCCTGCCCCTGGCTTGGGGCTGGCAATGAGGGTGGGCGGGGGCTGTGTTGGGGATAGTCTCATTTCCCCTTGTGGCCCTGAGTGTGGGATGAGCCCCATGTGCTGGCCATACCCACGCTCTGACTCTGGATCTGGCCCAGGAGGCCTAGGCCCTGAAGCCCATCAGAGCCAGCCCTGGAGCCCATCAGAGCCAGCCCTGGAGCCCATCAGAGCCAGCCCTGGCTCCAGGGCCCCTGCTCACCTCCTTCTGCGTGGTCTTGATGAGCAAGAGGGTAGGCTCATGTCCTTCACACTGGAAGTAGAACCTGGCGTAGAGACACGCATGCCAGCTGTCACCCTGCACACCCTCCCAGCCGCCTCCTGCAGCCTCCGCTGGCCCCAGCTGTCTTGGGGCGAAGACCTGGGAACTGTGCTTCCTTCTCTCTGGGTCCCGACAACACCCTCACCCAGGTGTTCTTCTCACCTGGCCCTTCTCTGCCATCCCCAGGACAGCCTGCCCTGGTGTGACTCAGGGGAGAGGCCTTGCAGTGGAAGGCCCCAGTGCAGAGCCAAGCGCCAGGGGCTGGGGAAGCAGGAACCAGAGGAACAGGTCCCTGCGGTGGGGAGGTTTGGGCCATCCTCGCAGCCCAGGCATGTGGGAGCCAAAGAGGCCCTGGTCTGCCAACGTGGCGCCTGGAGCTTGGCTGGTGTCCTTGGCAGGGCCAGGAGAAGTGGCTCCAGCTGTGCCAAAATGCTTGAGTTGTTATGAACCTGTGAACGGTGCTGGGTGGGGGCTGGACCAGCTCTGCCTGCCTCACCCCCAGGTCACCCCAGGCCCAACCCAGAGCTCCCACGGCCACATGCTGTCCAAGGCTGGAGGGAGGCTCCCTGGCTGCACCTGGCAGCACCACCCTGGAGGGCAGCATGCCCCAGGCCCCCGACAGAGCACCATGTGGATGACAGGGTGGGGAGCGAGCACAGCCAGGACCTGCCGCCCACATGGTCCCCCAACCAAGACAATGCTGTGAGCTCCAAGGTGGGGATCCTGCCTCCCAGGCGTCTTCACGACGCCTGCATGGCCCCAAGCTGTGGCACGCCTGCCATGACCCCCAAAGTCTGGGTGGTGTGGGGAGGACAGAGCCCAGAAAGGGACCCTGATTCTTAGGCCCCACAGGAAGAAGCAGGGCCTCACCAGGTGCCGAGGTTTGAGGCCCATTTCCAGCCTCTGTGGGCAGGACACGTGGCTGGGCGGCTCTGCCGCCCGCTCTGGCCCCTTGGGGTGTTACCTGGCCAGGCTGTACCCGTGCTGCAGGGAGGAGAACAGCAGAAGGGGCTGGCACAGGGCAAAGCGCTCGGGGACCCAGGACCAGATGTCTCTCATCTCCCTCACGCTGACGATCTCCGAGCGGAAGTTCTCTGCATGGACGGCCAAGTGTACAAACTGCCTGAGGGGAGCGAGCAGGGGTCAGAGCCCGAAGGCACGTCTGGGGCCAGGCCATGCCCCCCGAGGTATGCCCCAGAGCCTCTTTGGAAGTAAACCCAGAGGGAACTTCTCGCCTGCTTGCCCCGGCCCCGGTTTAGGGCCGGGTTCTAGGTGCCCAACGGGGAGAAAGTTCCCAGGAGCCCCACCTCCCACCCATTACAGAAGGGAAAGTGCCCAGCTTGGATGGGGACAATGCAACTTTTCTCTAAGAAATCAGGACAGAGAGCAACTGCTCTGGCAAGACAAGGCTTCAGGGTGAGCCAAACACCAGCAGATAGCATGACAGAGGCAGACAGGCAGGGAGGCAGGCAGACAGACAGACAGAAGGCGCCTGAGCATCAGTCCGGCTCAGAGGCAGCGCTGCTGAAGCTGGCCCACGAGAGCAGCCCTGAGACCCAGAGCAAGCAGCTGGCCTAGAGTCAGCCTGGTGGAAAGACAGAGGCCAGGTGTGCAGATACAGTTTCAGACCTACCTTTTAGAAAGTGACACACTGAAAAACAGGAGAAAGCAACGGACATGGAGAAGAAAAATAAAACAGACAAAGAGAGGTTAGTGTGAGTACCGATCCCCCGACAGGCCTTTGCTGGCCCAGAAGAAAGAGGGCTGCACGCCAACAGGCCGCAGCGTGGCACCATCACAGCGCTGGCTGCCAAATCCACATAGGACAGACACCATGAACTCCTGACCCTGCTCCCCTGGGGCTGTGCTCCAGGCGGGGAGGCCACGCCCAGCAGCCACAGCAGAGACCAGCCACGGAGCCCAGAGCCGGAGGGGTGGAGCAGAGGCTGCCCTGAAATGACCCTGGGAGTGGGCCTGGCCTCCCACGATGCCTTGCGACCCCATGGCCAGCATCAGCTTTCATCTCAGCCGTGGGCCTGGCCCCAGAGGATAGGACCCGATGTCCCTCGTCTGTGGCTGTAACTGGGAAGGCCCTTCCTGTTTCAGTGTCTTTTCAGCCATGCACAGATGGCTGGGTGGACCATGGGCAGAGGCCGCCTGGAGGCCGGCAGGATGAGCTCACGCCAGACACGTCCTGCCCCAGCCCCCGACCCTGGGTGTACCCCTCACAGGCTGCCGGCGACCTACCTCTTCTGCTTCACGGTGATGCCCTTCTGCTTCAGGGCTTTCTCATTGGCCATCTGCAGGAGCTGGATCTCCTTGCGGGAGAAGAGGCGGATGGCGAACGCTTTCTCCAGCAGCTTCTCAGGGGACACCGTCTTCGCGATGTCTCTGACGAACGTGCGGATGTCCTGCTTCACGCTGTCCGACTCCAGCGGCTGCCCGGCCCTCACCTTGTGGAAGAACTTGAGGATGGCCAGCGCCACGCGGTACAGCACCTTGTAGCCCTCCACCAGGAAGACGTCAAAGACCCGGGCGAAGTAGCAGAGGGGCAGCTCCCCAAACAGCCAGCGCTGCCAGTCCGCATAGACCTGCAGGACATCCTCCGACACGGCCACCATCAGCTTGTGGGCCGCCTGGCAGTACTTGTTCACCAGGTCCCCAAACGTCATGCAGGACGACTCAAAGGCCAGGAAGCTCTGGTCGATCAGCCTCCTGCCGGGGTCATTGCAGGCCAGGATGCGGCAGGCCTTCTCGAAGCACTCGGCCTCGTCGATGCTGTAGTGCAGCAGCAGGGCCACCACGGCCGGCAGGGCGGGGCAGAAGGAGATGTCGGGGAACTGGTTGGCCAGGCACAGGAGGATCTTGCGCACGGCCCCCTCGCCGCGTGCATTCAGGCAGTAGCTGGGCACCTGCGTGTTGTCCACGAACTCGGGCAGCGGCAGGCAGCTGCTGCTGTGCTTGCCCACGATCTTGCCCACGATGTCGCTGTACACGCTGGCGTCAGGCGTGACCGTGCGGCAGGGAATGTCCCGGATCAGGCGCTGGTACACCTTTCCCCGCAGGGCGTGGCTTTGGGCCCAGTAGCCCTGGCGCGCCAGCTGCTTCAGTTCCTGCAGTTCAGTGCAGCTCAGCTCCTTGGGCCCCAGGTCCTGGATGGCAGCGTCCATCTTGTCTTTGTCCACGAAGCAGTTGTATCCTGGAGAGTCCATAGCGCCGCTGTGCTCGGGAGGAGGCCCTGGACTGCCGGAAGGGGAGGACAGAGTGGCTAAATCCTCCAGCCCCCTTTCTGAGGGTTTCCTGCAAACCTGTCTGCCATCTCACACCCTGCAGGATTAAAAAAACACTTTTAGCATCTGTGTTTCAAGGTTCACATTTTAAAGAACGTATTTTTTCAAATGTGGTGTAGTTTTCTTTTCTTTTGAGACAGGGTCTCGCTCTGTTGCCCAGGTTGGAGTGCGGTGCAGTGGCGTGACCCTGCTCTCTGCAGCCTTGAATGGCTTGAACCATCTTCCTGCCTCAGCCTCCTGAGTAGCTGGGACGACAGGTGTCCACCACCATGCCCAGTTAATTTTTTTTTTTGAGATGGAGTCTCACCCTGTCGCCCAGGCTGGAGTACAGTGTCACGATCTCCACTCACGGCAACCTCCTCGCCCCTGGTTCAAGCGATTCTCCAGACTCAGCCTTCTGAGTAGCTGGGACTAAAGGCATGCACCACCATGCCTGGCTAATTTTTTGTATTTTTACTAGAGACAGGGTTTCACCATGTTGGTCAGGCTGGTCTCAAACTCCTGACCTTGTGATGTGCCTGCCTTGGCCTCCCAAAGTGTGGGATTACAGACGAGAGCCACCGCCCTGGCCTAATTTTTTATTTTTTTGTAGAGACAGGGTCTCGCTATGCTCTCCAGGCTGGTCTTGAACTCCTGGGCTCAAGCAATCCTCCTGTCTTGGCCTCCCAAAATGTTGGGATTACAGGCATGAGCCACTGTGCCCGGCCTTGTTTTGTTTTGTTTGAGACAAGGTCTTGTGCTGACATCCAGGCTAGAGTGCAATGGCACCATCTCGGCACACTGCAACTTCTGCCTCCTGGGCTCAGGTGATCCTCCCACCTCAGCTATAGCTGAGACTACAGTTAGGCGCCACCACGCCCAGCTAATTTTTTCTCTTTTTAGTAGAGACGAGATTTTGCCATGTTACCCAGACTGGTCTTAAACTCCTGATCTCAAGCAATCCACCCACCACAGCCTCCCAAAGTGCTGGGATTACAAGTGTGAGCCAGTGCTCCTGGCCTGTTTTTTTGTTTATTATTATTATTATTATTTATTTTGTGTGTGTGTGTGTGTGTGTGTGTGTGTGTGATGGGGTCTTGTTCTGTCACCCAGGTTGGCCTTGAACCGCAGGCCTCAAGTGATCTTCCCACCATGCTGGAATTACGAGTGAGAGTCACGTTGCGCAGCCACATTATTTGCCTTAATCTTTGTGTAAGTATTAGAAGGGCTTCCACTTAAGATAAGTGACTTTTGAGAAGCCGTTACAAACTTTGGAGTATACCTTCTTTTCACAGAACTTATGAAGTTACTGGAATACATCACACAGATTCTGAGTAATGAGAGGCTAGAGATAGAGTTCCCAGAAGGGCTTCAAGAGCTTGGCCCTTGGCTGGGCACAGTGGCTCATATCTATAATCTCAGCTACTCAGGAGGCCAAGGTGGGAGGACTAGTTGAGGCCAGGAGTTCAAGACCAGCCTGGGCAACATGGTGAGACCCCATCTCTACCAAAAAAAGAGGCTGACCCTGCTGAAAACACCTTTCCACTCGAGCATGGTCCACTCCAGGCTCCTAAACACCACCCTGCACCCTGGGGGCCTTCTGAAAAGGAACCCCCAGTTGAGAAGATCACTTTGAGCAAAGAGATGCTTCGTTCTAGTTCTCCCTTTTTTTTTTTTTTTGAGACAGAGTCTTGCACTGTCGCACGGGCTGGAGTGCAGTGGCGTAATCTCGGCTCACTGCAACTTCCGCCTCCCGGGCTCAAGTGATTCTCCTGCCTCAGCCTCCTGAGTAGCTGGGACTACAGGCACCCGCCACCACACCCAGCCAGTTTTTGTATTTTTAGTAGAGATGGGGTTTCACCATGTTGGCCAGGCTGGTCTCGAACTCCTGATCTCGTGATCCACCCACCTCGGCCTCCCAAAGTGTTGGGATTACAGGCGTGAGCCACCACGCCCAGCCCGTTCCCAGTTCTCTTTAACCAGCTGTGTGTGCTAAGAAAGTCACAGCCTATGCTATCCCACCCTGTCGGAATTCTGAAGCCGGCTCTTAACTTTCTAAAACCACCAGCTTGAAAGCTATGCTTCAGGCAGGTGCTCCAGGGAGGAATCTCTGGTGAGGAGCAGGCATTTTCCAGAGGGAGAGCTGGGACCTAAATGGAAGGTGCTGCAGCTTTAAAACTGCACATTTCTGGATCCGAATGGGCCAGAAGTCAAGTGGGGGTGGTTGGTGTTTCTCCAAGAACAGCAACCCCTGGGCTCAGGCAAACATAAAAGGAGTGGGTAAGACGTGCCCTGTGGGATTCTGGACAACAGGTGGCTGCCCTGGCCCAAGGATACCGTCCTGCGCACAGAAGTGCAAGGTTTGCTTACGCACATCAGACTAACCTTTCCACCTGGGATGGTAGAAGTTCCCAGTGTGCCCCAGGGGTCTGCTTCAGCAGGTTTTGGTTGAGTGACCAGACCACTCCGGTTTCTCTTGCAGCTAGAACATTCACCTACCTATTATAAGGCAAATACTGCTTTAAAACAGTTCTTGAAAAGTAAAAATCATAGTGTAAAACGTACGTCTGCGAGACACTGTCTTGGGAAAACACCTCGACACGTGTTTTTGTGTGTGTGGTAAAATACACATAGCATAAAATTTACCATGTTAGGCCGGACGCGGTGGCTCACGCCTGTAATCCCAGCACTTTGGGAGGCCGAGGCGGGTGGATCACGAGGTCAGGAGATCGAGACCATCCTGGCTAACACAGTGAAACCCTGTCTCTACTAAAAATACAAAAAAACTAGCCGGGCGTGGTTGCGGGAGCCTGTAGTACCAGCTACTCGGGAGGCTGAGGCAGGAGAATGACGTGAACCTGGGAGGCGGAGATTGCAGTGAGCCGAGATTGTGCCACTGCACTCCAGCCCAGGCGACAGAGCAAGACTCTGTCTCAAACAAACAAACAAACAAACAAAAAATTTACCATTTTAGCCATTTTTTATTTATTTATTTTTTTGAGACAGAGTGCCGCACTGTCGTCCAGGCTGGAGTGCAGTGGCGTAATCTCAGCTCACTGCAACCTCCGCCTCCCTGGGTTCAAGCGATTCCCCTGCCTCAGCCTCCCAAGTAGCTGGGATTACAGGCATGTGCCACCACGCCCGGCTAATTTTGTATTTTTAGTAGAGACAGGGATTGTCCATGTTGGTCAGGCTGGTCTCGAACTCCCGACCTCAGGTGATCCGCCCGCCTCAGCCTCCCAAAGTGCTGAGATTAGAAGCGTGAGCCACCGAAGTTGATTTTAATGTATCCCACTGGAAAAACCTTGCCCACAGCAGGACTAGGCCTCAGAAGAAAAGAAACCCTTAAGACCATTGATTGGTTTGCTTCGTCCTGGGAGGGAAGGCAGTGAGGGCTCCCCCTTTCCCTGGTCCTGAAGGTCAGGCCGACAGGTCCACTCACATGCGCACAGCCACGCCTGGGTCACACTGCACAATCTTACACGTGTCGGTCGGTTATCCACAGCTTACATCCCTCCTTCCCTGCTATGGGCCCACTAGCCTCTGGAGGAACTCCAGGCCCATCCTGTTTGGGTGAAAGAACTGGCTCCTTCTTAAGGCAATAAACATGTTTCTAAACAGAACAGGAGCTGGGCAGAGCAGCACCAGCCTCCACTCGGCTGGCCCCAGATTCAGGTTGAATATTAAACTGGAAACAGTAAAAGCTGTGGGTGCACCTTGCGAAGTTCCCTTAGGGAGATGCAGATCCCAAGTTGTGTTTACTGCCGCGAATGGTCCGGCGACGTGCTGGACTCACAGGGACCCCCGAGCCAAGGATGTGTGCAAAAGACCCGAGGGAGCCCTTGGATTCTTTCTTGTTCCCCAAACCCTCACTCAAAAAGAGCGCACGACATTTCTGGGGCTGTGCACACAAGGCAACAACCCACTTAAGGCATCTATAAAAACCAGGTCCAGGCCAGCAAAGGGGCTCACATCTGTAATCCCAGCACTTTGGGAGGCTCAGGCAGGAGGATCACTTCAGCCCAGGAGTTCAAGACCAGCCTGGGCAACATAATGAGACCTCATCTCTACCAAAAATAAAAAAAAATGGCCAGGCCTGGTGGCATGCACCTGTAATCCCAGCTATTTGGGAGGCTGAACGGGGACGACCTTTGGACGCCAAGCCCAGGAGTTCAAGACTAGCCCACACAACATGGCAAAACCCCATCTCTACAAAAAAATACCAAAATTAGCCAGGCGGGCCAAGCACGGTGGCTCATGCCTGTAATCCCAGCACTTTGGGAGGCCGAGGCAGGTGGATCACAGGGTTAGGAGTTTGAGACCAGCCTGGCCAGCAGGTAAAACCCCGTCTCTACTAAAAATACAAAAAATTAGCTGGGTGTGGTGGCACATGCCTGTAGTCCCAGCTACGTGGGAGGCTGAGGCAGGAGAATCGCTTGAACCCGGCAGGCAGAGGTTGCAGTGAGCCAAGATGGAGCCACTGCACTCTAGACTGGACGACAGAGTGAGACTCCATCTCAAAAAAAAAAAAAAAAATTAGCCAGGCGTGGTGGCGCATACCTGTAGTCCCAGCTACTCAGGAGGTTAAGGTGGGAGGATCACCAGAGCCCAGGAGGTCAAGGCTGCAGTGGGACCTGATTGTACCACTGAACTCCATCCAGCCTGGGTGACAGAGCAAGACCCTGTCTGAAAAAAAAAATAAAATGAAAACAAAAATAAAAAATAAATACATAAATAAAAACGAGGTCCAGATTGGTTTCCTTAGGTTAAAAAAAAAGTCTTTCATTACGCTGGTGATATTTGAATGCAAAAATCACAAAAAGTCAAATAGTACCAAAATTAGGGAGTAAAAATGTAGAGTTCTGTTTAAATTACCTCTCTAATCCTACTCCCCTTCCACATACAGATAATCGCTATTCACATTTTGGTATATATCCTGCCAAACCTTTTTCTTGCATTCACAACTGAGTGAGGTTTTCTTTAAACTGGCAACTGAGATGAGGAGGTAAGGGGAGGTGGAAACTGATCAAAAACATAAACTATCCCAGGCTGGAGCACTTATGGGCTTGAGTGCCCACACTCTGGAGGTGAGCTTTCACGGCCGAGTGGCTTTCCCTGTTGTCTATCTGCTGGCTGGCTGCTGCTGTACATCATAAGCCGCACCTGCTCCTACGCAGCAAACAAGGCCTCCTCTGTTCCCTGCAGTCCCCCAACCCCTGACAAAGGTGCAGAGCCGGAGGCGGTGGCCGGGGAGGGAGTGAGAGGGGAGGCAGGGGCTACTGTGGAAACGGGGCAGCTTTGCAGTTAGACAGGCCTGGCCACAAAGTCCAGCTCTGCCACTTGTTTGCTTGAAATGCGGACAAGCCGTGCATCTTCCCTAACCTGCGGTTGCCATGTCTGCAGAGCGGAGCCGATAATAACACCCAACTCCTCACGGGCAACAGTTCCCAAGCAACCCCTGTGGGTTGAGCCTCACTCTGGACTGACAGGGTGGGGTGCAGGTGACATAAGGGTGACACCCCATGAACAGTCTATCCCACTCTCTCTCCGGGTTCAGGCAGCCCAAGGCAGACAGTGCCAGCAGGGCCCTGTGAGGGTGCCTCCTGTGGGGGAAGCCATCTTCCTGTGGCCTCTGGGGTCCGAGCGAATCGCTGCTCGCCATGAACACTGCACTGCCTTCACCTAAAGTGTGCTTCCCCACCAGGCTCCAGTTCCCTGCAGAGGCACGGAGTGAGGTGGCGCTGGTTCTCCGAGGTGGCACCTGTCAGCCCAGCTGCCAGCAGCTCCCTGAGTGTGGAGCAGAGAAGCACTCCTCCTGTCTTTGGTCCTCAGCCTTGGGCCCAGCCTGCAATTCCAGGAAAATAGGAAAAATTCCACCTGACACCCACGAGACTCACAAGAATTACAGACACAGACAGTTTCAGATGGTGGGGGTCCACACCGTGGGTCTGGAGGGTGACAGCTACTTTACTGAGGATCCTCAGGGCACACCTCTCCCAGGAGATGACATTGAGCCAGAGGAGTGAGAAAGAAGCAGCCGGGATTGCTGAGGATGAAGCGCTCCAGACACCAGCAGAGTAGGTGCAAAGGCTGAGGGAGGAACAGGCTGGCTGCGCTACAGGGCGCAGAGGGCAGCACGGACACACCCACAAGCCCCCGTGGATTATATTCCAAGCGCAGTGGGAAACTGGCAAGGGATGGGCTCTAGTCCCTGTTCTGTTGCGGGATTTACTGAGCCTGTTGATAGAAAGCACTCAGCCCAGCCCGGCCGGCCAGGACCGCTCAGCTGCCTGAGGATGCTCTCATCCTTACAGGGTCCCAGGCCAGGTGCTAGAAAGGTGTTCTAGAATGCCTGGGACATCACGGTCCCAGCGGGTCAACACGCAGCCGGTCCTGCAGAGGGAGGTGCAACTGCACGGGCCAGGGGCAGCTCTCTCACAGGCCACCGTCCCCTCCTAATGCCTCTCTCCACAGCCAAGCTGCCCTCCATACCCAGTGCGGCTTCTTTCTCACCCGGGAAGCCTCTCCAGGGACCTACATGGCCTTTCCTCATAAACGCCACGCCTGTTTGAGAGCTCAAGGTACCTGCAGATCAGAAGCAAATGTTTGTATTCATTTGTTCGCTCGTTTATTTATTTATTTATTATTTATTTATTTTTTGAGACAGAGTCTGGCTCTGTCGCCCAAGCTGGAGTGCAGTGGCGCGATCTCGGCTCCCTGCAAACTCCGCCTACCGGGTTCACACCATTCTCCTGCCTCAGCCTCCCGAGTAGCTGGGACTACAGACGCCCACCACCACGCCCGGCTAATTTTTTTGTATTTTTAGTAGAGATGGGATTTCACCATGTTGGCCAGGCTGATCTCGAACTCCTGACCTCGTGATCCGCCCGCCTCAGCCTCCCAAAGTGCTGGGATTACAGGCGTGAGCCATTGGGCCATGCCTCATTCATTCATTTTGAGACAGGGTCTCACTCTGTTCCTGCTCCAAAGCAAATATTTCTTTCTTGTTTTTTTTTTTTTTTGAGAAGGAGTCTCACTCTGTCACCCAAGCTGGAATACAGTGGCACGATCTCGGCACACTGCAACCTCTGCCTCCCGGGTTCAAGTGATTCTTCTGCCTCAGCCTCCCAAGTAGCTGGGACTACAGGCACGCGCCACCACGCTCAGCTAATTTTTTTTTTTTTTTTGTATTTTTAGTAGAGACGGGGTTTCACCGTGTTAGCCAGGATGGTCTCGATCTCCTGACCTCGTGATCCACCCGCCTCGGCCTCCCAAAGTGCTGGGATTACAGGCGTGAGCCACCGCGCCCGGCCAAATATTTCAAAAAAAAAAAAAAAAAGCAGCCAGGTGCGGTGGCTCACACCTGTAATCCTGGCTAACATGGTGAAACCCCATTTCTACTAAATCCAAAAATTAGCTAGGTGTGGTGGCGGGCGCCTGTAGTCCCACCTACTCAGGAGGCTAAGGCAGGAGAGTAGTGTGAACCCGGGAGGCAGAGCTTCCAGTGAGCCGAGATTGCACCACTGCACACTGCACTCCAGCCTGGCGACAGAGCGAGACTCCATCCCACAAAAAAAAAAAAAAAAAAAAAAAAAAAAGCTATGTGCGAATGAGTAATGAGTATAAGCGATTTCTATTTCCCCAAAATGTTATCTTGATATGTCATCTGACGCATGTGACCACCGTGCCCTCTGGCCACAGGGCACAGTTCTGGCTCTACCACATGTGAGGAGGGGCCCTTTAAATGGCTACAGGCTTGCAGACCCCCACCCCGCCACAGCCCCAGCAGCCTTCCCAGGGAGGGCAGTTCCTGCCAGTTGACCAGTGTTCAGCCAGGAACACCCAACAGCAGCCTATGTCCTCACTCCATGGGAGCTCCAAGAAACCCCCAAATCCGTCCCTGGCAGCAAACCCCCTGAAGGCGCCCACAGGAAGAGGAAGGCGGCCAGGGCTGGGAGGCGGGCCGTCTGTCAAGAGTGTGGCACCCTGAGCTAATTTCTAGCCAGGAGGCAGGTGGGAGGTAGCATGGATGTGGGAGGAAGTAGATCCTCACTGGAGAACGGGGCAGGAGGGGCCCCAGCGGGGCAGCTGGCCCCTTCGCTCCAGCAGACAAGCAGCTCACCCCAGCCTCGGGGCGGAACACAACCCCACAGCTGCTGGCTGCTGTTGCTGCTCCATCTCCCTTCATCCTGGGACAGCGAGGACCTCCGAGAGAGGCTCCAGAGGGTCCCTGAGCACAGGCAGGACCCACGCAGGTCTGGGACTTCAGGGCACTCGGCCACTTCTAGTACCAGGGCCCTCCCACGAGTCCTGGAGACACAGGCCACCCCGGCAAGGCTGCCACTAGTAACACCACCTGCCATCCCCAAACACCAAACTCCAACACCAAACTCCAGCACCAAACTCCAGCACCAAACTCCAGCACCAAACTCCAGCACCAAACTCCAACACCAAACTCCAACACCAAACTCCAGCACAAAACTCCAGCACCAAACTCCAGGCCTGACAGCCTGAGTCACGAGGCCTCTGCACGTCTCGCTTCTTCAGAGGGGAATGTGATTTTCCCAAACAACCGGATTTGAAAACAAACTCTCTTTCATGTACAAAGACAGAACACACATTTAGCCTCATTGATGACATTTTAACACGGCCAACACCAACCCCGACACCGTGCCTCCCTTCCTGGGGACCGCTCCTGTCCCAGGTCACAGCAAACGTGAGGAGGCAGCATACGACCGCGGCTCCCTCGTCCTGCAGTTAGTCACATGACAGACCTCCACTGAGGTGCCGCCTCTGTGCCAGGGAGAGGCGGCTTGAGAGAAGGCTGTCAACCACGGCAGCTGGGGAAGTGCTAGGGGAACCCCACGGGCAGGGCTGTGCCTGCTGCTGTGGAAGGGGCGGAAAGGTGTGGAGGCAGCCTGTGGGTGGGGACGGTGCCCCTCAGATGTGGAGGCAAGAGTGGGCGAAGGCGAGCTGGGCGGCCCTGGCAGTGCTGAGGGGCTGGGATGCGCTAAGAGGCGGGTGTCCCCACACGGGGTAGGAGGAAAGTCTAGGCAGGTGACCCGATCAGATCTGCGTTTACAAAAATCCCCCTGGTGGCCCTGGAGGAGGAAGGGTTGGGACAGAGAAGCCAGGGAGAAAGGAAGGCAGAGTCTAGACCGGGAGGGTGGAGAAGATGAGGGGACCCCCAGAGATGGCTCAGGGTTGGATCCCACAGGACCGTGGCCTGACAGTGGCAGTCAGAGCCCAGGCCACTTGGGGATGCTGGAGGCGGGGGCGAGCGACAAACAGAGAATTCCAGCCCAGGGAAGCTCCACTGTGAAGTTTTCAAAGCCAGTTTCGATACAGATGCTTCTTAGGCAAATGCCAGAGCAGCTCAGGCTGGAGGTAGAGCCCTGGGGATGAGGCCCACAGCACAGAAGGCACTCCCACACACTCCCAGATGCCACCAAGGGGCCAACTGCAGCCCCCTGGGCAAGAGGCAGCCCTGTCCCAACGTAGGTCAGTGTTCGCTAGGACTCCAGGTTGAAGAGCTGGGGTTGCAGGCCTGGGCCCCATCCTGCCCTGGCCTGACCACCACACACATCCTGGCCACAAGAACAGCCCCCGTCCCAGCAGCTGACAAGCTATCAAGGACGCGGGGTTCTGTGTGGCTGGACCTCAGTCACGGGCCACAGAACAGGGCATGGGCGTCAGCTGCCGCTCGTCTCACTTCTTCCCATCTGGTCTGAGCAATCCCTCACCATTTCCTGGGAGTGGGACCGGGAATGAAGAGGAAGAGGAAATGAGGCCGGGCCCCATGGGTGGGGAACGCCAACGCCCGCAGCTAGGGACCACAGGAAGGAGGTGCTGTGGCCCCTGCGGGCTTCACGTGATAGGAGATGCAGGCTCCTCTCAGTGGGCTCCCCTGGCGGGATCCAAAACAATCTCGCTCCCCACGGAAGCCCCTGGACCTTGCCAAGTGCTGCGGGGATACAGAGGAAACCTGGTGGTGGGCTAGGGAGACCGGCAGGCCCCACCCGCTCCTGAGCACCGACCCCACCCGCCAGGCAGGGGAGGGCAGCACAGGCATTCCAGCCCGGGCGCGAGATCCGCAAGATCCAGGGATGAGAGCTTTGTTGCCTGCCAGGGAAGCTCGGAGTGCCCGGAAACCCTGGGGCACAGGCAGCAGCGGGCCAGGTGGGAATGGTAGGGACGGTGTGGGGGTGGCTGAGAGGGCCTGGAAGCGTGTCTGGACTCTTTGGAAAAACTCTCATACCACGTTTTCCTCTGCTCTGACGCCAGCACCGCAATCGGCACAGGATCTGCGACCCAGAAGATGCGGGGGTTTCTCCCGGCAGCAAGCAATCCATTCTGCAGCGGGCGCCCGCAGGGTGTCCTCCAATTCAATCCCGACACCGGGAGACATCTACCTGGAGATAGCTCAGATCCCACAAGCCCCCCACGTCTCCAGACACCAGTCAGAAGTCCAGGCCTCTGGAACTTCTCAGCAACCAACTTCAAGTTGGGGTTCCCACAACCCCTGCTTTGGGTTCAATGAATTTGCTGGAGCAGCTCACAGAACTCAGGGAAACACTTACATTCACTAGTTTATTATAAAGGTTGTTACAAAGGACACAGATGAAGAGACCTTTAGGGTGAGGTACGGGAGAGGGACACGGTGCTGCCCTCCAGGCACTCCCTCCTATTCAGCTGTCCAGAAGCTCTCCAAGTCCTGTCTTCTAGGGTTGACATGGAGCCCTTGTTAAGTAGGCATAACTGATTACCCCACTGGCAATCAACTTGACCTTCCACCTCTGGACCTCTCCCCTCCCCGCGGTTGGGGGTGGGGCTGAAAGTTCTAACCCGCTAATCCTGCCTTGGTCTTTCCAGTGACCAGCGCCACCCGGAAGCTATCAGTCAACACCAGCGCACAGAAAGAGCACCACGGAGATTCTGAGGATTTCAGGAGTTGTATGTCACTAAACAAGGACAAAGACCAAATAGATATTTCACAACATCACAGAGGTGCTGGGAGAGTAGGTGGAGGGAGGCTGGAAGAACACACTAGATGGGGCAGGGACTGGGGCCTAAAAGCAGACCTGGAGCGGGGTGTGGATGGCAGGCATGAGGGGAGAGGTGGCCCCAGCATTCAGCCCCAGGGAGGGGATGACGCCTCCTCCGGCTGGGGGACCTTCCTTGCAAGTCCACGCCAAGTCTGATTTCTTCATGAGGGGCCCAGGCCTCCCACCTACGTGCTGGGAAAGGCCAGGGAACACCTCATCCTGTCCTCCAAGAGTCTGCTGGATGCCTCAGAGACACAAATAAATCCCAGGCAGAGGCCCAAAGTGCAGACACTCCTCCTGCCATATAGCCCCACCGCCCTAGGCCTCAGCCCTGGAACAATGGAGCTGGCACAGTGGACCACGACGGAAGAGAGCCACTGGACTTGTCTGTGCACTCAGGTGTACCCGTTCTTTCTGGAACCTTCTCCTGAGTGCCTCCTAGGTGCCTGGCACTGAGCTAGGAAGAGCTGAGAGAGAAATCGGTCACCTGACAGTGAGGTCAGAAAGTGGCTTTGTAGACATGTGTAGAAGCAGAGAGGCCCCGGGGTGGTCGCATGCCCCAGGGAGCTGGATGGGTTCCGGAAGCCCTTCTAGAAGGCGGTTACAGCGTGCTGGGGTTGGCAGGGCAGACTGGGCGTTGGGGTGGCAGGGGGAGGATCTGCACTCAGCAGCAGGGAAATACAAGACTTGCTCTAAGCAGTGGGGGTGGGGAACTGGGTAACAAGGCCTGCTCACCACTCCATCCCGATAGTGACAGGGCACCACCAGAGTACTGGGGTGGAGAGGTGAGATCAAGCTTTTATTCCAGAAAGATCTGTGGTGTGGCAGCCTGGAGGGCATGTGCAGAGGCCACAGCCATCAGAAACATCCACTGGGGGTGGTGAGGTGGGGAGGGGAGGACGGGAGGCTGAGAGGAGAATGACCACCAGGGGTCTGCTGCATGTAGGGTGGCCACCCCCTGGTCCTCCCATGCAGAATGTCAGGGGTGGGAGATGCCTGCACAGGCACATTTTGAGAATGCTCCTCTGGCGATCCCATTCCCCTGACCTGTGCCCCCACTGCCTGGTGAGACCCTCAGCTATAGGACCATGTCTGACCGGGGCTGGATGGTGACAGTGTCACTAACCACGGTGAGCACAGCCGCTGGTCTTCCCCCACACCTCCTTACCTTGCTATCTGCCTTTTACCCCCGGCCCCTGCTCCCAGCCTGCCTTCTTGCTCTGGAAATTGTCTACAGCAAACACACCACTCCCAAGTCTTCATCCTCTCCCGAACGTACCCTTCCTCCTCTGGGCCGAGCAGCAGCCGGGCTCTCCCCATCACCACCCGCCTCCTCTCTCTCCAGCTCAGGGCCTTCCTCTCTGTGCTGCCCTCCCTTGAGGGCCAAGTTCACCGTCCTGGCTGGAAAGCTCCGTGGCCTCTAGAACTTTAAAAGCCTTTACATCTCTACCTTTTTATCCAGTCCCCGGGCATTCCAGAAAACCACTCTACCCACTCCAGAGGCTGCACATTCATACACCTGCCCATACCCTCTCCTAGAGCCCTCAGCGCCCTCCTCCCACTCGGAGCTGTGACTCCCCGCATCCACCAGCCACTCTGGCTTTTCTCTCTTGCCAGCTCAGCCTGGACCGTCTTGCCAAGCCCCAACTCCCGCCCGCCAACCCCACGCTCCTGTCTCAGCCATATGGATAAACTGCACGAGGAAGTGAGCCCGAGGCACGAGAACGGCCGAGGGGAGAGGGAGAAGTCCTGCCGCCTGCTCAGCGGTTTCCAGTGGCCCAGCCCCCGGTGCCACCTGGCATCCTTCGCAGCACTCCTCACCGACACCCTCTCCTCTCCAGCTCACAGCTGCCCCGTCCCACCCACTCTACCCCAAGAAAGGGGGCTTGTCAGGCGTGAGCTTCCCAGCTCTCTGCATTCCCACCACAGACCAAGGCCCCCCCTCAGTCCTGGCTCTCACCTCCTGGGGATCCCAGCTCCCCATCTCTCTCCAAGGCTCCCAGTGCTGTGACAGCAGGCCCCAAACACAGCAAACCACAGGGCCTGAGGCTCCACTCCAGCTCCACCTCTTCTCCGTTTTCCTTCTGAGCCAAGTGGCTGGCAAGAGCAGATGACACCCAGCTTCCGGCCCTCCCGCCGCTGGCCGCGCTGGCCGCCAGATCTCCCAGCTGCCTTGGGCCTCATCCCGCCTGCCTCCCTGCCAGGCATCCCCTCACCTCTCCGCGGCTGCTCCTCCACCGCCCGTGCCTGTCTCTCCAATGGAGCCCACCCTCTCCTGAGCCTAGAATCCTTCTTTGAGGTCCAGACCTGTCCCTCCAGCTGCTTCCCAGGTGTCTCCGGTACAGTCACAACATTCACACTCCATGTGACTCCAGCGCAATTCAGCTCCCACTCCCAGCCTCCTGCCCACTCAGGGCTTCACCCGGTCACCGTTCTCCACCCGAAACCCTCTCCTGGTGTCCCCCGCCCTTCAGGACCCAGCCCCTCCCTGCCCCTCGGACAACAGCTTCCGGAGCCCTGGCCACACAGTGCCAACTGCAGTCCCCACACTACACTGTGGGAATGTCACTGTTCAGAGTGGCAGGAGACACCTGTCCCCTTTCGCTTTCTGCTCAGTCCAATCGCCCCTCCTTCACAGGCCTCCATGGGACCTCTGGGGCAGGGCCAAGGCGTCACAGAGCTCCACGCCTCCTGTCCACATCTGTCCTCACCCTTGCCCAGCACACCCACCATCGTGGTGCTGGCTTATCCACCCAGCCCTGCTACCACACCGTGACTTCTGCACCCAAGCGTCTCACACTATGTCCAGTGTACCCTGGGAAGGAGGGAACAGAGAAGAAAACAGGCAGAGACTCAGAGAAATCGCAAACCACTTGGGCCCAAGACAAATTTAATTTTGAAGGCCAAATAACAACAGGGAGCATTACTAGTCCACCCACCCTAGGTGTGACCTTTCCTGCAGGCATCTTCACATAACAGGAAGGTAAGGGGTGCCTGCCTCAGCCTGAAGCAGAGCACAGGCATCTTTCAAATATTAATGGTGACCGACATGCCACAGTGACTACCAAGTAGCTGCTGACTGGGGAACTTGATAGTGGGCTCTTTGCCGGAGGCACACAATGGAGGGCACATGCCAGGTACAGAAGGGGTATGACCATTAATGAGGTGTTAGTCACCACACCATGGGCCGGTTGGCCCGCCTGCCTGTGATGGTTGGAAGTGCAAACGTGCCTAACTGTGGCTGCTGAGCCTGCTGCTCGGAGCCTGAGCAGGGGCAGGCTGAGCCTCAACCTTGGCCAGCCACCCTTTCATAGCCAGACATCTTTCTTTCCCCAGCCTAGTCCGGTCCACCCAAAGGCAGGGGCTGGAGCTGGCACAGGACTCTGCTAATTCAGGATCTTTATCATCTGAGCCCAAAGGTTCTCCCCACAGCAGGTCTGGAAAAACACCCCCAGGACACAGGAGGAGAACCAGAGGAAGAGAGCTCAGCTGTCAGCAGCACAGGCATTTTGATTGGTCTGAGTTCCAAGCCAGTGACAGGTGTGCCTTGGAAGGCCAGGCACACATCAGGTTCTCAGCAAGTGTCTTTAGACCTAAGGAGAGATCCAGCTCGAGGTGGAGTTGTGCATGTTTAATCATTTTATTTTTATTTACTTTTTATGTCTGGTAGAGACAAAGTCTCACTATGCTGCCCAGGCTGGTCTCAAACTCCTGGCCTCAAGCAATCTTCCCACCTTGCCTTCTCAAAGTGTTGGGATTACAAGCGTGAGCCACCACGCCCGGTCCTAATCATTTTAATAGGCATTCAAGACATGCTTCCCGAATGCCAGTGTGCCAGGTACCTGAGTGCAGAGGAGTACAGAGGCATGGCCCCACCCCAGCCCGGGTCAGGTGTACTGACGATGCCAATTCAAGGTGCAGGTGCTGTGACACGGTGCTTTCCCAGCGCCAAGGCCTGCCTCGGCTGGATCTTGCAGTGTGAGGAAGCCTTAGCCTCAGAAGGGATAGAGACAGCGTGGTCAAAGGACAGGGCCCCAGAGGGCAAGTCTGGTCAGAGCTACCCAGCTCCATGAGAACGTGGGCCGGTGAGTGTCCTTTGGGGCTCTGACTAAGACACTTCTACGCTTCAGCATAACAGGCACCAAGAAGCCAAAGGGCCCAAAACAGAGGCCTGGGATTTACTAGGCTGCCAGGAAAGGACAGTGCCCCTGAGTGCTGGGAACATGGAGAGGACAGCCCAGGAAGCCGCCAGAGCAGAAAAGTTAATGTCCACACCTCGATCCTAAGGCCACAGGTTTACCAAGGTAGCAAGGCTAGAAGGACCCTTGCCGGGAAAGGGATCACAGAGGGTAATTAGGGAAGGGGTGGAAATGATTCAAGGAAAGGCTGAAGGGACCATGTGATGAGCTCCATTTACCATGCCACAGTGAGTGGAAGGGCTTTTACTGGAAACCGAATGGCCCACCAGTAAACAACCTCTCTCGGTGTGTGGCACCCAATTAAAATTATGTAACAATCAGGCAGACACACAGTCTCGGATTGTGGGAAATCTGTATCCTCAGTAGATTCCCAGGTCCCCTGTGGTGTGTTCTCAATGACCTGCAAGAAAAAGGGAACAGGCCGGTGTAGTGGTTCATGCCTGTAATCCCAGCACTTTGGAAGGTTGAGGTGAAATGATCCCTTGAGCCAGGAGTTCAAGACCAGCCTGGGCAACATAGTAAGATACTGTCTCTACAAAAAAATAAAAAATCAGGAAGGTGTGGTGGCAAGAACCTGTAGTCCCAGCCACTCAGAAGGCCGAGGTGGGAGGATGGCTTGAGCCCAGGAGGTTGAGGCTGCAGTGAGCCGTGACTGCACCATCGCACTCCAGCCTGGACAACAGAGCAAGACCCAGTCTCTTAAAAAAAAACAATTAACGACCAGGCACGGTGGCTCACACCTGTAATCTCAGCACTTTAGGAGGCCGAGGCAGGCGGATCATGAGGTCGGGAGTTCGAGAGCAGCCAGGCCAACATGGTGAAACCCCGTC
The DNA here is from genome assembly GCF_000001405.40 of Homo sapiens. Lineage (NCBI taxonomy): Eukaryota > Metazoa > Chordata > Mammalia > Primates > Hominidae > Homo > Homo sapiens. The sequence goes on along the minus strand of NC_000016.10, from coordinate 2,480,017 downwards.
TCTACTGAAAATACAAAATTAACTGGGCATGGTGGCACACGCCTGTAATCCCAACTACTAGGGAGGATGAGGCAGAAGAATCGCTTGAACCCGGGAGGCGGAGGTTGTGGTGAGCCAAGATTGCACCACTGCACTCCAGCCTGGGCAACAAGAGCAAAACTCCATCTCAAAAGAAAAAAAAAACAATTAACAAAAAGAGAAAAGAAAAAAAGAAGGGAACACACTGGGGAGGGTTGCAGGAAGCCATGGCTGCATATGCACAGTCCTCGGAGGCCATGAAGCCTGCGCCCCTGTGAGCAGGTTCTGTTGGAGGGTGTAGATAACAGCTCAAGCCTTATCCAGAGGCTCAGCCAGCCCTGGGGGACCACGTGCTGGCCACGGGCAGATAGGGGCTGCTTCTGCAGCACAGCCTTTCCCCGGCCTCATCCATTCCACCCCTCAGGTGGAGGACTCAGGGGGTGGGGGACGCATCACACACGTGGCCTCTGTTCTCAGCAGACTTTTTCCAAAGTTGTACCTGCTGCCAATGCTGATGGACCACACAGAAACAGGGTCCTGGAAGGAGAGTGAGGTGCCCCTGAGGGCTCTGCAGCCTTGGGTCTCTCGGTCTGAGAAGGCTTTTCTCAGAGCCCTACCTGTGGGAACGTCTGAGACGAGCAACCCTCAGACTGCAGGTGAACTAGGTCCTTTGAGAAGAGCGACACTGAAGCTGGAGGTTCCCCAAAAGGCAAATAGACACGTGAGACAGGAAGGCCACTGCAAGGACACTGGCATCCCCCCCGTCCCATACTCCATCCTTCACTCCAAGAGACAAATTAAAAGGCCAGGCCAGGCACCGTAGCTCATGCCTGTAATCCCAGCCTTTGGGAGGCCAAAGTGGGAGAACTGCTTGAGTCCAGGAATTTGAGACCAGCCTGGGCAACAAAGTGAGACCCCGTCTCTATAAAAAATGCAAAAATTAGCTAGGCATGGTGGTGTGCGCCTATAGTCCCAGCTACTCAGGAGACTAAGGTGGGAAGACTGCTTGAGTCCGAGAGGTCGAGGCTGCAGTGAGCCATGATCTCATGATCCCTCCATTGTACTCTAGCCTCGGCAGTGGGAATGAGACCCTGTCTCGAAAAAAAAAAAAAAAGAAAAAAGTCTATCGTCCCAGCTATTTGGGAAGCTGAGGCAAGGGGATCGCTTGAGTCCAGAAGGTCGAGGCTACAGTGAGCCACTGATCCTGACACTGCACTCCAGACTAGGAGAAAGAGCGAGACCCTGTCTCAACAAAAAAAAAAAGAAAAAAGCCCACTACCCTGCCCCATTCCCCCAAAAGGCAACGGGTTACTGACTGGCCTTCTGTTACCTTACTGACTTTAAGACTGTATTAGGAGTCCACAGGGTTCAGGATTCCGTCTCGTTTTTCTCACTCTGCACATTCTCCTGGGAAGACCCAACCCAGTCCCCAGCTTGGATGGCACACAGCATCCCCAAAATGCTCTCGTCTAGTACACTCTCCTTGGCTCCAGGCCAAAACACATATGCTTACTGCCCAGTCTCGCAGTAACCTCATCGCCATCTCCACACGGTGCCAGCCCGCCCCCTCCCTCCACACTCTGCATGGGGTGTGGCACTGCCCGCTGCTCAATACTGGAACATCCCCTCCTTCCTCCCTGGCTCTTCCCATCCTGCAACCACTTGTCTCAGAGTCTTGCTCTCTTTTTTCTTCTGAAACAGAGTTGACCAGGGTGGAGTGCAGTGGAACAATCATAGCTCACTGCAGCCTGCAACTCCTGGGCTCAAGTGTTCCTCCCGCTTTGGCCTCCCAAAATGCTGGGCTTGCAGGTGTGAGCCCCCGGGCCTGGCTGAGTCTTGCTCTTTTCTGTGCTGATGTCTCTCTGGGTGTGCCATGACAGTCCCTCAACCGGCCTTGGCCTCTTCACCTCCCTGGCCACCTCTGATCAAGTCACTCACAAACCCAAGATCTTCAGAGGCTTCATGCCACTCAGGGTGAATTCAAACTCCCAGGTGGAACTCAAGGCTTTTCCCAGTCTGCTGTCAGCCTAGCTCACTCACTTCACCCCATCTACCCTGGGGCCACCACTGCCCTTCTCCCAAGAGCTGGTGGGCAGGAACCACGCCTGTCACTTTATATCCACTGTCCCTTCGGGGGAAGGCACTTTCCCTCACTTGTTCTTGCCGGTCCTGATCATCCTTCAAAATGAAGCTCAAGTCCATCTCAGAGCCCCACCCCCACCACAATCCAGCTGGATGCCACGCCTTTGCGCCCACAGAAGGCTCTGTCCACCTCTGTGGGAGCTTCTACCATGTGTTTATTCTCCTGTCTCCTCACTGCACTATAAGCTCAAGGGCAGAGACCAAGTCTTAACACCAAATCCACAGAACACACGGCATGGTGCCTCCTATGAAGTGTGAATTCAATAAATGCATTTTTATTGTTTTGTTTTTCAGAGACAGGGTCTCACTCTGTTGCCCTGGCTTGAGTGCAGTGGCACAATCACAGCTCACTGCAGTCTTGAGCTCCCAGGCTCAAGTGATCCTTCTGCCTCAGCTTCCCAAGTAGCTGGGACCACAGGCACATGCCACCATACTTGGCTAATTTTTTATAGAGACGAGACCTCCCTATGTTGCCCAAGGTGGTCTTGAACTCCTGGGCTCATGCGATCCTTCCACCTCAGCCTCCCAAAGTGTTGGGATTGCAGGCGTGAGCCACCGCACCTCGCTTAACAAACACATGTTGAAAGGATACAGAAAATCATTGAATAATGAATTCAAGTTGGTCCTCAGTAAAAAGCCTGAGGTTTTGTTTCTTTGATTTTATCTCCAATTGAAAGGCAATGTTTGAAACAGCCACTGAAATTGCTGCTTTGAGTTGAAAAGGACTTCTTTCTTCCATTTACAGAGTTGTCATAACAGAAAAGGTATGCTCAGACAGGTAAAACATTGAACAGGGTAAATGTTAAGTGCTTTTTTTGTAACCTGCTTCATTGTCCTTATGTACTTTAAACCAGAAACCATCTAAAGGCAAACATTTAATATGTTTTCTGAGCTTGGCTCAATCTGTAGATAATTAAGAGCAACACTGCATGCCCAAGGTCACTCGAGCCTGCTGGACACTCCTGGCAGGTGTGGTCAGCGAGAGCTAGTAAGGCTACCCTACAGGTGACTTCACAGACCCTGGGTGGCCAAATTTATTGTTGTTATGAAAACCTTGCCTAGATTACTTCTGCATCTCGGAAGGTCACCCTCAACCCAGTGGAAAGCCACTGCAATAGTTGACATCTATCACTCCGACAAAAGGACCTTGATCCACTTCAACCATCATGTAGAGAAAACCTCTGGTCCGGCCCTGGCCAGGCTGTGGGGAAGCAAAGATGAACAGCGTGGCTCCCGCCCTCTTCACAGGGAAAGACAGGCTTCTAAGTAGAGCAAGCACTCCCCAATAAGTCCTCCATGTAAAGCCTCTATCTGAGTGTTCAGATTAGATGAGGATCAACCCTCAGAATAAAAGGCGGTGCACGCAGGGGTCACGCCACAGGCTAGGAACAGTAACTGTAAAATCTTCGTAAGATTTTCTGATCTTCTCTAATCTGGATTGGTTTTTTTTCCCAGTGTGTGTTCCTTAAAATGAAAAGAACCTGACTGCTTGTCTTCGCCGCAACTGAGCAAACATTTACAGGTGCCTACTGTGTGCTGAAGACAGAGCCCTGGCCCTCGGGCGGAGGAAACGCCACGTGTGCCATCTACAGGTGCCTACTGTGTGCTGAGGACAGACTGTGAAGACGGAGCCCTGGACCTCGGGTGGAGGAAACGGCCCACGTGCCAAATAATGGGACGGTTCCTTCTGCACACTGCCTGGAAGTCACCTGGTGACTCCAGAGCAAACACAGCAAAACAGGGAAAAATCACCCGCTAGTGCTTCTATCGGCACTGGAAGGGCAGGCTGACGCCCCCTTTCTGGAATAAGCTGCTGGGTAAAGACAGTGACATCGGCTTCACAACCACAGCCACCAACCTAACAGCCCACCTGCACCTCCACACCACCCAGGTGGCTTTTAGACAACCTTTGACCTTTAATATCACCCCCGCAAGCAGTAACCCGGGGGCCACAGCGCGTTTCCCTGCGGGGCACGGCCATCAAAGAAGGCCTGTGGCCAGGCCGCGGGGACTCCCGCCTGGAGGGGGCGGGAACAGGTGCAGCCCAGCCCAGGTGGGGCCGGCTCTCCCCTCCGCTGTGCTGGCTCAGGGCTGGGAGTCCCTGGCTTCCACCTCCCAGGGCCCGAAGGACAGCGGCCGCCTGGCACGGCGCACCCAGAGGGGCCCCCCACTGGACAGGGCCGGGGGCTGGCGGACCCCCAAGCGGGTGGTCGGTGGGGGCGTGTGTCATCCCTGGGCGGGGCGGGGCGGGGCCCGGGGCCGCTGCAGGTCCACAGGGCAGGGCGTATCAGAATCTGTTGCAATCTCACCGAGCCCCCAAGAGGATTTCCGACCCTGCGGAGACGGAAAGCGCCCCAAGGAAACAGTGACACAGTCACTCTTCCAGACGACACCATGCCCTGGGCCGGGCCGCGGGCCAGCGACCGGGCGGGGATCGGGCCTCGCGCCCAGGGGGTCCCGCTCCTGCGCCCCCTCCCGTAGGCCAAGCCGCAGCTGCAGCGCCGGGCGGTGCCGGGCTCTGGAGCCCCCAACCCGCGCGTGGCCGGGGATCCCCGCCTCGAATGGGGCCCGCAGCCCGGCCCCCACGCTCCCGCCCCCAGCACGCGCCGACCGCGGTGACAGCGGGGACCCGGCCCCGCCACCCGCCACCCCGCCGCGCGCCCCCCGCACGCCCCGAGCGCACCCACCTCCGCGCGCCGCTTTCTCCTCAGCCTGCCGCGCCGGCCTTTCTGCGCACGCGCGTGCTCGGCCCCGCCCCCGCCGAGCTGTCGCCCTGTGCCCACCCCGGAGAGCCCGCGGGGCTCCGGCCTGCCCGGCTCTGGGCATGCGCGCTGACGGTCGGCGGCCGCAGCGGCGGAAGCTGGGGCCGGCCGGGAACCGGTCCCGTGCGGAGAGGAGGCAACGGCAGTGCGGTCCCGGGGGGACAAGCCAAGGGGGGCGGGGGGTGGCACGGCCCTGCCGAGGGCATCGGGGGCCCGGACAGCCGCCTGTCGGAGTCGCGGTCCGGCCGGGTCACGCGTGGATCCGGAACCGCGTGGGCACGACGTCCCTTCCCGAGTCGGGGGAGAAGGGCTGGAAGGAGGTTCTGGGACGGGCCCTGAGCTGAGGAGCTGTGGCGCCGAGGGTCAGAGACGCGGCAGAGAGAGGGACGGCCGGACGGAGCCGGCAGACGGGGACACAGGCGGCCAAGAAAGTTACGGGACCCGGCAGCAGACGCCGCGGGGCGCCCGGACGCGGACGCCCAGCCCGCAGGGGCCAAGGCCGCCGCCCTCGTGGGGCTGCAGGAGGCAGGGGACGCCCTGTCCCCCCATGGGGGTCCAAGGCGCCTGCGGTGGCCACAGTCTTTGGGGAGGTCAGTGCGCTCCCTGGCGGGTCGCCGCACAGGTGGGGGTGCATCACAGCGGCCCCGGGGATGATCTGAGATCCCCGAGAGGGCCCGGCATCACGAAGGATTCACAGCCTTCCGGGTATCCCAGTGCCCCTGGGACAGGGCCGACAGCCAGAGGGCGGGAGACCATGGGGTCCTCCGGGTGTGCCATATCATCTGCCTCTGTGCGGGGCGGGCTGTCGCTGCGCCGGTCACATCCCCCCAGGGCCAGACGGGAGGTACCGAGGGAGCTGCCGGCGGGGACGGGGCGGCGGCCCAGGTGGCGACACGCGCGACGCGAGCAAGGACTCCTTGGCAGGCGAAGGCACAGGGTGAACGTGCGCCTAGATGTGGGAGCAGCGGCCGCCCTGCCCAGCCGGCGGGCTCAGGCGGCGCTGCAGCGCCCCCGCCGTTCGCGTCGCTGCAGCCTCCGCAGGCGCCGCGTCCACGCGTCCCTCCAGGGTAGCACGAGGCTTCCGCGGGCGGCGATGAGCCCGGGCCCCCGGCCCCCCGCGCCCCCAGCCGCGGCTCCAGGCCCGCCCCCCAGCAGGAGGTAGCGGCGGCCGGGGAGCAGGCGCGGGCAGCCGCAGGCCGCATCCCCGGCGGGCACCCACAGCGCGCTACTCCCGCGCCGCGCGCGCTCCTCTCCGCTCCGGAACACGGCGAGCACCGCCACCGGGAAGCGTGTCCACGCGCCGCGCGCCTCGCCGCGCGCACCCACCGCCACCTGCACCGCTGCGGGGAGAGCGAGAGGGGGCGGGGTCAGGAAGGGGCGGCCTGCCCGCGGTAGGGGGAGGCACGGGGAGGACACCAGGAGGGCAGTGGGGGCTGAAGGGGCGGGGTCGCTGCCCGTGGAGGACCTGAGGGATGAGGATGGGCCTTGGGGCCCAGCAAGGGTCAAGGCGTTCCAAGGGGAAGCTGGCGGAGGAGGGAAGGTAGGGAGAGGAGGAAGGTGGGAAGGTCCGCGGGAGGCCTGAGGGCACCTACCATAGTCCTTCTTGCAGAACTTCTTTAGGCTGATGCGGTAGCTGCCACGGGCAGGTTTGCAGTGCGAGTCACAGTCTGGGTAGAAGGTGGGAGGCTGGCACAGACTCCCTTTCCCCACCCTCTCCTCCCAGAGCCCCCTCCCCCAAAGTCATGCCAGTCTGGGGCCCTGTCCTGTGTCCACTCACCCTGGGGCTGCACAGGGCTGCTGTCCTCAGTGGGTCCAGGGATAGGGGTCTCTGCAGAGAGGGAGGGAGAATGGCCTGCGATGGAGGGGCAGAGAGATCTGCAGGGCTCGGGGAATAGACGGGACAACAGCAGGGAGCTGGGGTGGCCTTGGCTTGGTGGCTGAGGCGGGGCAGGGTCACTCACTAACACAGGGCGCCACTGGGGAGCGGCTTTGCTGGAAGCCAGGCGCGCAGCGGTTGCAGGTGAGGCCAGTGACGCCATCCTTGCAGGGACACTGGCCTGTGGTCTGGTTGCAGGTCTTGCCAGCAGCACCAACCGGGTGACAGTCGCAGGCTGAGGACAGAGGTGGGAAGGGCCTGGTCAGAAGCCTGTCTGGGGATCTGGGAAGTCAGAGGGTGAGGGCCTGCAGGTGGCCGGTGGTGGCTCACCCCTGCAAGCCCGACGGTCACTCAGGGCACGGCCAGGGTCTCGATAGAAGCCCTCCCGGCAGTAGTGGCAGTGGCGGCCGGCGGTGTTGTGCCGGCAGTTGAGACAGACACCCCCGCTGCGGCGGCCGGACAGTCGGTACAGCTCCATGTTGAAGCGGCAGCGGCGGGCATGGCCGTTGCAGGAGCAAGCTGCAGGGAGGGATGGGTCAGGGGCAGGCTGGTTGTGTCCAAGGTCCCCAGGCCACCCTCCAAGGCCTCACCGAGGCAGGCGTGGGATTCCCGGGCAGTGGCCCGCTGCCATGGCCTGTCGCAGTAGAAGGGCTTGCAGCGGCCGCAGTCAGGGCCCTCGGTGCCATGCCGACAGTCGCAGATCAGGTGGCCCTGTGTGTCCAGCAGGCACCGTGAGGCATGTCCATTGCACTTGCAGCGCCCGCCCACCTGGAGGTCGGTGGCTGCGTAGGAGTAAGGGACGACGGCCTCCATGTCCCTGGGGTCACCTGCCGTGCTAGGCCTTGTGAGCACTACACGGACGTCGGTGGCGGTCACCCAGTCTTGGAGCACTGGGCTGCTGTCCAGGTCCAGGCCTGGGGGGCTGCTGTCCTGCATGCTGAAGGCCAGAAGGCCGCTGCCATCAGGCTGGGCCAGGGGTGCGGGGAAGCACAGGGCCTCAGGCCCTGGGCCAGCTGGGCCATTGGCAGGGGCAGGCAGACGGCCATAGTCCAGGTCACAGTGGGAGGAGAAGAAGCCCAGCGGGGCCCAGCTGCGGCCATGGTCCTGAGACTTGAGCAGGGCCACGGAGGCTGGGGGAGCTGAGCAGAAGCGCAGGCTCACGAAGACCAGCTCAAAAGCCTTGCCCAGGGGCACCGTGAGAGTCACGTTGAGGGGCGCCCGAGGCAGGGACTCCGAGCGCCAGCACAGAGGGCTGGCCGTGCCCCCTGGGGAAGTAAGGAGGGCGGGGGAGTGTGCCCGTCGCGGGTCGGAGGCGTCGCAGGCCCGAGTGGCCGGCCGCCCGCACGTGCTGGAAGCCAGCACCTCGCGGCCCAGGGCGGCGTTCACCAGTCCTGGCACGCAGCCGCGGGGCGCACCCCCCTCATCGTGGCAGGGGTCGGCGGGCGCCGGCGGCCCAGGACTCAGGGCGGCGAAGAGCGTGCCTGCCGTCAGCAGCAGCCCCCAGGGCCAGCCAGGCATGGCCGGAGCCGCTGCGGGTCAGCCAGTGGCCGGGCCCCAAGACGCTGCCCTTGGGGAAAAGAAGCCCTCTCCGCGGCTCTGCCCACCAGGCCCGCAATGCCGAGGAACAGGGCCCCCGGGCGGCCCCAGCCCGGCCCAGAGGTGGGAGCAGCGGCGGGCACGCCCCGGGCCCAGCACAGCAGCGGGGATGTTGGCGCGTCCTCCCGCTGGGCCTAGAGCGATGACAGGCGTCGCCCCCGCTCCCGGTGCCTCCGCCCGCGGAGGCCCCACCCGCCGCTCGCACTCACCCACCGAGGGCCGGGCGGAGCAGGTCTCCCGGCCTCCCGGGAAGGGCCGTGGGCGGGCGGGGCCTGCGGTGCACGGGCCGCCGCCTCCTCCCGGCTGCAGCGAGGGCGGACGAGCTGTGCCAGGAGGGGGTGGGGGGCGCAGCAGGCGCAAGCCCGGGCCCAGCCGGGGGCGGGGCTGCTCGGGTCGGGAAGGAGGCAGGGGAGGGGAGGGGGCCTCATCGCAGAGCTGGAATCAGAAGCAGATTCAGACGCGGGCTGGGCCAGCGGGGAAGGGGGCTGGGAGGCCCGGGAGCCAGGGGAGGGGCCGGGGAGCCAGGAATGCGCTGGCGGGAGGGGTCTGGAGGGGGGCAGCTCAGCCTTCGCAGCCCGTGGGGGACCACCCAGCAGGGTCCTGGGCCCACAGCCAGGTCTTTACTGCTCCTGGGGCTGTGCCACGTGCTGGACGGGGGTCTGGGTCGCCTCCTCCCTGAAGACCATCAGGCAGGCAAGGCCCCGGGTCTGACAGCAGAGGCCCTGGATGTTCCCCAGGTAGGGAAGCCAAGTAACCACCAGTTGAAGGGTCATCCCCAAAGCAGCATCTACTCGAGTAGAAGGAACCCAGGATTCGGTCAGGTCTAATTTTGAATCCAACTGCCCCATTTCTGGCTGCATGTCTTGGGCTCCTGTTTCCTCACCTGCCAGATGCCTGTTACTCAGCACGCGCTCTGAAGCTGTTGGATTTGATGAGTCTCAAGTGGCATCAGGCCCAAGTCGAGAGCTGCACAAATTGGAGTGTCTCCTGCCCATGTTGAGGAAGGGGGGCACCCCCATGGGCCTGAGCTGGGCTAAGACATGAGGCCAGCATCCCCTGCACCAGGCCAGATTCTGATCCCAAAGCTCCCTGGGTCTGCAAGTTTCTAGGGGCACCTCTGCCACGGGCCCAGCTGGCAGGGAGGACATGGAAGCTGGAGGGTGGGATGGGGTGGCTTCTTGGGGTTCGGGGGCTTGGTTAGCTGTTGAGGACCCCTCTGCAGGGGCAGGGAGTAGGGTTTAATCATGGGAAGGGGCTGGTCGCAACCCGGAGCCCACTGCCCTACGTCACAGCACGTTTGGGCAGGGAAACTGAGGCAGAAGCCCAGCTGGGTGGCCTGGGGACTAGCTGGGGATGGGGTAGCTGTGCCTGGGAGCGACACCACCAAAGAGGGTCCAGGAACAGCTCTGGTCAGAGAAACCTCCTCCCCTCCGACTTTCAGGTCCTTGACAGAGGAGGCCAAGCATCCCAGGGAGGGGCAGGGAACAAGTTCCGTGCAGGGCCAGCATCGAGGCCTGAATGCCCCGTTTCAGATGGGAGGCCAGGCCTGCAGCTGGTGGAGGAGGCCACGTGGGTGCTACCCTGGACACGACCAGAGATGAGCAAGGACCAGGAGGAAGAGAATGGAGAGGTAGACGCATCCCGCTGTTGGGGAGAGGAGGGGCAGGAGGACACGGAAGCCTCCTAGGGGAAACTGAAGGACCAGAGGAGGGAGCAGGAGGGCCTGACCATGGAGGGGAGGAACGGGAAGACAGGGTGATAGGGCACCTGGCTTGGCTCCTGGAGCAACTGACACTGGCTGGTGGGCACCTTCTCCTTGCCACACATCTGCATGTGACAGCCACAGATGCACAGGGATGGGGGCACCGGAGGACTGAACAGAGAGGGCTAAGGGGCTCTCTCTCTGCCACAGGGCCCCTGCCCCTCAGCTTCCTGATAAAGAGAATGGGAATTGTGTCCTTTACAAGTTGAGGGACCTCAACCTGACGGGGCTCACGCTCCGCTCTGTGGGTCAAGCTTAGAACCTGAAACGTCCCAACCACCCTCTTCAAGGTCCTTCTGGCTCCCAACCCCCACCCCCCGACACCCCACCCTAAGGGTGGGAGGAACCCTGGGGGGACTATGGGGGCTGAGATCATCATTCTGGGACAGTGGAGAGAAAAGCCCAGGCCTGACAGAGGGGTCCCACTGGCCAGAGACAAGCCTCTGGGGAAACCCAAGCTGTCTCTGGACGTCAGGGCCACTGCCAGACTGGCTGCCAGCCAGGCTGCAAGAGGGACAGTGGCCAGCAGCCTCTTCCACCCTCATCAGAGGGGCTGGCTTTGTCTCCAGCTCAGCTTCCCTGTGAGCCAGGACTGGGGTCTGCAGAACGTCTGGTGGCTTCTGGGGTGGGGGAAAGTAGGTGCCTGGGGCTCAGCCCTGCCCCAATTGTTCATCTGGGTCAGCAGCAGCGGCGGGAGGCCGTGGGCCCAGAGGGCCATTGTACCGCCAGCTCCCCAGGGAGGAGGCCGCTGGTCACAGGGCCTCTCCCCAGGAACAGTCCTCTGCACACGCTACTCTGCCCCCACCCCCAGCCCTCACAGATGGTGTTTGGGAGTTAGGAAGGGCCTCCCCACAGCGCCCAAGCGGGACTTATTGCTCCCCAGGGACCCAGCCACCTGTCCCAGCCCCTGGCTGGGGCCTCTCCCACCTCCCACCTCTCCACTGGCCCTGCCCCCTCCTGGCACCTTCTGCAACAAAGAAGCTCCGCCTCCCCTCCCCCCACCTGCAACTCAGGCCGCAGTGCTTCGCCTCCCCCTCCCCACCCCACCCCTCACCCCTAGAGTGGCAGCTCCAGCTTTGGGGCACAGGCTGGGGAGAGGGCATAGATGGGCTGGACAGTCCTAGGCGGCAGGGAGCTGAGAGTCTTTCCTGTAAGATGCCCGTTGATCCAATAATTCCCTGCCCAGCCCAGAACCTGCTGTCTCCCCCCAGACGCCTGCAAGCCACCACATGTTCACCTATTGCACATTTATCGAGCGCCTATTATGCCTCGGGGGGTTTCCAACCGAGCTCCGAAGGCAGACAGCCCAGGAGCAGACACAGCGCCGGCTCCCAACGGCGGGTGGTGTGGCCGAGCCCGCGTCGCGCTGCCCTGCACCCAGCACCCTCGCGCCGGGTCGATCCCCCAGCCTCGCAGACCGCTGCCCAGCCAGGCCGCTCTGCGGTCGCGCCAGCTCTGCGCGCCAAGTCAAAAGCTGAAATGCGACGTTGGACGGAGGAGGGAAGAGAGGGAAAGCAGAGAGGGAGGGAGGGAAACGGCCGGTGGCCTTCTCTGCCCAAAGGGTTCCAGAAGAAACGATTTGGGGATGGGGTGTGGGGGGCGGCCTCTGCGACCACGCTTGGCACTGCGCCCGCCCGGCCGGGGCGAGGTTGGAGGGAGGGGCGGCCGGCTCGCGGTGACCTCGATGGGAGGGGGCCTCGCCCGCGGCTCAGGGCGCCCCCGGCTCCCTGCGCCCGGCCCTTCGCCTCCGCCGAGCGCGCCAGCACAGGAAGGCGGCGGTCAGAAGCCCCAGGCCCGCACTGAGCGCGGCCAGCGACGAGCCCTGGGCCAGGTCCAGGCGGGGTCCCCGCAGCGAGAAGGTGATGGCCGTGGCAGCCGCACCAGCCAGCACGGCCACGGCACCGAACGGCAGAATGCAGCGAGGCCACGAGCCCCCAGCGCCGCCGGTGGCCAAGAGCAGGGCGCGCAGGGCCCCGGGGGGTTCCGGGTGCGCCAGACCCGGCCCGGGGGGCGAGGCGGGCGCCGCTGGGGGAGGCTCGAGCGCGCTCATGCCGCCAACGCGGTGGCCGCGCTCGGTGGGTGGTGTGGACGCCCGCGCAGTCCCAGTGGCGTTCCAGGCTCGCCACGTCAGAGCCCATTGGCTCCAGAGGCGGTGACGCCAGCCGGGAGCCCGAGGAGTCAGCTGCTACCTCTGGGTTTTGGCGGGGAATCGGGGTGGGCGGGCGTTAGTCCGAGGAGGCGGCTTGTCTTTCCCGCCCTGGACTCCTGTGTTGGGGCCTCCTCAGGACCCCCACAAAGCTATCTAGGCCGCCTCCCTGCTCCAGGACACCACTGTCCTCTGGGTTGGCCCCCGGGATTGGTGGATCATTGAGTCAGTGCACATCTGGCTCCCATCAGGGCCTGGCCGGGGTAGGGGGGATAGCACCCCTGTCCTCCTGAGGCAGACATCCAGTAGGCATGGGGGATGAGCCATGAGCCAAGTCAGCCAGTGAAATAACGTCAGGTAGAGACCACCTGCTCTGGAAAGCCACGGGGGTGTACGGTCGCAGCGTGGTTGGGGGTTTCAAATGAGTCAGTGGCTCCTGCAGATAGAGGCACCTGGGCATAAGCCTGGAGGCAGCAATGGGGTTGCCGGGAGGGGCGAGGCTGGCTGATCTGCACAAGGGGTGCGACCCTGGGGCTGCTGCCAGGCTGCGGTGGCAGGGGGTGGAGCTGCCCTGTCCCTGGAGGCGCCCCCTCAATGCAACGAGGACCATGGTTTTTGGTTTCCTGTCTTGGTCTCTGTCATCTGGTCCCCAGCAGCCCTCAACTTGGGACTCTGGGTCCGAGCGTGTTTCTGGCCCGCTGGACTATAAGGCCCTTTACAAGCACGACCTACCTGCGACGCTCCATCTGGTTCTCAGAAGACCCGGCTTTCTCCAGGTGTCATCCACCTCCTGTCCTGCTGCCCTGTCCAGGGGGGGCACCTTGGTGAAGAGGCCGGTCATCTTCCCTGTCGCAGGTCCCTGCCCAGAGCAGCGCTTGGTGGAGCTCCGGCACTGTCCACACAGAGCACCTGGCCCCAGCTCCCAAAATGTCTGGGATGCCTCGGGCCCTCAGTGCAGGTTCGTTTAAAGAACACTACGAGCACTGGCCATGGCCAACACCACGGCCTCTGTGGCCAGCAGGGTTTTTTTTTTGAGACGGAGTCTTGCTCTGTCACCCAGGCTGGAGTGCAGTGGTGTGATCTCGGCTCACTGCAACCTCCACCTCCTGGGCTCAAGCGATTCTCCTGCCTCAGCCTCCCAAGTAACTGGGATGACAGATGCGCACTACCAAGCCTGGCTAATTTTTTGTATTTTTAGTAGAGACGGGGTTTCACCGTGTTAGCCAGGATGGTCTCAATCTCCTGACTTCATGATCCGTCCGCCTTGGCCTCCCAAAGTGCCGGGATTACAGGCATAAGCCCCCGTGCCTGGCCTTTAGTTTTTATATTTTGAATGGAGACAGGGTTTCAACATGTTGGCCAGGCTGGTCATGAACTCCTGACCTCAGGTGATCTGCCTGCCTCATCCTCCCAAAGTGTTGGGATTACAGGTGTGAGCCACCACGCCCAGCCTGTGGCCAGCACTTTAGATGCCACATCAAGTAATCTCTATGCCGGCCCCTGAGGTCATCACCACCATCACCCAGCATGACAGTGGGGACAAACCTGGACAACTGGGGCTGACTCCTTGAGAATCTTGCCCAGTCCCAGGGCAAGAAACAAGTCATGTTGCAAACACCTCTGTGGCTGCAGAGGGCCCAACCCTGACCCATGCTCTTTCCTGCCTTCCTGGGGAAGGGAAGGAGGCTTGGAGGAGGTGAGAGTGGAGTGGCTAAAGGGTGAAGAGGTAAAAGGCCCTTCCTGGTGGAGGCTCAGTGTGAACCGGTGACCCCACACCTGCCCCAGCACCAGCGCCAGGAGGGGGAGCTGGGCATGGGCACCAGGAGACAGTGGGAAGCAGAGCCGTGTGGCTGTGGCAGAGACAGTGGCCGGCCTGTTCTCCAATATGGCCTTGTGGTTTTCGTGTCCTCCGATGAATGCATACAGCCTACAGCCTACAGGGGGCAGGGCTTTCAGCAATGCTGGGCCTGCCTTGAGTGGCCTTGTCCCGTCCTTTATACAGAAGGGATATCGAGACAGAGTCTCGCTCTGTCACCCAGGTTGGAGCACAGTGGTGCAATCATGGCTCACTGCAGGCTCAAAGTGCGAGGCTCAAGCGATCCTCCCGCCTTAGCCTCCCAAGTAGCTGGGATTACAGGCAGACACGCCATGCCCGGCTCATTTTCAAATTTTGTGTAGAGATGGGGTCTCACTGTTGTTCAAACTGGTCTCAAACTCCTGGCCTCAAGCAATTCTCCCACTTCAGCCTCCCCAAGTGCTGGGATTACAGGCGTGAGCCACCACACCCGGCCCACTTATAATCTTGATAAATACACTTGATATATTCTTTTTCAGCATGACATGTATCAACCAGTGATATAACTTGATAAAATCATAAAGAAACAACAAGGGCTCACCAAGTCCTACCTTGGCATGATTTAAATACATATGCTTTCAGCCAGGCACGGTGGCTCACACCTATAATCCCAGCACGTTGGGAGGGTGAGGTGGGAGGATCACCTGAGGTCGAAAGTTTGAGACCAGCCTGGCCCACATGGTGAAACCCCATCTTTACTAAAAAAAAAAAAAAAAAAAAAAAAAAAAAAATAGCCAGGCGTGGTGGCCGAAGCCTGTAGTCCCAGCTACTCGGGAGGCTGAGGCAGGAGAATCGCCTGAACCCAGAAGCGGAGGTTGCAGTGAGCTGAGATCACGCCACTGCACTCTAGCCTAGGCGACAGAGTGAGACTGTCTCAAAAACATAAATAAACACAAATGCTTTCTAAAGTGGCTTTAATATCACACAAGCGGCTCTTTGGTCTACAGTGAGAGAAAACAGAGGGAGCCAGGAAAGGCTCCCCGCTGGCCTCTGGAGTCCAGGAGCCTTAGGAAGGCTGAAAGCCAGCCCTGACCAGCAGGCTTAGTTGTCCTGAGAAGAGCCAGTGAGGCCACCTGGTCCAGTTCACCAGGTTTCCCAGGGAAGCACAGGCATCTCTGGGTCCCCGAGCACAGTGCCAGGGAAGACACCCCCAATCCCCATCTGAACAGGCCGAGGGCAGCATGGGAAAGGCTCAGACTGCAGGTTCATCCCGCAGGATGGTAAGGACACGTGCTCCTCCCTCGCAGAGCAGGCTGTGCACAGCCCGGCACAGGGCCAGCCAGGGCGGCCCCTGCGGCTGTGCAGCGCTTACCAGGGGGAGGAGTTCAGCCATCAGGACCTGGGGGCAGGGCAGGGCAGGGCCAAGGTCTCAGGGGCACCTAGGCGGGGGGCAATCCTGGGACAGGCTTCGAGGCCCCCATGCTTCAGCCCTCCTCCCTCCTTCTGAGGCTCCAGGCTCCCTCCTGCCGTCCCAGCCCCGTCTGACCCATGCACTTCCCAACCCACACACACAGACCCCAGGCTTGCCCCCATCCTCCTGGGTCCTGGGGGGTGGAGCAGTCAAGCCCCTACCCTCGGGTCCTCAAGGCTGCGGACCTCTGTTGCACCCCCACCTCCTCTTCCAGAAGCACCTTTTCCAAGTGGATCTGCTGGTCCAGCACAGCCACTCGCAGCTTGAGGGCCGCCAGGGTCTGCAGCTCCTGGGTGCTGGAGTAGACAAGCAGCTGGGGGCTCCATGCAGGCTCCGCTCTACCCCCACAGGACGGCGAGGCTCCGGGGGGCCTCCCCACAGGACATGGTCTTGGTGGCTGTTCCGCCACCGCTGTGTGCACAGGAGAATGTGGCCTTTGGGGTAGCAGCCGAACCCAGGGCCCCGCTTTTCCTGTGTGCCTGGCCCTCCCGCATCTGCACCACCTGCCCTGCCTTTAGGAGAAAGGTGGGCTTTCAGGACAGCCCCATGCAAGATGGTGTGTCTTGGGCCTGGACTTGCTGGCAGGGAGTCCTCTGTGGGGTGGCCCTCTGCCTGCCTAATTTCTTTACTGTGTTTATGCATGACTTTTATGAGATTGTCTTTCCTTTTGACAAATGATGTATCTTCACTCTTAAAACTTCAAGCAATTAGAAAATACAAAGGAGGAAACAAGTTCTATAAATAACCACCTCACGCAATCCCAGGCGAGTCACCTCCCAGGAGCTGATTCTCACGAGCTACTTTCTCTTTTTTTTTTTTTTTGGAGACGGAGTCTCACTCTGTCACCCAGGCTGGAGTGCAGTGGTGCAATCTCAGCTCACTGCAATCTCTGCCTTCTGGATTCAAGCAATTCTTGTGCCTCAGCCTCCCAAGTAGCTGGGATTACAGGTGTGCGCCATCATACCCAGTTAATTTTTGTATTTTTAGTAGAGATGGGCTTTCGTCATGTCGGCCAGGCTGGTCTTGAACTCCTGACCTCAAATGATCCGCCTGCCTTGGCCTCCCAAAGTGCTGGGATTACAGGCGTGAGCCACTGTGCCCGGCCTCACACGCTACTTTTTCTTTTTCTGAGACGGCATCTCACTCTGTCGCCCAGGCTGGAATGCAGTGGCGCAATCTCAGCTCACTGCAAGCTCCTCCTCCTGGGTTCACGCCATTCTCCTGCCTCAGCCTCCCAAGTAGCTGGGACTACAGGCGCCCACCACCACGCCTGGCTACTTTTTTATATTTTTAGTAGAGACAGGGTTTCACCGTGTTAGCCAGGATGGTCTTGATCTCCTGACCTCATGATCCACCCGCCTTGGCCTCCCAAAGCGCTGGGATTACAGGCGTGAGCCACCGCGCCCGGCCCTCACATGCTAGTTTTTCAACAACTGGGTGAATAAGCAACTGCTCAGAGCAATGAGGTTCTGTGTGCGGGGAGCAGCGAGGTGGGAGAGCTGCCCTGAGGAGGAGAGGAAGGCTGACTGCTCCCATAGGACGACTGGTGAGGACCCAGCACACTGGGGAGTGGCGTGGGAGGGGTGGAGGGGCCCACCAACTTGCATCTGGTCCCTGGGCTGCTCACCCTTCCCTGAGGCGCAGACAAGCCTGGCTAAAGCACCCTGTCCCCGGCCCAGACCTCAGTGCAGGTGGCAGGGTGGGGGCGGGGTCTCACCTGCACGCAGCTCCTGCAGCCTGTGCAGACACTGGCCCACCATGGCCTGCAGCCCCTCCAGCGTGAGCAGGCAGCGGTACTCCTGCATCCAGTCCATGGGGGCTGCAGAAGAGTCAGGGAGAGCAGGTGGGGCCCGTGGCAGTCTGGAAACCCTCCCTGCACTGGCCCTCCACACTCCTCCTGATACAGACCCAGGACCCACTGACCTGCCGAGAGCTCCTCCCTCATGCGCAGTCTCAGCAGCGAGCAGGCCTTCCGCAGGCGCCCCGCCTCCGCCTCCACCTCCACAGCACTGAGCCTGGGCTGGGGCCCGCCTGACTGGATATGGGTCAGGAAAACTTCCCTGCAGCCAAAGCCCCTCTGCTCCCACCAAGAACGGGGCCTGGGGAGTGGCCCTGGCCATCCCACGCCAGCCCCTCCTGGGGCTGCTCTGCAAACCTGCCAGGTTCAGAGCTAGAGGCCCCCAGGGCTCCCACAAGCCCAGCAAGGATACAGCTGTCTGCATGTTCTGGAGGAACTGGGTTTTGGCAGCGGCGGCATCCGTGGAATCACTGGTCTGTGTGGAACTGAGCTGGGCCCACAGGCTGGGGTGCACACGTGGGGTGCACAGAGGAACCACAGAGGGACACGGTTATTCCAGCCAGTAAGCTGGGCCTTGGGAGGTAGGCAAGGGCCAGGGTGGGGACCCCAGGCTGGGCGTCTGGCTCTGCTGAATGCCAGGAGGGGCCTCCAGAGGCCGCAGGGAACCAAGAGGACACTGACTAGGACAAGGGGACAAAGCTGACCGGCTGGCAGATTTTTAACATCGACAGTGATCCCACTCAGCAAAGAGGACAAAGAGACCCACTGGAAAGTATCTCGAACCTGTCCCCGAGCTGGTGATGCCTCCCGGTTCTCCCCTACCCCCGTCCAGCCAAAGACCTCAGCCTCACCTCGAGTTCTGGGAAGCTGCTTTCCTGAATGCCGCAGGCAGCCGCAGCAGGTGCCTGTCGGAGAAGCCCGTGTTCAGAGGAGCATCGCCTTGCTCTGGGGTCTACAAGTCCCACTTCCTGCTCAGAGCCCAATCAGGGATGAGGCTTCTTGCCCCTCTCCCACACCCGACCCCACCAAGGATGAGCCCCCTTGGATAGGGCTTCCAGAGTGGCCATAGGAGAAGCATCGTCCAGTGCTGCCCCATTAGAGAGAAGAGGGGGCCCTGTGAGCGGGGCCCTGTGAGCAGATCCCACGCCCTCCAGAGCCCATCTGGAGCCTCTGGCCTGGGCAAATAAGGGGACAGCCACAGAGAAGAGAGGAGGACAGGCTCCAGTACTTCCCTGACCTGATGGTGCCAACCTGGACACCACCACACAGCTGCTTCATTCTGCCAGCTTCTGAGCATGAGCCTCAGGGGTATGCCACAGGGCTCGATGCCCTGCCTTCCCTGTCACCCCAAATCCCAGGCTCCTTGCTAGCCAGGGTCTGAGGAGGCAGAGACAGAAGTCCCTCCAGTGAGGGTCCGGGAAACCTACCCCTTCTCCTTGAGTGTGAAGGCTTCTGGGGCCTGAGGAGCAGCGGATGGGGCCATTTGCTGGTCCCTGAGGCCCGCCCCAGGCCTGGGGGTTCGGGCTCCCATCCCAACACGGGTCCCATCCCCCACTGACAGCAGCCGGCGCTCAGGGTGGCCCTTGGCAGGCACCGTGGTCTGGCGGAGGCCCTTGGTGGGTCTCGTGTCTGAAGCATGGCCACCAGCTTGGCCTGGGGAATGCGGTGGGGCGGAGGCTGTCGTGCCAGAAGAGGTGACAATGGACCTAGATTTCAGGCTGGGGGCCTTGTCTCTCTCTCCGGCCTTAGTGATGCCTCTTCGAACTCGTACAGCCTTCTCCAGTGCCTGGGTCAGAAACTCCAACTCTTTGAGGTCTTGTGGACTGGGTGTGCATGCTGTGAAAGCCAAGAATTATGCAGGGATCTCTCCCCACTGTCCCCCAGGAGGGTTCCTCACAACTGCACGCCAGCAGACAGGCCAGAGCAGCACCTGGAGAAGGCGGGTGGTGGAGGTTTACCTGGAAGGGGGTCCTCTCCATTAGTTTCTGGCCCTGGAGGTGGCTTCAAAGCCCGGGTCCCAGTTGGTTCCCTGCAAAGACACGGGCAGCCGTCGCACGGCCAGGAGGCAGGGCCCAGCCCAAACAGACCCGAGGGGGCCGCCGGGCCCCGCGGCAGGCCCCCAGCTCAGAGCCTGCAGGGTAAGGAGGGTGGCACTGACAACCCACAGCTCCGAAGTGGGCGGCTGCGCCCGGTCTCCCAGCCCTGGGCGCTCGGGGCGGGACTCTGAGGGCCCGAGGGAGGTCTGGCCAGTGGGTCCGGGGTCCGCGTACCAGGCATGCAGCAGCCGACGGCAAACGCGCAGGCTCTGCTCCAATTGCAATTGTCGCTGTGCGCAGGCGTCCAGGGCGCCCTGCAGCTCGGCCACCAGCCTGGGGGACGCACCGGCGGCTCAGCACCTCGGCCAGCGTCGGGCCTCGGGCCCCGCGCCTGGCTACCGGCCCGCCCGCATCCTCCCACCCCCTCCTGCCGCGCAGGCCTCACCGGCGCGAGCAGCCCGCCGGCAGCATGAAGGCGGCGGCGTCTCCTTGCAATTTGCCGCCTCTGAAGAGCCACGCCCCTTCCGGGAGGGAAGGCCGCCCCTTCCCGGCCGGGCTGCCCAATCCTGAACCGGGGCTCAGGGGCCGCCCCCGAAGCTTTCTCTCCCTCCTTGCGGGCAAGCCTCAAGCCCCGCCCACTCCTGCCTCCCAGGTCTGACGGGGACTCCGGCTCGGAGCTGGGCCCCCGAGGCCGCCAGGGAGGTGACTGCGGGCGACGCCGGGATTTTGGTTTGGGTAACTGGGTAGATGGGGGCGCCATTATCGCGCTTCTCTTGCAGGGGGCCGGTGAAGGTTATACGAGAGGCTCCATCTGTCCTTATTGAAAGTGCTCTTAACGCAGGGACCAGCCGTCTTGCTGACGCCTGGGCCACCGAGCACAGGGACAGGACGGGGTTGCTGGAGGTGAGGATTCCGCGTGTCAGGGGCGGGGATGAAGGAGGAGAAAGTGTTCACTTTTGGACATGTGACGTGATAGCACTGGGCAGAGGGGAGGAAGCTCAGACCTTGGAGCAGTGGGCCAGGCGAGGTGGCCCCTGGTGGGGCAGGGGACGGGTAGGGACAGATCACGGGGCCCACGCAATGGCCAGGGAGGTGGAGGAGCAGTAGGACAGTGTCACAGAGGCAACAGGAGGCTGTCACGGGAGGGAGTGGGTCACAGGCCAAGTGCTGCTGAGGCCTCGGCGGTGTACACAGCACAGCAGGGGGGCGGGGGTACAGGGCCTTCGGTGATGCGGGGGACACCTGAGGGAGGAAGTGAGGAAGGCAGCAGGGCCCCATGTAGTTGGTGTTAACAAGAATAAACAATTAGGGGGCAAGAAATCCCAGGCGGTAGCTGAAAGAAAAACAGAGCCTGGGGTTGCTGTTTAAAGATGGGACAGGTGAGTCCATTCCATAGTCGTTAATGGGAAGGTGCCATCGCAGAGGGGAAGGAGGGCACAAAGGGAGTTGTCAGGGAGGTTGGGACCCAGGCAGCTCTGGCCCAGCGCTCCGGGTGGGCCCCTCCATCAGCGGTGGGGGAGGGTGACGGTGGCCCTGCCTCCCTGGAGATTCTCTGTGAAGGAGGAGGCAGGGAAATGCTCAGTCAGCAGGTGGGTGATGCAGGAACCCACCCACCACAGGCAGGCGGGGCCAGGTCCCCCTGGAGTGGTTTCCTCCTTCAGGTGCAAGCTGGGAGAAAGCAGAGAACTGACTCCATGCAGAGTTGGGATTAAGAGCCCCTGGACAAGGGGCCGAGGCAGTGAAGGACGTCCATCACTCATCTGCCACTATCCTCCTCACATTTAATCCTCACAACACCCCTGTGAGGTAGGTATCATTGCCCCCCTTACAGATGAGGAAACTGAGGCTCACACATGCCCAGGGGCACACAGTCGACAGGACGGGTCTACAGTTCCAACGCTTGGGTTCTCACCCCGACCACACCCCACCCAGGGTGGCCAGAATTCCCTTATAGTAGCAAAAAGACAGCTGCCGCGGACATGAACACACATAGCACCAGCACACATAAAAGCAGCAGCTCAGTGAGCATCTCCCATCCCTGGGTTTCCGGTTCAAGAGCATTTGGGGGCCAGGCGCCGTGGCTCATGCCTGTAATCCCAGCACTTTGGGAGACCGAAGTGGGCGGATCACTTGAGGTCATGAGTTCGAGACTAGCCTGGCCAACATGGTGAAATCCCGTCTCTACCGAAAATACAAAAATTAGCTGGGCGTGGTTGGGTGCTTGTAATCCCAGCTACCCAGGAGGCTGAGGCAGGAGTATCCGGGAGGCGGAGGTTACAGTGAGTTGAGAGTTGAGATCATGCCACTGCACTCCAGCCGGGGAGACAAGAGCAAAACTGTCTCCAAAAAAAAAAAAAAAAAAGCATCTGGGGGACACTTCTGGCCAAGTGGTTCTTTCTTACATTTGCAGAGTAAACAGAAGTGGATGGCAGCAGGGTGTGTTGTGGTCAGCCCGTTCCCAGGGAGAGGCCATGGTCACATGGCCCCAGGCAGGCTCCCCAGGCGTGGGCTGCTGGCTCCCAGGCTCCCTTTCCATGCAGGAGCAGAGTCTCCGTGGCCAGCAGGAAAGCCCAGGGGTCTGCCTCCCTCCCACGGGCCCCCACAGCAGAGCTGCAGTTGGGATCAGCCAGGACACGGCCCCCGACTGCTCTGCTCTTCTGCCTCTTGGTCACCTCAGATGTTACAGAGGACTTGAAGTTTTTTCTGGCTAGCCTATCTGGGAAAATTCTTTTTGCATAAAGTGTGTCAGGATGGCATTGAGGGGCTGGAGTAAGATTTTTGTTTTGCAGGTGAACCTAAATAATGGTGGGAATCTCTTGTTTTTTTAATACCTTCTGTTTTAAGTTTTTCTTTTGTTTTCATCTTGGAAGAAGGAAATTTAGAAATAAGACAGGAAAAGAATGGCCCAGAAATTCAGCACAAAGAGAGGTGTTCACATTGACGCCATCTGTGGGTCACATACGAACGCCTCTGGGACAGAGCTCTAAAACGAGTCACGTGTCGTAGGGAGTGGGCCTGTGGCCAAGGCAGTCCTCGCAGTGTGCAGGGACGCAGGCCCCCTTACCATGGAAGCCCCACCCAGAAGGAAGTGGGTGCCCCATGCAGGCCGAGGTGGATGAGGGGACAGTGGTGTGCTCACAGCTGTCAGCTCCCCACTGAAGCCCCAAACCAGCAGATGTGGGCAGGGGCTCAAGTGGTGTCTGACTACCCAGGTCACACGTGCCTTAAGCGTGAAAGCTGTCAGCTCCCGGCACGGGGCTCTGGTGGGGCTGGGAACACCAGGACACACATGGGCTGAAGCTTCCAGAGACAGTGAGACACGGAAGGGACAGAGAGGTGCCCTCCACACAGTGTGGCCAACTGCTTCCAGGCTAAACTTTCCAAAGAGAGGGATCTGAGCTCTTCACCCTCATTTCAACATTCTGATGGCTTGCACGGGACTCCCGCGGAGACAGAAACTTGGTGGCCGCAAGTCATCCTCTCTGCTCTCTGCGCAAAGGCCTCCATGGTCTATGCAGCGTTCCTATGCTATGCTCCCACCCTTCGCCTCCAGCCCCCTCAGTACACATCCACTGCGGCAAATGTGCTGACACACTTACAGCCTCACAAGGCCCAGGTTCATGTCCTCCTCCTCACTGTGTATGCATAGGTTTATCCGCTTCACCTGTTGCTGGGGAACACTGCTCTCCGGGGGACTTGGGGGACGACACTGTAAACATGACTTCCTGGCCTGATGGTGGCAGGGCTGTGTGTGCGAGTCACTGTCCAGGGACAGCACTGAGGTAGGTTGGGGCAGGGCCCCCAAGCCACCGTCCACGGAGCTTGTGGGACTTGCGGTGCTGACGGAGGAGTACCCTGAGGTCGTGACGTCCTTCCCTGGCTCCCGGCTGGTGCGGACCAGGGGTTTGGGTCCAGGGGTTGCAGGGATCTGGGTGTCCAGCGCCAGTGCCTGTGGGTCCTGGGGTCCCTTGTCCTCTGGACAAGCCTCCTCATCACTGGATTCCTGGCAGCAATGCTGTTCTGGGTTCAGGTAGACCACGGTGACATCGAGGATGCCGCTGGGAGCTGTCACTGCAGGAAGGTTGGTGGGGAGGGAAGTCATGTCACACCCAAGCATCAGGGGAGACCCCCTGCCAGGTCAGGACCCTGAAGTCCAGGTCAAGAATCTTCTACCTTGCTACGGTCCCCTGTGTTACCCTCCTGTGGTGAGAAGCGTGGGTGACATGCCTCTTCCAAGTTGGACAGCTGCCCGCCATGACTCCAACAAATGTGGAGATGACAAGTTGGCCATCTAGCTCAAGCCAAGTGGACGCAGAAGCAAGCAACCGGGAAACTGACAGGACTCACACTAACTGGGCTTCTGGCAAGGACCCCGCAGTCTGCCTGGGGTTTGCACAGGGCAGTGATCCCAGCAGGGCAGTGAGGAGTGTCACGTATACCACGTGGGCACACCTCAAACAACATTCTAGAAAGAACGCCCAGGCTACAGTGCAGTGGCATGATCACGGCTCACTGCAGCTCCCACCTCCTGTGCTCAAGAGATCCTCCCACCTCAGCCTCCTGAGTAGCTGGGACCACAGGCGCACGCCACGATGCCCAGCTAATTTTTAAATTTTTTGTCTTGCTGTGTCACCCAGGCTGGTCTTGAACTTCTAGCCTGAAGTGATCCTCCTGCCTCAGCCTCTCAAATTGCTGGGATTACAGGCATGAGACTACAGGCCTAGAAGGATCTCCATGAACTCCAGACAGGGTCTCTGCCTCCCTCATCCTAGTGAGGTCCTCCCAACACGGAATGAGCAGGAGCCGGATAGGTGTGGCCTAAGTCCTCTCATCCCTGTGTGGTGGGAGCAGCTGTGGTCTTTTGGGGGCTCTCCCCTCCTCTCTCCCCATGTCTGGACACACTCCCCGGCGGGGCAGGAGCTGGCCCCACCCCGCACTCTGTGCACATCTTCCTCCCACAGCGCTCGCACAGGGCCGGGTGCCCAGAGGCCCTCGGTGAGAGCCACCCTCTGTGTGATGTCCCTTCTGGTGCACCCTGGCCCCACACTCACCGTCGCCCTCCTTCTCGCCCTCACTCTCCTGGTCGCCTTCATAGCCAGAGCAGCAGTCCAGGCTCCAGTCGAGGAAGCTGCCCAGCAGCGTCTCCTCCTGGCTGGACAGCTCCGCAGTGGGGGTGGTAACGAAGCTGCCTCTGTCTTCCTGGAGGCTGTTCTCCCGCTTCCTGCAAGGTGGAGAGAGCCCAGGAGACCCAGTCATGGACGGCGGCGCTGGGAGGCCAGGCCCTCCACACCTGCCTCTAACACCCGCGTGCCCCAGCCTGTCACCACGTGCTCCCAAAGGTTCTGCTACGAAGAAGATGCCGGTGAAGCTAGAACAGGTATAAGCCCTTCAGGCAGGGCCAACCTGGAGGACAGCTCAGGCAAACTCAGGCCCCAGGTCTGGGTGTGAAGCCCAGCCCACCCGGCTCAGCTGTGGGGCGTGGGCCAACCATCTGGTCCCCTGGAAACCTCTAGGATGATGCCACCTTCCAGTGTTTTTTTTTTTTTTTTTTTTTTTTTGAGGTGTTCTTGCTCTGTCGCCCAGGCTAGAGTGCAGTGGTGTGATCTTGGCTCACTGCAACCTCCACCTCCCGGGTTCAAGTGAGTCTCCTGCCTCAGGCTCCTGAGTAGCTGGGACTACAGGTGCCCGCCATCACACCCAGCTAATTTTTATATTTTTAGTAGAAACGGGGTTTCACCATGATGGGCAGGTTGGTCTCGAACTCCTAACTTCAGGTGATCCGCCCACCTCGGCCTCCCAAAGTGCTGGGATTACAGGCATGAGCAACCGCACCCGGCCCCTCTGGTGTTGATTAATAAGGTGCAGGCAGTGCTTAGCCCGGCGCCAGGCAGATTGCATGGAATGGCCTGGCCTTGGGCGGTGCTGACACCCACACCCAACTGGGGTCAAGTCTTGCTCAGGATGGGGCTAGAGGCCAGTGTGTGGGCGTGAGCCTGGGAAAAGCCGCCACACCAGCTGAGCCTTTCCACTTCCTGACCCCAGGGCCTGGTGGAGGGCGGGGGGTGGAGAGAGCTATCCCAGTGTCACCCGTGGGGGTCTGTCTCAGAAGACTGATGGGGCTGTGGGGGGCCTCTGAGAAGCGGGTTTAACACAGCGAGGCTGAGCACAGGGCCAGGGCCAGGCCCCCTCCTGGAGTAGCCGTGCGTATCTGCATGGACTTTCCTCGTGATGACCCTGGCCCCAGGGAGTCGGTGCGTGTGTGGAGTGACACAGGAGGGTCAGGTCTCCTGCCTTCCACACAATGGAAAGTGCTGTCACGCTTCTTGGGGAGGAAGCAGCAGCAGGGGCTTTGGCTGCTTCCCCAGGGCTCCCCAGGAGTTGAGGTCTCCTGCCAGGAGCCCACTCCCGACACAACGCTTCTGGAGGCAGCCCTGCCTGGTCCTATATTGACAGGAAAGACCCAGCCACCCAGTGCCTGCCCTTGGGAAGGTTACTGGTGCACATGGTGCTGAGGGGTCACGGCGCAGGGCCAGCAGCACAGGGAGGGCCCTGTTCATCGGGGCCTTGTGGAATCAGTAGGAGTTCTCCAGGCGGGTGAGGTAGAAAGAGGAAGTTAACTCCAGGAGGAACAGCCAAGGTGCTGAGATAGGAGAGGCGGGTAAACAGGTCCACACGGGTGGCGAGGGAAGTGCTGGGGATGTGACTCAGGTCACAGCTCGAGTGCCGGGAGTGACAGCAGCATCATGGAGCAGAGAAGTCCAGGACGCGCATGACAGGCACGGGCAGGGCTAGAGCCAGGCTAGGCTCCCGCGTGCTCGAAACCATCTTCCTCCACAGGGAGCCCAGTCAGAGCGAGAGGCAATAGCCTCTGAGGAAGGAGACCTGGGCTGGAGACAGTGGAGGTTACGCAGGGGCCCGAGGCATGACTGCAGGGCTCCGTCCCAGGGTCACTGTCCTGGGATCTGCTGCTCCCCTGACAAGCCTTGGGGGCCTCTCTGTGTGAGGAAGCGCTGAGGGAACTGGGCCGGCACGAGGATGCCAGCATTGTATGGCGCAGCCAGAACGCAGGGTAACTAACCGTTTGGTTCTCCGCCCCGAGGGAGAGCTGAGGAAGGCGTGGATCTCCCCTGTGCTGAGGAAAGTCGGGGGGTCGGGGCTGTCTTGTGTCACTCCTAATGCAGCACACAACTGGCTGTAGCTCAGCACCTGAGGGGAAGCTAGAGTTAGGGGGTGCAGAGGCCCCGAGGGTGAGGCCCGCCCACACCCCAGCACCCCATGAGACGCCCAGGTGGCGGGAGGGAGGCACCTCTTCCTGGCTGATTTCTCCATAGCGCTTGTCCTCAAACCGCTGCTTCACGGCGGTCAGAGAGACTTGCCTGTAGTCCTTGGGGGCGTCATCATGGAAGCTGGAAACAGAGTCACGTGGAGTGGACATGTGAGGCACCCCCACCCCATTTTTAGCTTCAGTTCACTGAAGTGAGCAATGAGAATGCAAAATGGTGCAGTCACTCTGGAATCTGACCTGGCAGTTCCCCGAATGGTTAAACTCAGTCACCACAGGACCTAGCAATTCCTCTCTAGGTAAAGACCCAGGAAAAAGGAAAAACTATGTCCACACAGAAACCTGTACTAGAATGTTCATGGCAGGACTGTTCACAATAGGCAAAATGTCCACCAGCTGCGGGATGGATAAACACATGTGGTCCATGCAGGGGAATATTATTCAGCCATGAAAAAGAACAAAGCAGGGACACACACCACATGGACAAACCCAGCAAACGTTACCGCGAGGGAAATCACCTAGACACAGAAGGCCACTTGTCCGATGACGCCATTTATATGGAATGTACAGAATGGGAAACATCCATGGACAGAAAGTAGACTACTGGGGGTCATCTAGCGCTGAGGAAGTTGGGGGGAACGGGAGGGTGACAGCTGAGGGGTGTGTTGTCCCTTTGGGGAAAGTGAAAATGTCATCAATTTGATTGTTGTGATGACAAGCACAACTGTGTGAATAAAAGCCCGTTAAATCACACAATCAAAGGAAGTGTAGTTTCTAAATAACGTTTCTAATTTATCTTGTTTGGAAAAAAAATTAACTTCTTCAGGAGGAAGAGAATAAACGCAGCCCAGAAACAGCTTTTGGTGGCCAGGGTTGGGACGATCTGTGCTCCCCATAAGCAAAGGTGGGTGGGACGAGACCCATGCGAACCCTTCTACTGTCAGCCTCGTTCCTTGCCCAGAAGGCACAGGGTCCGGGCACTGCAGGAGAAAGCAGCATGAGCAGCAGCACATGCCAAAGCCCGGGAGATGCCACCAGGTCCCCTGTGGCTGGAGCACAGCATGGTGGGAGAAAAAGCAGATGGGCCACAGAAGGGGCTGCTCAAGGGCATCGAGACCCCCAGGGAGTTCTGATCTCATCCTGGAAGCCGGACAGCGAGGCCCTGGGTGACGTACACGGGACATGTGCGGGGCGGCTGCCACAGTGTTCCAGGAGGCCGGGCAGCCGCCACGGATAGCTCCAGTCCCCAAGCTGTGAGCGCACGAGGAAACTGCACTGACGAGGATGCAGGGATGGAGAAGCAGCAGCGGCTGGTGGAGGCCTCAGCTGGGCACACAGGGCTTCATGCACCACGACCCACCAGGGCCAGAACAGGCAACAGGCCGTTGGCTGAGTCACGCTGGCAGGGGGGTGGCAGGTCAAGGTTGAGATGTGGCCTGAATTCTGGAAGTGGTGAAGTCTCCCAGGAAGGAGTCTGAGGAGTGGCAGAAAGCCAGAATTCCGGGGCCCCTTGGGGTGGGTGGGAAGGGAGACCAACACCTAGGCCGCATGGCCTAGGGCAGGAAGCCGAAGCCCCCGAGGGAGGGAGGGTCAGCGTAATGCTGGCTGGAGAAAAGCACCCAGGCCTGCTGTGCTGGTGCCTGTGGTTTCTGCTACTCGGGAGGCTGACACAAAAGAATCCCTTGAGCCCGGGAGGTCAGGGCTGCAGTGAGCTAGGATGGTGCCACTGCACTCCAGCCTGGGCCCCCAACTCAAAAAAGGAAAAAAAAGCCCACACCGCTGAGTCTGCTGGATTTGGCTGAGGAAAAGGAAGCCATGGCAGAAGCGGGGAAGTGGGAGACCAGGGAGTGGGGGTGCCGAGAGGTGGGAGGAGCAAGTCTGTGAGCACAGCTGAGGAGGGGAGACGGAGATGGCTGGCCGGGTACAAATTCAGCCCCGTGCTTGTCCCCCTCACCCCTCACTGCCATGACTCCACTCATGGCCCCCAGCCCCACTGGTCTGCACTGGGCCCTGGCATGGCTGCCCCCTTTGCCCTGGACTCAGATGCCCAGGTGACCCCGGCTACGCTCCCTGAAGGGAGTCGCCCCCGCCCGCGCCACCTGCCCCGCGCGCCTGCCTGCTGTTTCTCTCGTCACGACCTGACCTCTGAACTCTCTGTCCTGCCCTCTCCCCCAGCGCCTGGACCACGGTAGGGACTTCATGAACTGCATGGAACAAACCAACGTGGGCTGAAGGGAAGCTGCCAGGGCGAGTGAAGGGGCTTAGATGTGGCGAGGGCCGGGCCAGGCTCACCAGAGAGAAGGGCGGAGGGGCCGGGGCAGGTGGAGGGAAGCCCAGTGGGGCTGGGGCAGACAGGGGGTCACATCCGGGCACGACGGCGCAAGGGACCCACCCGCAGTCTCCATCTTCTCAGTGAGACAGAGGATAGCTCTATCCCAGCAGCTGCATCAGGGCAGAAGCTGTTCTCTCAAGGGAAGGGGAGTATTTTCCTGACTGGGGGCCACGTGGTGTCCGCTGCACTATGAGCTCAGCCACCGCCAGAGCAAAAGCAGCAGCAGACAATGTGGAAACCAGTGAGGGTGGCTGCTGCCAAGAAAACCCCATTCGCAAAAGCAGCCAGATGCCGCCTGAGGGCCACGGTGTGCCAGTGCCTGAGCTAGATGACAACTTGACAACACGCACAAGTTACCACGGGTCAGGGAGATGCCCTCATTTTTTCTAGTATGTTCTGCTGCCTGTGCAATGAGCTTGGGTTGGGAGCAGCTGCTCTCAATGTGAAAAATGTGTGAGATAAGAAACTACTGGAACTTTTTTTTTTTTTTTTGAGATGGAGTTTCACTCGTTGCCTGGGCTGGAGTGCAATGGCGCAATCTCGGCTCACCGCAACCTCTGCCTCCCGGGTTCAAGTGATTCTCCTGTCTCAGCCTCCTGAGTAGCTGGGATTGCAGGCGCATGCCACCACGCCCAGCTAATTTTTTTTTTTTTTTTTTTTTTTTTAGTAGAGACAGGGTTTTGCCACGTTGACCAGGTTGGTCTTGAACTCCTGACCTCGGTGATCCGCCCGCTTTGGCCTCCCAAAGTGCTGGGATTACAGGTGTGAGCCACCATGCCTGGCCAGTTGTTTTTAGAGACAGAGTCTTGCTCTGTCACCCAGGCTGGAGTCCAGTGACGTGATATCAACTCACTGCAACCTCTGCTTCCTGGGTTCAAGCGATTCTCCTGCCTCAGCCTCCTGAGTAGCTGGAATTATAGGCGTGCACCACCACGCCTGGCTAATTTTTGTATTTTTAGTAGAGGTGGGGTTTCACCATGTTGGCCAGGCTGGTCTCAAACTCCTGACCTCAAATGATCTGCCCGCCTCGGCCTCCCAAAGTGCTGGGGTTACAGGCATGAGCCTCTGCGCCCGGCCAAAACTCACCACTTCTTATGGAGGCTCAAGACGCAGGGAATGAGGTCTTCATAGGAGAATCCGGTGAGGTCCCACAGCTGAGTGGTCCAGGGCTGTGCTGGGGAGGAAAGCAGGCCAGGGGTGGAGGGGATGGAGGGGACGGAGGGGATGGAGGGGACGGAGGGGCTGTGGTGACAGCCGCCTGAACACTCCCGCTCTATAGCTCTGTGGGCTCTGCTGTGGAGTTTCTTGGAGCTCAGGGTTGCAATCCTTTTAAAATAGTTTTGAAAAAAACCCATACATAGGGCGTGCAGGCTCATGGTCAGAAATCTGGGACATCACTGAAGGTAGGAGCCGTGCTGTATCTCACCCCCCAAGAAGTAACCAGGACAAATGGATGCTGGACTCTTTTCCTCCCCACAGCCTCCTCCTATGTCAGCACCTTCCCCGACACAGGCATCCCTGGGAAGGGCCACTCCTTACTCTGCCCGTGCGTCAGTCTGGCCAGGAGCAGGGCTGCGGCAGCCAGGCGGGCTGGGGCGTAGGCGGACAGGCTGGTGTGCAGCAGGGAGAGCTCGCAGAGGAAGCTGCACAGGTGCTGGGTTCTCAGCTCCACAGGGACTAGCGTCAGCAGGACCTCCTTGTAATCCACCACAGTGGGGACCTAGACAGCCGGGACGGGGTGTGGGCTCTCAGCGCTCGGGGGCTCCTTGGTGCAGTGCCGCATGCAGGCCCAGCGCAGGGTCTGGCCCGGATGATGTTCACGCCGATGCTGCACGCGTAGCGCACCAGCGCAGATGGCGACGTGGTGCAACCGTGGCCTCCTGCTCCATGGCTTTGGGCACAGCAGAGACAGCTGCTCTCTGAGTCCATGAGGCCCTCCCACAGCAGGAAAGCTGAATGCCCACCCCCACCCTCCAGCACAGCGACAACGAAGATTAATAAGGAAAATGGAACCGCTGCTTACTCGAATCTTCCCTTCCAAGGCGGAGACGATCTCGCCCATCATTCTCACCAGGTCCTCGTACTTGTAAGTGTTGTCCGTGAGCCATACGGCCTCCCGGATGGTCAGGATCTCTTTACTGATAAACCTGCAACGCCGAGAAGGGGTCTCAGGGTGGAGCCCACTTCCTGGGGCAGGGGTGGGGCGGAGGGACCCAAGGCTTTAGGAGGCCTCAAGGTAGGGAGGGAGCCATGGCGTTGGGCTTTGGTGACAAACAGAGGCTTCATAATGGAGCCAGCTGCCTGTGGCTGACAAGGGGCATTTAAAAAAGGGGAGGCCCAGGCAGGAGGACAGCTCAGCCAGGAGTTCGAGACCACCCTGGGCAACAAAGCAAGACCCTATCTCTTCAAAAAGTTAAAAAATAAAAAATTAGCAGAGCATGGTGGCACGTGCCTATAGTCTCAGTTACTTGGGACGCTAAGGTGGGAGGATTGCTTAAGCCCAGGAAGTTGAGGCTGCAGTGAGCTTTGATTACACCACTGCATTCCAACCTGGGTGACAGAGCAAGACACTGTCTCAAAAAATAATCATCATAATAATAACAAAGGGGAGGTCAGAAAGTGCTGGAAAGAGGGATGAGAGCCACAAGGCAGACAGAAAGCAGCAAGGCTGTTAGGCAGACTCACAAATGTCTGCAAAAGGCCCAAGTGCCCTGAGCATTCAGTTTGCTAAAAGACACCAAGGACAGAGATTTGCCTGTCACGTGACAGCTCTATCAGTGGGGTAGAAATGTTATAGACCCAGAAGGTGGGTGAGTCACCAGATCTAGGAATTGGAGGCAAAGGGCCCAAGGGTTGTTGGAAAGTCTGTGCCCGGCACTGTGTGGCCGCAGGAATCCTGACTGTCTCTAGGCGATGGTCACCCTGTTCTCTGTTGTCAACCAGCGCCAACTATCAGGGAACACGCTGCTCCAGCGGCCCCCCGCAAGGCACCTTCCCCTTGGACTGAGGCCAAGTCCCTTGGCTGCTCTGTCCTGGGGACTCTGCAGGTTGCATGCGTCATTCACTTGACCAAGAGGACAAGAGGCGCAGGGACTACACCTGCCAGCGTGGGGGCTGCAGACGCCAAAAAGACAAGATGTCAGTGGCCAATGAGAGCCCAGCGTGGGGTGTGAGATGGCTGGTGGGGGCAGGGCACCTCTGAGAGCAGAGGTGGGGGGCAGCTCAGCCTTTAAAATCTTTTTTTTTTTGAGACAGAGTTTCCCTCTGTCACCCAGGCTGGATTAGTGCAGTGGCGCTATCTCAGCTCACTGCAACCTCCGCCTCCCAGGTTCAAGTGATTCTCATGCCTCAGCCTCCCAAGTAGATGGGACTACAGGCGCCCACTACCACGTCTGGCTAATTTTGTTTGTATTTTTTTGAGACAGAGTCTTGCGCCATTGCCCAGGCTGCAGTGCAATGGTGTAATCTTGGCTCACTGCAACCTCTGCCTCTCGGGTTCAAGCAATTCTCCTGCCTCAGCCTCCTGAGTAGCTGGGATTACAGGCATGCACCACCACGCCCAGCTAATTTTTTGTATCTTTAGTAGAGACAGGGTTTCACCATGTTGGCCAGGCTGGTCTTGAACTCCTGACCTCACGATCCGCCCACATCAGCCTCCCAAAGTGCTGGGATTACAGGCGTGAGCCACCGTGCCTGGTCCCCGGATTTAAAAAAAAAAAAAAAAAAGATAATAAGGCAGAGTTGATTTGAGGGAGCTGTGGTGATAGTTATATGGACCACTGCAATCAGGTCTTGTGGTTGGGGAAGAAATTGGACTCAGCTCCCTGAAACGTTTTTAGCAGTTATTCTCTCACTGCCAGCCGGTTGTGGCCCAGGAGCTTTGTCGTAGGTTGCAGTGATGGATGTGCAGTCAGATCCAGGGAGGCGGCCGCCCGACCTCCTCAGTCGTCTCTGGTCGGAAGACCTGGGACGCTGGATTCAGGCCCAAGAGCGCATCTGAAGACAGCTCTGGATGCTTGTGGCAGGGTTTGCTCCCTCCTTCCATGGGAATGACACTGCATCGAGCTGGCACACACAGGCCCGAAGAGACTACACCTCCCAGTTCCCGTCTGGTGAGATGTGGTCACAAGACTAAGCTCAGTGCAAAGGTGAATGTGGCAGGTACAGGTGTCACAGGGACAAGGGCAGCACCCTAGTTGGTGGCAGAGATTAAGATGGGAGATGGGGCTCCTCTGCTTCCTCATGAAACAAAAAACATGCCAATGACCTGAGCCTGGAACCTCTGCCTCTGGGTTACCTGTGCAAGAAAGAAACAAGTCTCTGTAGCTTACACATATGCTGTGTGCAGCCAAGCCTATCCTCACCCACCAGGCTCTACAGAGGAGTCGGTCTGGAAAGCACTTCCTCGGGAAATGTAGACCATGCTGGGGACAGCTGGTTTAGGAAATGCAAATCGTATTGTGAGAATCATTTCCACGTTATTTCCAAAGGCGGAACTAGGGGATCCAGCATTAGTTAAAGGAAAGCAGTGGTCTGATTTGAAAAGGACAGGCTGCCGTGTAAGGACGCACGCTGCTGCTGAGAGACACCCACGTGGCTGGAGTGGGCTCTGCAGGGCACCAGTGGGGGACGAAAAACTCTCTAACTCCAAGAGTGTAGGAAACTCTGGCAACAGACTTTAGAACCCAACTTCAGAGAAGGGCAGCCAACTGCCACCCTCCCTGATCAGTCATCCTGCTGCCCTCAGGAGCCAGGGGACAGGGCAGTCCAGCCTGTGCCTGCCAGAGCGAGGCCACACTTTGGGTCCTGAGACTGCATGCCAGGATGAATTGCCTGGATGCAGGCACCCCACACAGCGGCCCCCACACGCTGAAGGCTGTTCTGCCACCCCTGCCTGCAAAAGGCCCTCAGCGTGGCACTCCATGTCTGACCAGGTGGGACACTCGTGGCTCATGAGTCAAGAACCAGTGAGGGCCAGGCGCAGTGGCTTGTGCCTGTAATCCCAGCATTTTGGGAGGTTGAGGCGGGCGGATCATTTGAAATCAAGAGTTTGAGACCAGCCTGACCAACATGATGAAACCCCGTCTCTACTAAAAATACAAAAAAATTAGTCGGGCATGGTGGCGCACGCCTGCAGTCCCAGCTACTCTGGAGGCTGAGGCAGAAGAATCACTTGAACCTGGGAGGCAGAGGTTGCGGTGAGCCAAGATCGCACCACTGCACTCCAGCCTGGGTGACAGAGCGAGACTTGGTCTCGGGAAAAAAAAAAAAACAACACAAAACAAAACCAAACCAGTGAGGAGCACATGAAGGGCAGGTGACCCTGAACCCGGGAAAGGCCAGCACGTCCCTGCCAGCTGGGCCAAGGGGGCTTCTCACCGGGTGCAGATGACCATGCAGGCGATGCCCAGCAGCTGGAGCCTGTACCGCGGCACCAGCCTCCTCCGCAGGTACCGGTCCACACACTCCACGGTCAGGTGCAGGCACAGGCTTGTGAAGTCCTTCATGGTGGCAACTTCCACCAGCCAGTCGATCAGAATGTACCTGCGGAAAGAGAAGCACGTGGGAACTGGTGGGGGCGTTCTCCATGTGTCCCTGTCTGCGATTTCAACCCCACCTGTTGGGCCCGACCAAATAAGCTGGCTAGCTCTGGAATCATGGGTTTACCCTGGAACCAAGGCTGGAGAGGCCATGTCACAGGAAGCCCGGGAGGCTCCGTGGGTCCCAGCCCCAAAGCAGGCCCCACATCCTTCGACTGTGTTCCTGGTGCTCCCAAACACAAGCGCTTTGAGACCTCGACCTGACGCAAAGTGAAAAGTCAGCCCACAGCCGTTGGTCTGCCCACAGTGGATGAACCCTGACCCTCGGGGCGTGCAGGGAGCGGGAGAAGGTGGACAGTCGCAAGGGAATGCCCCAATACGGTAAATGATG
The DNA here is from genome assembly GCF_000001405.40 of Homo sapiens. NCBI lineage: Eukaryota > Metazoa > Chordata > Mammalia > Primates > Hominidae > Homo > Homo sapiens. The sequence continues at coordinate 2,445,070 of NC_000016.10, read as the reverse complement.
CCCCAATATGGTAAATGCCTTTCTGAATAGAGTGGAGACACTTGTAGTCCTACTTGGGGGACTGAGGCAGGAGAAAGGCTTGAGCCCGAGGCAGAGGTTACAGCAAGCCGAGAACACACCACTGCACTCCACCCTGGGTGACAGACAGCCTGCCTCAAAAAAAAAAAAAAGATGTTCAATGTGTTCTGTGGCTTAAAAAAGATCACTGCACTGTGGGAGGCTGGGGCAGGAGGTTCGCTTGAGCCCAGGAGTTCAAGACTAGCCTGGGCAACATAGTGATACCCTGTCTCTACTAAAAATACAACAATTAGCTGTGCATGGTGGTGTGCATCTGTAGTCCCAGCTACTCAGGAGGGTAAGGTGGGAGGATCTCTTGAGCTTGGGAGGCGGAGGCTGCAGTGAGCTGAAATCATGCCACTGCACTCTGGCCTGGGTGACAGAGCCAGACCCTGTCTCAAAAAAAAAAAAGGTGGCTGGGCGTGGTGGCTCACGCCTGTAATCCCAGCACTTTGGGAGGCGGAGGCAGGCGGATCACGAGGTCAGGAGATTGAGACCATCCTGGCTAATACGATGAAACCCCATCTCTACTAAAAATACAAAAAAATTAGCTGGGCGTGGTGGCAGGCACCTGTAGTCCCAGCTCCTGAGGAGGCTGAGGCAGGAGAATGGTGTGAACCCGGGAGGTGGAGCTTGCAGTGAGCCGAGATCACGCCACTGCACTCCAGCCTGGGTGACAGAGCAAGACTCCGTCTCAAAAAAAAAAAAAAAAGTAACTGAAGAAAGCAGAGTAGGATATTTTCTTCCAAAAAGTCCACGATAACTTTGGCATTACTGGTTTTAAAAAACACCCAAGGCTGGGCGCGGTGGCTCACGCCTGTAATCCCAGCACTTTGGGAGGCCAAAGCGGGCGGATCACGAGGTCAGGAGATTGAGACCATCCTGGCTAACATGGTGAAACCCCATCTCTACTAAAAATACAAAAAATTAGCCGGGCATGGTGGTGGGTGCCTGTAGTCCCAGCTACTCGGGAGGCTGAGGCAGGAGAATTGCTCGAACCCAGGAGGCGGAGCTTGCAGTGAGCTGAGATCGCGCCACTGCACTCCAGCCTGGGCGACAGAGCGAGACTCCACTTCAAAAAAAAAAAAAGGGTGATAAGGGAACTCTATGCCGCCCTGTCACAGGTAACTGGGGTTAAGTGGAAAGGGCTCCCTTCCCCTGGAGGCTGGCTTCCGCGCCGCTCTGATTAGAAGCCCCGGCCTGAATGCCTCACCTCATTGTGTCATTGAGTCCCTTCTGCACGGAGAAGACTTGTTGTTTACTGACAGCCTGGGAAGCCTGAAATAGCTGGCAGACGATCTCACTGGAAGCTCTCACCTCCAGTCCAAGCTGGTTTGCATTTGCACAGGCTTTGGCTAAAGACAGCTGAGGAAGAAAAGACAAACATGAGCGTGAGACAGCAGCCATGTTGCAGTTTTCCATTTCTGAAGCAAAGGCCCATTCAGGCACCAAATGCATGTGGACACACTGCCCTACTTAACTTAAACCTTCACAAGCTTCGGGAACAAGGATGGCTCAGGTTTTAATTATTATTCCTTTTTGTATAAGTAATAGATGACATGAGAAAAGATATATAATGAAATGTCAGTGGCCTTTCCACCGTGGCTCAGGTCTCAGTTTCTTACATGGCTAATGCCTGGGGAAGCTGTGTTAAGTCTCTGGCCATACGCCCCAGTGCTCTCCGAAAGGCTTCTGCCAATGTTTACACCCAGGAATAGGAGCACCTGCCTCATCACAGCTTCATCCCAGCAAACACTGTGATTATTAAAAACAGCTATTTTCAGAAGTTACCAGCTAGCCACCCAAAAACAGAGAAATATATATATATTATATATTATATATATATTATATATAATATATATTATATACAATATAAAACATATAATATATAATATGTAATATATTATATATAAAAATATCTATTATATATAATATATCTATAATATATATTATAGATATTATAACATAATATTATATTATATATTATAGAACATATAATATAATTATATAATATATAATTAACATAAATAATATATAATATATAAATATATAAAAATATATAATATAATAATATATAATAATCATATATATTAATATATATTTATATATTATATAATATATAATATATAATTATAATATAATATATATAATATAATATATATTATATATAATAGAATATAATATTACATATATTATAGAATATATTATATATTATAGAATATAATATATAATATTATATATGATATATATTATATTATTATAATTATTATATAATTATATGTTATACAATATATAAATACATATTTATATATAATTATTATATAATAATATGATATTATATATAATATTATATATTATATATAATAATATTATATTATATAATATTATATATTATATATAATATTATATTATATAATATTATATATTATATATAATAATATTATATTATATAATATTATATATTATATATAATAATATTATATTATATAATATTATATATTATATATAATAATATTATATTATATAATATTATATATTATATATAATAATATTATATTATATAATATTATATATTATATATAATAATATTATATTATATAATATTATATATTATAAATAGCTGGCAGACTAAATATAATTATGTTATAATATAATAATAGATATTATAAATATATCTAATTATGGATATTATATATATATAATTAAGGGCTGGGTGCGGTGGCTCAAGCCTGTAATCCCAGCACTTTAGGAGGCCGAGGCGGGCAGATCACGAAGTCAGGAGATCCAGACCATCCTGGCTAACATGGTGAAACCCTGTCTCTACTAAAAATACAAAAAATTTAGCTGGGCGTGGTGGTGCAATGCCTGTAGTCCCAGCTACTTGGGAGGCTGAGGCAGGAGAATGGCATGAACCCAGGAGGCGGAGCTTGTGGTGAGCCGAGATTGTGCCACTGCGCTCCAGCCTGGGCAACAGAGCAAGACTCCATCAAAAACAAAACAAAACAAAACAAAACAAAACAAAAACAAAAACATATATATATATATATATATATATATATATATATATATATATATAATTTGCTAATATCATGAGCCCAAAATATCTCATTTAAAAGTGCACTCTTATGACTAGTAGTAAGGTTGAACATTCCAATTTCTAACCACTTGAGTTTATTTATTTATTATTAATTTTTTTTGGCCAGGTGCAGTGGCTCACTCCTGTAATCCCAACACTTTGGGAGGCCGAGGAGGGCAGATTACTTGAGGTCAGGAGTTTTAGACCAGCCTGGCCAACATGGTGAAACCCCACCTCTACTAAAAATACAAAAATTAGCTGGGCGTGGTGGCAGGCACCTATAGTCCCAGCTACTCAGAAGGCTTGAACCCAGGCGTCAGAGGTTGCAGTGAGCTGAGATCGCACCACTGTGCTCTAGCCTGGGCAACAGAGAGAACTCCTGGCTTCAAGTGATCCTCCCGCCTCAGCCTCCCAAAGTGTTGGGATTATAAATGTGAGCCACTGCGCCCGGCCCTATTTCCTCTTTTGTGAGAATTGACTGAGGCCCCTTGAACTTCCACGAGAACTACGTTGTTGCATTTCTTGTAAACAATGTTTTTGTTGAGATAGGGTCTCCCTCTGTAGCCCAGGCTGAAGTGCAATGTTGCGATCACGGCTCTCTGCAGCTTTGACCTCGCAGGCTCAAGTGATCCTCCTGCCTCAGCCTCCTGAGTAGCTGCACTACAAGGCACACGCCACCACATCCAGCTAATTTTTTTTTTTTTTGAGATGGAGTATCGCTCTGTTGCCAGGCTGGAGTGCAGTGGCACAATCTCGGCTCACTGCAACTTCCTCCTCCTGGGTTCAAGCAATTCTCCTGCCTCAGCCTCCCGCGTAGCTGGGACTCTAGGCACATGCCACCAGGCCCAGCTAATTTTTTTGTATTTTTAGTAAAGACGGGGTTTCACCACATTGGCCAGGGTGGTCTCGACCTCTTGACCTCGTGATCCGCCCGCCTCAGCCTCCCAAAGTGCTGGCATTACAGGCATGAGCCACTTGCACCCAGCCCATCCAGCTAATTTTAAAATTTTTTGTCGAGATGGAGTCTCACTATGTTGCCAGAGCTGGTCTTGAACTCCTGGGCTCAAGCGATCCTCCCAACTCAACCTCCTACAGCGCTGGGATTGCAGGCGTGAGCCATCACGTCTGGCCTTCTTGTAAATCTGTAGACTGGCTTTTTGGACGTGAACACCACAATGTGCTATGACACCTCGGGCTGGGCCATTATCAATTTGTAATTTTGTCCCTAGCATTTGAGCGCAGATCACTCTGCCACCCACTTGGTGGGGTGACAAGAACAAGCTTCTATCCATTTGGCAAATAGGAGCTTTCTTTGATTCGTCCTGACAACTTTTTTTTTCCTTCAGACAGAGTCTTGCTCTGTCGCCCAGGCTGGAGTGTAGTGGTACTGCAACCTCTGCCTCCCGGGTTCAAGCGATTCTCCTGCCTCAACTTCCTGAGTATCAGGTGCCTGCCACCACGCCCAGCTAATTTTTGTATTTTTAGTAGCGATGGTTTCACCATGTTGGCCAGGCTGGTCTCGAACTCCTGACCTCAGGTCATCCGCCCACCTTGGCCTCCCAGAGTGCTGGGATTTCAGGCGTGAGCCACCGCACCTGGCCCTAACAACTTATTTATAGCTGTGAGGGGAGAGTCTACCAATGCTTGATTTCCTGCCTGTAGCCCTGGATGACTTGGTGACCAGGTGACATGACAAGCAAGGCGCTAACAGGAAGAGGAAGCAGGAAGGGACTCTCCACGCCCCTCTGCTCTCAAGTAGCCTCAAGTTTTGTTGTCAAGATCAGTTCTACCTATGGGACAACTTTCAAGAATGGCACAAATTTTGACAGCAGCTATAGCTCACAAGCATTTGAAAATTAAGAGGTTGGCTGGCTGAGAGGCAAGAGTGGATAGGCAGAGATGAATAACGCATTTCCCAGCTCTTCTCACAGTGTACCTGTCCTTTAGGACCAGTTCCAGTGCTGAACCGATCTTAGGGTGTCCCTCAATCCTGGCCTCCCATGTGGGAGCCCAGATAGTCCTGCCCCCCAATGTGGGAGCCCAGATAGTCCTGCCCCAAGGCTGGAGGGAGAAAGGCCAGCTCCCCACGTCATCCCAGCCCCGCACCTCACCTGCGCTTCCCAGCAGCCTTTGGCAGCGTAGTCCCTGAGTTTTCGGAAGCTGTGGAGGCATCGCCCAGGATCTGACACCTGTCAATGGGAGATCACCGAGCCTTTGTACAACTGTGTCTTGGGAGGAACTCAGAACCAAGACCCAGAAGGGCCGACACTACGCTAACTTCCCACCTCTTCTCTCTCAAATGGTGGAGTCATTTTTGGGGGTACCAAGAATAGCCGACTGACCAGTGGTTCCCGGAGGCTGAGAGACCGGGAGCAGCAAGAGCCACCTCCCTTTTGTGGACAGAAACGCATCCAAGGACCAGCATCAACTACGCCTTTGTCCAGCATAACTCCCCCCGACCCAGAGCAGGCACCACTCACATCTGTCCTCCTGTCGCTTTCCCAGAGGAGGTAGGAGCTGGTCAGACATCCCTGATGAGCAGCCTCCTCAAACAGGTCATGGGCCTGCTGCTGCTTCTCCTCATCCTAGAATAAATCCCAGCAGAGTTCATTGTTCCCTTATTCTTTTTCATTTTTATTTTTTGAGACAGTTTCACTCGTCGCCCAGGTTGGAGTGCAATGGCGCCATCCTGGCTCACTGCAACCTCCGCCTCCTGGGTTCAACCAATTCTCCTGCCTCAGCCTCCTGAGTAGCTGGGATTACAGGAGCCCACCATCATGCCCGGCTAATTTTTGTATTTTTAGTAGAGACGGGGTTTCACCATGTTGGCCAGGCTGGTCTCAAAATCCTGGCCTCAGGTGATCCACCCACCTCAGTCTCCCAAAGTGCTGGGATTACAGGCATGAGCCACTGTGCCTGGCTGGTTTTTTTGTTGTTGTTGAGGCAGAGTCTCCCTCTGTCACCCAGGCCAAAGTATAGTGGCACGATCTTGGCTAACTAAAACCTCAGCTTCCCGGGTTCAAGCAACTCTCATGCCTCAGCCTCCCAAGTAGCTAGGATTACAGGTGCCCACCACCATGCCCGGCTAATTTTTGTGTTTTTTAGTAAAGACGTGGTTTCAACACATTGGCCAGGTTGGTCTCAAACTCCTGACCTCAGGTGATCCACCCGCCTCGGCCTCCCAAGGTGCTGGGATTACAGGAATGAGCCACCATGACCGGCCCTTATTCTTTACTTGATGTTCAATCACTCTACTCACCATCTTCCTCCTTTTCCATACTTTTTTTTTTTTTTTCTGAGACTGAGTCTCACTCTGTTGCCAGGCTGGAGTGCAGTGGTGCAATCTCGGCTCACTGCAACCTCCGCTTCCCAGGTTCAAGCAATTCTCCCTGCCTCAGCCTCCTGAGTAGCTGGGATTATGGGCACCCGCCACCACGCCCAGCTAATTTTTGTGTTTTTTAGTAAAGACGTGGTTTCACCATTTTGGCCAGGCAGAGAGGTCCACACGAGCAGGAGAGGCCCACGAGGAGCAGGGCCAGCAGACGAGTGAGCATCGAGGTTCGATGCCTCCTTGAGATCTGCTCTGCTGTTCTCACCGTCCCCCACTCCCCTGCCAGGCGGGTCATGGAGCCAGGATCGGAGCCCGTGGCCAGGCCCACATGTGTCCCCTGGCTTCTCCAGCTAGGCCTTTCTGGGCAAGGCTTGCCTTTTGTTTTGGGCCTTGGACACCCCCTTCTGCTGCTTTTCAGTTCCAGGATCTCGGCTAGGGATGTATCGAACACAAAGTCCCAGTGCAGAGAACAACTTGACTCACCTCGAACAGACTCAGCACTCTGCCCAAGCAGTGCAATATGGATGCTTTGTGAGTCTTTAAAAAAAGGAGAAAGAAGTGTGATTTCCAGCACAGAGAACTGCCCGGGGGCCACCACTCCCTTGTCTGTCTTTGGGTCCCATGCCCATGGCCCTGCTGTCTGGCCCTCCCTCCCCTGCAGAGGGCCACTCCCAGATTTCAGTCTTTTTTTTTTTTTTTTTTTAAAGGGAAACAGGGTCTTGCTCTGTCACCCAGGCTGGAGTGCATTGGCATAGTCACGGCTCATTGCAAGCTCAACCTCCCAGGCTCAAGCGATCCTCCCACCGCAGCCTCCTGAGTAGCTGGGACTATAGGTATGCACCACCACCCCTGGCTAACTTTTTTGTATTTTTTGTAGAGACGAGGTTTCGAGATTTCATCATGTTGCCCAGACTGGTCTCGAACACCTGGCCACAAGCAATTCTCCAGCCTCGGCCTCCCAAAGTGCTAGGATGACAGGCGTGAGCCACCACACCTGGCCAGATTTGTGTCTTGAGCTCCCACTGCCCCATGCAGCCTCAGCCCCATGTTTCCAGCTGTCAGCACGTGTACCCAGAACTCCACAGCCCACCCTGGCTCTCAGGCTTCCTCCTCTGTGCCAGCTGATTTCCAGATGCGTTCCCCATATCTGCACTCTCAGTTTTCTGCATCTTCACTTCCCTTAGGCTCCTGACTTTCCAGGGTCCAGGATCTACCCTCGGGGTCTTCCTGTGTCCTGGGACCCTGCAGGTGGCCTCGCAGGTGCTGCCCCTCGCCCAGACTCACCCTCTGCAGCTGGCACTCTGCCCTGAGGCTCTCGTGAACCACGGCCTTGCAGCAGCTTCCGCTCACCGACCACGGAGGGCGGATGAAGAGCCAGATGAAAGGTGCGGCACCCACATTCAGCCGCTCAGCGAGACTGAAGAAGCGAGAGGCCTTCAGGCCATTCACTTCTGCGCGGGCCTCATCAGACACAGACACTGCGGGGACAGACAGGACAGAGCCCAGGGATGTCTCTTAGGGACGGAATGTGGAAAGCTCTCCATGGTCTTGGTGGAAAGTGTAATGCCTGAAGCCCACCATAGTGCAAAGCAGCTGTGTTTCAGGAGAGTAGAGCCCTCCAGGATGGGGGCACCTGTCTTTTCTCCCCCTACTTCATTAATGTCTAGAACAGGTGGGTCATTGTGATCAATGCCCCTGCTGTGGTCCTCCCGGAAGCCTGGATTCTGAAGGTCAGGGGAAGGAGACCCCGCGACGCTTCATGTCCCACCCTCCCTCCAGCTGGGAACCACCGCCTGACCCCTGGTAATGGGTCCAGGGCAGGGGTGGGGGTTCTTTTTGGGACGAGGAGAATATTCTAAAATTAGACAGTGGCAATGGCTGCACAACCCTGTGAATATCCTAAAAAACCACAGAATTGCAGGCTTTAGAGGGGTGAACTGTATGGTGTGTGAATTTTATGTCTGGGAACTGCTCTTTGATGGGAGGGTAGGGGTAGGACCTCGGCTCCCCTGATTCTGGAGGAGGGTGTTGCTCATGGTCCCTGTCAGTCACAATTCTGCCAGCCGGCCAGGTAGGGACTCTCTCCCAGCAAGACACCAGATCGTTTAGAAGTACAAATGTGGGAGGCTACATCCCAGTGTTTACTTGTTTTGAGAGCTGGGACAGATCATGGGCTCGTTCCTTGGGGTGCTGAGCAGATAAGCAGTTAACTGGTAGAAGAAAAGGCTGCGCAAGTTTCTTTCAAGGAGCACCTGGCCTCTGGGGATGAAGGGATCCAGGCACCAGGCCAGTTCTAACCTGCCTGTACCTGCTTCCCGTTTAGAAGCCTGGCTCTGTGTTACAGGGCACGCTGAACTCTGTCTCGAGAGTTCTAAGAGGATGGCCAAGGAGAGGGCCAGCATCCACAGGCAGGTCTGCGTGCTCATGGCGCACAGGGCAGGGAGCCCAAACAGCCCCCGTGCTGAGGCTCTGGCTCAGTCACTCTTTGCCAACTGAAATTAAAGGGTTTGCTAAAACAAGAGGCGACTTTCGTAACCTGCAAAGTCAGAGTATCATTAGCAGGTCCCTCAGCAGGGTACATCTGGGCACGAGCTCCTGAGAGGGAATGGGGAGGCAGGCCATCGGATAGAGCAAGGACAGCAACTGAACTGCTAACACGGGGACCACTTCTTCATAGGGCCAAAGGCTCACACTTATCTGAAGCGCCAACATGCAGGTGGGGTGAGGACTTACGGCCTTCATTGTAGAGGTAGGCTATGCCCAGCTTCACAGCAGCTTCGAAATTCCCCTTTTCAGCAGCCCTGAAACATTAAGAACATAAAGCATCACAATATTTTATGCCACAAACGTTATGAACTACTACAGCACTTGAAGAAGTCAGAATACTTGTTCCCTGAATTGAATATATATATATATATATATATATATATATATATATATGTGTGTGTGTGCATATATATATGTGTGTGCATATATATGTGTGTGTGTGTGTGCATATATATATATATATCTCTCTCTCTCTGAGACAGGGTCTTGCTCTGTTGCCCAGGCTGGAGTGCAGTGGTGCGATCACAGCTCACTGCAGCCTCAACCTCCTGGGCTTAAGCCATTCTCCCACCCCGGCATCCCAAGTAGCTAGGACTACAGGCATGTGCCACCATGCTCAGCTAGTCAAAAAAAAATATTTTCTTTTCTAGAGACAGGGTCTTGCTATGTTGCCCAGGCTAGTCTTGAATTCCAGACCCAAGTGATCCTCCTGCCTTGGCCTCATAAAGTGCTGGGATTATAGGCTTGAGCCATCATGCCCGGCTCTAGAACATTTCTTTTTTTTTTTCTTTTCTTTTCTTTTTTTTTTTTGAGACGGAGTCTGCTCTGTTGCCCAGGCTGGAGTGCAGTGGCGCAATCTCGGCTCACTACAAGCTCCGCCTCCCAGGTTCACACCATTCTCCTGCCTCAGCCTCCCGAGTAGCTGGGACCACAGGTGCCCGCCACCACGCCTGTCTAATTTTTTCTATTTTTAGTAGAGACGGGGTTTCACCATGTTAGCCAGGATGGTCTCGATCTGATCTCATGATCCACCCGCCTCGGCCTCCCAAAGTGCTGGGATTACAAGCGTGAGCCACCACGCTCGGTCGAACATTTCTTAATAACATGTAATCAAATACGAATTATCCATTACATGCTATGACACAGATGAACCTTGAAAACATCAGGGTCCGTGAAAGAAGCCAGCCACGAAAGACCACGTGTTGCATGATTCCATGTGAAATCCTCACAAAAGGCAAATCCGGAGAGACAGAAAATCAATTAGGGGTTGTCTAGAGTTTCCAGGATTGTGGGGAAAATGGGAAGTGACTGCTGATGGGGACAAGCTTTCTTCTTGGGGTAAGGAGAACGTTCTAAAGTTAAGTACTGGTGATGTCTGTACAACTCTCAGTATACTAAAAACCAATGAGTTATACATTTTATTTATTTATTTACTTATTTATTTATTTTGAGACGGAGTCTCGCTCTGTTGCTCAGGCTGGAGTGCAGTGGTGCGATCTCGGCTCACTGCAACCTCTGCCTCCTGGGTTCAAGCAATTCTCCTGCCTCAGCCTCCTGAATAGCTGGCATTACAGGCATGTGCCACCACCCAGCTAATTTTTGTATTTTTAGTAGAGACAGGGTTTCACCATGTTGCTCAGGCTGGTCTCAAACTCTTGACCTCGTGATCCGCCCGCCTTGGTCTCCCAAAGTGCTGGGATTACAGGCGTGAGCCACTGTGCCCAGCCATATTTTATTATTTTATTATTATTTTTTTGAGACAGTCTTACCCCATCACCCAGGCTGGAGTGCAATGGCGCAATCTTGGCTCACTGCAACCTCCACCTGCTGGGTTTAAGCAATTCTCATGCTTCAGCCTCCAGAGTAGCTGGGACTACAAGTGCCCATCACCGCATCCAGCTAATTTTTGTATTTTTAATAGAGACAGGGTTTTGCCATGTTGGCCGGGCTGGTCTCGAACTCCCGACCTCAAGTGATCCACCCGCCTTGGCCTCCCAAAGTGCTGGGAATACAGGTGTGACGCCACACCCGGCTGAGTTATACACTTTAAATGGATGAATTGTGTGATGTGTGGATAATGTCTCAATAAGAAATATATACATTCCCCCTGGAAGCAGCCCAAGCATGGCCGCGGCAACATGGCTGCCTGCCCTGGTTGGCTGTCGATCTGGATTTCTGGCAACTCAGATGGACGAGGCTCACAGCGAATCCCTGTCAGAAAAATGCCCGCCTGAGATCAGGAGGTCAGGAGATCGAGACCATCCTGGCCAACATGGCGAAACCCCATCTCTACTAAGAATACAAAAATTAGATGGGCGTGGTAGCGCGTGCCTGTAATCCTAGCTACTCAGGAGGCTGAGGCAGGAGAATCGCTTGAACCAGGAGTTGGTGGTTGCAGTGAGCTGAGATTGCACCACTGCACTCCAGCCTGGTGACAGAGCGAGACTCCGTCTCAAGAAAAAAACAAAAACGAAAACAAAAAACAAAAAACAACAACAAAAAAGAAAAATCCCCGCCTGAGCTGTGGTTCCTTGGTTTGTTCTGAGGGCGGCGGGTACCTGGGACCATGAGCACATGTGAACAGGGGCCAGGGTGCGGGGTGCAGGTTGGGGTGGGATCAGCCAGTGAGTGAAACGCTATAGGATAGAATTCAGATGGTTTTGACCAAAGGGAAGGAAGGCTGAGTGAAGTTTCCACAGGAAGGTGACTCTTGTCTGGGTCATGTGGGAATGGATCACAGCCCTCTGGAGGCACCACGGGCCCGTGTCAGTGGCGTGAGGGATGACTGACTGCATAGCCTGCTGGAAGGTGTGTGGCTTGTGCGGCCTGATGCGTGAGGTCTGCCACCCTCAGTCACTCCCCAGGGTATGAGGCAATGTCATGGGAGACAGCAACAGGAAAATCGTTGCTGAATCAGGCCGTGAGACACAGACTGGCACATAGGGAGGCCAAGGCAGGAGAAGACTGAGCCATTCTCAGGGTGCAGAGATACCTTTCAAAGAGCTTCAGGTTCCCTGGAGACGGCCACAGCTCCTGGAAGCTGGCACATGCCCACACACTGGCGTGGTTGTCCACCAGGTCCTTCAGCTGGGAGTGTACCTGCAGAACAACGGGGGCCGGGGCTGGGTGATGGAGGCACCACCCAAAAGCCCCACACCTGGAGGCTCTTGAGGACGAGAGGCAGATGTAGGGTCTCCTGTCTCCCTCGCCATCCCAAGTAGTTGAGGTCCCCAATCTCTGTGTGAAAGTAACTGTCACTTTGAGCAGATAAAAGAGCCCAGAAACGAGTTTCTCTGAGGTTCTAAAGCAGGGCAGAGGACAATGATCTGGGAAGGAGGAAACAAACACCTAGGCTGAGAAAGAGGGTTCAACATCCCTGCAAAGGTATCACCCCCAAAGACAGGGGAAACACTCTAAAAGGGGGCAGGCAGGACGGAAATGTGTTTTGTGCTTCCCCGCTGGAGGCCTTGCTAGTGGGAGTGTGGAAACAGGTCACAGGGACTCAGGGCAAAGAACAACACCCATGATGGAGGTCTCAGGTAGAACCCGGAGCCTAAGCGCTGGGCCAACGCAGGAGTGTCCAGGCCAGGACCTGGAGCACAGGTGAACACTTTAAGCACCAAAGTTTCCACTGCCATTGGAAATTCAGCACCCCCTGGGGTCCATAAAGTGTGTCGCACCTGCAATGGAGGTGGCTTTGGGAGTCAGAAAATGGGTTCTTGCTGGCATTTCCCCATGAATCCACTATATACTCTAGGTTAAGTCACTCAAAGTAAGCCTATGGTTCCAATATCTAGAAAATAACTCCTAGAGTCCATTTCAGTGTTAAATGTTACATGGAATTTGTCCTCAAGAATGTATTCTTATTCTTTTAAACACTATCCTATTTTTTAAGGGATGCAAATTTCACTGCCATAAAAGGGTACTTTCAGCCGGGTGCAGTGGCTCATGCCTGTAATCCCAGCACTTTGGGAGGCCGAGGCGGGCGGATCACGAGGTCAAGAGATAGAGACCATCCTGGCTAACACAGTGAAACCCCAACTCTACTAAAAATACAATAAATTAGCCGGGCGTGGTGGCGGGTGCCTGTAGTCCCAGCTACTCGGAAGGCTGAGGTAGGAGAATGGCATGAACCTGGGAGGCGGAACTTGCAGTGAGCCGAGATTGCGCTACTGCACTCCAGCCTGGGTGGCAGAGCGAGACTCTGTCTCAAAAAAAAAAAAGGTACTTTCTTTGTTGACACTGCAATGAACAGAGGCAATTTTAGTGTGCTAGGAGACAGCAGTAGGAATTTCTGTAATCAGAATGTCTTAAAGAAAGCATCTGGTAATGATATCATCCTTGTTTCCTTTTTGCCCTCCTTTTTTTTTTTTTTTTTTTGAGACAGAGTCTCGCTCTGTCGCCCAGGCTGGAGTGCAATGATGTGATCTCGGCTCACTGCAAGCTCTGCCTCCCAGGTTCAAGCAATTTTCCCGCCTCAGCCTCCCTAGTAGCTGGGATTACAGGCGTGAGACACCACGCCCGGCTAATTTTTGTATTTTTAGTAGAGATGGGGGTTTTGCCAAGTTGGCCAGGCTGGTCTGGAACTCCTGACCTCAGGTGATCCACCCCCCTTCGGCCTCCCAAAGTGCTAGGATTAAGGCATGAGCCACCGTGCCTGGCCTCTGCCCCAACCTCTTTTTTAGCCAAAGTTTTGTTCTGACAGTTAAGAACACAAGGCCTGATGGTATAATCAACAATGCTAGGGCTCATAGTGTTTTCATGCAGGGACTTACAGCTCGGACGGCCAGGATGTCCTCTACAGAAAGCCATTTCAGGATGTGAAAGAGCACATCTTCGGGGAGACTCAAGATGGTCAGGTTTCGGGGCCTCCTCCTTATTCTTCGCTTTGTAGGATAACAGAAACACTTGGCACACCTACAGTGGACCACTGAAGGAAAAAAAGACAGAAGCCTTGATAAGATGAAAAATTATTCTATATACACACCCTTGAAGGGAAAAAAAAAGGATAAAAGTTACATCTGAAGATGATCTAATGGTTACTATTCCCTGTGCCACAAAAGATGGAACTATGCTTCTTGTCCCAAACAAAGATTATGTAAAGGAGTGGCATTGCACAAATTACAGAAGAGATCATTCATTTTCAAATATTCAACAAATATTTATGGCAAATAGCGCATGTCATGTAACTTGGCTATTGGGAAACTTTCTGATCCAGAGCCCACATGACAGGCAGGAAGGGGAAAAAGCTGCCGAAGCTGAGGACGGTTTTCCTTCTATTTCACTCTCAGGAAAACTCCTGGGGCCTTTGCTGGATAGCTTTGCTTTTTGCACACGTGACCAAGGTGCATAATGTTCAATAAAGATCTGTGGGCTTGAAGAGTCTGGTTTTCAAGTCCAAATTAGAAGGGTCGGCCCTGGAGAGAAGCCACAGACTTGGAGGCCGGGGCAGTGTGCGTCCAAGTCTCAGCTCTGCAGAGTCTCAGTGTGCCCTCTATTGTAGAATGCGGAGTTGACAGCTACGCAGTAAGGTTGTTGCTCAGGTCCCAACACAAACCTAGACCTGTAGGTTTGTGTACAGATGCAATCATTAAAGGTGAGACGGGCATTCCACCCACCAGGCAGGCAGCCCGGACATGCTTCTCAGATGTGCTCTCTCCTCTTCCCACAGCCGGATTTTCCAACTCCTACTCCAGCAACCCCTTCCTCACTCTAAGCAGATGACCTTAGCCCTTATTTCACAGGGAAACAGAAGCCCTCAGACAGGAACCTCAGGATCCTGCCTCCCCATCTACAAATCTACCTTTCTATCCATCCTTCCTTCCAGTCCTGAAAGGAAGCGCCACTCCCCTCTGTGGGCCCAAATCCCTCCCCGCCTTGCTAGGACTTCCTAGCGATTGCTCCCGGCTCCCCTCTCTTGACCGGGGTCTTCCTGTTAGCAATTAAATCAGCTGCAAAAGCCAAACGTATTCCAGGGCGACGAATTCTCAAAGATTCTATAGACCTCTCCATAAAATATTCCTCATTCTCCGGCTCCAGGACAGATACTATGATAATAGCTGAAACCACAGTTCGTGTTTCCTGTGCCTCAACGCGCGCGGGGCCGAACGCTGCTTTCCACAGAGCTAGGTCCACGGCCCCGCTGGACTGAGGCTCGGTCAGGGCCCGGCCGGGCTGCGGGATCGCTTCGCCCCCACGCGCTCCGCAGCCCTTTCCCCGACCAGGAGGCGCTGGTGTTTGGCTCCCCGAGACCCGATCGCCGCCCCGGGACCCGATCGCCGGATCGCTGCCCCGGGACCCGATCGTTGCCCCAGGAAAGGGCCGGAAAACGTCGCCGCGGGGGAAGGCTCCGAGGGGCTCGGGCGCCCGCCGGGCATTTAAACCGCGCGCCCGGCCGCCGGGGCTCCCTGCGCGGGACGCGACATCCGCCCCGGGTTAAAGAGCTCGAGCCAGCCCTCTTCAGGCCGCCAGGGCCTCCCCTCCCGCGGGACCCACCGTCCGCCCCGCAGGGCAGGCAGAAGGGGTGTGGGGCAGAAACCAGCGGACATCGCCCCGCACTCACCGCCGCCGCTCCCCATCGCCGCGCTCGCGTCGCTGCCGCCGGAGCCCGCCTGAGAGCGCGCCCGCGCCCCGGCCGGAGCGCGCGTAGCCCTCGCGCAGGCGCAGACCCCGCCCCGCCGCCCACCCCAGTTTTCAAACGCACCCGGCCCTCCCATTGGCCTGCCCGGGGGGGCCGCCGCCGGCCCCGCCCATGTCCCGCCCTGTGCTCGCCTCATTTACCGCCCTCCACGCCCTCCCCGCCTGCTCCGGGACCCGCCATTGGCCGCGCCAGGACGCGAATTCGAACATTGGCCGCTGATTGGTGGAACCCGCGTGGCCGCCCCGCCTCCCCAACGGGGCTGGGGTCCCGTAGGAGCGCTTCCCGGCCGGCGGGCAGGGGTTTGTGGGCGTCCCCTCCCGGCCGCATGGGTTCGGGCTTCGCCGCTGACCCCGGCGACCGGCATCTGCGGTGCCAGATGGGCTGCGAAGGCGCACGCCTGCGGCCAGGGGAAAGAGGACTCCTTGGCGTCCCTCGCAGTCGCGGCCGTGATCCAGCCTGGGACAGCCTCGACGTGGCGCTTCTAAGACGAGGCCGTGCCCTGCCCGGGTCCCGGGGTCGCTCCTGGGCCCGCGACCCTCACCCCCAGCTTGCACGGCCTTCCCTTCCGCCGCCTGCTTCAGGTGGAGACCCTTGGGTTTGTGGCTGAGCCGCTGCTGGGCGGGGATGCTGGCCGGGATCGTGGTAGAGAAAGAGGAGGTCGGAGCTGACGCTGGGAAGTCTCCCCCGCGGAACGCTGACCCCTTCTTCCCGCGAAACGTGGCGCACCCTGGACGCCTCAGTGCTCCAGCCCCGGGGCAAGCCCTCCCCATCACTTTGGCCAGATGCTGCCCCCTGTCTGGCCTCCTCGGCTGCTACCTGGAGCTGCTCGCCGCGGGAAGTGTCGTATCTGCTCACTCTTGTCTTGGGCAGTGCCCATCTGAGCTGTCCTTCAGGAGTCAGCCACACCGCACCCCTTTTACGGCACAGGCTGTCAAGGGGAAGACTCGCAGCCTCCTGACTGTCTGGTGGAGGACAGAGGGGGCTTTTCCTGGGGAAGGCAGGGGCCTGGGCCAAGGCTGCCCACCCCTCCCTCACGCTTCCCTCAGTCTGCACCCTTCCATCCTTCCGGGTCCCCATAGAACTCCTTCAAGTACTGGGCCTGCCCTGGGCACACAGACAGGAGCCCTGGCGTGCAGGCTTCAGCCGGCCTGGGGCAAGAGACAGAGTAAACAGGTGATCACAGCACAGGGTACAGAAGAGTCCGTGGCCCCAGAGAGGGTCTGGAAGTTGGGAATATTCCCTGTCCCGGAATCAGGAAGCGGGTGAAGGAGGGTGAAGAGAGGACAGGCTGAGCGAGTTTGGGGCCTGCTCCCCAGATGTCCCATGTTCTCAGCCCCCAGATTTATTATCCCCTTATCTCACTTTTGTCCTCCTGGGTTACTGTTTCCTACTTTGTCACTGTTACCTGTCTCCCCCTAGGGCAGAGGTGCACTTTCAGGGTTAGCTTCCATAGCATCTTGAAGGGATTAATCAACTAGAGCCAGCCATGAGCACATTAGCCACACCAGCTGCCTCTAGAATCTAGAACAGCATCCTTGGTCCCTAGGTTGTTGTTTAGCTCTATCCTGTGCTTTGTGTCCTGATCACTCTCCTTTCAACATGGACAGGCAAATTTCTTTTTCAGGGAGCAGGAGTTGTCTTGACTGCAGCCATGCCTGCTCTCGCCCCACACCCTGCACTGGCAGTGGGAGCCTCCAGGGCTGCCCTGGGGTGATAAGTGGCTCCTCCAGGGTGTGGGCCCGTTTCCCACTGGGCTTCAGGAAGGTGAGACCTTGTTGGAAAAGTCTAAACTGTTAGGAGCTCAGGGAAATTCCTGGTGGAATGAGGTGTCGGTTGAAAACGTTATGGGTAGTGAGGGGCAGGGGAGAGAAGGGAAAGTGAAGTAGCTTGGGAGCCTGAGAAATCCCACATTCAGAGAAGAAGATGGGCCTTCA
This sequence comes from Homo sapiens, assembly GCF_000001405.40. Taxonomy (NCBI): domain Eukaryota; kingdom Metazoa; phylum Chordata; class Mammalia; order Primates; family Hominidae; genus Homo; species Homo sapiens. The sequence continues at coordinate 2,427,485 of NC_000016.10, read as the reverse complement.
GTGGAGGCAGAGAGGGGCATGGGAGGAATGAGAGCTGGATATGGGAGCCCAGGGAGTGGCTTTCATCACAGGGAGCAGTCACCTGAAACGAGGACTGAGGAGGGTGGGTTGGCGACCATGGGTGTGCAACGCCGTTGTTCTGGGCAAGGGGTGCAGGAACCATAGGCAAGGCCTGTGCATGACCCTTTCCTGAGTCCTGGCTGAGAAGGGGCAGAGACCAGCATCTGCACTTCCCAGAGAGGAGCTGAGGGGCCTGTGGCAAGGGGCAGAGTGAACTCCACAGAGAGAGAAAGGCCACGGGATGGAGCCCGTCTCAGAAGAGAGGTGAGTGTACATGACAAAGGCATGTGGCCACATCCATCTGCATCTGGACAGTGTGATGGTCTGGCGCCCATGGGGCCTCTGCTCAGTGGTTCTCATGCTGGAGCTGCGCCAGAGTACCTGCTGTAGGGCTTCTTGCAACATGGATTGCTGGCCCTGCCCCAGGCATTTCTGATTCAGTAAGTTTTGGGTGGGGCCCAAGAACCTACATTTCTAACAAGTTTCCTGATGGTGCTGCTACTGCTGGGACCCCACTGCGAGAACCTCTGCCCCAGTGCAACCCTGGCTCCCCTGTCTGTTGATGTGGGAAGTTACTGGCTGCCTCTAAGCCAGTCTACCCATGTGGGAGGTGGGGCGCTGTCCACTTCATGGGTGGATATAGGATCACATGCAGCCCTAAATTTGCAGGAGCCAGGGAAGAGGATGAAAGCCCACACATCCAAATATTTAAATATTGTGACATCCCGACTTAGGCTAGCAAACTTGTCAATATTTATTTCCTCCTTCCTTCAGAAGAACAGTGACATTACCACCTGTGAGGCCAGGTGTGAGTTTAGAATCATGGTCTCCATGAAGCTTCACTCTTGCATGTGACCATGGGAGCCAGCCCCCAGCGGCCTACGGGCACCCTCCTCTCTGTTTCTGGCTCTATCCTGCTTTCCAAGGGATCTGCACACATGTGTGGAAACCTCCACGCACCCATCCAAACTCTACCCGAAGTTCTGCAGAGCCACTGCTTTGCTGCATCTCGCATCTCAGGGTGCGTTGGGCGGCATGGCCTGCCCTGGGAGGGAGTGCACTGGATGGACAAACCATCTGGGCAGGGGATTCTAGAGAAGGAAGAGCGCAAGCTTTGGGTGAGCATTTCCCTCTGCCCTGCAGACTTCTTGCCCATGAGCAAGGGGATGACCAGGACAGACCCCTTAAGGCCGGGCCTGAGGGTGATGTGATCAAATGACGCAATGCCTGCAGGGGACCAACCACAGAGTTGGCACCTGGTCGGGTCATGGTTAGTACTGTAGTCACCCCATGGCCACCGCCCTTGGAAAGGACATGCAAGATGTTCTGAGGCTGCTTCCACAGCCAGGTCTCAATAAGACCACAGGCTACTCAGGTGGGACTTGGGCATCCCTTTCTAAGGAAACGCACCTGGGTTCTCCAGCGGGCCTCTTAAGTTCTCCAGTGGGCCCCACTCTGCTCCGTGCACTGCAGTTAGGGGGACAGCCCTGTGCTGAGCTAGCTAGGTCGAGAGCTGCCTCTGTACGCCCTGGAAACCCAGGGAAGGCCATGCACACCTGGGCCAACCTGGCACTGGTCTGTCCTTATTACAGCAGGACAGGCTCTGAGGGAGGAGGCAGGGAGGGAGGCCGAGAGAAAAGCTGAGAGGGAGGCAGGGAGGGAGACTGAGAGGAAAGCCGAGAGGGAGGCAGGGAAGGAGGCAGCGAGCACGATGAGGAGCCCACCTGCTCTGCTTGCTCTCGTTGGTCTTCGCTTTGGACCAGGGGCACAGGGCATGCGAAGCTCAGGAAGACGTCCTCCATGGTGACCTGACTGCTGAGTAGTTGTCCAGCATGTACTTCTTGGCTTGCTCCAGAGTGCCAAACACCTGAGGGGAGGGAAGAGGCTGCTGTGGCCAGGCTGTCCCACAGATGCACACGGGGGAGGAGAGAGGGTGGGAAGGGCTGGCCTCCGGGACTGTGACAAGGCCCCAAAGAGGCCCATCCCTCTCTCAGCTGCTCCAGAACACCTCCTGAGAAGTCAGTGCTATGGATCTCAGCTGTCTGTGCTCTTGGGTGGGAGTGGTGTCAGAAGGCCAGAGGCCTGGTGGGGTCCCTGGCTTGCTGTGTGTCCCCAGGCATCTGGTGTTCCCTCTCTGGGCCTGCTCTCCTCTCCATGAAATAAGTGGGCAGGAGGAGCCAATCTTCAAAGTCCCTTCCAGCAGAAACACCTTCTGTTCTATGAAATCCACGTGAACGTTGCCATGGAGATGGCAGAGGACAGGGGCAGCACTGAACATGACTTCAGGAGGATGGGGAGGAGAGAAAGACAGGGAGAGAGAGAGAGAGAGACAGAGTTACCCCAGAAAGTGGGTCACGTCAAAAATGTGCGCTCAACTTCGCCCAGCTGAGGTCGCGGCCCAGCAGATGGTAATGGACCATGCCTTGGTGCTTGTCTTCAAGAACGCTGCCTGCACGAAGGAGAGATGGCGTTGCTGTGACGGCTGGGCTGGAGGATCAGGGAGGGTGCCTGGGTGCTCGGCATTGGGGTCCTCATCCCAGGGATCAGGGAGATGGGACGTGGGAGGGGCGAGGCACAGACTCTCCTCACGGCAGATGGGAAATGCCTAGGCAGGGGCCCAGGGCCCACCCAGTGGGGGCTGCCGGGGCCGGCACACACCTGGAAAGGTCAGGTCCACGAAGGCCTTGAACTCCTCCAGCACCTCCTGCTGCCCTTCACTCTGCACCTTGGCCCGCAGGGAGTAGCCACTGCTGAACTTGCTCTTGAGGTGCTGGGGGCTGCCCAGGCACTTGAACTGCCCCTGCACCATGATGGCCGCCGGCTGCACAGGGCCTCACACTCCTCCATGCTGGGGAGAGGGTGGGGCCTGAGACAGGGCTGGGGGTGTCAAAGGCTCATGCAGACAGGAAGGCGTTGGTGGCCTGATCAGGCCATTCCTGATACCAATGCTCAGAGTGTGGCTCAGGTGCAGAGCCTAGGGAATCTCCTCAAAGACTCTCCACCAGTTGCTGATGGGTCTTCTGGCCACCTGGCTTCTTCCCAGCCTACCTGGTTTTGAAACTTCCAGTGACCCACAGACCCAGGCTCTACCTATGGGAGGTGATGATGATGGCCTTGCCAGACTCGTGGGCGTGTGCCACAGCATTCCAGAACAGGCGCCGGGCCACGGGGTCCATGCCAGTGGATGGCTCATCCAGGAAGATGAAGGCAGGCTCTCCAATCAGGGCGATCAATGCCAGTGCTCAACTTCGGCTTGTTACCACCACCGGGGGTGGAAGGGAGAAGGTTGGGTGACGGCAATGGTCAGTCTCCAGCAGTGAGCACTGCCGGCTCAACACTCACCCCCTTTCCTTCTCTATTCAGGAAGTATTCCCACACCCCTCATGGGGCTTTCAGCAATGCAGTCCACCACTTTCACCCAGAGCTGAATTGTGGCTTGGGCTATCCACTCAGGAAATAACTTGTTCCCCTGGACACAGGGATGAGTCCAGGGTGAGCACACGGCCGACGAGTCTTCTTTGAGGGTTTGAAGTGTTGAGGGCAAGCACCTCTCCATCTGAGAGGAAAGGCATTGGCCCATCTTAGCTAACTTAAAAAAAAAAAACTGGATGGGCATGGTGGCTCACACCTGTAATCCCAGCACTTTGGGAGGCTGAGGCGGGTGGATCACCTGAAGTCAGGAGTTTGAGACCAGCCTGGCCAACATGGTGAAACCCTGTCTCTACTAAAAATACAAAAATTAGCTGGCCGTGTTGGTGGGCACCTGTAATCCCAGCTACTCGGGAGGCTGAGGCAGGAGAATTACTTGAACCCATGAGGCAGAGGTTGCAGTGAGCTGAGATCATGCCATTGCATTTCAGCCTGGGCAACAAGAGTGAAAACTCTAAAAAACAAAACCAAACAAAAAAACCATATAGCATTTACTATGTGCAACACACTGTTCTAAACTTCGCAAATGTGAACTCATTTGATCTTCAGAAGATGCAGGGAAACGTAAAAACCTGCTTGAAACAGGAGCCACCAAAGAGAGAAGACCCAAGGGACATCATCATCTGACCCCGGGCTCACTTTGCTAGAGGCGTGGGCACCTCTACCTCCCAATCCTGGGTGTGCAGTACCGCTGTGTGCCTCCGGGGGCGCTGCACACAACACGAAGGGAGTCCTTGGACCTGCGGGGCCTGTGGCCTTGCTTTAATTGGAGTCGGGCTTCTATCACTGACAACAGAAGCCTGAGAAATACCCCATGCGCCTTAGCAGAACATCAGTAGTTCAAGTACCGCAGACCCAGTGGTATGAGGTAACTCTGGGCTTAAAATGCAAACTTACTGAAAATAGCCCTTCATAAAGTGGCAGGGAGAAAGGTCCGTCCTCACCTTATCAGGACAGTAACACCTGTGGTGCCATCTGCCTGACCTCAGCCACGTAAGCTGCCTTTGGCCTGGGTCAGCTTCATAATCCAGTCAAGCCCAGGACCAAGAGGAAGGGGTGCCTTGAGGCAGCCCAGGCCACTTACCTCTTCCTGCAGGCCGCCCCCAACCACCTGCGCAGTGACCTCATGCCCAGAGCTGGGGGCTTTGCCCTGCTCTCCAGGTCTGGGAAGAACTGGAACTTATCTTGTAACTGGAGGTGGAGGGCCTGAAGGAAGCCCCAGATCTCACCTGTAGGTCTTGACCAGCTTGTTGGCGTACATGTACATGACTAAATCCTCAAGAATCTGGTCCACACAAGCACTGATGGGGTGCTCTGGGATGCCCCCGATCTGGGCATACATGACCAGCATCTCATGGCCTGTCATGAAGTTCAGCAGAGCATCAAACTGAGGACAGTAACCAATCCACCGCCATACCTGGGTCAGAAAACAGCCCGGAGAGGGAGGCACGTCAGAAGAAACCTCCTCCCACCAGGCTCACCAAGCCTCCAATGAGGCAAGGGCCTGGACACCTGCTGGTCTTGCTCCAGGCTGCTGCCTCTGCCACTACCCGCATCTGCCATGTGAATGCACAGGCACACTACTAAGGGGCTGTGAGTGGAAGTAGAGTAATGTAAGGGAGCCTGGGACAGCCCTTGCTGCTGGTGTTGTGGACAGGGTGGAGCGCTTGTTTGGCTCCTCCTCCAGCCCACCCAGTGTGAAACCTCAGCACACAGTGCCTCCCTACTTCCTGGTGCCTTTGAAGCATCCAGTCAATACAAGAGGCTTGCTTTGCTTTTTTCCCCTTTAGAAATATTTTCTATTAGGCATGTAATCTGCAAATAGATTTTCTTTGTAAAATATTCATGCAAAGACTCCTGCAGTCTGTTGGCTCAGCCCACTGTGGCCAGGCAGCTGTGCACCCTCTACACTTCTGTGTTGGCAAAGGCACCTGCGTGGGCCTGTGCTCCTTGCTCAGGACTGGCTGGGTGCTGTTTTTGCCAAATGGTATCATCCCATATCTACCATTCTGTAACATGCTTTTCTTTTTTATTTTCTTTTTTTGAGATGGAGTCTCGCTCTGTCGCCAGGCTGGAGTGCAGTGGCGTGATCTTGGCTCACTGCAACCTCTGCCTCCCAGGCTCAAGCAATTCTCCTGCCTCAGCCTCCTGAGTAGCTGGGTTTACATGTGCACGCCACCACACCTGGCTAATTTTTGTATTTTTAGTAGAGACAGGGTTTCACCATGTTGGTCAGGCTGGTCTCGAACTCCTGGCCTCATGATCTACCTGCCTCAGCCTCCCCAAGTGTTGAGATTACAGGCATGAGTCACCGTGGCCAGCCAACATGCTTTTCTTACTCAATATTATGTCTTAAAGATATTCCTAGGTCAGTAAATACAGATCTACCCCCACTTATTTTAACTGCTTCTTAGTTATCCAGGGAAGGCTTCTAGATTTCATTTAGCTGTTTAAAAATTTCATTTGACTCATTTCCAGGCTTTCGCTTTTATTTATTTATTTTTTTTTTGGGACAGTCTCACTCTGTTGCCCAGGCTGGATTGCAGTGGTGTGATCTCAGCTCACTGCAACCTCTGCCTCCTGGGTTCAAGCCATTCTCCTCTCAGCCCCCTGAGTAGCAGGGGCTACAGGTGCACGCCACTACGCCCAGCTAATTTTTTGTATTTTTAGTAGAGAGGGGGTTTCACCATGTTGGCCAGGCTGGTCTCAAACTCCTGACCTCAGGTTTTTGCCTTTCTGAACTTGCAGCTGACCACCCTGGTTTGTGTCCATGTTCATCTACTCCCAGGTGCTGGAAAGAGTGGGATGCCATTTCTGAGAAGTAACCACTGTTTTTCCCTCCTATTTTCTCCCCTCTTCTCCCTATTCAAACAGCTGGACAACCCTGGGCTCCACTGCCTGAGGTTGGAGGATGGGAAGGATTTTACAGAGTGCAAAACAGAAAACCACATGGAGGCTGGGCACGGTGGCTCACGCCTGTAATCCCAGCACTTTGGGAGGCTAGGCAGGTGGATCACTTGAAGCCAGGAGTTTGAGACCAGCCTGGCGAACATGGCACACACCTGCAATCCCAGCTACTCCGGAGGCTAAGACATAAGAATTGCTTGAACCCAGGAGGCAGAGGTTACAGTGAACTGAGATCATGCCACTGCACTCTAGCCTGGGAGACAGAGGGAGACTCTAAGAAAGGAGGAAGGGGAAGGGGGAGAGGAAGGGGAAGGAAAAGAGAGAGAGGGAGGGAGGGAGGGAGGGAAAGAAAGGAAACCACATGGAGTGTCTGCTTAGTGAAAGAGAGGTAAGGGAGACGGCTGTCAGTGTGGAAGAATGTTACGGAGACCTCACACAACTAAGGGCCCGGCTTTGGTTCCCAGAGTGGGGCTTCCCCCTTTTCCTCCTTCTTTTTATAACAGCTTTATTAAGATACAATGCACATACCACATAATTCACCAATGTGTACAGTTCAACTGCTCTCAGCACGTTCACATCCATCATCACACTCAACTTTAAACACTTCATTGTTCCCAAAAGAAACCCTGTACCCATGAGTAGTCACTCCGCGTTCCCTTTAACACCTCCAGCACCTGACTACCACTAATAAGCTTCCTGTCTCCATGGCTTTGCCTATTCTGGACATTTCATATGAATGGAATCACACAGCATATGATCTGTGTCTGGTTTTCTGGTTCATCCATGTTGTGGTGTATGTCAGTGCTTCATCCCTTTTTATGGCTGAGGAATATTCCATATCATACAGCAAGACCACATGTTGTTTATCCATTCATCTGTTGATGGGCATTTGGGTTGTTTCCACTTTTAGCCACTATGAGTAATGCTTCTATGAACATTCTTTTTTTTTTTTTTTTAAAGGTTATTTATCTTTCAACATAATTCTCACTCAGACAAGAGAATAACCTTTCCTTAATAAGGAACTTACTGTCTTTTTTTTTTTTTTAATTATACTTTAAGTTCTAGGGTACATGTGCACATTGTGCAGGTAAGATACATATGTATACATGTGCCATGCTGGTGCACTGCACCCACTAACTCGTCATCTAGCATTAGGTATATCTCCCAATGCTATCCCTCTCCCCTCCCCCCACCCCACAACAGTCCCCAGAGTGTGATATTCCCCTTCCTGTGTCCATGTGATCTCATTGTTCAATTCCCACCTATGAGTGAGAATATGCGGTGTTTGGTTTTTTGTTCTTGCGATAGTTTACTGAGAATGATGATTTCCAATTTCATCCATGTCCCTACAAAGGACATGAACTCATCATTTTTTATGGCTGCATAGTATTCCATGGTGTATATGTGCCACCTTTTCTTAATCCAGTCTATCATTGTTGGACATTTGGGTTGGTTCCAAGTCTTTGCTATTGTGAATAATGCCGCAATAAACATACGTGTGCATGTGTCTTTATAGCAGCATGATTTACAGTCATTTGGGTATATACCCAGTAATGGGATGGCTGGGTCAAATGGTATTTCCAGTTCTATGAACATTCTTATACAAGTTTCTGTGCGGATGTAGGTTTTTCAGTTCTTTTGGTTATATACCTAGGAATGGAATTGCTGGGTCATATGGTAATTCTATGTTTAACCTTTTGAGTATCCTTTTTGATAATTTTAATCTTTTAACTGGAGTCTTTGTCCACTTATATTTAATGTAAGTACTGATGTTTGGATTTAAATCTAATATATATATATAATATATGTATTTTATATATATATATATATAAAACTTTTTTTTGAGACAAGGTCTCACTCTCTTGCCCAGGCTGGAAGGCAGTGGTGTGATCATGGCTCACTGCAGCTTCAACCTCCTAGGCATAAGTGATCCTCTCAGCTCCCAAGTAGCTGGGACTACAGGCACACACCACTGCACCCGGCTAATTTTTAAATTTATTGTACAGGTGGAGTTTCGCTATGTTGCCCAGGCTAGTCTCAGATTCCTAGGTTCAAGCCATCCTCCCGCCTGGGCCCCCCAAATTACTGGGATTACAGGTGTGAGCCACCATGACTGGCCTAAATCTATCATCTTATTCAGGGCTAGCTAGCCCATATGTTCTATGTTCCTTTTTCTCAATTCTTCGATCATATTATTTTTTTCATTTTTCTATTTTTCCCTTCTATTAGCTTAAAAATATGTACTCCTTTCTCCTATTACATGGGTTGTTCCTTTAGAGATTAAAACACGCATCCTTGACTTAGCAATGGATATCATTAGCTGTTTACCGTATTCATGAGTAAGGTAAGGACCTTAAAATACTTTAACTTCTTTTACCCGCTCCTGACTTAAAGCCATTGTTGTCATGTATTTTACTTTTATATGTATTTTAAACCTCATAAGACATTATTATTATAGCTTTCAGTCAAAACTGACACATCCCCCCCCTTTTTTTTTTTATTTGAGACGGAGTCTCGCCTTGTTGCCCAGGCTGGAGTGCAGTGGTGCAATCTCGGCTCACTGCAAGCTCCACCTCCCAAGTTCAAGCGATTCTCCTCCCTCAGCCTTCCATGTAGCTGGGACTACAGGCGCGTGCTACCACACCCAGCTAATTTTTTTGTAGTTTTAGTAGAGACGGGGTTTCACCGTGTTGGCCAGGATGGTCTCTATCTCCTGATCTCGTGATCCACCTGCCTTGGCCTCCCAAAGTGCTGGGATTACAGGCGTGAGCCACCACGCCCGGCCACACATCTCCCTTTTAAAAACAAAAAAAACAAAAAAACAAAAAAAACAACCACTTGGCCCAGCACGGTGGCTCATGCCTGTAATCCCAGCACTTTGGGAGGCCCAGATGGGCAGATCACGAGGTCAGGAGATCGAGACCATCCTGGCCAACACGGTGAAACCCCATCTCTACTACAAATACAAAAATAACCCGGGCATGGTGACGCGTGCCTGTAATCCCAGCTACTCGGGAGGCTGAGGCAGAAGAATCACTTGAACCCAGGAGGTGGAGGGTGCGGTGAGCCGAGATCACGCCACTGCACTCCAGCCTGGCGACAGAGCGAGACTCTGTCTCAAAAAAAAATAAAAAAAATAAAAAAATAAATAATCACTTTTTACTCCTTTTTTTAACCCTGGGTTCCCAAAGTGCTGGGATTACAGGCATAAGCCACCCCGCCCAGCCATCCTTTCTGTATTTTTTTTTTAATAGGGTCTTGCTCTGTCACCCAGGCTAGAGTGCAGTGGTATGAGCATGGCTTGCCATAACTTCAAATCCTGAGCTCAAGTGAACCTCCTACTTCAGCTTCTGGAGTAGCTGGGCCTACAGGAGCAGGCCACTACACCCAGCTAATTTGTTATTTTTTGTAGAGATGGGGGTCTCACTGTGTTGCCTGGGCTGGTCTCGAACGAACTCCTGGCCTCAAGCAATCCACCTGCCTTAGCTACCCAAAGTGATAGGATTACAGGTATGAGCTCTGCCACCGCACCTAGCCCTTTCTGAATCTTTGAGTTTCCATCTGGGATCATTTTCCTTCTGCCTGAAACTTACTCTTTATTATCTCCTTTTGCATACATCTGCTGGTGATAAATTCTCTCAGCTTCTATTTGTCTGAAGGTCTTTTTAAAAATACCTTCTGGCCGGGTGCTGGTGGCTCACACCTGTAGTCCCAGCACTTTGGGAGGCCGAGGAGGGCAGATCGCCTGAGGGTGGGAGTTCGAGACCAGCCTGGCCAGCATGGTGAAATCCCGTCTCTACTAAAAATACAAAAATTAGCTGGGTGTGGTGGCAGGCACCTGTAATCCCAGCTAATCCGGAGGCTGAGGCAGGATAATCGCTTGAACCCAGGAGGCAGAGGGTGCAGTGAGCCTAGATCATGCCACTGTACCAGCCTGGGCAACAGAGCGAGACTCCATCTCAAACAAACAAACAAACAAACAAAACTTTCTTTCCTAAGTGTAGTTTTATGGGTTACTTTACTCTAGGTAGGTTGTTTCCTCTTATATCACTTACAATGTATCATTCTATTGTCTTCTGGCCTCTATTATTTCTGTGATGGGGCCAGCTGCCAGTGTAACTGTTGCTCTTGTGAAGGGACTCCACGTTTTATCTCTGGGTCCTTTTAAGACTTTTTCTTGTGTTTGGTTTTCAGCAAATTTACTATACTGCTCCTAGGGGCTGATTTCTTTTTGTTATCCTGCTTGGGGCTAATAGGGCTTCATTTGTGATTGATGTCTTTCATACATTTTGAAAAGTTTTAGCCATGTGGTTTCAAATGTTGCCTTGTCTGCCCTTCCTTTTGGAACTTCTGTTACACACATATTAAGCCTTCGCACTGTATCCTTCCTATGTGATTAGTCATATGTTGCTGCATAACAAATTACTCCAAAACGTGGGTGTAATTTGTTATTTCATGGTTTCTATGCATTAGATCAGGAATCTCAGAGCAGCTTAGTTAGGTGGTGCTGGTCAGGGTCTCTCATGGGGTGCTGCTAACCTGTCAGTTGGGCTGGAAGTCTCCTGAAGGCTAAAGGAGCTGTTTCCAAGTGGCTGGCAGGTCTCAGGTACTTTCTGACTGCTCCTCAGCACACAGACCTCTCTGCAGGGCCACCTAGGTGTCTGCATGACATGGCAATGGCACTTAGCTTCCCTCAGAGTGAGTGTGCTGGTTAATTTTTTTTTTTTTTGAGGCGGAGTCTCGCTCTGTGGCCCAGGCTGGAGTGCGGTGGCGTGATCTCTGCTCACTGCAAGCTCCGCCTCCCGGGTTCACGCCATTCTCCCGCCTCAGCCTCCCGCCTCTGCCTCCCGAGTAGCTGGGACTACAGGCACCCACCACCATGCCCGGCTAATTTTTTGTATTTTTAGTAGAGATGGGGTTTCACTGTGTTAGCCAGGATGGTCTCCATCTCCTGACCTCGTGATCCGCCTGCCTCAGCCTCCCAAAGTGCTGGGATTACAGGCGTGACCCACCACGCCCCGCCAGGGGTGCACTTTTAAAATTTAATAAATAGTGCCAAATTGTCCTCCAAAAAGCTTGATCTTACCAATAGCCTATGGGGATGCCTATTTCCGATTCTGTTGATAATACTAGATATTATCTGTCTATAAATCCTTAGGTAAAATTAGGCATATTTTCATATGGTTATTAGGCACTGGATGTTTTTTCTTCTATGAATAGCCCATTTATTTCTTCAGCCCATTTTTTACTAACAAATTGTTCATATTTTCTCACTGATTTATATGATGGAGATATATATATATGTGTGTATGTATATATATGTATGTGTCTTTGTCCTTTATGTATGTGTCAAGTATTTCCGTTATTTAACATCAGTTAATGTGTCTTTTCTTATATAGACTTGAATGTTTATGTATTTAAATATTATATACTACTTTGTCGTTTCTGGGTTTCATGGCAAGCTCTGGAGGGTCTTCCACATCATAAAGGTAGAAAACTATACTTCTGAGCCAGGCACGGTGGTGTGCACCTGTATAGTTCCAGCTATTCAGGAGGCTGAGGTGGGAGGACTGGTTGAGTCCAGGAGTTCTAGGCTGCAGTGAGCCATAATTGCACCACTGCACTCCAGCCTGGGCAACAGAGCAAGACCTTCTTTCTTAAAAAAAAAAAATGAGGGGAGGGGCCCAAAGGTTGTTTGAAAGTCTGTGCTGGGCATGTGGCCACAGGAATCCTGACTGTCCCCTAGCAGGTGGTTACATTGTTCTCTACCACCCACCAGCACTGATTATCAGGGAACATGCTGCTCCAGCAGCCCCCGAAGGCACCCTCCCTTTGGACAGAGGCCAAGTCTGTTTGCTGCTCTTTTCTGGGGAATCTATAGGAGAATCACGTGAACCTGGAAGTTTGAGACCAGCCTAGGCAAAATAGCAAGACCCCCATCTCTACTAAAATACAAAAATTAGACTGGCATGGTGGCACCTGCCTGCAGTTCCAGGGAAAAAGTGAAACCTTACCTCTAAAAAAAAGGAAAAACTATTCACCAGTCATGGTGGCATGCGCCTGAAATCCCAGCTACTTGGGAGGTTGAGGCAGGAGAATTGCTTGAACCAGGAGGTGGAGGTTGCAGTGAGCTGAGATTGTGCTACTGCACTCTAGACTGGGTGACAGAGCAAGACTCCATCTCAAAAAAAAAAAAAAAAAAGAAAAGAAATTGAATTTGTAGTTAAAAATCTTCCACCAAAACAGAAACTTTTGTCTTTTCAACAAATGGCACTGGGACAATTACACATATATGCAAAAGAATGAATTTGGATCTCTACCTAACACCATATAAAAAATTAAAATGAATCAAAGGCCTAAATGTAAGAGCTAAAACTCAGCCGGGCGCAGTGGCTCATGCCTGTAATCCCAGCACTTTGGGAGGCCGACGCAGGCGGATCACGAGGTCAGGAGATCGAGACCATCCTGGCTAACATGGTGAAATCCCGTCTCTACTAAGAATACAAAAACAAAATTAGATGGGCGTAGTAGCAGGCAGGTGCCTGCTACTCGGTAGTCGCAGCTACTCAGGAGGCTGAGGCTGGAGAATGGTGTGAACCCGTGAGGTGGAGCTTGCAGTGAGCCAAGATCCCGCCACTGCACTCCAGCCTGGGTGACAGAGCAAGACTCCATCTCAAAAAAAAAAAAAAAAAAAAAAAGCTAAAACTCTTAGAAGAAAATGTAGAGGTAAAACTTCCCTATCTTGCATAAGGCAATAATTTCTTAAATCAAAAACACAAAAGAGAAAAGAATAGATAAATTGGTCTTTGTCATAATTTCATAATTAAAAGCTTTTGTTCATCAAGGGACACTGTCAAGAAAGTGAAAAGACAACCTGCAATATAGGAGGAAATATTTGAAAATGATATATTTGACAAGGTCTAGTATCCAACTTTGTAAAGAATTATTGGCTGGGTGTGGTGGCTTATGCCTGCAAGCATTTTGAGAGGCCGAGGTAGGAGGATTGCTTGAGGCCAGGAGTTCGAGACCAGCCTGGGCAACATAGTGAGACTACTGTCTCTACAAAAAATTAAAAAATTAGCCGGGCACAGTGGCATGCACCCGTAGTCCCAGCTACACAGGAAGCTGAGGTGGGAAGATGGTTTGAGCCCAGGAGGTCGAGTCTGCAGTAAGCCGTGATTATGCCATTACACTCCAGCCTGGATGACAGAGTAAGACCTGTCCAAAAAAAAAAAAAAAAAAAAAAAAAAATTTTTACAACTTCCTGATAAAAAGAAAAAAGACAAATAACCTAATTAAAAATGGAGGAGGGATTTGACTAAATAGCTCTCCCAAGAAGATATACAAATAGCCAATAAGCACATGAAAAGATGCTCAACATCATTAGTCATTAGGAAAACAAAGACCAAAACCACAATGTGATACTAATTTATACTCATTAGAATAGCTATAATAATTTTTTTTAAAAAGAGATGGGGTCTTGCTATGTTGCCCAAGCTGGCTTCAAGCTCCTAGACTCAAGCGATCCTCCCACTTCAGCTGGGACTACAGATTGAACAGCTGGGACTACAGATGCATGCCACTGTACATGGCTTTATAATACAATTTTTAAAAGGAATTTAAAAATGTTGGAAAAGGGGGCATAAAATTACCACCAGACCTGCCCTATAAGAAATGTTGAAAGGAGGTCAGGCACAGTGGTGCATGCCTGTAATCCCAGCTACTCAGGAGGCTGAGGCAGGAGAATCGCTTGAACCCAAAAGGCAGAGGTTGCAGTGAGAGCTGAGACTGCACCACTGCACTCCAGCCTGGGAGACAGAGTAAGACTCCGTCTAAAAAAAAAAAAAAAAAAAGAAAAAAGAAAAAAAATTGATAAATGAAATTTCATGCTATGTATATTGTACTATAATTTAAAAAGTAAATAATTTTTTAAAGCGTTGGAGAGGATGTGGACAAACTGGAATCCTCAGACTTTGCTGGTAGGAATGTAAAATGGTTCAGCTAATGTAGAAAACAGTTTTGTAGTTCCTCAAAATGCTAAACACAGTTACCATATGACCTAGCAAATATAGTCTTGGTATATACCCAAGAGAACTGAAAACATGTTCACATAAAAACTCATATCCAAATGTTTATAATACTGTTATTCGTAATAGCAAAAGCAGAAACAACCCACATGTCCATCAACAGATGAAAAGATAAATTGTGGTGAAACCATACAATGGACTAACATTCAGCTACGCAAAGGGATGGAGCACTGACACCTCTTACAACATGGATGAACCTTGAAAACATTATTCTAAGTACAAGCAGACAGACACAAAGCTCACACATTGTATTATTCCATTTATGTGAAATATCCAGAACAAGCAAATTCATAACAGCAGGAAGCAGATTAGTGATTGCGAGGGGCTGGGGGAAGAAGGGAATGGGGAGTGACTGTTAATGGGTATAGGGTTTCCTTTTGGAGTGATGAAAATTTTCTAGAATTAGATAGTGGGGAAGGTTACTCTGCATATACCAAAAACCACTGACTTGTAAATTTTATTCTTTTTAAAAAAACTCTTATCTCATGACAGATTACTGACTTGTAAGCTTTAAAAGGGCATATTTTATATGAATTATGTTTCAACAAAAATGTAATTAACAAATTCCATTTACAATACTCACAGACTTCATTACACTCAATATCACTCAGGTTCTTGACACTGCAAAACCTCTGTAGTTCAGAGTTGTAATATAAGTTGGTGAAAGCCATCCCCAGGCAGTGCCCTGGAAGTATTAGGAATGTATAATCCAAGGATTTTGAGATTGTTGCATAGCCTAGCTATGCGAAGAGAATAGAAAATATTAACTCTGCTTGCAGGAAGAAAAGGGCATATCTTCTATTATCTATCCTAACCCACGTTATTGTATATCCATCATTACAACATCAGACTCCCAGGCCTCCAGACCAGAAAACTGGTTCTCCCTGACTCCTCTTCCTCTATAGTCATTCAACCTCTAAGACCTAAGTATCTTTCTTCTGCTATGCTCCTCGAATCTGTCACTTTACTTCTTTCCAATTGTTCACGCGGGAGGATCTGCAAGAACACGGTGTGTGTGGGAAAATCAGGAGCACAGCCGCAGCATGGGCTGCATCTGCGGAGGTGGGGGAGCTGAGGGCAGAGGGAAATGAGGTTTACAGGTGATCTGCGTCCAGATAGCAGGGGTGAATTGCCGGCTCCCAAGTTGTTTGAGTGTCATCTTCCAGATGATAAGGAGGATGCAGTTCCTGCCTCTATAGTTTGTGGAGATAAAACTATCACCAAGAGTCCCTTAGGAGACAGAATGACTCCCAAGTTAAAAGCAGAGGGGACTGGGCACGGTGGCTCACGCCTGTAATCCCAGCACTTTGGGAGGCCGAGACAGGTGGATCACGAGGTCAGGAGATCGAGACCATCCTGGCTAACACAGTGAAACCCCGTCTCTACGAAAAATACAAAAAATTAGCTGGGCGTGGTGGCGGGTGCCTGTAGTTCCAGCTCCTCAGGAGGCTGAGGCAGAAGAATGGCGTGAACCTGGGAGGCGGAGCTTGCAGTGAGCCGAGATCGCACCACTGCACTCCAGCCTGGGCCACAGAGCGAGACTCCGTCTCAAAAAAAAAAAAAAAAAAAAAAGTCAATCCTAAACACTTGAGAAAGAATATCAGAATCTGAATTTTAAAAGTGAGGTGTTAGAAATACCGCATGGGCACTTCCCTTCTGCTCATCTGCACATGCAGACATGAACAAGCTCTAAACTCTGCTCTCCAGGAGCTGCCCTGGAAATCAGTGGTACAGTGTAGTGTGATAAGGGGTTCAGAGATGCTCACAAAACACACAGGCAGAACAAAGCAGGAGGCGGTCCATTCTGCATAAAATAACCAGGGAGCTGAAAATTACTCAATGCAACCACAATTAAGTACTTCAACCCATCAGTACCCTGGTGAGGTATTTCTGGACAATAAACATATGTCCCCAAAGTACTGCCCCTTACTAGCTTGAAGTAGCAATTCTTGGGGGGGCCACATGGAGACCCTGAAGCAGATCCCTCTGCTCCTAACAAAGCTGGGAACTTGAGTCTTCTTCTGCCAAGGGATGAGGGAGATCTCACACCCTGTGTCCCCACTGGGGCAGAGCTGCCAACCTAGACTTCCTAGCTGGTTCCGGTTCTGGGCAGGGGTCCCCAGGAAAAGCTGCCTGTGATATGCAGCTGAAGAATCCCAGCACCCTCCAGCACTCACCACCAGCAGCAGACTGGGAATGAGGAAGGAGATGAGGTCCCATAGCAGAGTGGAGAGCCAGAAAGTGGCCACATAAACTCCATTGATAAACTGGACAAGCTTGGCCTTAACGCGCCTCTCTCTGACTGTCAACATGGAAAAAGAGCTAGACAGGAAAGCTAATCCAAAAAGCAAGTTGATAACAAGGTAATGTCCTTTAGGTTCCCTGTAAAAGACGGGACATAAGGAGAGAGATAGCAGAGTAAGTGGAACTGCTAATAACAACCATCTCCCAAAATAACAATTTGTAATTAAAACAAGAGGCAAAGACAGAAACAGGTGGGAAAGGGTGGAACCCTACAGAGGTGTAGATAGAGAGAAGAAAATTCACACATACTGATACAGGAAATTCTCTGAATCCTCCCTGGCTGGCTGAGGTTGAGGGTGGTTGGCTGCGGTAATGGAAGCCCTGGCACCAGAAAGCAACTTCAAGAGAAAATTGTCCAATAGCGCCAGAGCCAGGGCAGAAGAATGGTATGCCTGGTTGTTGAACAGCGCTGTCACTATGGTGTGATTTCCCACGTCTTCAAAGGAAGCTGCCACTAAGTAGAGCTTATCAAAGTCCTCAGGCTCCTCTTTTGCCTTTTTCAATAGGAACTCATCTACAGAACCTAGAAGGGAACAAAATATCCACCAGGACGAGTGTCACACCAGGCCCACTGGGATGGGGAGAACTCACTATCAGTCTCCCACAACCTGCTGCTCCTCCTAGGTACTTCATCACTAACCTCCACCGACCTCTAAAAGCAGGCCTCCTCCCACCACTCTGCCCTGAATTCCAGTTACTCTTGGAGTCTTGTCTATTCTTCCTTTATTTTATTTATTTATTCGTATTTTTAGAGAGGGAGCCTTGTTCTGTTCCCCAGGCTGGAGTGCAGTGATGTGATCATAGCTTACTGCAGCCTTGACCTCCTGGGCTCAAGTGATCCTCCTGCCTCAGCCTCCCAAAGTGTTGAGATTACAGGTGTGAGCCACTGTGCCTGGCTCTATTAATCTTTTAAGTCTCTTCCAATTGTCTGCTTCTTTCCTTCCCACTGCCTCAACTGGGTCTGGATCTCATTATCTGTGCCTGGATTATGTAGCCCTCAATGAAGAGCTCGCTTTTTTTTTTTCGAAACAGAGTCTCACTCTATTGCCCAGGCTGGAGTGCAGTGGTGCCATCTTGGCTCACTGCAACCTCTGCCTCCCAGTTTCAAGCAATTCTCCTGCCTCAGCCTCCCGAATAGCTGTGACCATAGTTGTGCGCCAGCAAGCCCAGCTAATTTTTGTATTTTTAGTAGAGACAGGGTTTCACCATTTTGGCCAGGCTGGCCTTGAACTCCTGGCCTCAAGTGATCTGCCCAGCTCAGCTTCCCAAAGTGCTGGGATTACAGGCGTGAGCCACTGCACCTGGCCAGATCTTGCCTTCTATCTGGCACCTCCGGTTTCTGTTTGAAAGGACACATCTGGCCATAATGCGCCCCACCAATTAACTTGCAGTGGCTCTCCACTGTCCTCACGACAAAGCCAAATTCCTCCACATGAGGTACAGACCCCATCACTATCCAAACTCAGCCTCACGTCTTTTAGCTCCAGCCAAACCTAAGGACTTACAGTGCCCCATGCTTACAAATGCTCTTCTTGTTGTTTGGAATGTTCTCTGGGTTACTTTTCCCTTCTATTTGTCAATGCCTACTCATACCGTGGGCTCTTACTCTGGAGCCTACTCTGACCCTCCATGACTGAGATATGTCTGTGTAATTCCACAGTATTCCAATCGCAGTCACTGTCACTTTGTATTGTAACTATCACTTCTGCATAAGGCCTCAGGTAATGATGCTGTTCATTACTGTATTCCCAGCACACAGTGCCAAGTCAAATATACAACCCACCTAGAGTCCAGAAATCTAAACTCTTTAGTGCTGAAGGGACCTTCAATCATAATGACAACAACAATAGTACCAGCACCACTGTCTGAGTGCTCACTGGGTGCACCTGTGCAAAGCACTTAACAAGCACTCACTCACGAAATCACCCAATGATACTGTGAGGTGAAGTCTGTCTTCTCCCCATTTGGAGTATGAAGAAACCAAGGCTTAGAGAGGCAGGGTGTTATGATCCCAACCATTTTGTTACATCATGTTCTGCATTTGAAATCTTTATTTTAAAAAAGTAATTACTTTAAAATGTTATTTAATCAAAATAATGCGTGAATATAATTTTAAAAATCAAATAGCTATACAAGAAACAGCAGTGCTCTGCCCTAGCCCTGAGCCTCCCCAATGGCTGTTCACCAGAAGCAACCCTTTTCCCATCTTTTACCTGGTGTTTCTCCACATTGCTAAACAGCACATCACCTAGCTGTTGATGTTTCATGATGGAAGCAAGGATTGTGTTCTCTTACAAGTATCCTCTCTTACAACCCCCACAGACTTCCTCCCACTAGAGTTACATCATGATTTTCGCTAAATCAATAGTCAGTTTTGGTTTTTTGTTTTTTTTGAGACGGAGTCTCGCTCTGTTGCCCAGGCTGGAGTGCAGTGGCGCAATCTCGGCTCACTGCAAGCTCCGCCTCCCAGATTCACGCTGTTCTCCTGCCTCAGTCTCCCGAGTAGCTGAGACCACAGCTGCCCGCCACCACGCCTGGCTAATTTTTTGTATTTTTAGTAGAGATGGGATTTCACCGTGTTAGCCAGGATGGTCTTGATCTCCTGAACTCGTGATCCGCCCGCCTCAGCCTCCCAAAGTGCTGGGATTACAGGCGTGAGCCACTGCACCCGGCCAATAGTCAGTTTTGAGATTATGATGACTAAGCAAAAATTATTTACAACTGAACCAAGTAGTATGTTATGTTTTGTTGTACAACTTTTCCCCCTGAAGTTAATAATATTCTCCTTTTCTCATTTGCCTAGTTTTCTTTATATCTATCACCACTTCGTCCATAAACTCCCTTGATAGAAGTGTAGATCTTGACCGGGCGTGGTGGCTCACGTCTGTAATCCCAGCACTTTGGGAGGCTGAGGTGGGTGGATCACAAGGTCAGGAGTTCAAGACCAGCCTGGCCAATAAGGTGAAACCCCTTCTCTACTAAAAATACAAAAATTACCCAGCCACAGTGGCATGCACCTGTAATCCCAGCCACTCGGAAGGCTGAGGCAGGAGAACTGCTTGAACCCGGGAGGCAGAGGTTGCAGTGAGCCGAGATGGCACCACTGTACTCCAGCCTGGGCAATGGAGCAAGACTCCATCTAAAAAAAAAAAAAAGTGTAGCTGTCCTTTCAATACAATTCAAACATATTGAATAGTTTCTCAATTTTATTTTGGGGGGCTGGGTGCAGTGGCTCATGCCTGGAATCCCAGAACTTTGGGAGGCCGAGGCAGGCAGATCACTTGAGATCAGCAGTTCAAGACCAGCCTGGCCAATCTGGTGAAACCCCTTCTCTACTAAAAATACAAAAATTAGCCGTGTGTGGTGGCAGGTGCCTATAGTCCCAGCTACTCGGGAGGCTGAGGCAGAATTGCTTGAACCCAGGAAGTGGAGGTTGCAGTGAGCCGAGATCATACCCTTGCACTCCAGCCTGGGCATTGCAGCAAGACTCCATCTCAAACACATACACACACACACACACACACACACACACACACACACACACACACACACACAGCTATAATTTTATTTGGGGGCATGATTTCATTCCTAGAAAGACACATACTTGGTCTTATTTCTAGGGACTCTACCTTTCTTGTCATTTGGGGTTTGAAATACGGTTTTCTGAGATTTCTGGCTATTTATTTCTAACTTCAGAGAGCACCACGTGGCCCACCAGCACACAGCTTCACTACAAAGAACAACAGGATTGTTTCATGCCCCATTTTCCTGGGCCTGGTACATACTTACCTAGGACCTCCAGAGGAATCTGTCCCTCAACCATAAACATATTTGCAAAGCGTTCTGAAAGTTGAGGATCCAGCCTGGAATTCTGAGAAATAAAGAAAGGAACAATGGTCTGACCATATGTTTTCAGAGTCAGCTCCAATGGGACATTTTCTATGCTTCTTTCTTTGAAGTTGAAGAATGTGAGGCTTAACATGATGATCACCAGAGGGACCAGGATCTGTATTGATAACATCAACATCCAGTTGTGTTAAGAATATGTGACCTTTTTCAGGAGCATGGCATAAAATTGTTGGCAGAGAAGACTGAACTACAATAAAAAAATAAAAGGGAAACACACCATTAACACGGTCACAGATAGAAGCTGGAGGCACTGAAGTGGCCCCTGGCTCATGCCCATTTGCACTCCCTGATACTACATATAACTAACTTTTCTTTCTTTTTTTTTTTTTTTTTTTTGAGACGGAGTCTCGCTCTGTCGCCCAGGCTGGAGTGCAGTGGTGCGATCTTGACTCACTGCACGCTCTGCCTCCCGGGTTCACGCCATTCTCCAGCCTCAACCTCCCAAGTAGCTGGGACTACAGGCGCCCGCCACCACGCCTGGCTAATTTTTTGTATTTTTAGTAGAGATGGGGTTTCACCGTGTTAGTTAGGATGGCCTTGATCTCCTGACCTCGTGATCCACCCGCCTCAGCCTCCCAAAGTGTTGGGATTACAGGCGTGGCCTCCCAAAGTGCTGGGATTATAGGCGTGAGCCACTGCTCCCGGCCTTAATTTTTCAATTATATTCAAAATTTGCTTCAAGTTAGAAGTCTTTTTTTTTTTTTTTCAGACGGAGTCTCACTCTGTCGCCCAGGCTGGAGTGCAATGGTGCAATCTTGACTCACTGCAAGCTCCTCCTCCCAGGTTCACGCCATTCTGCCTCAGCCTCCCAAGTAGCTGAGGGACAACAGGCGCCTTCCACCATGCCCGGCTAATTTTTTTAATTTTTATTTTTAGTAGAGATGGGGTTTCACCATATCAGCCTGACCTCATCTCCTGACCTCATGATCCACCTGCCTTGGCCTCCCAAAGTGTTGGGTGGGATTACTGGCGTGAGCCACCACGCCCGGCCAGAACTCTTTGAACTTATGATTTTTGTTTTGTTTTGTTTTGTTTTGAGACCAGGTCTGACTCTGTCAGCCAGGCTGGAGGGCAGTGGTGTGATCTTGGCTCACTGAAGCCTTGACCTCCTGGGCTCAAGTGATCCTTCTGCCTCAGCCTCCCTAGTAGCTGGGACTAGAGGCGTGCACCACCGTGCCTGGCTAATTTTTTATTTTTTGAAGAGATGGGGTCTTATTTTGCCTCCTGTATGAGACAGGTGGCTGACTTAGTTGACCCCAAGACCTTTCCCAACTTGGAGGCTCAGTGGATGACAGCTTCCTAGTAATTGTGTGATTCAAGGTTATGAAACAATAAAGTTAATCTCTTGACTAACTCACAAAAGTCAGTCTTATTTTACATTAATACTTGTGGATAGCTAAATCAAGAACACTTCATAAAATGAACCTCGATATTTCTTTTTTTTTTTTTTTCAGACGGAATTTTGCTCTCATTGCCCAGGCTGGAGTGCAATGGCACGATCTCGGCTCACTGCAACCTCCGCCTCCCAGGTTCAAGCAATTCCCCTGCCTCAGCCTCCCAAGTAGCTGAGATTACAGGCATGTGCCACCACACCCAACTAATTTTTTATTTTTAGTAGAGACGGGGTTTCTCCATGTTGGTCAGGCTGGTCTCAAACTCCCGACCTCAGGTGATCTGCCTGCCTCAGCCTCCCAAAGTGCTGGAATTACAGGCATGAGCCACTGTGCCCGGCCACAAACCAATATTCCTTTTTTTTTTTTTTTTAAGATGGAGTCTTGCTCTTGTCGCCCAGGCTAGAGCCTTGGCTCACTGTCACTGTAACCTCTGCCTCCAGGGTTCAAGTAATTCTCCTGCCTCAGCCTCCCGAGTAGCTAGGATTACAGGCACCCACCACTATGCCAGGCTAATTTATATATATATATATATATATATATATATATATATATATATATATATATATATATATATTTTTTTTTTTTTTTTTTTTTTTTTTTAGTAGAGACAGGGTATCACCATGTTAGCCAGGCTGGTCTCGAATTCCTGACCTCAGGTTATCCACTCACCTCAGCCTCCCAAAGTGCTGGGATTACAGGTATAAGACACCATGCCCAGCCCAATATCCTTTTTTCAACATTAAAAGAACATTACAGGTTGTCCATATATTTCATAAGGATGTATTTTTAAAAATTTTAAATTCCAAGTGATATAATAGATGATCTGTTTCATAGTGAAAGATACATGCTTTTTGGCTAGCAGATTTAGTACTTTTATTCTATCTTCTTCCTGGTCAGAGGAATGGCCAAGACCTCTACTATAATCTTCTATGATCCCTTCTTACACTGGGTTAATCCTATCCAGACCATCACCCTTCGCCTTTGAACTACAGCAGAGACTGTGATAGTGTCAAAACCTGGCACAGCCAATCTTTTATGCTTAAAATGTGCACGTTTTTTCTTAAAACCCTGTAAAAGGCTGATGTAACTTCTTGACAGAATGACAGTATATTTCCAAGAATTAAACCAATATGTGCTTTCTTGCATACATTTTGAACAGTTATTTACCCCAGTGTTTGGTTTGATTGGCAGCCCAGTCCGTATTGAGAAGGTCCTCGAATGAAGATGTTTAATTCTGTCAACAGGAATTCTGCTAAGCAGGGCTGGGGATGGATAGAGGGATGTTTGATGTTTGGGACAGCTGTACTGGCATCTGCCAACATACAAACCCTAAACCAAACCAAAAGCAAAAACAAATTCTTAAAATCATGGCAAAGTTCATTTTGTTTGGATTTAAAGAATGAAAGTAATATGATATTTGAAAAAACTAAGTTAGGATAAGAATAATGGGCCAGGCGTGGTGGCTCACTCCTGTAATCCCAGCACTTTGGGAGGCCGAGGCGGGCGGATCACGAGGTCAGGAGATTGAGACCATCCTGGCTAACATGGTGAAACCCTGTCTCTACTAAAAATACAAAAAAATTAGCCAAGCATGGTGGCGGGTGCCAGTAATCCCAGCTACTGAGGAGGCTGAGGCAGGAGAATGGCATGAACCCAGGAGGCGGAGGTTGCAGTGAGCCAAGATTGTGTCACTGCACTCCAGCCTGGGCCACAGAGCAAGACTCCGTCTCAAAAAAAAAAAAAAGGATAAGAATAATGAGGAAAAAAAGCTGCATCTAGATTATATATAGTGGGTAGCAAGTATATACTGGCTATAAACAGGATAGCAAGGTCTTAATAAGTCCTAAGTATTGAGTTAACTAACCAATGGCTTTTCCAAATAACTGAGGCAACACTAGTATGAATAGATTTTGTCATTTTCCCTAAAAGATTCTATATGCAAATTAAAACAAAATGATACATTATTTAATATCTATTTCATAAGCAAAACTGAAAATTATAAAACAGAGTTCTGTTGAGACTCTAGGCCAGGAATTGGTAAACAATGGCCAGTGGGCCATATCCAGCCCAAGAGATTCTGAGTTCAGAATGAACTATGGTTGATTCTGAGCTATATATATGTTATATTTACACTATGTAGGCTTAGCAGCATAATCAAGGATATTATGTAATTATATAATGATCTAACATAACCATAAACATTGAAACACACATATACAAATATATACTTGTGTGTGTATGTGTGTGTGCATGTGTATATATATATATAGTATATACTGGCTACAAACTGTCTAGCAAAGTCTTTTCTTTTTTTTTTGAGACGCAGTCTCGCTCTGTCACCCAGGCTGGAGTGCAGTGGCGTGATCTTGGCTCACTGCAAGCTCTGCCTCCCGGGTTCATGCCATTCTCCTGCCTCAGCCTCCCGAGTAGCTGGGACTACAGGCACCCGCCACCACGCCCGGCTAATTTTATTTTTCTATTTTTTAGTAGAGACAGGGTTTCACCGTGTTAGCCAGGATGGTCTTGATCTCCTGACCTCATGATCTGCCCGTCTTGGCCTCCCAAAGTGCTAGGATTACAGGCATAAGCCACTGCGCCTGGCCGCAAAGTCTTAAATAAGTCCCAAGTATTGAGTTAACTAACCAATATGTGTGCGTAGGTATGTACATACACAAATATATTTAAAGTATTTGTATATATACACACACACACTAATATGTGTATGTAAAGTGTATATATACTATACACACACACTATATATGTGTATAATGTAAAGTATATATGTACTATATAATAAAATGTAATATATATGTAAAATATATATACTAATATGTGTATATATACACGCACATACTATATATATACACATACTACATATGTATATATACACGCACATACTATATATATACACATACTACATATGTATATATACACACACGTGTATATATACATATTATATATACATTTACAGTGTATATATGTAAGTATATATAATCATATATATATATATAAATAGTATATAGTATGTGTGTGTATGCACACACACACACTTAAATAATAGAGCCTGGGTCTTACTTTGTTGCCCAGGCTGGATTTCAGTGGTGATCATGGCTCATGGCCGCCTCAAATTCCTGGGCTCAAGGGATCCTCTTGCCTCAGCCTCCCAAGTAGCTGGGACTGCAGGCATGGGCCACTGTATCTGGCCTGGAACTAGTTATATAATTACTTACATAATATCCTTGATTATGCTGCTAAGCCTACATAGCATAAAATAGTTACTATGTGGTCCTTTTTTTTAGACATAGTCTCACTCTGTTGCCAAGCTGGAATGCAGTGGCCCTATCTCAGCCTACTGCAACTTCTGCCTTCCAGGTTCAAGCAATTCTCCTGCCTCAGCCTCCGGAGTAGCTGGGACTACAGGTGCAGGCCACCACACCCAGCTAATTTTTGTATTTTTAGTAGAGACGGGGTTTCACCATGTTGGCCAGGATGGTCTCGATCTCTTGACCTCGTGATCTGCCCACCTTGGTCTCCCAAAGTGCTAGGATTACGGGCGTGAGCTACCGCGCCCGGCTGTGTGGCCCTTTAAGAAAAAGTCTGCTGACCCCTGCTCTAGGCAAAAAGATGTGTTTGGTTGGCAGCAAAGTGTCAATGTGCCAGGAAACTATTTCTAGTCAAAGGCTTTGGGCCATCATTCTACTAAGAATTTGTCACACCAAAATAACCCAGGAAATTGACTTTTTTCCTTCAGTATGGTTCTGTAAAACATGGTGTATTTGTTATCTAATGCTGTGACACAGATTATCCCAAAAGTTAGTAGCTTAAAACAACAGTAAAAGTTATTATCTCACACAGTTTCTGGGGGTCTAGAATTTGAGAGTGGCTTAGCTAGGTGTTTCTATATTAAGATTTCTCATGAGGCTGCGGTTAAGCTATTAGCCAGGGCTGCAGTCCCTTGAAGGCTTGACTGGGGCTGGGGCATCTACCTCCATGAGCAGAAAGTTCAGAGAGTTTCCTATATACACATCTCCCACCCTCATTTCCCTATTTTTTTTTTTTCTTTTTTAGACGGAGTCTCTCTCTGTTGCCAGGCTGGAGTGCAATGGTGCAATTTTGGCTCACTGCAACCTCCGCCTCCTGGGTTCAAGCGATTCTCCTGCCTCAGCCTCCTGAGTAGCTAGGATTACACGCGTGAGACACCACGCCCAGCTAATTTTTGTATTTTTAATAGAGACAGGGTTTCACCATGTTGGCCAGGATGGTCTCAATTTCTTGACCTCAGGTGATCTGCCCGCCTCGGCCTCCCAAAATGCTGTTATTACAGGTGTGAGCCACAGTGCCCAGCCCCATTTCCCTGTTTTTAACATCTTGCATTAGGGTGGTACATCGTTACAAATGAAACAGCATTTCCATCAGGTTCTTTTTTTTTTTTTTTTAAGAAATTGATAAGTTTATTTTAAAATTTACATGATAATGTCAAGGATCTACAATACCCAAAACAATCTTCAACAAACAGAATAGGGTCTCAGTTTTCCCATCTGTAAAATGTAGGGGTTGAGCTCTCGCTCTCGCTCTCGCTCTCCCTCTCCCTCTCCCTCTCCCTCCTCCTCCCCCTCCCCACGGTCTCCCTCTCCCTCTCTTTCCAGGGTCTCCCTCTCATGCCGAGCCGAAGCTGGACTGTACTGCTGCCATCTCGGCTCACTGCAACCTCCCTGCCTGGTTCTCCTGCCTCAGCCTGCCGAGTGCCTGCGATTGCAGGCGCGCGCCGCCATGCCTGACGGGTTTTCGTATTTTTTTGGTGGAGACGGGGTTTCGCTGTGTTGGCCGGGCTGGTCTCCAGCTCCTAACCGGGAGTGATCCGCCAGCCTCGGCCTCCCGAGGTGCCGGGATTGCAGACGGAGTCTGGTTCACTCAGTGCTCAGTGGTGCCCAGGCTGGAGTGCAGTGGCGTGATCTCAGCTCGCTACAATCTCCACCTCCCAGCCGCCTGCCTTGGCCCCCCAAAGTGCCGAGATTGCAGCCTCTGCCCGGCCGCCACCCCGTCTGGGAAGTGAGGAGCGTCTCCGCCTGGCCGCCCATCATCTGGGATGTGAGGAGCCCCTCTGCCTGGCTGCCCAGTCTGGAAAGTGAGGAGCGTCTCTGCCCAGCCGCCATCCCATCTAGGAAGTGAGGAGCGCCTCTTCCCGGCCGCCATCCCATCTAGGAAGTGAGGAGCGTCTCTGCCCGGCCGCCCATTGTCTGAGATGTGGGGAGCACCTCTGCCCTGCCACCTCGTCCGGGATGTGAGGAGCATCTCTGCCCGGCCGCCCCGTCTGAGAAGTGAGGAGACCCTCTGCCTGGCAACCGCCCCGTCCGAGAAGTGAGGAGCCCCTCCGCCCAGCAGCCACCCCGTCTGGGAAGTGAGGAGTGTCTCCGCCCGGCAGCCACCTCGTCCGGGAGGGAGGTGGGGGGGTCAGCCCCCCGCCCGGCCAGCCGCCCCGTCCGGGAGGTGAGGGGCGCCTCTGCCCGGCTGGCCCTACTGGGAAGTGAGGAGCCCCTCTGCCCGGCCACCACCCCGTCTGGGAGATGTACCCAAGAGCTCATTGAGAACGGGCCATGATGACAATGGCGGTTTTGTGGAATAGAAAGGCGGGAAAGGTGGGGAAAAGATTGAGAAATCGGATGGTTGCCGTGTCTGTGTAGAAAGAGGTAGACATGGGAGACTTTTCATTTTGTTCTGTACTAAGAAAAATTCTTCTGCCTTGGGATCCTGTTGATCTGTGACCTTACCCCCAACCCTGTGCTCGCTGAAACATGTGCTGTGTCCACTCAGGGTTGAATGGATTAAGGGCGGTGCAAGATGTGCTTTGTTAAACAGATGCTTGAAGGCAGCATGCTCCTTAAGAGTCATCACCACTCCCTAATCTCAAGTACCCAGGGACACAAACACTGCGGAAGGCCGCAGGGTCCTCTGCCTAGGAAAACCAGAGACCTTTGTTCACTTGTTTATCTGCTGACCTTCCCTCCACTATTGTCCTGTGACCCTGCCAAATCCCCCTCTGCGAGAAACACCCAAGAATGATCAATAAAAAAAAAAAAAAAAGAAAAAACAGAATAAAGCTGGGAGAACAATATACTACCTGACTTTAAGATATACTGCAAAGCTACAGCAATCTCAACAATGCAGTACTAGCACAGGACAGACAAACAGATCAATGAAACAGAAGAGGGAATGTAGAGACATACAGTCAACTGATTTTTGGTTAAGGCATCTGAACAACTCAATGTGGAAAAAAAAGTCTTTTCAACAAATAGTCTGTCCCATCTGGATACTTATGTGAAAGAAAATGAGCCTCAACCCCTGTGATATATCATTATCACGAGGCAGTGGTATCATTATATCACACGGGTCAATAAAATATGTTTTCGTTCATAGTTCCTGGCCCGTAACTCGTGTAGCTGTTATTTCTCCCCAAGGCAGTCCACAGAAACTAAAAATATAATCTTCCTGCATCTTTCTGTCTTGGAGCTGGCCATAAAGAAATTCTCTGACCCATCTTGCCTGATTGTAGGTCATAAGACCTCCCCGTTTTAGAAGGTGTCCTATACCATACCCTGGGGGAAAGAACGCTGCACAGAGAGGCCAGGAAGGATCTGAACAGACAGGCCTTGCTGCGTTTCCCCACTCAGACTGTTAGTATTACATCATACTCTTTTTGTCCAGTCTCATTTCTACACAGCTGTCCATGCTTTAGTCATGCCTATCCAATGAAGTCTCCATAGAAGGCCCAAGAGGAGCTTCCAGATAGGTGAACAATTGGAGGTTCCTGGAGGGTGTCACACCCGGGGAGGCCACAGAGGCTCCATACCCTTTCCCACATACCTCACCCTATGCGTCTCTTCTTCTGTATCCTTTGTACTATCCTTATAATAAACTGGGAAATGTGTTTCCCTGCGTTCTGTGAGCCACTTTAGCAAATTAATTGAACCTAAGGAGGGGGTAATAGGATCGCTAGTTTACAGCTGGTCGGTCAGAAGTACAGGTAAGTGTGTGGTAGCTAACCCTGTAATCCCAGCTACTCAGGAAGCTGAGGCAGGAGGATCACTTGAGCCCAGCCCAAGAGATAGAGACCAGCCTGAGCAACATAGTGAGGCCTTGTCTCTTAAAATAAATAAATAAATAAATAAATAAATAAATAAAGGACAGGTAAAACAACCTGGGGCTTGTGATTGACACTGGAAGTGAGAAGTCTTGTGGAACCTAGCCCTCGACCTGTGGGATCTGATGCTATCTCCAAATAGTGTCAGAATTGAATTGGAGGACACTTAGCTGGTGTCTGCTGCAGAACTGATTGCTTGCTTGCTGTTGGCGGGAAATTCCCACACATTTTGTCATAGAAGTCTTCTGTGTTGATTGCTGTGATGTGAGAGCAGAAGAAAAACAGTGTATGTTTTTCCATTTCACCTCTTATCAAACCGTACACAAGGCTGGGCACTGTGGCTCACGCCTATAATCCCAACACTTTGGGAAGCCGAGGTGGGAAGATTGCTTGAGCCCAGGAGTTAGAGACCAGCCTGGGCAATATTGCAAGACCTCGTCTCTACAAAATATAAAAAACCTAGCCAGGCGTGGTGTGCATCTGTAGTCCCACCTACTTGGGAGGCTGAGGTGGGATCACTTAAGCTCAGGAGCTGGAGACTGCAGTGAGCTGTGATCACACCACTGCACTCCAGCCTGGGTGACAGAGTGAGACCTTGTCTTGCATACACACACACACACACACACACACACACACACACACACAACCATACACAAAAATTAATAGAAAATGGGTCACAGACCTAATGTAAAAGCTAAAATGATAAAATTCCTAGAACAAAAAGTAGAAGCATGACTTTGTGACCTAAGGGTAGGGAAATATTTTTTAGAAAGGATACAGAACACAGTAACTATAAAAAAAATTTAGGGGCCAGGCATGGTGGCTTACGCCTGTAATCCCAGCACTTTGGGAGGCCAAGGTGGGCAGATCACCTGAGGTCAGGAGTTTGAGACCAACCTGGCCAACATGGTGAAACCCCGTCTCTACCAAAATACAAAAAGTTAGCTGGGCGTGGTGGCGTGCACCTGTAGTCCCAGCTACTCGGGAGGCTGAGGCAGGGGAATCCCTTGAACCTAGACGGCGGAAGTTGCAGTGAGCCAAGATCATGCCAGTGTACTCCAGCCGAGGTGACAGAGTGTGACCCTGTCTCAAAAAAATAAAATAAAAAGCTACCACTAAGAATATTAAGAAGCAAGCCACATACTGGAAGAAAATGTAGATAAAACACGTATCTGACAAAGATTTATATCTAGAATATACAAAAATTTCAAAAACTCAAAAAATGAAAACTGAGCTACAGGTTTAATAATTGCATACCTTTTGGTATATATGTTATACTTCAACAAAAATGTAAGTATTTAAAAAACTGGCTGTGTGTAGTGGCTCATGCCTGTAATCCCAGCACTTTGGGAGGCCAAGGGGGTGGATAGCTTGAGCCTAGGAGTTTGAGACCAGCCTGGTCAACATAATGAGACCTCATCTCCACAAAAAAGAAAATACTCTCAATGGAAGTGTTTAGCTGAAGATCAGAAACATCTGCAGAGAGAATCAACGACCTGGATGTAGATCAGAAGATATTATGTAGAGTGCAGCTCAGAGAGACAAAGAGTTGGAAAATATTTAAAAAGTTAAAATTCACATAGTAGAGTGATAAGATCTAATATGTCTAATTGGAGTTCCAAAACGAGAGGAGATATTTGAGCAGAGGCCCTGTATGAACAGATAATAATAGCTGGGGATTCTAAACTCATGGAAGATTTCCATAGCCAGACATCAATCAAGTCTCAAGTAGAATATGCATGTATCAAAATATCACATGTATCCCAGACATATGCACATTATGGATCAATAAAATTTGTTTAAAGACCAGGTGCAATGGCTCATACCTGTAATCCCAGCACTTTGGGAGGCCAAGGTGGGTGGATCACTTGAGGTCAGGAGATCGAGACCAGCCTGGCCAACATGGTGAATCCCCATCTCTACTAAAAATACAAAAGTTACCTGTAATCTCAGGCACTTTGGAAGGTTGAGGCAGGCAGATCACTTGAGGTCGGGAGTTTGAGACCAGCCTGGCCAACATAGTGAAACCTCATCTGTACTAAAAGTACAAAAATCAGTTGGGTGTGGTGGCAGGCGCCTGTAGCCCCAGCTACTCAGGAGGCTGAGGCAGGAGAATTGCTTGAACCTGGGATGCAGAGGCTGCAGTGAGCCAAGATTCAGGTATCCCTGTTATTGGAAGTACTAGTCAGAGGCTGGAAGGCCATTCAGTGAGGTTGCTACAGAAAAGATTCAAGCATCAGGCAATGTTTAGACAGATGACCTTTAAGATCCCTTCCAACCCTAAGAACCTTGGAGTCTTACAGTTTTATACGTGCTTACCTTATGAAGACATCCTCCATGGTCATGACAGAGGCCCCAAAGCTGGAGATGCCCAGCTCTACCTGCCTCAGTTCCAAGTCAGTAAATAGAGATTCAAACCTGGAAGGAAAGAAATGGTTTTAGTCCTGAAAGGTGTAAGGTGAATCCCTTTCATCACTGCCCTTGGCTCTCTACTGGGGAAAAAGCATGGACTTTGGAGTCAGGAACGTATTTTTTCAAACACCAGCTTTGTCATTAGCTTTATAACTATGTGAATGTCAGGGGCCCTTCACAGTTTTTTACCTATTAACTCTGTATTAAGGTCTGTGGATGCTTTCAACAGCTCTTTGAGGACAGTGCTGAGAAGTTAAGAAACTTCCCTGAGGCCACACAGCCAGAAGCAGAAGAGCCAGGACTCAAGCTCAGGCCTTTCGTCTCCAGAGAGAGTGGTTTTAATTGTTATTTAAGCGAGGAAAGGAGATAATTCTTTTAGCCTGCTAATGTTAAAACCTTTCTCAAACATGCTTTCCATTTTTTTTAAATTAAAACAATCATGGCTTTTGTTTGTGATATTAAGAAATCCATCATAATGTTCTATAATGAAGGCTTCTATTCTCTCACAACCTAGTGTCCAACTTTTAAGAAACCAGACACATATGCCAGATGCCTATACGAGGTCTGCAGGGGCTTTGTGTGTGTCCCTGTGAGCAGACAATGGTTATAAACTAATCATGGCTGGGTTTGAGTCTAGACTCTGTCACTTACAAGTTTTGTGACTTTGAGCTAGTTGTTTCACCTTTCCAAATCTTCCCTCACCTGTAAGACAGATATTACCTAATTCAAAAAGTTGTAAGGATTGAGAAAAATGTAAAGATGCTTAGCAAAGTAGCCCCCCTGTGTTAAATATTCAGCAAATACTATTTACTGAATATGATCAACAGTCACACCCTCAGTATGTTCACTATCTTGCTCTTCATTCAGTTTCCAGTTACTGAAATTGTACTCATGCTATTGCTACTGTCTTGCCAACAAGATCACAGTAACCATTTTAAAATATTGAGGCAGAATTTAGGTAAACTATCTTGTTCTTACATGTATAGTTTGATGAGTTTTGACAAATGTGTAATATCACCCTAATCAAGACACCGAACATTCCATCACCCTAGAAAATGCCCCCATGTCCCCTTTGATGAGTCCCTCTCTTGCCCTCAGACAACCAAATGTCCTAAATTTTACATTAGTTTTACTTCTTCTTGCTCTTCATGTAAATGGAATCATATGGTCTTTTCATCTCTTGCTTCATCCATGTAACATGTTTTTGAGGTTAAACCGTGTTGCATGCATTAGTTCATTCTCGTAAATTGCAGAGCAGCATTCAACAAAAGGAATATATCTATTCTCCTGTTGATAGACATTTGAATTGTTCCTGTGTAAGGATGCTTATGCATAAAGCAGCTATAAATGTTCTTCTATGTGTCCTGTGTCTGGACATATGTTTTCATTTATCTTGAATAACACAGTAGATAAATGATAGCTACAAATTCTTTGCTACTTTTCCCACTGAGAGGTGGCCTTTAATTCCCTTTTATCTGGGCTGGCCTTAGTGTCTTGCTTGACTGAGAGGATGCAATGCAAGTAATGGATGTTGGGTAGAAGAAGCCTTCAGGTATCTTGATTTCTTTGGGAGCCCCAAGCCACCAGGTAAGATGCCTCACTACCTTGAAACCAGGCTGAATCCATGCCAAGGCACAGACATGTGAACAAAGCCTCCAGATAAGTCCACTCCCCAACTTGTGTTTTGTTAAAGGCTTTTATGTCTATGCCCATGAGGATATTAGTCTATAATTTCCTGTTGTCATAGGGACTTTTCCAGGTTTTGGTATCAGGGTTGTGCTGGCCTTAAAATGAGTTGGGAAGTGTTTCCTTCTCTATTTTCTAAAAGATTGAGATTATTTTTTTCTTCAATGTTTCATAGAATCTGGAGTTCTCTTTTTGGGAATACTTTTGATTGCAAATTCAATTTCATGAATAGATATATGGTTATTCAGATTTTTCTGCTTCATTTTGTAAGTTTTGGTAAATTGCATTGTTTAAGAAATCAGTCCATTTTACCTAAAGTGTCCAATTTATTTACATGTGATATTTTATTATTATCCTTTTTGTAACTCTAGGCTCTGTAACTATAGCAGTACTTTCCTTACTGGTGCTAGTTAATTTTCTTTTTTTCTTTAATGGTCTTGGAATTAATGGTTTATCATTTAATGGTTTATCAATATAATTTATCAATTTTATTAATCTTTTAAAATAACTTTTTGCTTTTTAGCTTTTTAGCATTTTGGCCTTTCTCAATTTTCTTTTTGTTTCTTATTACATTATTTTCTCCCCCTATATTTTTCATTTCTTCTCTTCCACATAATCTGGGTTTAATTTTCTCTTCTTTTCCTACCTTTTCCGTTGGAAACAGGTAAATGATTTTAAGCCCCTTTTCTTTTCAAATGTAAGTTTTTAAAAGCTATATATTTCTAAGCACTGCCTCAGTAGCATCTGAAAATTTTTGATACATTGTATTTTCATCATCATTCAGTTAAAAATATTTTCCACTTTTTTTTTCTTTTTTTTTTTGAGATGGAGTCTCACTCTGTTGCCAGGCTGGAGTGCAGTGGCGCAATCTCGGCTCACTGCAACCTCTGCCTCCTGGGTTCAAGCAATTCTCCCGCCTCAGCCTCCTGAGTAGGTGGGACTACAGGCACACGCCACCACGCCCAGCTAATTTTTGCATTTTTAGTAGAGACGGGGTTTCACCATGGTGGCCAGGATGGTCTCAATCTCTTGACCTTGTGATCCACCCGCGTTGGCCTCCCAAAGTGCTGGGATTACAGGCGTGAGCCACCGTGCCCGGCCTCCACTTTTTCTTTGACCCATGAGTTATTCAGAAGTATGTTGTTTAACTCTCAAATATTTGTGGATTTTTTAGATATCTCTTTTTTTTTTTTTTTTTTTTTGAGATGAAGTCTCACTCTATCACCCAGGCTGGAGGGTGGTGGTAAGATCTCAGCTCACTGCAACCTCCGCCACCTGGGTTGAAGCGACTCTCTTGCCTCAGTCTCCTGAGTAGCTGGGATTACAGGCACGCGCCACCATGCCAGGCTAATTTTTGTATTTTTAGCAGAGATAGGGTTTTACCATGTTGGTCGGGCTGGTCTCGAACCCCTGACCTCAGGTGATCCACCCACCTTGGCCTCCCAAAGTGCTGGGATTACAGGTGTGAGCCACCACGCCCAGCCAATTATCTAGATATCTTATTGTAATCAATTTCTAATTTAATTCCCTTGTAGTCAGAGATCATAACCCACGATTTCAATTTTTTGAAATTTATTTGGACTTATTTCACATGAGCATACCCTCCCACTAAAACTGGACAAAAATATATATGAAGCCATTTCAGATATTAAGCATTAGGAAGTCCAGGACCATGTTTGATTCTTGAGAGAAGAGAAACACTAAAGAGAGACCTATATTTGCCCCAGCTCTTTGGCTTGGGCACTTTCTAGAACATGGCCCAGAAAAGTAAAGGCAAATCAGAGTGTAGCAGTGAACTTGCTGAGCTGAGAAGGTAGAGATGAGAAGACAGAGCTTCTGAAATGTATGGACTTTGTGGGACTAGGACAAGAGAGGAGAAGCTGGTAGGGGAGGGCCCAAGTAATCCATTATGGTAAATATCCCCTAGGCATTTGGAGAGAATGGGTGTTCTGCAGCTGTAGTCTGTAGTGTCTATCTGCAGGAAGTAAGTGTGATGACAGTATTATCAAAATATTTTATATCCTTAGTGAGTTTTTTGTCTACTTGCTCTATAAATCACTGAGGAAAGGGTGCCATAATCTCCAAAATGGTTGGGATTTTGACTTCATCTATTTTTGTCAACATTCTCTTTATGTATTTTGAAGCTCTGTTATGAGGCACATGCACATAAACAACTGTTAGGTCTTCCTGGTGTACTGACTCTCATTATGCACTGTCTCTATTTCTGTGACATAGCTACTCTGAGAAGATGGCCTAACAATTTCTGCCCTCCCTGATTGAGCATGGCACATCTCACATCAAGAAGTGGTGCTTACTTCCCCTCCCCTTTGGCTGCTCTGAGCAATAGAATGTGACGGAAGTGTTGTGTTGGTATTTCTGAGCCCAGGCCTTAAGAGACGTGGCTGTCTTTGCTTTCTTTTGAAACATGCACTCTTGGGATGCTTCTTCTTGGAACCCAGCTGTCATGCTATGAGACACTCAAACCACACCGAGAACCTACATGGAGGGGTACTGGGTGCACCAGTCAGCAGCCCTAGTGAGCTCCCAGTTGATAGCCAGTACCATCATCCCAGACATGAGAATGAACCATCTCGGATATTCCAACCCATTCTAGGCCCCAGATACCTGTAGCCCCAGCCAACATTATTTAGAGCATAATGTCTGTCCAGCTGAGCCCAGGCAAGCTACAGAATCATGATCGGCAGTAAAATGGTTGTCATATGAAGTCAGAAAACTTGGGGATAATTTGTTATATAGTATACAACTGAAACAAAATTTGGCACCAGAAGCACTGTGACAAAAACCTACAACATCTGGCATGGCTGTGGGACCAGATAGCAGGATGAAGGCAAGAGGAGCCTCAAGGGAACTCTAGACAGAGGCTGGAAGAACAGTGAGGAAATTGTTATTTCTCATGTTATTTGGTGCAGAAGGTTTGGCAACACTCTTACCTGCAGTAACAAGAAAGATTGAAAGGGTATTTAATGAGCTTGTGGATAAGTTCCTATGGAGATTTCCAGTTATAATGTTGAAAGTGCCAGCTGGTTTCTTATAGCTGCCTATGATTTAACCACGAGAGAAATAAATTTAAAAAGGAAATAATCAAATGTTCATCAGAATTTTAGAGAAAAAAGGCCAGGCACGGTGGCTCACGCCTGTAATCCCTGCACTTTAGGAGGCCGAGGCAGGTGGGTCACCTGAGATCAGGAGTTCGAAACCAGCTTGGCCAACGTGGCGAAACTCCATCTACTAAAAATACAAAAAATTGGCCAGGCCTGGTGGCAGGTGCCTGTAATCCCAGCTACTTAGGAGGCTGAGGCAGAAGAATAGCTTGAAGCTGGGAGGCGGAGGTTGCAGTGAGCCTAAATCATGCCACTGTACTCCAGCCTGGATGACAGAGCAAGACTCTGTCTCAAAAAGAAAAAAAAAAAAAATATATATATATATATATATATACAGAGAGAGAGAGAGAGAGAGAGAGAGAGAGCCCAGGACAGTATTTCCAGTTTGGAAAAGGTTCTCAAATTTCTCAGAACTAAAATGAAAGCCAAAATGATGCCAATAAAATACTTTTTCAGGATAAATATCAGATTAACTGTGCAGCTATAAGGTCCTTTGTCAAGACCTCAGAAAGGTTTAAAAGTGCACCTCTCAAATGTGGTGTGCTGAAGCTGACTTATACAAGCTCTTGAGAGCCAATTGTTAAATTTTCAGAAATTCTGTGAGCTGGTTGTTACAACCATTTAAAAAAATTAAGTTATATAAATTTAAAATTAACGAATCACAGTAAAGGGAAGGTATTAATTAAAACTCACTGATTCCTCATTCTTTTACTCCATTGTATTTAATACTATTATCTATGTTCTTGAGGTTATTTAACTCTATTGTGTCTTTAGGGTAGGAATATTACAGAGTGTTACTGAACATTTCTTCCCAATGCCACATTCAGTAATTTCACTCTGGTAACATGAAATTGGCTGTGGTGGGAGTATTTACACCACAGACATCAGCAAAAGCTGCAAATCAGGCCTTACTAATTGTCTTGTTGGCTGTTTAGACTCAAGAAAGTGTTAGAATGTTTAAAAGAATGTCATGCCATTATATGATGACTAGCATTAAAAAAAAAATCTGGCAAATAATAGCTGAACTGCAACCATAGTTGACTATGAATATGAGAGTTTGGCAAACATCAACATAAACGTACTGTGAGACTAAATTGGCTAAATGAAAGTTACAATAAAGAATACTGTATATTTTATCATGATTTGTAAATTGTGTGCTACACATTCTTTATATCAGTAAAATTTATAATACAATTATATACATATATATGCATACTTTTTTTCATGGAGAATAGCTAAATATTTAGCAGCACACATACCACTGCTCACAGACTCTCATCATCTGGACAAAAGCTTTTAAAAACCATAATGGTTCTGGGCACAGTGGCTCATGCTTGTAATCCCAGCACTTTGGGAGGCCGAGGCAGGCGGATCACCTGAGGTCAGAAGTTTGAGATCAGCCTGGCCAACATGGTGAAATCCCATCTTTACTAAAAAAGAACAAACATTTAGCTGGGTGTGGTGGTGCACGCCCATAATCCCAGCTACTCGGGAAGCTGAGGTGGGAGAATCACTTGAACCCAGGAGCTGGAGGTTGCAGTGAGCCGAGATCACACCACTGCACTCCAGCCTGGGTGACAGAGTGAGGCTCCATCTCAAAAAAATAGAATAAAATAATTAAAAAAAATTAAAATCATAACAGTGTTGTCCCATATCTCCATGGCTCTCAGCCCAAGGTAGACAGACTTGTGTTGAAGATATTGTGAGTGTGGCCATAGTCTAACAAACTGTATTTCATAATGTGATACATAGGAAACCTACAAAGTATTTAAATAAATTGTATCAGCTTACACAAAAAGGGACAGAGAGAGTTCAAAGTGAAAAGTGGCCTCTAGTCAACCTCCTACAAGCAGGAAGCAGGCAAATGAAGCTGCTCTGCTACAAATGTCAACCATCTTTCATGAAAAACGAAGTATCCACACTATTTAAGAGGCAGAGCCAATAGCCTCGCAGAGTCAACAGCCCAGCTGAGTCAACAGCCCAGCACAGCCAACAGCCCAGCTGAGTCAACAGCCCAGCAGAGCCAACAGCCCAGCAGAGCCAACAGCACAGCTGAGTCAACAGCTCAGGCTCACAGTAGCTGCTCTGTGCTATGCACCATGAACTCTTAGCCTGCTCTTGTACAGCCCAGCCCTCAGCCACAGATTCAAGTGAACCTGCACAGAGACTTTTGGGGCCCTCCCTCTCTTACCAGCTTTCTCTTCTCCTGTCCTAGTCCCACAAAGTCCAGACACTTCAGGAGCTCTGACCTCTCATCTCTACCTTCTCAGCTCAGCAAGTTCACTGCTACACTCTGATTTGCCTTTACTTTTCTGGGCCATGTTTTGGAAAGTGCCCAAGCCGAAGAGCTGGGGCAAATATAGGCCTCTCTTTAGTGTTTCTCTTCTCTGAAGAATCAAACATGGTCCTGGACTTCCTAATGCTTAATATCTGAAATGGCTTCATATATTTTTGTCGAGTTTTAGTGGGAGAGTATGCTCTTTATCAGTTACTCCATCATGACTGGAAGCAGAAGTGACTTCTGTTTTTAAATTTATGATGAGATTTTGTTTGTGTGTTGAGGAGTCTGGCTCATGGTTAAAAACCCATGTATGATTTTTCAGGCCCGACTATAGGTAATTACAAGGTTTTACCTGGCAGGCCTCACAGGGATAGCTGCCCTGGCTGCATCAGACTTGGGGCCAGCCACTGCAGCACTGTGCTCTCTGAAGGGAGGTGGGGTTAAGGACTCAGGCCTCTCCTGGCTGGCCATGCTCTTATCTGCATTCCTAAGTAAATTATTATATGTGGATGAATACATGGTGATTTCTTTTTGACATATTATGGGAAATTTTATTGATAAATGATACTATCAAACAATCCTTTCAATATGGTATAGTAGTCTTTCAATGAACTACATGGTGCAGTATTCTTTCAGTGATCTGCTAGATTATATTAACCCATATTAGTAAAAAGGAGCAGGGAGATTTTGTTTGTTTGTTTGTTTTTGAGACAGGGTCTCACTCTTTTGCCCAGGCTGGAGTACTGTGGCATGATCACGGCTCACTGTGGCCTTGACTTCCCAGGCTCAAGCGTTCTTTCTGCCTTAGCCTCCCGAGTAGCTGGGACTACAGATGTGCACCACCAAGCCTGGCTCTTTCTTTTCTTTCTTTCTTCCTTCCTTCCTTCCTTTCCTTCTCTCTC
This sequence comes from Homo sapiens, assembly GCF_000001405.40. Classification (NCBI taxonomy): domain Eukaryota; kingdom Metazoa; phylum Chordata; class Mammalia; order Primates; family Hominidae; genus Homo; species Homo sapiens. The sequence continues at coordinate 2,387,854 of NC_000016.10, read as the reverse complement.
TTTCTTTCTTTTTTTCTGTTGAGACAGGTCTTCCTGTCTTGCCCAAGCTGTTCTCAAACTCCAGGGCTCAAGTGATCCTCCTGCTTCAGCCCCACAAGGTACTGGGATTATAAGCATGGGCCACTACTGCCAGCCTGTATTTTTTTAATGTTCTCTGGAAGACTTTGAATAAAATCAAAATTATATTTTCTTTAAATATTTGATAAAAGTGATCAGGTTTATAAAAACTTTTTGGTATTTATTGAGTCAATTTTAATAAAATTATTTTTCTGGACAGTCTACCATTATATTCAGGTTTTCTAATATATTAGTTTAAAACTGTACAAAATATTGTCTTCTAATTTTTTGGTATCTATGGGTTTTTTCCCCCAATTCTCAATTCCAATTTTACATATTTGTGCTTATTCTCCATTCATCTTTAAGAGGCTTCTTTTCTCCAGGCCTCTTTGCAAGGTCCCTCTCTGTGGAACCTCGAATTTTAGGAGCGCTTCAGGAACTGTTTGTAAGCTCCTTTGTTTCTTTCTCTATGTTTTCTTCCTACCTGACCGTATCCCTTCCCACAACTTTAAATACTTCTACAAGCAGATGACTCCCATGCATTTCCAGGCTGACCCTCTCCTCAATGCCCAGCTTCATTCACATCCAACTGCCTTCTTGATGTCTCCACTAGGGTGGCTCAGGGGCCTTTCAAATGTAAAGAATTCTTAACTGACCTTTTCATAACCACCTCTCTCAACACTGCTTGTCTCCCATTCTTTCCCACTGCCACTTGGGAGTGGCCAGACAGGTAGGAGTAAAACCCCCAAGGAGTAAATTTTGCCAAGGAAGCCAAGAGAGAAGAGTGTTTCAAGAAGAAAGAAATGGTTAACTACGTAACTGATGTTGTGGGGTTGAGTATGGTTAGGGTAAAAAGTTATCGCTATGTCTTAGTTCTTAGGTTGCATAGAGGGTTCACTAGTGCTCATTCTGTTATTTACACTTCATAATTACATATATGAAACATATATTTACAGGTATAAAATATTACCCAATAATTTTTATTTTTTTATTTTTTATTTTTTAATTTTTTTTTCAGACAGGGTCTCTCTCTGAAGCCCAGGCTGGAGTGCCATGGCATGATCTCGGCTCACTGCAACCTCCACCTCCTGAGTTCAAGCGATTCTTCTGCCTCAGCCTCCCAAGTAGCTGGGATTACAGATGCCTGCCACCATGCCCGGCTAATTTTTGTATTTTTAGTAGAGACGAGGTTTCCCCATGTTGGCCAGGTTGGTCTCGAACTCTTGACCTCAGGTGATCCACTCGCTTCGGCTTCCCAAAGTGCTAGGATTACAGGCATGAGCCACTGCGCCCAGCCTTTTTTTTTTTAAAAAAAGAAATAGAAAGTAGGCCAGGCGCGGTGGCTCACACCTGTAATCCCAGCACTATGGGAGACCGAGGCAGGCAGATCACAAGGTCAGCAGATCGAGACCATCCTGGCTAACACGGTGAAATCCCATCTCTACTAAAAATACAAAAAATTAGCCAGGAGTGGTGGCGGGCGCCTGTAGTCCCAGGTCGAGCAGGAGGGGAACCCACTGCCTCCAGTCCCACCGCCGCACCTTGGAGCCTGCGATGAGGGCGATGCCGATGGAGAGCTTGCGGCTCATGCCCCCGCTCAGGAAGCGGCTCCGTGAGTTCCACTTGTCCTCCAGGCCTATGATGTGCAGCACCTGCTTGACTTCAGGGCACTTCTGACGTGACAGGCCCTTCAGCTGCAACGACAGGGGACGCAGGGAGATGCAGGGCTCCTGGCGGGAGGCCGACCCTGACCAGCGAACATTTTGTTGTGTGTATACATATACATAAAAACTTACACCAGAAACTCATTACCTTCAGGGAAAGGGATGGACAAAGGCTTTTGCATTTGAACCATGTAAATAAACTTACGATGTTAAAAAGTAAATACAGCAGCATGTTAAAGGGTTATTCATCACAACCAAGTGGGATTTATCTCAGGAATGCAAGGGAGGCTGAGCACATGAAAAACCAGGGTTTCAGTTTTTATAATAAAGAACTGGCTGGCCCTTGTCCCTGGTTCCTGGAAAGAAGCCTGTAAATGCTTAAAATTTCTGGAGTAATAGGAGTATCTTTGTTCCTCATAGTGGATCTCCACCCTGCCATCATCATACCTGAGTTTATGCTAAGGAGGTGACTCAGGATGTGGGATGGTCACACTAGAAAGACCAGCCATGTGATTAGAAGGCTGGGGCTTTGAGCTATGTGATGTCACCCTGCCTCCGAGTTTCCTGGGTTGTGGAAAGAACGCTGGAGATGGAGTTCAATGATGTGGCCAATGCTTCAATCATTCATGCTTGTGTAATAAAACCCCAATAAAAACTGGATACTCAAAGCTTAGGTGAGCTAACCCAATAGACACCAATATGCTGGGAGGGTGCTACGTCCTGAGGACACAGAAGCTTTGCATTTGGGACTCTCCCAGACCCCACCCATGCAGCTATTTTGTTGGCCTGTCCTGAATTGTATCCTCTAGAATAGAACTATAATCATAAGTATAGTACTTTCCTGAGTTCTGTCAGTTGTTCTAGTGAATTAACAAACCTGAGAGAATAGTGGGACTTCCACAATTGCAGCCAGTTTGTCAGAAGTGCTTTGTTTGTTTGGGAACCTCCAAGCTTGTGGGTTCCAAAGTGGGGGCAATCTTGTGGGGGACTATACCTCTAATGTGTGAAGCCTATGCTAACTCTATTGTTAAAGTCACACTTTTTTTTTTGGTCTTTTTTTTCTCCTTTTTTCTTTGGAGAATGGGGTCTCGCTATATTGCCCAGGCAAGCCTTGAACTCCTGGGCTCGAGCTATCCTCCCGCCTCTGTCTCCCTAAGAGCAGGGATTACATGCACGAGCCACCACACCCAGCCCATTGTTAGAGTCAAACTGCACTGCAGTAATATAGCATATTTAACAGAAAGAAGGGCCAAAATCACATGACAATCTCAGTAGACACAGAAAAGCATTTGACAAAATCCAACACACTTTCATGATAAAAACACTCAGCAAACTAGGAATGGAAAGGAACTTCCTCAGCATGATGAAAGGCATCTATGAAAAAAACACAGATAGCATCACACCTAATGGTGAAACTGAAAGCTTCCCCCACAAAGATCAGGAACAAGACAAGGATGTCTGCTCTTGCCACTTTATTCAACATTCTACTGGAAGTTGTAGCCAGGGAAATTAGCCAGAAAAAAAAAGTCATCGAGACTGAAAGAAAGACGTAAAACTATTGCCTCTTGGCAGATCACATAAACTTATATATAGAAAACATTAAAGAATCCACAAAAAGCTATTAGAGCTAATAAATGAGCCTAGGAAAATGTCAGGATATAAGATAAATATACAAATGGGAGTTGTATTTCTTTACACTAGCAGTGAACAATCCAAAAATGAAATTACAAAAATAAATTCCATTTACATTAGTATCACAAAAGAGAAAATATTTAGAAATAAATTTAATCAAGGAAGTGCAAGAAAGGCAAGTACACTGAAAACTGTAAAACATGGCTGAAAGAAGTTAAAGAAGACCTAAATAAATGGAAATACCTTTTGTGTTCATAGATTGGAACACTTAATTTTGTTAATATGACATTACTATCCAAAGCAATCTAGAGGCTGGGTGCAGTGGCTCATACCTGTAATCCCAGCATTTTGGGAGGCCGAAGTGGGTGGATCACCTGAGGTCAGGAGGTCGAGATCAGCCTGGCCAACATGGTGAAACCCTGTCTCTACTAAAAATACAAAAAAATTAGCCAGGCATGGTGGCACACACCTGTAATCCCAGCTACTCGGGAGTCAGAGGCAGGAGAATCGCTTGAACCCAGGAGGCAGTGGTTGCAGTGAGCTGAGATTGAGCCTTTGCACTCCAGCCTAGGCAACAGAGCAAGACTCCATCTCAAAAAAATAAAAATAAACACAAAGCAATCTAGAGATTCAATGTAATCCCTACTAAAATTCCAATACCTTATTATTATTATTATTATTTTTTTTTTTTGCAAAAATAGGCAAGCTGATCCTAAAAATTCATATAGAAATGCAAGGGACTCAGAATAGCCAAAACAATCTTAAAAAGAAGAACAAAGTTGGAGGACTCATATTTCCTAATTTCAAAACTTCCTAGAAAGTTACAGTCATTGAGACATTGTGGTACTGGCATAACAACCGACATATGGAACAATGGAATAGAATTGGGAGTCTAGAAACAATCCCATATATCTATGGTAAATAGACTTTTTACAAGGATGCCATGACCATTCAATGGGGAAGGAATAGTCTTTTCAACAAATAGTGCTGAGACAACTTAATATCTATATGAAAAAGAATAAATGTAGACCCATACCTCACACCATATACAAAAATGTACTCATAATGGACCAAAGATCTAAATCTAAGAACCAAAGCTATGAAATCTTAAAAAGAAATATAAGTATAAATCCTAGACGATAATTTTTAAAATATAATAGCAAAAGCGTAAGTAACAAATAAAAAAAAGATAAATTAGATTTCATCAAAATTTAAAACTTTTGTTTTAAATTTAAAAATACTATCAATAAAGGGAAAAGACAATCCACAGAGTAGGAGAAAATATTTGCAAATCATATAACTAACAAGGGCCTAGGATCTAGAATATACACTTAAAAACTTTTTACAGGCTGGGTGCGGTGGCTCACGACTATAATCTCACTTAGCACTCTGAAAGACGAAGGCGAGAGGATCATTTGAACTCAGGAGTTTGAGACCAGCCTGGGCAACATGGTAAAACCCCATTTTTACAAAAAAATACGAAAATTAGCCAGGCAATTGGCCTGTACCTGTGGTCCCAGCTACTTGCGAGGCTGAGGCAGGATGATCACTTGAGCCTGGGAGGCAGAGATTGCAGTGAGGTGAGATCCTGTCACTGCACTCCAGCCTGGGCAACAAAGTGAGAGGTGAGAGGCTGTCTCAAAAAAAAAAAAAAAAAAAGCTGGGCACAGTGGCTCACATCTGTAATCCCAGCACTTTGGGAGGCTGAGGCTGGTGGATCGCCTGAGGTCAGGAGTTTGAAACCAGCCTGGCCAACATGGTGAAACCCTGTTTCTACTAAAAATACAAAAAAAAAAAAAAAAAAAAAAAATCAGTCAGGCGTGGTGGTGCACGTCTGTAATCCCAGCTGCTGAGGAGGCTAAGGCAGGAGAATCGCTTGAACCTGGGAGGCAGAGGATGCAGTGAGCCAAGATCGCACCATTGCACTCCAGCCTGGGTGACAGAGTGAGACTTCATCTCAAAAAAAAAAAAATGGAAAGAAAACAAAAACAAAAAAAACTCTTACAGCTCAACTACAAAAAGATAAAGAACCCAACCAAAAAAACAGGCAAAGGACTGGAATAGATATCTCTCCAAAGAAGTATACAAATAGCCAATAAGCACATGAAGAGATGCTCAACATTATTAGTCAACAGAGAAATGCAAATCAAAACCACAAGGTACTACTTCACACTAACGGCAATTTCTCAAAAAGTAAAACAAACAAACAAACAAAAAAGTTAAACATAGAGTTACCATCTGACCCATTAATTTCACTTATAGGTATTTACCCAAAATAACTGAAAATAGGTGTTCAAACAAAAACGTGAACACTAATGTTCATAGCAGCACTATTCACAATAGCCAAAGGGTGAAAGCAACCCGATGTCCATCAGCTGAGGAATGGGCAAACATTCAGGTGAGTAGAATGGATATTATGCAGCTATTAAAAGGAGTGAAGTACAAATATATACTAAAATATGGATAAACCTTGAAAACATTATGTTAAGTGAAATAAGCCAGACATAAAAAGCCACATATTGTATGACTCCATTTATATGAAATATCCAGGATAGGCAAACCCATAGAAACAGAAAGCAGATTAGTGGTTGCCAGGGACTAGGGGAAGGGAGCAATGGGAAGTCACTGATAATGTGTATAAGTTTATTTTGTGGGCAATGAAAATGTTCTGCAATAAGATAGTGGTGATGGTTACATGGCATTGTGAGTATACAGGCTGGGCACGGTGGCTCATACCTGTAATCCTAGCACTTTGGGAGGCTGAGGTGGGTGGATCACTTGAGGTCAGGAGTTTGAGACAAGCCTGGCCAACATGGCGAAACCCCATCTCTACTAACAATATAAAAATTAGGCCAGGCCCAGCACTTTGGGAAGCCGAGGCGGGTGGATCATGAGATCAGGAGATTGAGACCATCCTGGCCAACATGGTGAAACCCTGTGTCTACTAAAAATACAAAAATGCTGGGTGTGGTGGCATGCGCCTGTAGTCCCAGCTACTCAAGAGGCTGAGGCAGGAGAATCACTTGAACCCGGGAGGCAGAGGTTGCAGTGAGCCAAGATTGCGCCACTGCACTGCAGCCTGGGTGACAGAGTGCGACTCCGTCTCAAAAAAAAAAAGCACACACACACACAAATTAGCTAGGCATGGTTGCAGGTGCACGTAATCCCAGCTACTTGGGAGGCTGAGGCACGAGAATCGCTTGAACCCAGGAGGTGGAGGCTGCAGCGAGCTGAGATGGTGCTACTGCATTCCAGCCTGGGCAACAGAGTGAGACTCTGAAAAAAACAACAACAACAAAACAACAAAACACTGTGAGTATACTAAAAACTACTGAATTGAATATTGTAAAATGAGTAAAATGATGAATTTCACGTTATGTGAATTTTGTCTCAATAAAAAGTAAAAAATATATAAAAATTCAAATACAGTCATTTGTAGAAATCCTTTAACTCAGAAATCTTGACTTAAACGCCATGCCCTTCACCCTTCCTGAATGTTTAAGGAATAGTGTCCAGAAGAGGTTTCAAGACTGACATAATAAAAAAATATATATTTGGTCTCTGCCCTGGTTCCTGGCACTGAGCTCCTAAAGCCCTTGTAATTTCCTGAGTGACAAAGCTGCTAGAAGCATCTTTTGTTCTAATATTTGGTCTTCGATTTGATATTTGATTTGGTTTCTTACACAGAATTCCCAACTCCCTTGGAATTTCCTGAGTGATAGGAGCATCTTTTTGTTCTAGGGAGGCAACTTTTGGTGGGCTCCTGGACTGCTTCAGGATGTGAGCTAGTCACCAGAAAGACCAAGCCATGGTTAGAAGCTTGGAAATTTCAGACCAGGCGTGGTGGCTCGTGCCTGTAATCCCAGCACTTTCAGAGGCTGAGGCCGGTGGATCTCTTGAGGTCAGGAGTTCGTGACCAGCCTGGCCAACATGGTGAAACCTCATCTCTACTAAAAATAAAATTTAAAAAATTAGCTGGGCCTGGTGGTGGGCACCTGTAATCCCAGCTACTCAGGAGGCTGAGTCAGGAGAATCGCTTGAACCTGGGAGGTGGAGGAGCCAAGATCACGCCATTGCACTTCAGCCTGGGCAACAGAGAAAGACTCCGTCTCAAAAAAAAAAAAAAGCTTGGACATTTCAGCCTCACCCCCAATCCTCCAGGGAGTGGGAGAGGGATTGGAGGCTGTGCTAATAACTGGTCATGACCACATGATGTAGCCTGCCTAAAAATATCTAAACTATGGGCTCTGAAGAGTTACCGGGTTGGTGAATACACTGAGGTGCTGCCAAGGTGGTATACTAGGACAGGGCATGGAAGTTCTGCACTGCTTTTCACACACCTTGTCCTGTGTACCTCTTTATCTGGTTGTTCATGTGTATCCTTCATAATACCCTCTATAATAAAGGGTTTTGTGAGCTTTTATAACAAATTATCAAACCTAAGGAGGAGGTTGTCGGAACCCCCAAACAACAGCCAGTTGGTCAGAAGTACAGGTAACAACCTGGAACTTGCAACTGACATCTGAAGTCAGGGATGGGGGCAATCTTGTGAGACTGAGCCTTAAACCTGTGGAGTCTGCATTAACTTTAGATAGTCAGCATTAAGAACTGAATTGTAGGACACTCAGTTGCTATCCGCAGAGTTGGAGAATTGGTTGGTGTGGGAAAACTCCACATACATTTGGTGTCAGAAGTGTTGAGAATAGAGAAACACAAGTTTTCATTTTAAAGACACTCCCAGGAGGTTGCAGTGAGCTGAGATCACGCCACTGCACTCCAGCCTGGTGACAGAGCAAGACTCCATCTCAAAAAAAAAAAAAAAAAAGACCTACCCTGAGTTGAATCAGAGAGCTGCAGTCTATCTCATCATTCCCAAGAGTGGATACAGAGGAAACAAATCCCTGTTATCCATCGACTCACCTGACCATAGAAAGAAAGATGTTCTGCTACTGTTAACTTATCAGATAAGACATCATGTTGGGGCACCAGCCCAGGCTCTTCCTAATGTGAAATATCTCTTGTGAAATTTCATATCCATTGACATATGCACATCCACTTGTAGGGGGAATAAGACCTAGAACCAAGGGGAAGACAAGATACTGAAGTTATCTTCAGTCAGAGCACACAGCAGCACGAAGGCCCGATGATACTTTCTGCTTTGTTCACTTGTTCTCACACACACTGTCCTTATACTACTTCTTTGCCACAGTCAGTGAAATCAGCAGCATCCAAGGAGTATGTATGTTCTATGCATGACAATGTACCAGGATGTGTGGGGAGTATTAGAGATAGGAGATATCCTCCCTACTTTTGAGAAATTCCAGTGAGTTAAATGAATAAAACACACATAGGCACATGTAAAAGCAAATTACATTACTGTAAGTATTAAATAATAATTTGGATGCCTAGTAAATATGATTAAGAAAAGTTTTGTGGGAATCTAACAGTTTTGAATTGAGACCCCTGAAGGCAAGTTCTCTGACTTATCTCTGATTCTTAATAAGTATCTGTTCAATGAATGAATAAATAAATGAATGTTCTCATTGCCAAATGTATGCCAGCATAAAATTTTGCAGCCTGCCTACCCGCATACTATCATTGTCTTTATTCTTATTTTCTAGGTATTTTTTCTGGTTGAAAAAGGCAATAAATTCTTATTACAACAAGGTCAAAAAAAGGTATAACAAAGAAAACAAGTTATACAAATCCTATCATTAAAAGATAACTTCATTTCACTTTGGGAGGCCGAGGCGAGCGGATCACAAGGTCAGGAGATCGAGACCATCCTGGCTAAAACAGTGAAACCCCGTCTCTACTAAAAATACAAAAAATTAGCCGGGCGTGGTGGCGGGGGCCTGTAGTCCCAGCTCCTCAGGAGGCTGAGGCAGGAGAATGGTGTGAACCCAGGAGGCAGAGCTTGCAGTGAGCTGAGATCACGCCACTGCACTCCAGCCTGGGCGACAGAGCGAGACTCTGTCTCAAAAACAACAACAACAATAAAAATAAAAAAAAAAACAAACTTCTGTTAACATTTTGCTATATAGCCTTAGGTATTTTTTATGTAAAAAATAAATGTACTCAAAAATTTATTTTAATTATTAATTAATGTACTCATACATTTATTTTTTAACACAAATGAGAATATAAGTATAAATTCTAGTTTTCTAACTGGCTTTTTTTTTTTTTTTTGAGACAGGGTCTGGCTCTGTTGCCCAGGCTAAAGTGCAGCAGCATGATCTCAGTTCACTACAGCCTCTATCTCCCGAGTTCAAGTGATTCTCATGCCTCAGCCTCCTGAGGAGCTGAGATTACAGGTGTGTGCCCCCAAACCCAGCTATTTTTTGTATTTTTAGTAGAGATGAGGTTTCAGCACGTTGGCCAGGCTGGTCTAACTGGCTTTTTCATTTAACAATGTATTGAGGCCATTTGTCCACATCAACAAAATCTTTTCTTTTTTTTTTTTTTTGAGACAGGCTAGGCTCTTGCTCTATTGCCCAGGCTCGGGGCGGTAGTGTGATCACGACTCACTGCAGCCTCGACCTCCTGGGCTCAAGTGATCTTCCCACCTCAGTAGCTGGGACTACTGGTGTGCGTCATTTTTTTGTATATTTTTTGTAGAGATGGGGTTTTGTCATGTTGCCCAGCCTGGTCTCAAACTCCTGGGCTCAAGTGATCTACCTGCCTCTGCCTTCCAAAGTGCTAAGATTACAGGCATGAGCCACAGCACCCGGCCCTATATCATTTTTAAGGCCTAAAAAGATTTTGTTTTTATGAACATACCCTATTTCTTGATTCAGTCCAGACTAATGGATGCTTACGTTATTTGCAATTTTTCACAAGTATAAACCTGTGATATAACTTTGACTGCTTCCCAATTATTTCCTTATTCTAAATCAATATAAGTAGATTTGGCAGGTCAAAGATGGGACAAGACTTGAAAGGATTTTGATACTTATTGCCAAATCACCCTCTGGTTGTTAGATCTTCCATTTTGGCTGTGAATAAGAAAGCATCCATGATTGTTTGGGGGTGGGGGGGGAAGGGGAGAAGGTAATACTATTGTAGAGTAAATGTAACAAGTCTTTTAATGTAAAGTTATAATAACAAAAGAACTAAATAGAACTCAAAAAAGAAACAAAAAACCACATAACTTTACTGGACATGGCGTTTAAGATACAAAACATGCCTGTGCCAGGTTTTGGGCCTTTCTACCACCAATTACGATACAGAAGTCCTTTGCTGTCCGATGTCCTAGGCAATCAGCCAGATTTTCCTTCCCTGCTCAGCATCTTCAAGGCTACTGAATCCCATTGTGTATCCTTTAGTGATGCCACTTTCCCCAGGGCAGTGTTAGCTTTTTTTTTTTTTTTGTGATGGAGTCTTGCTCTGTCGCCCAGGCTGGAGTGCAGTGGTGCAATCTCGGCTTACTGCAAGCTCTGCCTCCCAGGTTCACGCCATTCTCCTGCCTCAGCTTCCCAAGTAGCTGGGACTACAGGCGCCCGCCACCATGCCTGGCTAATTTTTTGTATTTTTAGTAGAGACGGGGTTTCACCGTGTTGGACAGGATAGTCTTGATCTCCTGACCTCGTGATCCTCCCGCCTCGGCCTCCCAAAGTGCTGGGATTACAGGCGTGAGCCACCGTGCCCAGCCAGTGTTAGCTTTTTTTATGCCATGTCACCAATGGCAGAAATCCATGGCAGAGCTCTGATACATCATTCCCAGTCTGCATTTTGGCAGTATTTGCAATTCATTTATTAATTCAGTCATTCATTCAATGATATTATGGAATGCCTATTCTGTGCCAAGTACTATTCAGACACTGTGGATCCAGAAGTAAACAGAACAGGCTCTCTGGAGAGAGGGATGAGGGGGAGGCAGAAAAATAACTCACACACATACCTGACTTGCCTCCTTGATCTCTTAGCCTGGGGGTGTAGCTGGATACCCTTCAGGCAGTGAGAACCTCACAGGCCTATATAGGGGGAGAGGCCTTCCCTAAATGGTCAACACTGTCAGGAACAACAGTGTCTGTATCTGAGAGAGGACCATCCTTTCAGAAACACTGCTGTGCCCCAGTCCTGATGCACGCAGAGCCTGCCCAGCAAGTGCCTGCTGGGCTAAGATTTGGTTTTTAAAGTCCTGATACCAGAGGGGTGGCCAAAGGCACCTCTGACACAGCTTCACTATTTTGCTGCTCCTCAAATGCCTTCAGTGGAAAGAGCATCAGCCACGTATGAGGAGCATCAGGGCTATGGAGGCAGATGTGGGAAACTAGATACAGAGTTTGAATCAGGAGATAGTGTTCCGGCCCATTTGACCTCTTTAAGAATCCATCCTCATCTTGGTAGAGTCACAATTTGTCAGGGCCCACATATTGGAACATACTATTTGATGCAAAAAATTCACAAATGTAAATGATAAGCTGTTTGGCTTCATTTATACTACACTTTGATTTTTTGTCACAGTTCTCTTGAACTCCCTTTTTTATGTCACCAACTGTTGGGCCTGTCCTTCATTAATGTTTCTACCTATACCTCTCCATGTTGACCCACAATTCTTTCTCCTGCACTGTTTCTTTGACTCTACTCCCTGTTATTTTTGTCCTTTGTAATTTATCAATTCTACCAATAGTTTTAGAGGTAACACCTCCTCTTGACAAAAAAATAATAATAATAAAATGTCTAGGAACTCCTCCCTTACCATGGTGTCTTAGAAGCCATTTTACTGTTGTGCCCCAACATCATAATCAAGACCTGGGAAATTATCTGCCCTGGATGTCTTACACCTCCATTCCCTTCCAAATTGAGACTGCCTCCATTTGAAATTATATTAAGGAGACAAATGAAATATAAAAACATACATATATTGAGATGTTTCAACAAGCCTTTAGTGGAGAATGGAAGTCTTCTATTGTTAAAATAACCATAAAAGTGAAAACGTGACTCTCAAGAAATAATAATGAAGGCTGTAGATAATGGGAATAGCAATGCTACTGGAAGAAGTAGTCATAAACACCCCTTGACAGAAAATTGTATCAGGACTCACCTCTTTGGAAGAATGTGCTGATCATGAATGCAAAGAAAATTGTGGCAATGGCAAAACACATTAGAAAAACAAATATCAGACTAGGGTCACTGTTCTTAAGCAGTGCCACATTTTTCATCTATAAAACAATCATAGATATAATTTTTACATGAACAAAATAAGAAGAAAGCAAAACTTCCATGAAAACAATGAAGAAACTGTTTTTAAAATCTGAGATGATCTTAGAAACACACATATATATAGTTTTTTAAGGCAGGACCTTTCCTCCCACATCCATTACCATTTACAAATTATGCTCTGTACATGTATCCTTTTCTGGAAAGCATAAGTTTGGATTTAATTTTTGATCCAATGTGAACTTTTCTTTTATCCTTTTTTTTTAAGCAACCATGGCCTGACAAGTTTTTTTCTTTTAATAAGTGTGTTTTTCTCATTTGTCATGATCACTATTACAGATAATTTTGCTATACCTTTTGATATCTTATATCTTCTTTTTTTAATGTTTCCAGCCATTTCATTTGTTTTATATATTTTGCTGACTAGTCTGGGTTTCTTTGTTTTCCTTTGTTCAACCTGCCCCAATTTTGATAATTTAGAAGGTAAATGTTCGTATATCCAAGTAATAGGTTTTAATCTAGTCATTAAATGCAAGTTGGCAAATTTAACACCAAATTTCATTGATAATATAAAAGAAAAATAACGATGTCATAGACATAAAAGAATGTTATCTTTTATAATAACTACTTTTAATCGTTTGTAGAGTATAAAATTTATGTTTTAAAGTTTATAAGATACATTTTTGGCATTCCAGTCTACTAAAGATATTAACCACACCCATGTCCAGTACTTGAAGGCGAGGGAACTGAAAGGAGGACAAAGCTCTCCCTGATCTGAAAGATTCTAAATGCTTAAATGCCTCAAGTTTCAGAGAATACCACCACATACAACCTGAGATTTTCCAAGTGTTCATCAAGAATGGTGTGTCCAGCTGGGTGCAGTGGCTCAAGCCTATAATCCCAACATTTTGGGAGGCCGAGGCAGGCGGATCTTTTGAGGTCAGGAGCTCGAGACCAGCCTGGCCAACATGGTGAAACTCTGCCTCTACTAAAAATACAAAAATTAGCCAGGCGTGGTGGCAGGTGCCTGTAATCCCAGCTACTTGGGAGGCTGATGCAGGAGAATTGCTTGAACCTGGGAGGTTGCGGTGAGCCGAGATCATGCCACTGCACTCCAGCCTGGGTGACAGAGTGAGACTTTGTCTCAAAAAAATAAAAAATGGTGTTTCCCATCATATATTGAATTTCAGCACTACCACCCACAAAACACCAAATTTCTTTCCCACCTATTCATAGCTTAGCACATCTTGAAGGACAAGAGATATGTACCTCTGTGCAGAAGAGAATGGTCATGAAAGAAACAGCAATGAAGACAGAAATGAAGAACGTGATGAACCAAGCAACCCAGTGTAACCAGCTTTCCAGTCCCATCACGCACAGGTAATCCTAGAGAAAGCAAAACAAGCAGGCATTACACAGTTCAACACTCAGTTCTAGCTTGCCTGGTTCAGCAGTCTGTTACTGAAACTCCAACAGACTGGGATGAAGGGTTGTGTGTGTATACTGGGAAGAGGTGGCTAATAGGAGTGGTGGAGACTGAGTTTGAAAGAAAAGTACAAACCAGTGAATGGCATTTACCTGGTTTAGATATAGTAGAGATAGACCTACTACATGATTCTTCTTTTACAATAGTAAGTCTACTATAAGTGAATGGCTCCTATAGTCCTATAGTTCTGAAAAGAAAATCTAAACTCCTTGGCATCCTATGCCCTGGTTACACAAAACATTTTGCAATTCACTGAATGCACTATGACCTCGATGTCTTTAAAAACATTTTTTTCTTACATATGTCATTTTCTTTTTTCTCTCATATTCTCTTCAACTAGCAAAATCCTAGTTGATTTTCAAAGCCTAGTTCAAGAGCTACCTGCTCTGTGAAGCTTTCTCTGGTCAGCGTTGCCCATTCTCCACAGAGACGTGACATCTACACACTCCATTACCTTTGCACTTGGGTTTCTTTTGTAACACTTGGTTTTATTGCTGTAAATTGCCTGAGAGAAAGGGCTGTGTCATTTATATGTTTATCTCTAATGCATGTGCCTCATAAATATAAGTCGTTCAATCAATACTTGATAAGTGAATAAATGCAAAGCACTGTGCTAGGCACCATGCAGGAAAAATTAAAAGATATAAAAGGCAAAGGTACTGTCTTCTAAAAATTCGCAATCTAGTACTGAAGACACATATATGATAATAATACTGTATATGCCACACTATAGTTACAGAAGAAGCCTTTTTACCTTTTAATAATGGAACTAGTAGTTAGTTGGTTAATCAAAAACAAGTTGGGTAAGCAGGGAACCACAAAAATGCTATACACATACCTTACATTTTTATTTTTACTTATAGCATATAAATGTACAATTTGTGTTGGTATTCTTATGTCAGAACACAAACTCTTCTCTTGAAGTGTGGGCCTGCTCATTGGAGCAATGTGAGCCCCACCCATAAAGCAAAGATCACAGCCTTGAAAGTGGACTGAGGACATGAATACAGGCATGAAGCATTGTAGTACAGACTCTGACCAGGTTTCTGTATTTTTTTCTCATATTTTACAGAAGTTTCACCCACGTGAAATTTATTTTTTATTTTATCATTTTCGTTTTTTAGAGACAGGGTCTCACTCTGTTGTCCATGCTGGCGTGTAATGGTACGATCATAGCTCACTGTAGCCTTGAACTCCTGGGTTCAAGCAATCCTCCCACCTCAGCCTCTCAAGTAGCTAGGACTACAGATATGAGTCATTGCGCCTGGCCTCACGCGAACTTTATTAGCATTTTTTTTTTTAGAGATTTGCCTTACTGAATCTTTCCAAAGCATTCAACTAAATTTTCAAAGGTAACTCCAGTCCACTCCATCTATTTACATAATATTTAATTAAATTACAAATTATAAGAACAAGTACAGGTATAAAGAGATTTAGGAACAAACTTTAAAAAGCATACAACTCAGCAGGTAAAAGATAAACCCAGATTCGCTAGAGAGAAGCCTACCAGCTGCAGTGTGTTGGGAGCTTCAATCTGAGAGTTTTACAGAGGGGATAGAATGTCAGTTAATTTGGACAATTAATTACATGGAGATCAGTTAAGAGGTGGAAACAACAAACTATAGGAAGATGGGATGAAAGACTGATGAAATTTAGAAAGACTTCTTGAAAGAAATGAACTGCAATATAAATTTTG
Source organism: Homo sapiens (assembly GCF_000001405.40). NCBI lineage: Eukaryota > Metazoa > Chordata > Mammalia > Primates > Hominidae > Homo > Homo sapiens. The sequence continues at coordinate 2,372,157 of NC_000016.10, read as the reverse complement.
AAGAAGAGCAGCCAAACAATGAGGCCTGCCTATAGGAGGAGCAGAATACCTAATACCTATTTGGGGAACAGAAAAGGAACACGGTCAACCAGAGCAAAGGGACTATGCTTGAAAGGGTGAGGGGAATAGGAGGGATGGAGTGATACGGGTCATTCCTAAATTAAGGACAGTGTGTTTTAATTCTCCTTAATCCATCTACATAGTCATACTAAATAAACATGAGGGAGTTTAGGAAGAAAGAGTTCTATTAGTTGTATTCAGTGTTCAAAGAAGGAAATGACATTAGTGCCCCATTCCCCATATCCCACCTTGGTCCTAGGGCCAAACACCGTCAGGGCATTCTCCCTCCTGGAATATTTCCCATAGTAATGACTCCTCCTGGAATACAACTTGCCTACTCCTGGGTCCTTGCCAAGGAAGAGTTGAAAGTTTGGGTTGGGTCTTAGGGCATCACCTGAATAGAATGGAAGAGCTGACAACATTGATCCTATCAGCGTCCAGGGCTAAATGCTATTCTAGAACTCCCCAAGAGACTATCTTTTCCTGACTCTGCACCAAGCGGAAATGGAACACATTCCTCTCTGGCATATTTCATCTAAGATTCCACTCAGAGAAGCTAAAGCTTAATTACTGGAAAACTGTTTTACTTTTACTCTTTATCTGGGAATGAAAACTGTATTTATGGCTAGGTTGTACTGTTCCATATAAAATTATCTGGAAATTTTTAACCTCTCTATGTCTCAAGTTACTTCCTCTACTAAATAAGAATAATAGCAGTAGTTCTCTCATATAATTGTGTATCATTCAGGATCCCTAAAGGAAACAACTGTTATATTCAAATTACAGTAATTCAAAGAGGGTTTGTTTATAACAGGCACATGTGTGCACAGAGACAGAAAACCCTACAGGATAGTGCAGAAACCTAGGGCTAGCAGCAAAAGCATGAATACCTTCCTTGGATCCAAATGGATGAGAAGAAAGAGAGGCTACCAGAATCCAGAATGGGAGAGTCTTGTAGGGCAAGACATCTTGCGAGAACAGTGACCTTCAGTTAAGGAACAAGCTGAGCCCAAAATGACCTGTAGGGATCTCTCCCTGCTGGCCTGAGGTCAACACAGGGACCTCATCCTCCTACTTCTTCCCTCTGAGGTCCTGCCAGATTCCTTGTGGGAGCATGTGCTGGGATCCCTACAGGTCAGCCTTCAGGGCATCAAGCAAGGTGGTGAATAGTGAAGGGTAGATCTCTTATCATGAGTCATTCCACAAGCATTTTTCAAACACCTACCTAGTGGGAGGCAGTGTGCTGACCAACCAGGAATGACCAGGCTGGACATTCTCAGACTAAAGGCAAGGATTCATGTAATAACAGAGGTGGGATCACCTAGATTGCAAGCAAGTTAAAATTGTGAACAACCTTCCAAGTTCCAACTCACCTTGGAAGTTGCTTGGACACCTAAGCAACCTCCTTTTGGCTTCATTCCTATTCTGGTCATTTTTCATTAGCAGCTTCCCCATACCCCTGTCCCAGGAGAGGCATACACTTGAAGTATCTGGGGTTACCTTCAGTCTTTTCTCTTTCTCCAGTACAATGGAACTGATGATGATGAGCTCAATGTACATGAAGCTGAGTATGAAGAACACAGAAAACTCATTCTGAAGGACTAGGAAGAACCTGTCCTCGATATAGGGTCCATATGGGAATCTCTTCACAAGTACATTGAGATTCTCAAACATGTTGGTCATTGCATTGTGAGCATGGTACCACATGATGGCTTTATCCACAGCATACTGTATGGCCAGGAAGCCTTCTTTGTTGTATCCTATGAGAAAATAGTGAATATCAAGAAATTAAGGTCAGGAGTTCGAGACCAGCCTGGCCAATATGGTGAAACCCCATCTCTACTAAGAATACAAAAATTAGCTGGGTGTGGTGGTGCATGCCTAAAGTCCCAGCTACTCGGGAGGCTGAGGCAGAATTGCTTGAACCTGGTGGGAGGCAGAGGTTGCAGTGAGCTGAGATTGCGCCACTGCATTCCAGCCTGGGCAACAGAGGGAGATTCCATCTCAAAAAAAAAAAAAAAAAAGAAAGAAAGAAAGAAAGAAAAAGAAAAAAGAAAGAAAGTATAAAGATACAACAACTGGTGTTTCAGACGGATCATGGCTAGGCATTCATAGAGACAGACAGCGGTAGGAAAGGCATCCCTAGAGTCCTCACTACAGTGTGGAAGAAAGAGAGGAAAGTCACAAGGGAGACCCCTGGAGCTGAGGGTAATGCATATATGATCCAAAAATGGGGTAAAGGAGCCTGGGCAGGCAAAATAAAAGATGTCCAATACAAGAATCTTTTGAGGTGGGACCACATCTCCTCCCCTTAGTATTCAGACTTCAGGGAAAGAGCACCTCTTCTGCAGTTTTGATCACACAGCACGTATGAGATGGTTAAACTCAAAGCACTCATATGAGATGGTTAAACTCAAAGCACTTGAAAGACACAGCCTCCCTAACCTGTTGTGACCTACTTCTGAATTGTTACCGCTGTTGGGTTTATGGTCAGTGAATTTTACTACTAAGTCTCAAAAACAGTCCTTATCACAAGCAACACTCATTTCAATACAGCATAGTTGGCATGATGGGGTCAGCTTTCAGGAAAAATAGGCTGAAAGGCAAAGATTCCTGGTTCTGGGGTCCTCTAAGAGATAACAGCCCCACCTCCAAGCAATGGTTACCAGGCTCCAACATGAGCAAAGCCAAGGTGGGGTACCTCAACCCCCTCCCAGGAGTAGAGGTGGCTATGGTCTTCAGATGGCCTAGACCTAGGCAGACTCTCAGATCTGTCCAGGAAAAAGAAGGAACAAATTGTTGGTAATAAATTCTCAGAATGGTTACATATTCTTGATTGTGTGTAGGAGTATTTTCACTGCAGAACTGCTGGATCTTTTCTAGAATTATGCAAAACTGTAAGTACTCGGACTTGGACTCTCACTTAGTGTGCACAAAGGCCTGAGGCTTCAAGCCAATATTTGAGCCATTCTACAACAGATGTAGATTACCAGCTTAATTTTCTAAGAAAAGTTAGTTGCCTAGAGGATGTTCACCCTAAACCCCTCACAAAAAGGAAGACCAAAAAATCTAAAGTGAATGGGAGAGCATGAGTCTTTCAAGAGCGGATTGGCCCATGGGCCTTCAGTCGGGAATGTGATGCTTATTGTGAAGGACAGAGGATGCACAGGTGTCAGTGTTGCCCCAGTACTTCTCTAGGAACCTGGGGTTGCCAGAAGCGAGAGTTGGGCAACGCAGGCAGATCCAGGGAGTACTGGGTGCCAAGTTTTAGGTGTTTGCTCTGTCAGGTGCAGTTAGACCCCTTTGCATGGGAGAGAGCAAGCAGATGCAAAGCAGCCACTCAGCAAGGCTCTCTCCTTCACCCTCAACAGAGGGTGACAGAGCAGAAAGTCAGCATGGCTCCCCAAGAAGAGAGGACTATGGCAGCCAGGAGTCAGGACCTGGCTTTGGGACCACATGCCAGCCCTTGGGACAAATAGGAACTCCTGGAAAAACTCCAACCTTCTGGCATTAATTTTCTGTCCTCTTATCCTGAATGACAGACAGGGAAAAGGAGATTTTCCCAGACTAGAAATGCAGATAGGGAGATTCATGAGAGGGAAAGGGAGAGGGCCAGCCAAGACCAAGAGGCCTGAAGAACAGGAACTGGGATTCTGCACCAGTGTTGCAGATGGGGCAGGGAGGATGGAATAAGAATCAAGGCAAGATCTAAAAGCATCAGTCAGAGTAAATAAAATCAAAGTGAAGCATCAGCCAATGAACAGGCCAGAAAGAGTTCAGGGATTCCCCCAAAGCAGGAACAGACTCTTTGGAGCTGCACAGACATGCAGAGAGTCCCAAGAGTGTGGATGATTATCTTCTGTTTCTTCTTCATTAAATTAAATGAGACGGATGAAATGCAAAGGATACAGTCAGTGGAGATTGTAATGGAGGCATGTTAGACATAGATCATACAATATGACATGCGTGTTGAACAGGACATGTGTTTAAAAAGATAGAATAGGGCCAAAAGTGGTGGCTCATGCCTGTAATCCCAGTAGTTTGGGAGGCCGAGGTGGGCGGATCACCTGAGGTCAGGAGTTCGAGATCAGCCTGGCCAACATGGTGAAACCCTATCTCTACTAAAAACACAAAAAATTAGCCAGGTGTGATGGTGGGCACTTGTAATCCCAGCTACTCAGGAGGCTGAGACAGGAGAATCGCTTGAACCTGGGAGGTAGAGATTGCAGTGAGCCGAGATTGTGCCATTGCACTCCAGCCTGGACAACAAGAATGAAACTCCATCTCAAAATAAAATAAAATAACCAAATAGGAGTGGTATTTGCAGGTGGAAAAGGGAAGCCGAGAAAATCTTAAACATGCATAAAGCACAGATCATGTTTCCTCCATGATGACAAATGTCACTGCTAAATTGGCCACCCACTGGTCCCTGCACTCCTTGTTCCAGTAAAATGTTTCCATCCTTCCTCCAAACAATTCAATATTGTTACAATCAAATCCATAACTACTGTTTTTACTTGCTCTAGAATGTAAGCAGTTTACTGAATGTCACATTTCTAAATGTAACTCCTTCAACCTCTTCTGAAATGCTAGTTTATGTGCTGGCAGCAAAACAAACAAAACAACAAAAGTGGCCATGCTCTTTTTTTTTTTTTGAGACGGAGTTTCGCTCTTGTTGCCCAGGCTGGAGTGCAATGGCCCAGTCTCAGTGCACCGCCACCTCTGCCTCCCAGGTTCATGCAATTCTGCCTCAGCCTCCTGAGTAGCTGGGATTACAGGCATGAGCCACCACACCCAGCTAATTTTGTATTTTTTGTAGAGATGAGGTTTCTCCATGTTTGTCAGGTCTCGAACTCCCTACCTCAGGTGATCCACCCGCCTCAGCCTCTCAAAGTGCTGAGATTACAGGCATGAGACACCGCGCCCAGCCACGGCCATGCTCTTAACACGCACAAGCTTCGGGGCTTTCTCACCAGGACTTCCCCCAACAGCAAATGGAAATTCCCGGGGTTCTTGGCGTGGATTGGGAGGGTAAAGAAAGGATGTGCACCAGCCTTCTATGTCATCTTGAAAAAATATATTCTTCCCCAGTATAAAATTCTTCTGAAAGTAACTGAAGCGCAATTGATACTTAACCTATGAAGAACAAAGAGAAAACAAATTCGGTTATGAACTCCTGAAACTCAGCAAAGGCACAGGACAGAACAAATCTGTGCTTGATGTCAGCTGTAACAGGATGAAGGATGCCCACACTGGCAGGTGTCCCCTGGGAGACCATGCTGCAACAGTGGTCTTCCCTGTGTACTCTGGAAATTCTCCGTGGTGCAAGCCTGGGAAACATACAGCCGCTCCTGAGCCCCCTTCAGGAATGGTGTGCTGCAGAACAGTTCAGAGCAAGGGCTCTGGAGCCAGACCACCCAGATTCTAACCCCAAATCTCCTACTGAATAGCCTTGACACCTTGGGCAAATTACATAAACTTCATTCCTCAGTTTCCTCATGAGTAAAATGGGGATATTAACAACGTCTACCTCATAGGCTACAGTAGGATTGAACCAGATGGTATCTGTGTTGCCTAGCATTAATAAATGCTTGAAAAACATTGTTGGTTATTTTATTAACATGTCTCTCTCCATCTACCAATAGCCCATGCAACTTCCAACAATTAATCATCAGATACACTGTACAACACAAAAGCTATACATGAGTGGTTTTCCCATCCCAGAACATAAACCAAATATTCCCATGTTTACAACATGAACTTTTCCTTAAACAAACTCACACTCATACCATATCTGAAGTCCATAAGATTATTAGTAATGACAACAATAACTAATCCTTCTGGAAAGTTATTTTGTTCCAGGCTTTGTTCTAAGCACTTTATAGGCATAAAACTCTTTTAGCCCTCACAACAATAAGGACACCGAGGCCCAGAAATGTTTTTCCAAGGTTACACAGCTGGTGAGTTGCAGGGCTGGAATGCAAGTCTGTGGAGGCTGATCTTGTAGTCTGCATCTGTCATCAGGCAGTTTAATATACGCCATCCTGTACCCTCAGGATAAAGGCTTGCTCACAACAAGCCTTCTAAAGAATTTGAAAACTGGAAGGGACCTCAAAGTCTAGGTTGTAAGACATGAAACACAGGAGCCCTTGCATATCTCCTTTGGAAATAAGATGACAAAGCTGCCACAGAGAAAAGCCGGGGGCAGGTCAGCCAACAAGACTGCAGAAGGAACACATGCTCAAGTCTCGGCAGCACAGTACAATTGTTAGAGAAAGGATGTTCTTACCGCAAGTGGCAAAGATCCATTGCTGTCATTGACGCTGTGGTCAAAAACAATTCCTGCCAATATGTAGAAAGCTTTGGGATCATCAATTATATAACGTTCAAACAAAGACACTGAAGAACAGCCTAAAACTACAGAGAGAAAAATCCCATCAGTGAGTGGCTGGTGTGAAGGCAAAGGCTACCCAGCTGCCCGCTTTCTACTTAAGGAGACTTAAGATCGACAGCTGACTGCTCCATTAACTCCAGCATTCGTTCTGCAAATACACGAGCAGAGAGAGACAGAAAATAAGGGAGGTAAGTTAAGGGACATGAATCTCATTATTTCAAGTCATAACTTTAACTGGGAAGTCTATAGTCCCAAGAACTGCTAGCAACTATCTTGGGGCATCAAGAAAGTAATGCTAAGAAGGAAGAGAATTTAAGTGCTGATCACATGATCTGAGACCTGGATCAAGCCTTGTGGTTTTTCATTAAAGAATGAGTTTTGTTCTTGTAGGAAGTTTAAGTTCACTTTTATCCTTTCAAGGCTTGTTTCTAGCCTGAGTTTTACATGTTGATTATTTTATTTTTCATTTCTAGAAGTTCTAGTTCCTTTTTTCTCCCCAAATTTGCTAGGTGACTATAATGACATGCTACCTATAAATCCTTTTACGTTGTCTTTTATTTCTTCAAACCAGCTAAACATAGGGATTTTATAACACGAGACTAATAATTCCATTATCTGGAATCTTTCCAGGTCTGTTTTTGCTGTCTGTTGTCATAGTGATAATCATCCTTGGTGTCCTGTTTCCTAGTATGTTTGCTCACTGACCTTGATACTCTTGTGGTGAGTCTTGAGATACAGAAGGAGGGTACATTATTCCAGGAAAAATATATATTTGCATCTGTCAATCTGAGTCCCACTGTCCCACTTCACAGTTCGAGGGGTTTTTCTTTTCTTCTTTCCTTCCTTCCTTTCATTCCTTCCTTTCCTTCCTTTCTTCCCTTCCCTCTGCCCTTCCTTCTTTCCTTCCTTCCTCCCTCCCTCCCCTCCTTCCCTTCCTTCTTTCTTCCCTTCCCCTCCCTCCCTCCCTCCCTTCCATCTTTCCTCCCTCCCTCCCTCTCTCCCTCCTCTCCTTCTTTCTTCCTTCCTTTTTTTTGACAGCCAAGTGATGTGAATTTGAGCTACAAATCTCAGAGCTAGGACCCTCCCTGCTGTGCTCAGTTCCAAGGCAACATTCAGGCAGTCGGGGGCATGTTTACATCCAGCACAACCTTACATTAAGTACCACCACTACAATGTAAGCATATGGGGTCCTAGATTTAAGGGGAGATAGTCTCATGATATACACCCCACCTTGAATGGGACTTAACTTTTTCTTCTTTCCCTCTGTGCCTTACAAGTCTATGAAAACGAGCATTCGATTTCCCCTAGTATGATGAATGTTTGATCAAAAGCAGTTTAGGGCCTCCACTGATCTCTTTGGGTTCTTTCCTTCATCTAGATTTTTTTTCTTTTTTTTTTGAAATGGAGTCTTGCTCTGTCTGATCTCGGCTCACTGCAACCTCCATCTCCAGAGTTCAAGTGATTCTCATGCCTCAGCCTCCCAAGTAGCTGGGATTACAAGTCGCACCACCATGCCCGGCTAATTTTTTGCATTTTTAGTAGAGACAGGGTTTTGCCGTGTTGCCCAGGCTGGTCTTGAGCTCCTGAGCTCAGGGAATCCGCCTGCCTCAGCTTCCCAAAGTGCTAGGATTACGGGCGCCACTGCACTTCAGCCTGGGCAACAGAGCGAGATTCTGTCTCAAAAAAAAAAAAAAAAGAAAGAAAGAAATTTCATAATCTCATATGTATAAGGTAACTGAATTAGAATACATAGTATTTTAGGATACCAGACAAGCATGAAGCACAACTTTCTTTTCTTTTTTTTTTTTGAGATGGAGTCTTGGCCTGTCGCCCAGGCTGAAGTGCAATGGCACGATCTCGGCTCACTGCAATCTCCACGTCCTGGGTTCAAGCCACTCTCCTGCCTCAGCCTCCCAGGGAGCTGGGACTACAGGTATGTGCCACCACGCCCGGCTAATTTTTTTGTATTTTTAGTAGAGATGAAATTTCACCATGCTGGCCAGGCTGGTCACAAACTCTTGACCTCAAGTGACCCGCCCACCTCGGCCTCCCAAAGTGCTGGGATTACAGACATGAGCTACTGCACCCGGCTGAAGCACAACTTTCAAAACAGTGATTTCCCCACATTTTACCACTGAGGGCATTTTTATTTTTTATTTTTTTAGAGACAGGGTCTCGTTCTGTTACCCAAGCTGGAGTGCAGTGGTGCAATCATAGCTCACTGTAGGTTCAAGAGATCCTCCCACCTCAGCATCCCAAGTAGCTGGGTCTACAAGCATCAACTACCATACCTGGTTAATTTTTTATTTTTTGTAGAGACAGGGTTTCACTATGTTGCCCAAGCTGGTCTCAAACTCCTGGAACTGAAAGCTTTTAAAAGAATTATCCTCACTCAGGCTGGGTGCAGTGGCTCATGCCTGTAATCCCAGCACTTTGGGAGGCCAAGACGGGCGGATGACCTGAGGTCAGGAGTTTGAGACCAGCCTGGCCAATAAGGTGAAACCCCATCTGTACTAAAAATAGAAAACTTAGCCAGGCGTGGTGGCGGGTGCCTGTAATCCCAGCTACTCAGGAGGCTGAGGCAGGAGAATTGCTTGAACCCGGGAGACGGAGGTTGCAGTGAGCCTAGATCTCACCATTGCACTCCAGCCTGGGCAACAAGAGCGAAAGTCCATCTCAAAAAAAAAAAAAAAGGAAAAGAAAAAAAAAATTATTATCCCCATTGAGTGGCACTGAAGCTTGGAGGGAAAAATCTCTATTCACTTTATGCCCTATATATTATTAGAATACTTTTACAATAGCATGTAGAGCAATTATAGTAATTTTGAAAAATTTCTCCTATAAACTACATATTTTGAAGAATGCTATCTACCTAACTACATTAATTTATTCAATAAATATTTATTGAGCACCTACTATGTGCTAGGTACTACAACAGGCACAGTGATGAACAAAACAGACATGGTTCCTATGCCCTCATGGAGGTGGAGTCTAGTGGAGAAAGGCAGACAATACACAGAAGCAAGAAAGTGAATATATATGTAAACATTTATTAAAATTCCCTTTTTGATAGAAAGTATAAAACAGGGTTCTGTGACAGAGAATAAGGCAGAGGTGAGAAACCTAAAACCGATTTAGCTGCTTTCCTAGGCATCAGTTCAGCTGAAACGTGAAGACTAAGAGGGAGCAATGCACAGGGAAGGCTGAGGGCAAAGCACTGTCAGAAGGAACACCTGCTGCAAAGGCCCTATTGGGAGAAAACCTCATGTAGCTGCTTTCTAGGAAGTAAAAGACCAACATGACCAGTGTGTGGGAGCACAATAAAGAGCCAAACTAGATAAGACTGGGAAAAAAGCAGGGTCAGAACCTGGAGAAGAGCTGGTTTTCTTTCAGGGCAATGGGAAGCCACTGAAGGGGTTTAAGCTAGAGACTAGCTGGATCCTATTGAGCTTTTGAAGATCTTTCTGCCTCCACACGGAGACTGGATTAGAATGGGACAAGAGGAGAAGCAGAGACCAGTTAACAAGTTAGAAGCTATTTCAGACCCTCTGACTCTCTGAATGCCTTCCATTTTTTATTAGAGACATATAATTGCCAATCAGACCTTTGGATTAATATGAGATAATAGGTGTCATGATAGTGAGTTAAAAACAAATACTTAACATTTAACATTTTAATTAGCCTTGAAGCCTTCTGACATATATAGACAAGACTCCATATGTTGTTTGAAATAATAAAAATATCTCATGGACAGCTTCCCCCCAACTACCACCTCATAGGCTCTTTAGAATTTGGAGACACTAGATTTAGAATCACTACTGTAAGAACTCTCGGGGAAAAACTTCAAACTGTACTTTATAAAAATGTCCTCCCGATCCTTACCCATATTTACATCTAACCTTCAAACTCAACATCAAAGATCTGTTCCACCATTTCGGTGACAGCCTTCAATGTTTCACTTATAGAAGGGATATAAACTAGTTGAAATCTATTTTTCAGGAAAATTGTAGAAGTCTGGCAACAAACTGATATCAATTGCATGGCAGCTAGTAGCAGGTCTTTTTATTGGAGCACTACTAAAACGAAGATACAATACAATGCAGAAAATAGCAATGGCATCAAGATTTCAAGGACTGCTACCAGAGTCTTCCGTTTCTAAAATAAAAACAAAAGCTAAATGTCAACCCAAAACAGAACACATGTGGTGAATGCTCTTCCATTTAGAACACTTTAATTTCTTCCAGTCTCCCTGCAAAACACACGAAAAAGAAAAACACAGAGTAAGAATTAGCTTGAAACATCTCCTTTTAGCCTTTCTGTAACTCCAATGGCCAGAAATCAGTAACAATGATGTCATCTTTAATAATTACATGACTCATTTGCAGAAAAGGGCCCCTTTCCATGTAAAGTTCTTAATTGTTCTTTAACCCGTTATTATGAACCAATTTAACTTAAACATTCAATCCCCCCCAAGGACTTATATCTTCCCACAGATAACCATACCAACTTTAAGATGAAATCCTTCCAGCGAAGAAGTTTTAACTTTCTGAACACCGTCATTTTCCTAGCTGAAGAGGAGGGCTCATCACTAGTCAGGAAACAAATGAGGGAAAATGTTATGCATAGCACAAAAGTGTTAAGAGTTACTTTTTCGTCCTTGAAAACTTTCTTCTTTGGGGCTTCCAGATCATTGTGATGGACTACTTTTCCTCCTATCATTCTAGGAATTCCTTCTAAGTCTTTTTGCTGATACTTCCTCCTCTTCCCAACCTCTAAATGCACTCCAGGGCTCAGTCTGTGCTCTCCTTAGGTGATCTCACTCAGCTCTTAGATTTGAATCCATCTATATGCTGGTGACTTCTAAATTTGTATCTCCAGCCTAGACCTTGCCTCTGACTCTAAATCCAGATACCCAACTGCCGGCTTAATACTTCCATGTGTTTCATCTAAGTTGACATGCCCAAACTGAGCTTTCTTATTCCTGTTAAAAGATTGTCCTACAGTCTTCTTCACTGTTAACGTCAGTTCCATTCTTTGAGTTATATAGGATTATTATCTTTCTTTTTTTTTTTTTTTTTTAGACGGAGTCTTGCTCTGTCACCCAGGCTGGAGCGCAGTGATGCGATCTTGGCTCACTGCAACCTCCGCTTCCTAGGTTCAAGCGATTCTCCTGCCTCAGCCTCCAAGTAGCTGGGATTACAGGTGCCCACCACCATGCCTGGCTAAGTTTTGTATTTTTTGGTAGAGATGGGGTTTTACCATGTTGGCCAGGCTGATCTCAAACTCCTGGCCTCAAGTGATCTGCCCACCTTGGCCTCCCAAAGTGCTGGGATTAGAGGCGTGAGTCACCTGGCCTGGGCTTATTCTTTTTTAATGACACAGGAAAGCAACATGTTACAAAATGAACTGGTTACAAGCAGTAGGTAGAGGATGACTTCAATTTTAATTAAAAATATATAAAATTATGAACATGTATATAAAAAACTGGAAGGTTAAATACCAAAATATCAACAGTATTTAATTCTATACAGGATTATTGTTGACTTCTCTCTCTTTCACAGCTCAAATCCAGTTAGTCAGCAAATCCTGTTGGCTCTACCCCTGAAATAGACCTAGAATTCAATCCCTTTCACCACCCCTATTCTTATCGTCCCTTGCCGGGATTTCTGCAATACCTTCTTTGGTGGTATCAGTACATCTGCCCTTGCCACTTTGCAATCCATTGTCCATGCAGCAATAAGAGCGACCCTCTTTGAGTCAGATTACGCTTCCTCCTCTGTTCAAAACTCTCTACTGGCTCTTATCTCACTCCAAGCAAAAGCCTTGCCTTACAATGAACTACACAGTTGTACATGGTATAGTTCCTGTTCACTTTCTCATGTCATTCTGTCTCCTAGTTTACTTCTCTCCTTCTCCCTGCTCCTGTGTCACAGGCATAGCTGCTCCTCCTAAAACACACCAAACACACTTTTGCCTCAAAACTCATATCCCTCTGTCAAGTACACACTTCCCTCGTGTATCAACACTTCTAGCTCCCCTACTACTTTCAGATATTTCCTCAAATGTCACTTTCTCAGTGAGGTCTTTTTGATCATTCTATATAAAATTTCAACATCCCTATAGATGTCATATCAACTTTCCATGTTTATTTTTCTTCTTAGCACTTTTAAATGATTTACATGCTATTTATTTGCTTATTTAATCTGACATCCCTACTCAAATTTATGTTCTGTGAAAGCAGGAATTGTTTGTTCTGATTTTTTTTTCCAACACTGAATCCCAAGACACAAGAACAGAGGCGGCACATGGTAGGAACTCAGTAAATATTTGATGAATGAATGAATGAATTAAAAGGTATGCAGTCTTTGTAGGCATGTGACTGAAGCAAAAATGACTGCGAGAAAGAAAAATACCTCGGATAGCAGAAAGTTCCTTCTCTTCTCAATCTTTTTGTTTCCCAAGTGTAATACATGCTTTAATTTTTTAGATACTATTATTATAACAAAAATGAGATTTTCATTTACAGAAAACATTTTTCCAGTGGGGAAAGAAAGGGGAATATATTTTTTCTCAGGTGAAAGCATCTCTAACTTTGCACAAAAGAAATTAAAGAAACAAGACTCATATAAATACGGAGAATGGAGAAAATATGACTATTGTTCCTGGAAAGTCCTCCTTCTTGGATGTGTTGTGTCTCTTGTCTCTTACTGTACTTCCTGTAATGCTACTTCCTTAAATACAGAGACAGTGTTTCCTTCTCCTGAATATAAGAATTTTAGAAGCAGCATCTTCAATAGTGAATGCAGGCCAGGCGCGGTGGCTCACACCTGTAATCTCAGCATTTTGGGAGGCTGAAGAGGGTGGATCACCTGGGGTCAGGAGTTCAACACCAGCCTGGCCAACATGGCAAAACCCCATCTCTACTAAAAAAAAAAAAAAAAATTAGCTGGGCATGGTGGCACATGCCTGTAATCCCAGCTACTCAGGATGTTGAGGCAGGAGAATCACTTGAACCTGGGAGGCGAAGGTTGCAGTGAGCCGAGATCGCACCATTGCACTCCAACCTTGGCAACAAGAGTGAAACTCCATCAAAAAAAAAAATTAAAAAAAAAGGCCAGGCGCAGTGGCTCACGCCTATAATCCCAGCACTTTGGGAGGCTGAGGCAGGTGGATTACCTGAGGTCGGGAGTTTGAGACCAGCCTGACTAACATGGAGAAACCCCATCTCTACTAAAAATACAAAAATTAGCTGGGTGTGGTGGTGCATGCCTATAAATCTCAGCTACTTGGGAGGCTGAGGCAGGAGAATCGCTTGAACCCAGGATGGGGAGGTTGCAGTGAGCTGAGACACGCTATTGCACTCCAGCCTGGGCAACAAGGGCGAAACTCCGTCTCAAAAAAAAAAAAAAAAATCTGTCAAGTCACTGGCTGAACGCAGAGATAATGAAACAGAGACTTTCAGTACTCACACATAACAAGAAATATAGTGTCTTTAGCAAAGTCACTAAACAAATGGACAACTGCAGTTTTCAACAAGTATCAACAGCAATTTCTGAGGAGAGATGAGAATCTGATTTCCAGAGCTACCAACTACAGTATTCAAAATGTATAGCTCTCAGTAAAAAATTACAAACCATACAAAGACATAGGAAAGTATGACCCATTCACAGCAAAAAAGGAAGCTGACACAAACCATTCCTGAGGAAGCCCAGACATAGGACTTACTAGGCAAAACTTCTAAATGGACTGTCTTAAATATTCTCAGAGCTGAAGATGATGGACAAAGAACTAAAGGAAATCTGAAGAATGAAGTGTGTACAAGCAGAAAATTTCAATAAACAGAAAAATTTTAAAGAAACCAAATAGAAATTCTGGAGCTGAAAAGCATAAAAGCTGAAACAAAATAATTCACTAGAAGAATTCAAAGATTTGAGCAAGCAGAAGACAGAATCGGCAAACCTGAAGATAGGGCAGTTAAAATTACCAAGTCTAAGGAGCAGGAAAAAAAAAATGAAGAAAAATGAACAGACCCTAAGGGACCTATGGGACACCATCAAGTGTACCAAATACACATTGTGAAAGTTCCAGGAGAAGAAAGAGATAAAAACATGTTTGAAGAAATAATGAAATAACAACTTCTCAAATGTGATCAATACATGAATCTACAGATCCAAGAAGCTCAACAAACTCCAAGTACAAGAAACTTAAAAAACCCACAAAGAGAGTTATTATAATGAAACCGTCGAATGCTAACGATAAGGAGAGAATTTTTTTTTTTTTTGAGACAGGGTCTGGCTCTGTGGCATGATCATCGTTCATTGCAGCCTTGACCAGCCAGGCTCTAGTGAGCCTCCTTCCTCACCCTCCCAAGTAGCTGGGATTATAGGCATGTAGGCATATGCCACTACGCCCAGCTAACTTTTTTATTTTTTGTAGAGATTGGGTCTGCTTGGTTGCCCAGGCTGGTCTTTAACTCCTGGCCTCAAGCGATCCTCCCACCTCTGTTGCCCAAAGTGTTGGGATTACAGGTGTGAGCCACCATTCCCAGCCCAAGGAGAGAATCTTGAAAGCAGTAGGACAGAAGAAACTTGTACAAGGGATCTTCAGTAAGATTAACAGCTAATTTCTCATCAGAAAACAGGGAGGCAAAAAAGCAGTGGGATGATATATATAAAACGCTTAAAAAAAAAAAACTGTCAAGAATCTATACCCAGCGAAACTATCTTTCAAAAATGAAGGAGAAATTAAGACATTTTTTAGGTAAATAAGAGCTAAAGAAATTTGTCTCTAGTAGACCTGCCCGAAGAAGCATGCCAAAGGAAGTCCCTCAGGCTGAAACAAAAAAATGCTAGATGTAATTTGAAGCCATATGAATAAATAATTATCAGTAAAGGTAACTTTTTAGGTAACTATAAAAACTAGCATTGGCCAGGTGCGGTGACTCACGCCTGTAATCCCAGCACTTTGGGAGGCCAAGGCAGGTGGATCACCTGAAGTCAGGAGTTCAAGACCAGCCTGGCCAACATGGTGAAACCCCGTCTCTACTAAAAATACAAAATTTAGCCAGGCATGGTGGCACACGCCTGTAATCCCAGCTACTCGGGAGGCTGAGGCTGCAGAATCACTCGAACCTGGGAGGCAGAGGTTGTAGTAAGCCAAGATTGCGCCACTGCACTCCAACCTGGGCAACCAAGAGCAAAAGTCCATCTCAAAAACAAACAAACAAAAAAAACAACTAGTATTATTGTACTTTTGGTATGTAACACCTCTGTTTCCCATATGATTTAAAAAATAGAGCCAGATACAGTGGCTCATGCCTATAATCCCAGTGACTCACAGGTTAAGACAAGAGGATCACATGAGGCCAGGAGTTCAAGACCTGCCTGGGAAACATAGTGAGATGTTCATCACTCAAATTTTTTTTAATTAGCCAAGTATGGAGGTACGCACCTGCAGTCCCAGCTACTCGAGAAGCTGAGGCAGAAGGACCACTTAAGCCCAGGAGTTCAAGGCTGCAGTGAGCTATGATCATGCCAATGTACTCCAGTCTGGGTGACAGAGCAAGACCCTGTCTCTAAAATTTTTTTTAAAAAACAAGCTTATGCACACCCATGCACTATTCATGAAAACAGAGTATGTATAGGCCATAAAGAAAATTTCAAATTGTAAGAGGTTGAATGATACTGACCACATTTCTAGATCACACTACACTAAAAGTATTAATAATAAAATAAAAACACCAAAACCAAAAAAGCACTTTTTTTAAATGAAAAACTCTCTCCTAAACTGCAAAATATTCTATCAATCAAGAAAATGAGAAGACAAGCCATAGACTGAGAGAAAATATTTGTAAAAGACATATCTGATAAAGTACTATTATCTGAAATATACAAAGAACTGTTAACAATAAGAAAACAAACAACCTGATTTAAAAATGGGCAAAAAACCTAAACAGTTACTTCACTAAAGAAATATACACATGGCAAGCCTGTAATCCCAGCACTTTGGGAGGCCGAGGTGGGCGGATCATGAGGTCAGGAGATCGAGACCATCCTGGCTAACACGGTGAAACCCTGTCTCTACTAAAAATACAAAAAATTAGCCAGGCGTGGTGGCGGGCACCTGTAGTCCCAGCTACTTGGGTGGCTGAGGCAGAAGAATGGCGTGGACCCGGGAGGCGGAGCTTGCAGTGAGCTGAGATTGGGCCACTGCACTCCAGCCTGGGCGACAGAGATTCCGTCTCAAACAAAAAAAAAAAGAAATATACACATGGCAAATAAGCATATGAAAAGATGCTCAACCTTATACATCATTAGGGAATTGCAAATTAAAACAATGAGATACCATTACACACCTTGATATGTTTTGAATTTGTGTCCCTTCCCAAATCTGATGTTGAATTTGTAATCCCCAATGTTGGTGGTGGCACCTGGTGGGAGGTGATTGGATCATGGGGATGGTTTCTCATGAATGGTATAGTGCCATCCCCCTAGTGCTGTTCTCATGGTAGAAGTGTGTAGCATTTCCCCCACTCTCTTCCTCCTGCTCCAGCCAGGGAAGTGGTGGAACTCACTTTGTCTTAGGCTATGATTATAAGTTTCCTGAGGCCTCCCCAGAAGCTGATGGCAACATGCTTCCTGTACAGCCTGCAGAACCATAAACCAATTAAACCTTTCTCATGAATTACAGAGTCTCAGGTATTCCTTTACAGCAGTGCAAACAGACTAATACACACCTATAAAAACATCCAAATCAATGGATATGCCAAGGGTGTGGAGCAACAGGAGCTATTGTTCATTGATGGTGGAAATGCAAAGTGGTACAGCCACTTAGGAAGACAAGCGGTTTCTCACAAGAGTAAATAACCCCTTACCACGTGATCCTGCAGTTATGCTCCTTGGTATTTATCAAACGAGTTGAAAACCTATGTTCACACAAAAACCTGCACATGGATGTCTATAGTACTTTACTCATAATTGCCAAAACTTGTAAGCAACCAAAATGTCCTTCTATAAGTGGATGGATAAATAAATTGTGGTACATCCAGACAATGAAATATTATTGAGCATTAAAAAGAAATGAGCTGGGCCAGGCGCAGTGGCTCACGCCTGTAATCCCAGCACTCTGGGAGGCTGAGGTGGGCGGATCACCTGAGGTCAGGAGTTCGAGACCAGTCTGGCCAATATGGCAAAACCCTGTCTCTACTAAAAATACAAAAAATTATCTGGGCATGGTGGTGGGCGCCTGTAATCCCAGCTACTCAGGAGGCTGAGGCAGGAGAATCACTTAAACCTGGGAGGTAGAGGTTGCAGTGAGCCAAGATCACGCCATTGTACTCCAGCCTGGGCAATAAGAATGAAACTCCACCTCAAAACAAAAACAAAAACAAAAAGAAATGAGCTATTAAATCATGAAGAGACATGGAGGAACTCTAAATGCATATTACTAAGTGAAAGAAGCCAATGTAAAAAGGCGACATACTATATAATTCTAACTATTTAACATTCCAGAAAAGGCAAGCAAAACTATATATATATATATATCAGGGCTAGGAGCGGAGGCTCACGCCTGTAATCCCAGCACTTTGGGAGGCCAAGGTGGGCAGATCACCTGAGGTCAGGAGTTTGAGACGAGCCTGGCCAACACGTTGAAACCCCATCTCTACTAAAAATATAAAAATTAGATGGGCGTGATGGCAGGCACCTGTAAAGCCAGCTACTTTGGAGGCTGAAGTGGGAGAATCGCTTGAACATGGCAGGCAGAGGTTGCAGTGTGCCGAGATCGTACCATTGCATTCTAGCCTGGGCAATGAGAGTGAGACTCCATCTCAAATAAATAAATAAAATACAAAAATTAGCTGGGCATGGTGGTGCATACCTGTAATCCCAGCTACTCAGGAGGCTGAGGCACAAGAATCACTTGAGCCTGGGAGGCAGAAGTTGACATGAGCTGAGATTGTGCCACTGCACTCTAGCCTCGGCAATACAGTGAGACTCTGTCTCAGAAAAAAAGAATCAGTGCTTGCTGGGCAGGGTGGCTCAAGCCTGTAATCCCAGCACTTTAGGAGGCCAAGCCAGGAGGATCTCTTGAGCCTGGGAGTTTAAGACCAGCCTGGGCAACATAGCAAGACTCCCATCTCTACCAAAAAAAATAAAAACCCAAAACCACAAACCAAAATTAGACAGGCATACTATAGTC
Source organism: Homo sapiens (assembly GCF_000001405.40). NCBI lineage: Eukaryota > Metazoa > Chordata > Mammalia > Primates > Hominidae > Homo > Homo sapiens. The sequence continues at coordinate 2,353,505 of NC_000016.10, read as the reverse complement.
CTAGTTGCTTAGGAGGCTGAGGCAGGAGGATTGCTTGAGCCCAGGACTTCGAGGCTGCAGTGAGCAATGATTGTACCACTGCACTCTAGCCTGGATGACCGACAGAAAACCTGTCTCAAAAAAAAAAAAAAAAAAAAAAAGAACGAAAGAAAGAAAAAAGAAGGATTGACAGGGAAATTAAACTCCTAAAATAAGTAATCCACTAGCATATCCAGTCAATACAAAAAAAGGAACAAACACACTGTCAGACATATTAATGAAGAATGAAAAGGAAAAAATACCCAATGTTGTACAGAAAATTAAATATTTTTTGTAACACTATGCTAAAAAATTTGTCAATCTGTCTGGGATGGGTTGATTAGGAAAATAGAAGTAACTACTATAATCCAGTAAGAGATTTTTTTTAAAACCTAAATATTTATTCACATAAACTGTTCAAGAAATTGAGAAATTTGTCAGAGTCCTCCAAGCAGTGTAAGTGCAAAAACTCAAATGGGTAAGTTATTTTTAACTACAAGCAATAGGTCATTCTAATGCTATTTAAACTAATCCATAAGCAGAGAGAGGGTAAACTTCCACTAAAAAAAATCAGGTTAACTAATGATGATATGAAAATCTGACAATGACAACATTTTTTTTAAAAAAAACTAAAGCCCATTCTTAGTAAAGAGAAGATGTAAAAATCCTTGCTAGCACATAGAATCTAGAAATGCATTAAAAGAATAATATACCATGAACAAATGGAAAATTTATTCCAGAAATATAGGAATGATTCACTATTTTCACCATTATGATTTCTATTAGTTTAATTCATTATATCAATTGCTCAAAGGAATAAAAACATAATGTCAATAAATTCCCAAGGCATTTGATAAAATTTTCCATCTATTCTTTGATACTTTTTAAAAAAATCCTTAGAAACAAAATCATCTATAATGTGTTAAAAACACATTTCTCAAATCAAAAGCAAAGATATTTTCTGGTGACCACAGAAGCATTCACAATTAAGACAAAACCAAGATTAAAATGCCAGTGGCAACATTATTTTCTAGCATTATTCTGGAAACAGTAACCCAGAGCCATTGTGTCCAGTTATGAGGCCTGTTCCCTATACCAGGACATCTGGCTCAGAGGATGAGAAGCAGGGCTGAGATCCACTCTATGCTCCACTCCACCTGGCCTAAGGATGGATCTGCTGGCTGAAAGTTCCACTCAGGGGTACCTTTATCTAATTGGTTTGTGCAGTTGGGTGCCTTTAACTAATTGGTCCACTCAGAAGAGCTGCCTTTATCTAATAGGTGGGGAGGCAGGGATCACCTCTTGGCAATTCCTCACCAGGCACGGTACCCTATATAAGCTCCTGGTGGCCCTATACTCCTACAGTTAAATGATAAGATGAATCAAGAGGCATAAATATAGGTAAAGAGGGAACTAGATTATGATTGTTTGCATGTTATTAAGTGGTATACATAGAAAACCCAAGAGAACAACTGAATAACTATAAGAAACAGTAAAAGGTAAGGTAAGATAGCCAGTTACAAAAGTAGTATATAAAAAAATCAATAGTTTTCCTATCAAAAACCAGGTAGGACAATGTATTTCAGGAAAAGATCCCTTTCACAACAGCAACAGCAGAAGAAAACATTTAGGAATAAATATAGTGAGAAATATGCAAGATCTCTGGGATGGAAACTGTAAAACTATATCAATAAACATAAAATTAAGGCTTGAATAAGCCAGGCTCAGTGACTCGGTGCTGGTCACAGTTATTCAGGAGGGAGGATTGCCTGAGCCCAGGAGTTCATGACCATCCTGGGCAACATAGCGAGACCCTGTCTCTAAAAAGAATAAATAAAAAGCTTGAGTAAATGGAGCAACATATCCCATCCTTGCACAGAAATAGTCAATATTTTTAAGATATTAATTTTTCTAAGTACATCTACAAATGTTCTGTAACCCAATAAAAATTTTAATGAGATTAAGAAATTTGATTCTGAAGTTCACATGAAAGATAAAGCTGTGAGACTAGCCAAGAAAATTCTGAGACAGCTATTGACCAGAGATGATCCAAATATTAAAACATGTTGTTAAATAACTTCATTAATGAAAAGAACATCATACTAGTATAGTAACAGCCCCCAAAAACAACTTATATAGAGAACCATATATATATGGAAATTTAGTGTATTATAAACATAGCCTTTCAAATAAATCACATAAATATTAAAACAGTATTAATACCTATTTGTTTAACAACTAGATGAAACAGATCAATTCCATGAAAGACATAAACTACCTAAATTCACTCAAGAAGTAAGTAACCTGAATAGTCCTAATATCTATTAAAGAATTTGTATCTGTAGCTATAATCCTTCCAAAAAAACAAAATCCAGATGGTTTCACTGGCAAATTCTAACACTTAAAGAAGGAATAACACTAATTCTGTACAATCTTTCCCAGAAAATAGAAGAGGGACAACTTTCCAACTCATTTTATGAGGTCAACATTACTGTGATCCAAAGCCAGATAAAAACATCACGAAAAGACATAGCATAAAAAACACAATGCAACTCATAATATTAAGAGGCTTAAGAATAAACCACTTAATCATCTCAGTGGATGCAGATAAGTACATCTGACAAAAGTCAACATTCATTCATGGTAAAATCTCCCAGCAAACTAGAAATAGAAGAAAATGAAAATTTCTTCAACCCGATAAATAGCAGCTACAAAAACCTACAGTTAACATGATACTTAATGGTCAAAGACTCAGTGCTTTCCCCCTAAGATTAGAGAACAAGCCAAGGATGACTACTCTCACTGCTATTCAACATCATCCTAGCCAGTGCAATAAAGCAGGAAATAAGAGACATACATTGTACTGAATACTATAGGCAATTAAAAAGAAAAGAGACATAACAGATTGAAAAGAAATAAAAGCATCTCTATTCTCAGATAACATGACTTTCTATGTAGAAAATCCCAAAAAATTCAAAACAAAGTATTCTACAATTAATGAACGAGTTTAGCAAGGTCACGAGAGACAAGATCAGTATATAAAAATAAATTGGCTGGGTACAGTGGCTCACGTCTGTGATACCAACACTTTGGGAGGAGAAGGCAGGAAGATCATTTGAGGCCAGGAGTTCAAGACCAGACTGGGCAACAAGCAAGATCCCATCTCTTTAAAAATTTTAATTATTTTAAAAAATAAAAATAAATCATATTTCTATGTAACAATAAAGAACAAGTGGAAATTTTTAAGTGTCATTTGTAGTAACATTGAAAGAAGGAAATACTTTGGTATAAATTTAATAAAATATGTGCAGAATCCAAATGCTGACGAAACAACGCTGGTAAAAGTTTTTTTAAAATATTAAATGTTTTTGGCCAGGCACTGTGGCTCACACCTGTAATCCCAGCACTTTGGGAGCCTGAGGCAGGAGGATCACGAGGTCAGGAGATCCAGACCATCCTGGCTAACACGGTGAAACCCCGTCTGTACTAAAAATACAAAAAATTAGCCAGGTGTGGTGGCAGGCACCTGTAGTCCCAGCTACTCGGGAGGCTGAGGTGGGAGAATGGCATGGAGGTGGGAGAATGGCATGAACCCGGGAGGTGGAGCTTGCAGTGAGCCGAGACTGCGCCACTGCACTCCAGCCTGGGCAACAGAGCGAGACTCCTTCTCAAAAAAAAATAATAATAATTAATTAATTTTAAAAAAATCTCATTCCCATTACTAGGTCCATATTATTTTTAAAATTATATTCAATTATCATACTGAATTTCATTAATAAAAAATTTTGTGGAAACTTGCTTTGTCTCTTTATATAAGTAATTTATTGAATTTTGCCTATTGGCATGCAAAACCTAAAAAATTTGCTATCTGGCCCTTTACAGAAGACATACAGCTCAATAGAACAGAATAGGGAGTCCAGAAATAAACTGACATATATGGTCAATTAATTTTTGACAAAGTTGCAATTCAATGGAAAAAGAATAGTCTTTTTAACAAACGTGCTGGAACAAGGGACATCCATGTATGGAAATAAAATTTTGACCCATACCTCAACTCATTACACAAAATTAATTCAAAATAAATCATAGACTTAAATACAAAATCTAAACCGTAAAACTTCTAGAAGAAAACACAGGAGAACATCTCTGTGACCTCACAGTAGGCAAAGATTTCTTAGATATGACACCAAAACCATAGTAAATTGGACTTCATCAAAATTAAAAACCTTTGTTCTCGGCCAGATGTAGTGGCTCACACTTGTAATCCCAGCACTTTGGGAGGCTGAAGCAAGTGGATCACTTGAGGACAGGAGTTTCAGACCAGTAGGGTCTCTACTAAAAATACAAAAATTAGCCAGGCGTAGTGGTGGACGCCTGTATTCCCAGCAACTTGGGAGGCTGAGGCAGGAGAGTCACTTGATCCTGGGAGATGGAGGTTGAAGTGAGCTGAGACTGTATCACTGCACTCCAGCCTGGATGACAGAGCAAGACTCTGTCTCAAAAAAAAAAAAAAAAAAAGAAAAAGAAAAAGAAACACTTACTGGAAGTCTTTATTCTCTAAAAGACAGTCTTAATAGGCCAGACATGGTGACTCACGGTGGTGAGTTCACCATGGTGGCTCATGGTGGCTCACCATGGTGACCGGGCATGATGGCTCATGCCCAGCACTTTGGGAAGACGAGGTAGGTAGATCATGAGGTCAGGAATTAGAGACCAGCCTGACCAACATAGTGAAACCCCGTGTCTACTAAAAATACAAAAATTAGTTGGGCACAGTGGCAGATGCCTATAATTCCAGCTACTGAGGAGGCTGAGGCAGGAGAATCACTTGAACCCGGGAGGCAGAGGTTGCAGTGAGCTGAGATCGTGTCACTGCATTACAGCCTGGGCAAAGGACAAGACTCTTCCTCAAAAACAAAAACAAAACCAAAACACTCTTAATAGAATAGAAAGAAAAAAACACTCTTAATAGAATAGAAAGACCATCCACTGAGTGGTAGAAAACATCTGTGAATTGTTGTATACAAAGTTGTATACAAAATATATAAAGAAGGCCAGGCACAGTGGCTCACACCTGTAATCCCAGGATTTTGAGAGGCTGAGGTGGGTGGATCACCTGAGGTCAGGAGTTCGAGACCAGTCTGGCCAACATGGTGAAACCCTATCTCTACTAAAAATACAAAAATTACCCAGGCGTGGTGGGGTGCGCCTGTAATCCCAGCTACTCAGAAGGCTGAGGCAGGAGAATCGCTTGAACCCAGGAGGCAGAGGTTGCAGTGAGCCGAGATAGCACCACTGCACTTCAGCCTGGGCCACAGAGCAGGACTCCATCTCAAAAAAGAATAAAAAATAGGCCAGGTGTGGTGGCTCACACCTGTAATTCCAGCATTTGGGAGGCCAACGCAGGCGGATCACAAGGTCAAGAGATCAAGACTATCCTGGCCAACATAGTGAAACCCCATCTCTCTAAAAATACAAAAATTAGCTGGGTGTGGTGGCGCATGCCTGTAGTCCCAGTTACTCAGGAGGCTGAGGCAGGAGAATCACTCGAACACAGGAGATGGAGGTTGCAGTGAGCCAAGATCGTGCCACTGCACTCCAGCCTGGCGACAGAGCGAGACTCCATCTCAAAATAAAAATAAATAAATAAATAAAATAAAGAACTTTCAAAACTCAACCATAAGAAAACTAACCACCCATGTTTTTTTAATGGGCAAAAGATTTGAAGATGCTTCACCAAAAAGAGCCAGGCACGGTGGCTCAAGCCTGTAATCCTAGCACTTTGGGAGGCCGAGGCAGGTGGATCACCTGCGGTCACAGGTTTCAGACTAGCCTGGCCAACATTGTGAAACCCTGTCTCCACTAAAAATACAAAAAAAAAAAAAAAAAAAAATCAGCCGGGCGCGGTGGCTCACGCCTGTAATCCCAGCACTTTGGGAGGCTGAGGCAGGCGGATCACGAGGTCAGGAGATCAAGACCATCCTGGCTAACAGGGTAAAACCCCATCTCTACTAAAAATACAAAAACAAAATTAGCCGGGCGTGGTGGTGGGCACCTGTAGTCCTAGCTACTCGGGAGGCTGAGGCAGGAGAATAGCATGAACCCAGGAGGCAGAGTTTGCAGTGAGCTGAGATCACGCCACTGCACTCTAGCCTGGGCAACAGAGCAAGGCTCCATCTCAAAAAAAAAAAAAAAAAATTAGCTGGATGTGGTGGTGCGCACTTGTAATCCCAGCTATTCAGGAGGCTGAGGCAGGAGAATCGCTGGAACCTGGGAGGCAGAGGTTACAGTGAGCTGAGATTATGCCACTGTACTCCAACCTGGGTGACAGAGCAAGACTCCATCAGAAAAAAAAAAAAAAGAACATATGCCTGACAAATAACCCCATGAAGAGAGATGCTCAACATCATTAATCATTAGGGAAATACAAATTTAAACCACAATGAAATACTACTACAAATTTATAAGAATAGCTAATATATATATATATTTTTTAGGCCAGGCACCGTGGCTCATGCCTGTAATCCCAGCACTTTGGGAGGCCGAGGCGGGCGGATCACCTGAGGTCAGGAGTTCGAGACCAGCCTTGCCAACATGGTGAAACCCCGTCTCTACTAAAAATACAAAAACTAGCAGGGCGTGGTGGCGCGTGCCTATAATCCCAGCTACTGAGGAGGCTGAGGCAGGAGAATCGCTTGAACCCGCGAGGCAGAGGTTGTAGTGAGCCGAGATCGTGCCATCGCACTCTAGCCTGGGCGACAAGAGCAAGACTCCATCTCGGGAAAAAAAATAAAAAATAAAATATATATATTTTAAGTGTTGGAGAAGGTACAGAGCAACTGGAAGACTTATCTATTGCCAGTGGGAATGCAAAGTGGTACAACCATTACGGAAAACATTTTGGAAGTTTCTCATAAAACTAAACATATACTATACAACCCAACAATCCCATTCATAAATTTTTACCCAACAGAAATGAAAACTTAAACACAAATGATTATAGAAGGCTTTACTCATAATCTCCAAAACTGGAAATAGACCAAATGTTCTCAATTAATGAATGGATCAACAAACTGTGGTATATTCATTCAGTGGAATTCTATTCAGCTATAAGAATGAACTATTGATACACCTGACATGCACAAATCTCAAATATATTAAGTGAAAGAAGTAAGACTCAGACTATATACACTGTATGATTTCATTTATATGACATTCTGGAAAAGACAAAAATAGGACTAGCAAACTAAAATCAGTACTTACCAGCAGGAGGGTAATAAGAATTAACTACAAAAGGGACATCATGAGGAAATTTGGGGGAATGATGTCTGAATTTGGTTGTGGTAGTAATTACACAACTCTGTACATTTGTCAAAATTCATAGAATTATGGGTGGGCACAATGGCTCACACTTGTAATCTCACTACTTTGGGAGGTGGAGACAGGTGGATCACATAAGGCCAGGAGTTCAAGACCAGCATGGTCAACATGGTGAAAACCCATCCCTACTAAAAATAAAAAAATTAGCCAGGCCTGGTGGCGTGCACCTAAAGTCTCACCTACTTGTGAGGCTGAGGCACAAGAATCGCTGGAATCCAGGAGGCAAAGGTTGCAGTGAGCCGAGATCCCGCCACTGCACTCCAGCTTGGGCAACAGAGCGAGACTCCATCTCCAAACAACAACAAAGATTCACAGAATTATAACCAGAAGGAGTGAATTCTACTATATGTAAACTGAGATTTTAATCATTAATGTTTTTAAGTGTTGAGAAAATTGGCTAGCTCACTCCAGCAAAATAAGCCCCAGATGGATAAAGGTTTAAACATAAAAAATTTCATTATAAAAGCACTTTTATAATTATAATTAATTATATTATTATTAGGAGAAGGAGTGAATTCTACTATATGTAAACTGAGATTTTAATGATTAATGTTTTTAAGTGTTGAGAAAATTGGCTAGCTCACTCCAGCAAAATAAGCCCCAGATGGATAAAAGTTTAAACATATAAAATTTCATTATAAAAGCACTTTTATATTATTAGAGTGGGGACTTTTTTAAAAAAATAAGTATGACCTATAACCTGGAAACTATAAAGAAACAGGCTAATAAATCTGATTACATAAAAAAAAACAACTTTTCTTTGAAAAAAAGGTAAAAAGCTGACAGACAACCTGGGGAAAACACCTGTAATACATTTGCAAAAGCACCTGTTCCATTGAGCCTAGACCCCGCTTTCCACCATTGTATCACATTGATGGAGAGTTTTCCAAACACAGGAGAGAGGTTCAAATGTCAAATGTCCAATTTTCATTTCTGAAAAGAAAACTGAAGAATCATGCCCACAGAATATCATTTATGGAAAAATGATAAATAATGCTACACTTGTATAGGCTAATCTATATATGTGTGCAAATACATTTAAAAAACTTTAAGAAGCTTATTTACCAAACTATGACCATGGAGAGGAAATCAGGGAAGGGGATGGCGGTTACAAAGAATTTTGGTTTGCCTATTAGTTTGAATTTCTCAACAAGAATATATTCATGTAACACTTGTTAAATTTAAAATTAATTTGAGAGCATGCAAATCATCCATAAAAATCATCTCCTCAAAATTTCTAAATGTTTAAAACCTAAGCAAAATAACTATTTTAAAGCGAGTGATTTGGTTTAGACAAATATAGTTAGGAAACAGCTTACTTATAGTTTCTGTACTACTTAATAGTACAAAGGAAATCCCTGAATAATTGAGATAGTCCATGTATTAATGCCCATTTTTGCAACTCATAGTCTGTATTGTCTTCAATTGCTGTATCTTTGCTTCTAACAACATATTGTTGGGCACTCTGAATTCTATTAAAGTATAGATGGTGGCTTATTCACATTTTTATTTCAAGTTTCATCTGGCATATAGTAAGCACACAGTGAAAACTAAATCGAATTAAGCAACTCTGTTTTGTGAGATCCTTCAAAACACATAAATTTCATTTGTTGGGCCGGGTGCAGTGGCTCATGCCTGTAATCCCAGCACTTTGGGAGGCCGAGGTGGTGGATCACCTGAGGTCGGGAGTTCGAGACCAGCCCGATCAACATGAAGAAACCCCGTCTCTACTACAAATACAAAATTAGCCAGGCATGGCAGCGCATGCCTGTAATCCCAGCTACTTGGGAGGCTGAGGCAGGAGAATCGCTTGACCCCGGGAGGCGGAGGCTGCAGTGGGCCGAGATTGCGCCATTGCACTCCAGCCTGGGCCACAAGAGTGAAACACCGTCTCAAAAAAAAAAAATGTTCATGCGTTTGTTTCCAAAGCATACAGTATAATGCTTAGATCACTTATTGAGCCCTTGCCGAATGCCAAGGACTTTTCTAAGTCCTGTACTTTACATGTTTTAATGCATCTAATCCTCACAACAATTCTGTGAGGAATTGTTATACAATCCTCATTTTATACTAGGAAACCAAGGCACAGAAAGGTCCAGTAATTTGCCTAAAGACATTAAGAGCTGGAATTTAATCTGAGGCAATATGGCCAGAGTTCAGTTTTAACCATTACAATATAATGCTTCCCAATCACTGAATGAAAGAATATGTGTACAGCCCTTGGTCTACAATGCGTCTCTGAATTATAACATCATTCCCAGGGAAACAATCAAAGAAGCCCTATTCTAAGATACTGTATTGAATATCAGCAATTTGGGTACTGTTGTACGATACAATAGATAGACAGATAGATAGATAGATAGATAGATAGATAGATAGATAGATAGATAGATAGATAGGGTATAGTATTTGTACCCCTTCAAAGAATTGGGAGCTTATTGGTTTAATTATATCTAGCCGACTAGTATAATGGCTAGGTTTACTGCCTTTTGTGAAGCTGTAAGATTTGTTTATGAGTGTCACCATCCACTATAATGTTTACCATCAATCTTGAGAGAAAAGAAATGTTTGAACCATAGTAACTTCAAGGAGTGTATCCTTCAATTTCTCAGCATGTATTCATGGTATATGGATGTGAGTGTTTCCATATAAGAGAGGGGTAGAGTCCAGGAGCCTGAACACGGAGGTTGTCATCTCAGCTCTACTGGGTGACTCTGAAGAAATTATGACCTTATCTGGGCCTCCATCTGGAAAGAAATGACTAGGTGGAGCATCTAGGTTTGCTTTATTTTTTCAGTAGTGGGCCTTGAGCACAATGTGATGAATTATCCAGGGATTGTTGAAGGGCATCAAAAGGGTCCAGCTCACTGTGGGCAACTGTTTTTTAACAGTTCAGAGCCTGAAATTTTTGGGCATAAGATACTTTTCCCAGTGGCCTTCACACCCTCCCACCTCATGATTGTGATTATAATAATTAACAATTAACCTGGCAGAGTTAAGAAAAAAGATATAAAATTAGTACCCTGCAATTGTCTGTCTTGATCTGTAAGGTCATCCTTCTTCCAAAATTCCTACCCTATCTTCCATCTAAGGTAAATTCTGAGTCAGCCAGTTCTGGTACTGGATTTGGTTACAGAGAATTGGGATCCAGTTTTGAAAAGGCCGGAAAAACGTGCAAGGTCTAACAAATTCAATTTGGAAATGGCAAGGATTGGTTTTGGAAAGAAAAATGACTGAGGATATGACCGGGTGAAGACAGGGCCAAGCAGCCAAGTTCACATCATTTTCTGGGACGAAGCAGAGAATGGGGAAGACATTTTGGATGGGGTGTTGCAGTCTGTGAAGACTGATGGGGAAAGGGGGTTTTTAGGATGTTTGCAGCGCATTAATAATCCACTCCCCCACCCATCCTGTAACTGCATTCAATTGTTTGGGGTTTTTTTTCCCCCTGTATGCTCATTACGGAGACTAGGCTATGTAAATCCCTAGCTATACTCACATTATATACTACCATTTATTTGGCATTTATGTGTCAGGTATTGTAGTAAGCACTTAAACATGCATTTTCTCATTTGACCCAAAAAAGAAAAGAATACACCAACAAAAAACCTTTGAGTTTGCTATTATTATTAATTACTATTATTATAATTTCAATTTTAGGGATAGGAAATTGAGACTCAGAAAGATAAAATGACATGTCTACATTAATTGGTGGGTCAAGATCTGAAGCCAGGTCTCTGTGATTCCACTGAACAAATTATTTAGCATGAGCCTCCTCCGCCCCAGGCACTCTAGGACCCTGGATCTAGGCATGAACCTGACGAAGTCCCTTTGCTCGCGGAATGGGCTATCCAGAACATCATCAGAGTGAAAGGTGCTATGTACACAGTAAAATGGGGAACGAGCCGCTCAAACCCTACTCCATCAGGACTCTTGGGGGTGGGCGATTTCCGCCCCCGGCCCGGGGCGTTGCATTAGGTCGGGGCCGTCGGGTCGTGGTGCCGGCGGCTGGCTGGGCGCGGGGCTGGCGGTGCGGGTCGCAGGCGGCTCCCAGCGGCAGGACCGGCAGCAGCCCTCCCTCACCCGGGGCGCCGGGACCACGGACGCACCTCACTGTGGTCCGGCCGCTGGCGGCGCTCGGGGACCCATTGGCCCCGGCCCGCGGCAACTGTCGGCCCCGCGCGGCGCCCGCCCTCATGCTGGAGCCCGGGAGTCCCTCACTCCACCTCTCCCTGCCACGCCAAGGGGGCCCGCCCCTCCCAGGCTCTCCTGCCTGGGGCGACCCAGTCCCACGACCCGGTCCGGCCCAGGGACACCCCGACCCACCTCCCCACTCCCGTCCCGTTAGACCGCGACCCGTCCCTGGGACCGCCTAATGTGACACGCCCGGGACCCTCCCTGCAGGCGACTCCCTGCAGGGCCCCCGCCCTGGACACTCCCTCCAGGTGACCCCGTTCCGCTCGCTCCGTGAGGTGACCCCGACCCTCTCCGGACCACCTCCTCAGGTGACCCCGACCCTCTCCGGACCCTCCCCGACCCTCCCCTCAGGTGAACCCGACCCTCCCCGGACCATCCCGTCGGGTGACCCCAACCATCCCCGAACCCCCCCACCCTCCCCTCAGGTGACCCCGACCCTCTCTGGACCCTCCTCACAGGCGGCCCCGCCCCACCCCGGGACCCTCCCGCCAGGTGACCCCGACAAGGCCGGGCCCTCCTGCCTGAGGTGACTCCTACCCGGCTGGGGACCCCCGAGGCCTCCCTCGCTCCTTAAGTGAGGGCGACTCCGCTCATCCCGGGACACCGCGCCTTCTCCTGTAAACTCGACGCCTGCCCCGACGGCCGAATTCCAGAAGGTTCCTCGCCGCCGCCTCGCCTTCGGTCGCGCCCCAGCGCCCGGCCAGAGGCGGGGAAGCCCTTCCCCCGGTGCCAGGAGTGACGAGGGCCCAAGGAAAGACAGTGCGTGAGGAGAAATGGAGAAACGGCCAAAGTCGAGTTTCCGGGTGTGAAGACTTCCACTGCTGCGAAACGCACGTGCGCAGAGTCATTCCTGTCAGAGGCCACCGCGCCCTCGCTCGGCTACCGCCGCTGCGCGCCCCCTGCTGGACATAGGCGCGGGCACAGAGCAGTGCGCAAGCACGGGCTGCCGCGCGGCCGGGTGCGAACCGCGTACTCGCAGGGTGGCTGACTGCGCACGCGCAAGTCAGAGCGCCCTCTGCCGGGCATGGGCGACATGCAGGGGGCACCGCGCAGGCGCGGGGTTGGGCTGGCCGGAGCGGCCGAGGCGGCCGGGGGTGGACCGGGCACCTGCAGGGGCGGCCGACTGCGCACGCGCCATCCGCGGCGCCCCCTGCAGGAGCCGGAGCGGCCGCTGCGTCCGCCAGTAGCGGGTTGCAGGCGCACCCTCCCCTCCAGGGCGGCCACGCAGCTGTCAGTGCCGCCGCCACTGCGAGGCTGGAGCGGAGCCCGGGTGGCCGAGGGAGGGGACCCCGCGAGAGGGCCGCGCGCCGGCCGCCGCCGCCCCGGCGCCCAGGCTCGGTGAGTGCCGCCGGGACCCGCCGCTCGCGCGCTCGTTCCCGGGGCTTGCGGTCCCCACCCGGGTCCGCCCTTCCCACCCTCGCCGGCCAGCTCGGGCCTCGGGCCCCCCCCAGCTCCGGCCTGGCCTGCGGGCCCCTCCCGCGACCCCGCATCCCCTCCGGCCGCGCCCGCGCCCGCCCCTCCTGCCGCGGCCTCGGCTCCGGGCGCTCCCTGCAGGTGCCGCTCCCTCAGCGTCGGCTCCCATCCGAGCCTTGGGCGTGTCCCGCACTGCGGGCAGTGCCTGAGCCCGCGCCGCGCGGGGAAGCTCGACCCTGCGGAGACTCGGCACGGCCCGGGCCCTCTGTGTGCGCCCAGAAGGTGGATATGTAGCGACCGACAGCCCCGGCCCCGAGGGATGCAGGCGTCCGCCGCGCACTTGCGGAGATGGCGCCGCTTTCCGGCCGCAGGGATGCCGGGCGCGCGGTGGCAAAGCCGCCCGGGTTGGATTCCGCCTGCTCCCACCCTCTGGTTCCGAGGAGCCTCCAAATCCGAATCCAAGGCCCACGGTCCGCGGCGGGCGTTTGCTGCGCCCTCCACTGTGTGGGAACGGGAAAGGGGAGCCGCTAGTCCAGGCGGAGGGGCTTGTGGCAGTCGCCGGAGGCCGCGTTCTCGGCGCCCTCGGTCAGGACGCCTGTGTGCATCGCGTCCGTGTGTCTTGGCTCTGTTCCAAGCCGGCTCCACGCTTCAGAAGGGCCGGGACGGCCTTATGGTCAGGGGCGTGGGGAAGGCGCTTGGTGTCTGTCGCACAGATGAAGCCATGTCCTCAGGGGGTAATTGCCGCTTGTTCTCCGGGTTACGTCCTGGACTGTGCACTCCGGGAAGGCGTCGATTGGATCTTGTTGGGGTTTGTGTTCCTGGAACTCCAGAAATGCCCGCTGAGTGAGTAGCCGAGACCCCGCGACAGCATGGAGCCCAGGCAGGGAGCACGTGGGAGAGGTTCACTCTTCTCCTGGGCATCCCGTCATTTTATTCAGATAGTCTGGGCGCTGCCTTTTGTAAACTTGAAAAGACTAAGACTGTTTTAGAAAGTTTGCCTCATGAGAAATGTAAGAGAAAGGGAAAAATAGATAAAAATGGATGTCATGGGAATCTCCCCCACACTTTCATTTTTAACTTCTTAGATAATTTTTCTTTTAAATTGAACCTTTGCTAACTCTACCTGAAAAACAGGACGACGTCTCTCCCTTCCTAAAGTGACTTACCACCATTCTGACCAGACAGGCTTTTGGAACAGGAGAGGGTAGCACGAGTTGTTTCTAAAAAGATGTTAGCCTTCCATCTGCATGAGCCAGGCAGTCTCATGGGAGCCCATTTTGACGTAGTCTCAACTGGGAAGGCCCAGGTAAGATCCCTAGTTTGCCATTTCTTCCCCAGCCCTGCTTCCGGAGACTGTGGAATCTATTGAGGGGAAGCATTCTGGAACTTTGGGGACGGCTCTGACGGGGAAGGCCTTGTGCACAATGGAAAGATGAATTGGAAGCCGGGCTAAGTGGCTCACACCTGTAATCCCAGCACTTTGGGAGGCAGAGGCGGGCGGATCACTTGAGTTCAGGAGTTCGAGACCAGCCTGGCCAACATGGCGAAACCTCATCTTTACCAAAAATATAAAAAATTAGCCGGGCATGGTGGCACGTGCCTGTAATCCCAGCTACTCAGGAGGCTGAGGCAGAAGAATCGCTTGAACATATTAGGTGGAGGTTACAGTGAGCTGAGATGGCACCACTGCCCTCCAGCCTGGGCGACAGAGCAAGACTCTGTCTCAAAAAAAAAAAAAAAAAAAAAGATGAATTGGACACAGTCCCTGCTCTTGGAGGGGTCTTAGGATAGAGCTAAAGAGATGCTTTATTCACAAGTAACTGTGACATAAGACAGAACAAGATGAGTACCACATGACACATCCAGAAAAGGTGCAACAGGTGACCAGAGGTGGAGGAGAGTTGGCTCCAAGAAGAGCAGAGGGTCTCCACCCAGGCTTCCCGTTACAATCACCTGGGAAGCCAGCCTGGGCCCAAAACAGCCCAGAATCTCCAGGGGTGGGCCTCAGATGTCAGTTTCTGTCTTAAAGTGCCCTGGAAAATTCCATTGTGCAGGCAGCCAAGACAAAGAGCCCCTGAAACAAGCTTCACAGAGGCCATGGTACTAGAAGTGGGCTGGGAAGTGATGGGTAGGTAGAGAAAGGTATCCGGGTGATATTCTAGGCAGACAAAACACTGAAGGCCCACATCTTGTGGGGAAGAGTGAGGCATGTCAGGCCCTGTCCTGGGAGAGTTTTGCAGACCCCATTCCCCTGAATGGCTCAGAGTGTTTGTGGTGTTGGAGAGGTTTGGAGTCAACAGGCAGACAGGTGCCTTTGCGGGAGCCGTGTAACGAGGTCCTTGCTAACTTGCTTGTTGGAGAACATCCATGGTTACCTCCCTCTGGGGACTTTCCATTGCCTCATTACCTCGTTTCCTGCACCTAGGGAGGCAGAACAGCTAGCTGGCTGGAGAACGGGACTGAAGCCACGGCAAGGGTTAGGGAAACAGGCAGTAGCAGAGATTTTGTGGAAGTCTGTCCCGATAGCTCCCTTTGGAACCACGTCTCTGGCTTAAAAATACACCCTATGAACCCCTGCCAGAGCTTCATTGTAAACGCAGAGCCTGTGATCCTAGGGAGGCAGCCGCCTCCAACTCCAGGCAGCGCCTGTGGTGCTGAGTATGAGCGCCAGCAAGCTAGGGCTCCATCAGGGCCTGCGATGCCAGTGCCACAGCCTCAAACCAGCCTCCCCAGCTCTCAGCCAATGGCTGTGGGTTGTGCATTTGTTCCTACCTCATCCCCACAAGGGCCACTGAGGTTATAAATTGGCCTTGGCCAGTGCAAGTGATTCACATCTGTAATCTTGGCACTTTGGGAGGCCAAGGCGGGAGGATCACTTGAGGCCACAAGTTGGAAGAACAGCCTGGGCAACATGGCAAGATCCCATCTCTAAAAAAAAAAAAAAAAAAATCAAACAATTAGCCGGGCATGGTGGTGCACACCCATGGTCCCAGCTATTTGGGAGACTGAGGTGGGAGGATCACTTGAGCCAGGAGGTCAAGGCTACAGTGAGCCATGATCACACCACTATCTATACTCCAGCCTAGGCAAAAGAGTGAGACCCTGCATGAAAAAAAAAAAAAGGCCTCAGACTTTTTTTTTCATGTGTACTGTTATGTGTAAAAGAATGAATGTAAACATGCAGCCCAATATATATTATGTGTTATAAATTACAATTACTGTCCTGATGTATTATGGACATAGAAATATATACAAATTTGGATCTTTTAAAGGGACGAAGGCCAGACAGACATGGTGGCTCACACCTGTATACCCAGCACTTTGGGAGGCTGAGATGAGACAATCCCTTAAGGCCAAGAGTTTGAGAACAGTCTGGGCAACATAGTGAGACCCTGTCTCTACTAAAAAAAAAAAAAAAATAGCCAGGTATGGTGGCGTGCACCTGAAGTCCCAGCTACTGTGGAGGCTGAGGAGGGAGGATCGCTTGAGCCTGGGAATTCAAGAATGCAGTGAGCTATAATGATGCCATTGCACTGCAGCCTGGGAAACAGAGCAAGACCCTGTCTCTAACAGAGAAAAAAAAAAAAGGATGAGAGGTGAAATAAACATGATTAAATTTATCCAACATATGAATGCTACAAAAACTATTGTATAAACATGCTTTTTAAAGATGAAAGCCATGTGTCCACATCCCATTTATAAACTCTCATTGAATCCTAAGTCCCAGCATTTAAGATCAATTGTAAGTTCTGTTTATTGGCCAGACGAGGTGGCTCACGCCTGTAATCCTAGCACTTTGGGAGGCCGAGGTGGGTGGATTGCTTGAGGTCAGGAGTTCTAGACCAGCCTGGTCAACATGGTGAAACCCCGTCTCTACAAAAAAAAAAAAAAAAAAAAAAATTAGCTGGGCGTGGTGGCGGGCACCTGTAATTCCAGCTACTCAGGAGGCGGAGGCAGGAGAATCACTTGAACCTGGGAGGCAGAGGTTGCAGTGAGCCGAGATTGCACCTTTGCACTCCAGCCTGGGCAACAAGAGTGAAACTCTGTCTCAAAAAAAAAAAAAAAAGTTCTGTATATTTCAGGCCCTAGTTATTAACAGCATTTACACATTAACATGATACAGAGAAAGGCACAGACCCTGTGCTTACGAGGCAGGGTACTTGTTTTTCAATTTCATTTACCCATCATCTGAGGGCCCTTGATGAATTTGGGCTGGGTATGTTCAGGGGCTATCAGGGTAGGTGGAGATTCTGGTGTTGAAGATGTTTTGGTGTGCGGGTGTAAATGTTCATATAGACAGTACGCTTGTAGCATCATTGGGAACGCAGTCACGTAATTGTGGAAACCTCTTCAAACGTCTGTTTTCACAAATGCTCTATTCTTGGTACAGATTCTTTTTGAAAAGCTGTAACTCTCATATACTGTCACTTTTTCTTTGAAGGGACAGATTACGTTGTGTCTATTTAAAAGAAAAAAGGTAGATGACACACTGCTGCAGTCATTTGTCATTAAAAACGAAAAAATGTCTCCGGATTTGGAACTTTTCACAAAAGAAAATCTGTACCTTCTCCTTAAATTCTCTGACTCTTTGAAATACTAAGCCATGAAATGACCAGTAAACCTCCAAGTCACACAAAAGATACTCATGGTCATTTTCCACATCACTGCGAAGCATTGTAAAGCTTTCGCTATTTAAGGGTCTTGAGTTTTTGTGGTTTGTTTGTTTGTTTTAATTGACCACAACTGGAAAGCTCTGAAACTTGTAAACTCCAACACGCCTAGGATGCTTAAAGTAGACTTGTGGTGAGGGCCCACCATCACTCCCCACATCACAGGGTGCCTCCTCCTCAGTCAGGATGCCACGGCTGCTGACATACAAGCCAGCGTGAACACCAGGGTCTGTCCAAGTATTAAATGTCAGTAAAGCTGGCAGGGTGTGGTATCGCATGCCAGTGGTCCCAGCACTTTGGGAGGCTGAGGCAAGAGGATCATTTGAGCCCAGGAGTTTGAGACCAGCCTGGGCAACATAGTGAGACTCGTCTCTACAAAAAAAAGCCAGGTGTGGTGGTACATGCCTGTAGTCCCAGCTACTTAGGAGGCTGAGGCAGGAGGATCACACCACTGCATTCCAGCCGGGATAACTGTGTGTGACTGAGATCCTGTCCCTACAGGAAACAAACAAACAAACAAACAAATCAGTGAAGCCATTTTTTTCACATTTTTAAAGAAAAATACTTACAAGTAGATTTTTTCATCACTTTTTCACTGCTGCAGGTTGTCTAGCCCACCCCATTTGGAGACCACTGGGAAGGGGTGAGGACCATACTCTATAAATGTGCCTGCTTTTTTTATATATTAATAATATTTAGGGCCGGGCACAGTGGCTTACACCTGTAATCCCAGCACTTTGGGAGGCAGAGGCAGGCAGATCACTTGAGGTCAGGAGTTCGAGACCAGCCTGGCCAACATGGTGAAACCCCGTCTCTACTGAAAATACAAAAATTAGCTGGGCGTGGTGGCGAGTGCCTGTAATCCCAGCCACTCAGGTCGCTGAGGCAGGAGAATCGCTTGAACTCAGGAGGTGGATGTAGCCATGAGCCAAGATCACGCCATTGCACTCCAGCCTGGGCAACAAGAGTGAAACTCCGTCTCAAAAAAAAAAAAAAAGAACTAATATTTAAGTCTGGCACGGTGGCTCACACCTGTGATCCTAGCACTTCAGGAGGCTGAGGCAGGTGGATCACCTGAGTTCAGGAGTTCAAGACCAGCCTGGCCAACATAGCAAAACTCCATCTCTACTAAAAATACAAAAAATTAGCTGGGTGTGGTGGCGGGCATCTGTACTCCTCAGCTACTTGGGAGGCTGAGGCAGGAGAATCACTTACTTGAACCTGGGGGCCGGAGGTTGCATTGAGCCAAGATCGGGCTGCACTCCAGCCTGAGTGATAGAGCGAGATGCCGTCTCAAAAAAAAAAAAAAAAATTACTGGTGTTTGGGCATTTCATCCACAGGATCCATTGAATTAGACATTTTCAAATATTTACTGTGTACCCGTCTCTCAAAAAAGATAATGTCCTAGATAAAGGATTAAACAAAACCAGTCACCCTCACCCAGCATCACTGCCCATTGGGACACACCCCGAGCTCCCTTCTTGGTGCAACATCCAGCGCCTTGATGACATGGGCCCAGGGTCTGCGCCTTTCCTGGCTCATTCTCTGCACTGCCACTCGGAATGACTCGCTGCTCCCCATACACAGTCTGTCTCCAGGATCCTGTAATGTCCTTCCTGTCCCAACTAATGAGTCATTCAAGACCGGCTTCCCATGTCACCTCCCCCCATCACCCTCCCGGGCCATCTCCCTGTCTTGCTCGCTGTCTCACACACGCAATTAATTCCTGTCTTCTCCTGAATCTTGCCATACTTTATTTAGCATCCGTCACAGCAATTACAGTGCATGCAAGTGTTCAGGGACTGTGAACTCCTTGGATTAAGAATGTTATCATCGGCCAGGCGTGGTGGCTCATGCCTGTAATCCCAGCATGCACTTTGGGAGGCTGAGGCGGGTGGATCACAAGGTCAAGAGTTTGAGACCAGCCTGGCCAGCATGGTGAAACCCTGTCTCTACTAAAAATACAAAAAATTGGCAAGGCATGGTGGCGCACGCCTGTAATCCCAGCTACTCAGGAGGCTGAGGCAGCAGAATCGCTTGAACCCAGGAGGCGGAGGTTGCAGTGAGCTGAGATCACACCACTGCAGTCCAGCCTGGGCAACAGAGTGAGACTCCGTCTCAAAAAAAAAAAAAAAAAGAATGTTATTTTCATTTCCAAATCCTTAGTACCTTGTACAAGTGCCCATCAGACAGCAAAAACTTGGCAATTGTTGAATGAACAAATGCTTTTTTGTCTTGTATACCCTAAAAGACCATGGATTCTACCGGCCTCCATTAATTGACTGTCCTCCGTGCCTCAGTGCGCATACACGCGGATCTTTGATGCTGGCTGGCTGTTGCAGACTCCTGGTGTCAATATTGGGATGTTGGGTCCTCCCCTGAAGGAAAAGCACCAAATGTGACCAGCACCACACCTGTGGCAAAGCGAGCAGAGCCATGGTTGGCGGCTCTCTTTGTGCATCTTGGGGCGGTTCACCTGTGGCTTTATCAAGGCCCCCTTCTTTCCATGAGTGGATTTCTCTATGCCTTTGTGGACAGGCTTTCATGGAGGGAGGTGTAACCAAGCTCAGAATACAACAGGAACACATGGCGTAATGGGTCTTGTGCCCCTCACTCTGGCCTGTCCCTTCTGTTCATGGGTCTCAAGACCCACCACCCCCAGGGACCTCTGCTCCATATATGCAGATATAAAAACTTCTTTTGAAAGGGCTCATAAGGGCCAGGCAGCATGGCTCATACCTATAGTCCCAGTACTTTGGGAGGCCAAGATGGGAAGAAGATTGTTTCAGGCCAGGAGTTTCAGACCAGCTTGGGCAACATAGCAAGACTCCATCTCTGCAAAAAATATAATAAGTAGCCAGGTATGGTGGCATGTGCCTGTGGTCCCAGCTGCTCAGGGGGCTGAGGCAAGACGATCACTTGAGCCCAGGAGCACCAGGCTGCGATGAGCCCTGCTCACGCAACGGCACTCCAACCTGGGTGACAAAGCAAGACTGTGTAAAAAAAAAAAGGGCACATAGGAATTGGGTGGCAAATTCAAGCCTATGGTGCACACAAAAATACCTGCAAACCACAAATAAAGAAATGGAGGAGGCAATCGGTGCGGGTCTTTGGACACAAGAAGACAGCCACAGCTGTGGCACACTGCAAACGCGGCAATGGTCTCATCAAGGTGAACGGGCGGCCCCTGGAGAAGATTGAGCCGCCCACGCTACAGTACAAGCTGCTGGAGCCAGTTTTGCTTCTCAGCAAGGAGCGATTTGCTGGTGTGGACATTCGTGTCCGTGTGGAGGGTGGTGGTCATGTGGCCCAGATTTATGCTACCCGTCAGTCCATCTCCAAAGCCCTGGTGGCCTATTACCAGAAGTATATGGATGAGGCTTCCAAGAAGGAGATCAAAGACATCCTCATCCTGTATGACCGGACCCTGCTGGTAGCTGATCCCCGTCCCTGCGAGTCCAAAAAGTTTAGAAGCCCTGGTGCCTGTGCTCGCTACTAGAAATCCTACCGATAAGCCCATCGTGACTATCAAAATTCACCTGTATAATAAACAGATTTTGAAGGATTTTAAAGTTTCAAGGAAAAAAAAAAAAGAAATGGAGGAGTTTGGGATTTCTCCAATTTGCTGCTGAGCACTGGCCGCCTGAAGAGCCACAGCGCTTGTTAACTGGCACAGCCGATGGCTCTTGAGCTGACAACAGTTACTGGAAAGACCATTTGTAGAAGAATTTGTGCCATCAAGAGAGTTCTGAGAAATGAGCAGCCTGCAGTATGCGCTCACTCTGCACCGAGTCAGTTGCTTACCTAAAAAACAAACATTGAGATACTCAATGATATGTGTGATGTTTAATATTTTAACAGTAAGCAAACCTTTTATAGAGAGGGGAAAAGGTTTGCCTTCCCTTTCCTGACTGTGTCCCGGGACTAGTGAAGAGAGCCTCTTCAAAGGGAAGTTCTTGAAGCTCTGCTCTTGTCCTCTTGCTGGGCAGAGGCGGCAGCTTTAGGAGTGGCTGGAGTCCTGAGTGTTTAACTTAGAGTAGCTGATGGGGGCTCAGCCGGGGCCGGTCCTGGGCCTCAGTCATCAGCACTTCTGGAGACTCTGCCGCCTCGGCGTCAAGTGCAGAAGGAACATTAACTTCTTTCTCTTGTGTACATTTGCTTTTGTAACAAAAAACTTGCCAGATTTTGTAATTCTAGGATCTCTTCCTTTAAACTCCTTTTGCTGAAACAGAACAGATGCAAGCGTAGTGTTCAGTGAGACTTTAGGTAAAGCCTCACACGTATCAGGCAACAAGCTGGGTGCCGTGGGGGCACAGAGATAAAACCTCGGCAGGGCACAGTGGCTCACGCCTGTAATCCCCACACTTTGGGAGGCCGAGGCGGGCGGATCACTTGAGGTCAGGAGTTTGAGACCAGCCTAGCCAACATGGCAAAACTCCGTCTCTATTAAAAATACAAGAATTAGCCGGGCGTGGTGGCATGTGCCTGTAGCTACTTGGGAGGCTGAGATGGGAGGATCACTTGAACCTGGGAGGTGGAGGTTGTTGTGAGCCGAGATCGTGCCCAGCCTCGGCGACAGAGCGAGACTCTGTCTCAGAAAAAAAGAAAAGAAAAGAAAAGAAAACTTCTATTAAGGTGATGGGGCTTAGGGGTCTTTTTTACCTTTCAGTTTCTGATGTTATGTTCTAGGAGTGATATGCAAAACTTGTATGAAGTTGGAAGTTGTTCTGTGTTTTTAGGACCCACAGGTTGTAGTAGTGTAGTAGTTAGAAGACAGACTTGGAAGTTAAAACAAGCCAAGGTTCAAGCCCTGACTTGGCAGCTTCTTGCTGTGTGATTTTGGGCCAGGCATTTCCTCCTTGTTTCTTCGTCTGCAAAAGGGTGATGTTCCAGGTCAGGAGATCGAGACCATCCTGGCTAGCACAGGGAAACCCTGTGTCTACTGAAAAATACAAAAAAAATTAGCCGGGCGCTGTGGTGGGTGCCTGTAGTCCCAGCTACTCGGGAGGCTGAGGCAGGAGAATGGCGTGAACCTGGGAGGCGGAGTTTGCAGTGAACAGAGATCGCGGCACTGCACTCCAACCTGGGAGACAGAGTAAGACTCCGTCTCAAAAAAAAAAAAAAAAAAAGGGTGGTGTTGCCAGAAGCCAGGAGAGGATGAGGAGGTTGTAGAAGCAGAGTGCTTACAAGCAGGAAAGCAGAGTTTCAGCTGGGTACAGTGGCTCACACCTGTCATCCCAACACTGTGAGAGGCCAAGGTCGGCGGATCACTTGAGGTCAGGAGTTTGAGACCAGCCTGGCCAAAGTGGTGAAACCCCATCTCTACTAAAAATACAAAAGTTAGCTGGATGTGGTGGTGGGTGCTTGTAATCCCAGCTATTTGGGAGGCTGAGGTAGGAGAATCGCTTGAACCTGGGAGGTGGAGGTTGCAGTGAGCTGAGATGGCACCACGGCACTCCAGCCTGGGCCACAAGAGTGAAACTCTGTCTCAAAAAAAAAAAAAAAAATAGAGCTTATATTCTTTTTTTTTTTTTTTTTGAGACAGGGTCATCTCGGAGCTGATGACTCTGAGTTAGCACCATCTCGGTTCACTGCAACCTCCACCTCCTGGGTTCAAGCAATCCTCCCACCTCAGCCTCCCGAGTAGCTGGGACAGGCACACGTCACCACACCTGGCTAATTTTTGTGTTTTTAGTAGAGACAGGGTTTTGCCATGTTGGCTGGGTTGGTCTTAAACTCCTGACCTCAGGTGATCCGCCCAGCTCAGTCTTCCAAAGTGCTGGAATTGTTCAGGCATGAGCCACCGTGCCCGGCCAGGTGTTTATTTTCTAAATCCAAAATTTTTTATCAGATCTGCTCAGTTTTAAGTAACATCCTCAAAATCTATTTTGCTCTTCTGTTTTCTAACTTGGTAAGAGGTGTTTTATAATTATTTTCCAAATTACACTCAAACACCTTCCATCTGTCCAAAGGTGCTGGAGAGTCATGCCTGTGAGCCCTGGGCACCTCCTGATGTCCTGCGAGGTCACGGTGTTCCCAAACCTCAGGGTTGCCCTGCCCCACTCCAGAGGCTCTCAGGCCCCACCCCGGAGCCCTCTGTGCGGAGCCGCCTCCTCCTGGCCAGTTCCCCAGTAGTCCTGAAGGGAGACCTGCTGTGTGGAGCCTCTTCTGGGACCCAGGTGAGTTCCCTGGTACTGCCCTGCAGCCTGTGTGGGAAGGGGGGTGGTCTATCTTTCTGACCTTCTCTCCCAGCCCTGGGACTGGAGAGGACAAGATTAAGCATGGGGATCTTTCCTTTCTTGGCCAGACTTCCAGTAAGGGAGGTTGTCTGTTCCTCTAACCAGAAGACTTCTTTGAACTGTGACGGTTTTATATTCCTCACTTGGTAGAGGCAGAACGTTCATCTCAGCCAACCCCACGCCCATCTGGAGTGTACTTCCCCGGGATGATGGCCCCAAATGGAGGCACCGGCCTCTTCTTTTTGCCTAAACCACTTCTAGAAACCTTTTATAAACCACAGGCCTTAATGTGTATCTTTAAGTCACTGCTGTTTTATTCATCATCAGCAACTGACTTTGAGACAGGTCTTCTACCTTATTAATTTTAAAAGAATTGGGATAATTTATTAAGTTGCCCCTTAATAGCACTTCATACTATTTTAGCTTTAATTTCTTCACTTTTTAACAATATGATTCATTAAAAGTCATATTTTAAATTAATTTTTAACTGTTTGCAGTTGTATTTCATGTAAATATTTATTGACTACCCTTTAAAGCATAAATTTTGAATATTATTAGATATCAACAGCCACATCTTAAAAAAAAAAAAAAGCAAGAGTTTTAATTTAAAAAGAGCCTTGATATAAATGATTTTCAATGGACTGAAACCAAACCAAAAGTAAAATGGGTCATTTAAAAAAAAAAAAAAACCCTTCCCCGTGCGCTGGAGTCTCCCGGGTCATTGTCGGGGAGCGCTAGCTCATGGTGATCTAGGAATGACTCGCTAATTGTTTGCCTTTCTATCCCGTGCATCTTAACCTGGCTGATGGATGATGTTGGGTTTGGATCAGCCATGAGTGTGGAGCTGAGCAACTGAACCTGAAACTCTTCCACTGTGAGTCAAGGAGGCTTTTCCGCACATGAAGGACGCTGAGCGGGAAGGACTCCTCTCTGCCTGCAGTTGTAGCGAGTGGACCAGCACCAGGGGCTCTCTAGACTGCCCCTCCTCCATCGCCTTCCCTGCCTCTCCAGGACAGAGCAGCCACGTCTGCACACCTCGCCCTCTTTACACTCAGTTTTCAGAGCACGTTTCTCCTATTTCCTGCGGGTTGCAGCGCCTACTTGAACTTACTCAGACCACCTACTTCTCTAGCAGGTTAGCAGCTCATGAACTCTTGAAGTTCATGAGATGAACTTAACTCTGGGTTCAGTGTCTGTGTTCCTTTTTCTTACTTTATTTGTATAGAGATAGGGTCTTGCTATGTTGCCCAGGCTGGTCTCGAACTCCTGGGCTTAAGGGATCCTCCTGCCTCGGCCTCCCAAAGTGCTGGGTTTACAAGCATGAGCCACCACACCCAGCCTCTGTTTCTGATATTTGAAATTTAGTAAGACAGATTTTAGCTAAATTGAGGGAATACCTTTACAGATCTAAGCTCTCATTTCTGCTATCACCTGTATTTGATCATCTTTTGGCAGATTTTTTTCCCCATTATATGTGCCAGATTTAAATATCATGTTCCTATATAATATAGGATAGATTATTTTTTGGATGAATTTTCGTTGGACAGATGGTAAAGATGAAAATGGCAGCTGGGCACAGTGGCTCACGCCTATAATCCCAGCACTTTGGGAGGCTGAGGCGGGCGGATCATTTGAGGTCAGGAGTTCAAGACCAGCCTGGCCAACATGGTGAAACCCCATCTCTACTAAAAATATAAAAATGAGTCAGGCGTGGTGGCAGGCGCCTGTAATCCCAGTTACTCAGGAGGCTGGGGTAGGGGAATCGCTTGAAACCAGGAGGCGGAGGTTCCATTGAGCCAAGATCACGCCACTGTACTCCAGCCTGGGTGACAGAGCAAGACTCTGTTTCCAAAAAAAACAGAAAAAAGAAAAAGAAAATGGCTAGTCTTTTTGCTGCGAGGCTCTGATGCCAGTACCTGTAATAACAACAGGAAAAGCCGGTCTTTAGGGCCAAGGAGAGGGTGTGACTGATGGCCCCACCAGCATGTCTGCCTACCCGGGCCTGCTCCGGGGCAGCAAGGCCAATGGGGGCCAGAATTCCAAGTCCCTCCTTTCCCCTTCCCTGCACAGCTCTCTCCAAACCTTAGAAATCACCCAGGACACTATGTTCAGTTTTCTTTTATGGGTTCAGTGTTGGTTAAGAATAAAGCTGGTCAGTCAGTAAGTGGAATTCCATAAGCCTGAATATTTTGGTAATAAATAGCAAATCCATATTAACCACCAAGAACATCCTAATAGCATTTATCAAATGGTAAATAGCACTACAAGGATGAAGCTGGAGGATTGCTTGAGGCCAGGAGTTCGAGACCAGCCGGGTGTTGGTGGCATGCACCTGTAGTTCCACCTACTCGGGAGGCTGAGGTGGGAGGATCACAAGCCCAGGAGGTTGAGGCTGCAGTGAGCTGTGATCGCACCATGGCACTCCAGCCTGGGCAACAGAGCAGGACCCTGTCTCAAAAGAAACAAAAAAAATTTTAAAAACTACTGCAGAAGTCACAGTGCACATAAAAAGCATGTCAT
Source organism: Homo sapiens (assembly GCF_000001405.40). NCBI lineage: Eukaryota > Metazoa > Chordata > Mammalia > Primates > Hominidae > Homo > Homo sapiens. The sequence goes on along the minus strand of NC_000016.10, from coordinate 2,327,067 downwards.
TGATCTTACATTCACCAAGGAACAAGTTGGGCTCCAAAAAGACTATGCTCTTTGGGTTTTTTTGGTGTTTGTTTGTTTGTGGCAGAGTCTTACTCTGTTGCCCCCAGGCTGGAGGGCAGTGGCACGATCTTGGCTCACTGCAACCCCCGCCTCCCGGGTTCAAGCGATTCTCCTGCCTCAGCCTCTCGAGTAGCTGGGATTACAGGCGCCTGCCACCACGCCTGGCTAATTTTTGTATTTTCAGTAGAGACGGGGTTTCACCATGTTGGCCAGGCTTGTCTCGAACTCCTGATTTCAAGTGATCCACCTGCCTCGGCCTCCCAAAGTGTTGAGATTACAGGCATGAGCCACTGCACCTGGCCAAAAAGACTATGCTCTTTGGATGTGCAGGGTAGAGGATTGAGGGTGGGCATGGCACAGGCCTTGTACCCTTCCCTCCAGGGGTGTTTGGAGTTAAAGTGGCACAAAAGAAGGTGAGAGACATGGAGGAAAAAGGGTCCATGGCTTTTCCCCAAATCCCCACTCTGCGTGTTTCTATTGCGCACCCACACTCTCTGTCTTTGGTCTGTAACTAGCACTGGGCGTCCCTTTCAGCAAGACGATGGCTGTGCTCAGGCAGCTGGCGCTCCTCCTCTGGAAGAACTACACCCTGCAGGTGCGTCCAGACTCTGGAGGGAGGTCAGCTGCGTGCCTAGCCCAGAGGCTCCTGGGGATGCCCTTGAGGGAAGGGCTGTCTGCATGCCCCTGCTTCTGCCTTGCAGCCCATCACCGTGCCCTATTGTATCTCTTCCAGAAGCGGAAGGTCCTGGTGACGGTCCTGGAACTCTTCCTGCCATTGCTGTTTTCTGGGATCCTCATCTGGCTCCGCTTGAAGATTCAGTCGGAAAATGTGCCCAACGCCACCATCTACCCGGGCCAGTCCATCCAGGAGCTGCCTCTGTTCTTCACCTTCCCTCCGCCAGGAGACACCTGGGAGCTTGCCTACATCCCTTCTCACAGTGACGCTGCCAAGACCGTCACTGAGACAGTGCGCAGGGCACTTGTGATCAACATGCGAGGTGAGACATGCCGGGGCTCTCGGTGCCAGGCCTAGTGGTGCCTCCACGCGGCTGGGCAGGCAGGGGTCGAGCCCAGGATGTGCGAAGCAGCTGGGTGAGGAGTTCACCCTGTGCAGACTTGGCCTCTGCTTCTTCCCGCATCACTACTTCAACCTGTAAAAGGCACTGCTGTTCCTTAAACCTCTGCCTGCCTGCGAGTAAATAGCAGTCTCTCCTTTGGGTCCGATAGCACCATCACAGTCCCCACCAAAGGGACCCTGGTGACATTTTAACCCATGGGGCAGAACAGGTTAGAAAATGCACCTGCCTGCAGTTGCCCCAGGCTCCTTTCTGTTCCCTCATTTTATGAAAGACATTACTGGTCTCCAGGCCTCTGTGAACAGAGTCCAATAAGATACATAAGGAAAGTAGCAGATATTTGGGACTTAAATACGACCTGGCAGAAAAAGGGAAAAAAGAAAGTGAGGTTTTTGCTTGCCTGATGGCCCTAAGACTAGGAAGCCATCAAGCCCATCTAGCATCAAATCTCTTCTCGGCGGCTGAGCCACCCAAGGAATCCCCCAGCTTCTCTGTGGCCATGCCTGATTGTACAATGGGACCAGGGCTGGCCGCCCACCTGTGCAGAGCTGTGAGGACCCCGGGGAGCAGCAGGTGCAGCAGCCTTAGCAGTACCAGGCCCTGGAACTGCATCTGATGGTCAGTAGGGTGGACAGGACTTTACAGGGATGCCTGGGTGGACTTGAGCCAGGGAAAGCCCTTCTGTGACAAGGGCAGGGCACAGTTTGACCGTGTGGTGCCAAGAACCTTTTCTGGGACGTGGTTTTGGGTGGGCAGCTCTGAAAACAGTGATGAGAAAGCCTGAGAAGGGAACTCCCACTGTGAGTGCTGCTCACCGTTCCTAAACCCTTGCTGTCGGGATGAAAGCTGTCCTCCATTTTCCCCTCCTCATTTGGGCATTTACCTCCCGGGCTTTAATTCCTTGTAGCAAATACTCAGAGGAAGTGCCTTGGTCCCTCACAAAATGACGACAGTAAAACCCTTTCTGAATTGTTAAGGAGTGTCCAGATGATAGAAAAAGCCTTTGAGACACTCTGAGTTAGCATCCACTCCATTTGTAAAAACACACCATTCTGGTTTTGAGAAAGAGAAGCCACCCCGGGCTGCAGAGCCCACTGCAGGGTGGGTGGTGGGTTTGCTCCCCTGGGCCTTGCTGCAGGCGCTACCCGGAGCCTCCAGCTCTGCTCCAAAAAACCCGCACCAGGAGAACTCACTGCCTGGGGCTCTGACCCTGCCATTCTGCCCTCCTTGATGGCAGCTTGTCTCTCTGCCAAAGATGAAAGCTGCCTTGAGTCTCAGGAAGGGTTTACAAAGCCCTAGAGGATTTGCCGTCTTTCATCTGCCAGTGACCTGAACCACGCAGATTTTTCAAGCAGGAGGGCCGATTGGGCAACCACAGCTCCCGTGCTCTCTCTTTGCAGTGCGCGGCTTTCCCTCCGAGAAGGACTTTGAGGACTACATTAGGTACGACAACTGCTCGTCCAGCGTGCTGGCCGCCGTGGTCTTCGAGCACCCCTTCAACCACAGCAAGGAGCCCCTGCCGCTGGCGGTGAGACGTGCGGCCGGGCCGAGCAGTCACAGCCCATCAGCAAGGCCTCCGCTTCCTCCCGCGTCACTAGTTCAACCTGTAAAAGGCACTGCTTTCCCTTAAACCTCTGCCTGCCTGCAAGTCAATAGCAGTCACTCCTTTGGGTCTGATAATATCATCACAGTCCCCGCCAAGGGGATCTTGGTGACATTTAAACCCACGGGTCAGAACAGGTTAGAAAATGCACCTGCCTGTGGCCGCCCCAAGCTCCTTTCTGTTCCCTCATTTTATGAAAGATATTACTGGTCTCCAGAACAGAGTCTAATAAGATAGTTAAGGAAAGTAGTAGGTATTTAGGACTTAAATATGATCTGGCGGAAAGAAAGAAAGTGAGGTTTTTGCTTGCCTGATGGCATTAAAATTAGGAAGCCATCAAGTCCATCTAGCATTGTGGTTGGCGGCCCTCCAGGGATCCTGAACACTCGGTGGCACTTCACAATGGAATTAGGAATGGCCAAGAACCACCCCCCAAAAGGGGCCCCTGTGTGGCTCCCTGCTCCTGCTAGGACAGGGACCACTCAGTGTGACATTCCGGGGCCTGTTGGAGATACTCAGAGGCGGGGGAGTGGTGAGTTCTCGGCTGTGACAGCCCCCCAAGCGCTCTCCCACTCCACCCTGTTGTTTGCCCCTCTGTCTGGATCTCTCGGAACAGCTGGTTTTCTCTTTGTTTCCACAGGTGAAATATCACCTACGGTTCAGTTACACACGGAGAAATTACATGTGGACCCAAACAGGCTCCTTTTTCCTGAAAGAGACAGAAGGCTGGCACACTACTTCCCTTTTCCCGCTTTTCCCAAACCCAGGACCAAGGGAACCTACATCCCCTGATGGCGGAGAACCTGGTGAGAAGCTCGGTTAGGGTTCGTGTTACCAGCCCGGGCTGTTGACTAGTGACAGTCATATGGGGGCAGCCCCACTTTGCAAAAGTATTTCTTGAAGAAATACTTTTCAGGACATTTGGCTTGGTTCCAAGTCTTTGCTGTTGTGAATAGTGCCGCAATAAACATACGTGTGCATGTGTCCTTATAGCAGCATGATTTATAATCCTTTGGGTATATACCCAGTAATGGGATGGCTGGGTCAAATGGTATTTCTAGTTCTAGATCCCTGAGGAATCGCCACACTGACTTCCACAATGGTTGAACTAGTTTACAGTCCCACCAACAGTGTAAAAGTGTTCCTATTTCTCCTCATCCTCTCCAGCACCTGTTGTTTCCTGACTTTTGAATGATTGCCATTCTAACTGGTATGAGATGGTATCTCACTGTGGTTTTGATTTGCATTTCTCTGATGGCCAGTGATGATGAGCATTTTTTCATGTGTCTTTTGGCTGCATAAATGTCTTCTTTTGAGAAGTGTTTGTTCATATCCTTTGCCCACTTTTTGATGGGGTTGTTTGGTTTTTTCTTGTAAATTTATTTGAGTTCATTGTAGATTCTGGATATTAGCCCTTTGTCAGATGAGTAGATTGCAAAAATTTTCTCCCATTCTGTAGGTTCCCTGTTCACTCTGATGGTAGTTTCCTTTGTTGTGCAGAAGCTCTTGAGTTTAATTAGATCCCATTTGTCAATTTTGGCTTTTGTTGCCATTGCTTTTCGTGTTTTAGTCATGAAGTCCTTGCCCATGCCTATGTCCTGAATGGTAATGCCTAGGTTTTCTTCTAGGGTTTTTATGGTTTCAGGCCTAACATTGAAGTCTTTAATCCATCTCGAATTAATTTTTGTATAAGGTGTATGGAAGGGATCTGGTTTCAGCTTTCTACATATGGCTAGCCAGTTTTCCCAGCACAGGAAGGGGAACATCACACACTGGGGCCTGTTGTGGGGTGGGGGGGCGGGGGGAGGGATAGCATTAGGAGATATACCTAATGTTAAATGACGAGTAAATGGGTGCAGCACACCAGCATGGCACATGTATACCTATGTAACTAACCTGCACATTGTGCACACGTACCCTAAAACTTAAAGTATAATTAAAAAAAAAAAGAAAGAAATACTTTTCAGGAACATTTACTCTTGTTTATAGGAAAAGTAAAACATCCAGTATAACTGGTTTCTGAAAGACTAAAATAATCCTTGAAGATAGCAAAGGCCCTTTCTCTATATCCTGGAAGACGTGCTCTTGAATGAAACATTTGTATTTCAGCTTTTTTTCTTTTTTTTTTTTTTCAGACAGAATCTTGCTCTGTCGCCAAGCTGGAGTGCAGTGGCGCGACCTCGGCTCACTGCAACCGCTGTGTCCCAGGTTCAAGCGATTCTCCTGCCTCAACCTCCCAAGTAGCTGGGATTACAGGCGCACACCACCACGCCCAGCTAATTTTTGTATTTTTAGTAGAGACGGGGTTTCACCACGTTGGCCAGGATGGTCTCGATCTCTTGACCTCATGATTCACCCACCTCGGCTTCCCAAAGTTCTGGGATTACAGGCATGAGCCACCACACCCGGCTGTACGTCAGCTTTTAAAAGCTCCCGTTTGAGTTCATGGGGCTTGGTTTACATTTTCTTTTTCTGCCGGGCCTTCTCTGTGTACAGACTTACTGGCATTTTTAGCTCCGTGGTCCTTGTGCACCTGATCCATGGTTTGACGGAATCAGTGTGGTGTTCATGGAAGCCAGATCTTGGTTACTCTGATGCCCCATCAGTGTGTGTCTTCGTGTGGACCTGGGCAGGTGGTTGGTACGTGTGCCTCCTCTGAAGCATGGTCTTGTCTTGGAACTGAGCTAGGGACAGCCAAGAAGTGACTCGGACCCAGGACTAGGCTTAGCTGTCAGGCCAAGAAAGACCCCACTGCAGGTTCTGGGTGGAAGTCCAGGGTGTTCTGGAGAACGTCGTATTTCACGGGTCTGGCAGGAGACAGAACTCATGGAAGTTTGCCATGGAAGTCACAGCAACGTCCCATCCCTCCATGAGGCATGATTCTGAGACACAAGTGCCAGGCAGGCAGGAGACAGCATGCATGCAGCCAGCGCTTAGCGATGTCCCTTACTGGTGCCAGGGCTGTCACCAGGCTAATGCTCTAGGGCAAGATTTTACATCTAGAACTAAGATGAACAAGACCTGGTGTGGGGTGTGTGAGGCCCCAGAGCGATGCCCTTGACAGGTCACCCAGCCTGGAGCTCAGGAGAAGCTATGTCCAGCTGTCACACATGATGCTTGCTGCCTGCAGCAGGGGACTGCAGGAGGGGACACTGGCTGCTGAGACTGGGGCCCAGGCAGGAGCTGCTCAGCTCCCTCCTGTTTTTGGGGAACAATTCCCTAAGCTTGGAAGCAAGAGAAAACCAATCTCAAAGGAAAAGACTGACAGATTTCAGCATGTACAAACTGGAAATTTGCCAGACACGAAAAGACCTAATGGTGGTTTAAAAAAAAAAAAAAAAAAGCACATAGCAGACTGGGGAAAACCTTTGTGGCAAATGACACAGAGTAAATATCTTTTGTTAGAGAAAAAAAGTTTTGTTATTAAGAATAGTCGGTTAGTCCTCAGCAAGACAGAGAACCTGAGGGGGAAGAAAAGTTGGCTGGAAAAACAAGCTCCTAGTAAAGCCCCAGGAGATATAACGTGTGTGAGACTGGCATGGCACAGGGACTGGTCAATTCTAGCCTCAGTTTTGCCTCCAGATGTCCATGCCTTAGACCCACTAATATGCCTGATGAGAATTCAGCCCTCAGGCTGGGCGCAGTGGCTCACACCTGTCATCCCAGCATTGGGAGGCTGAGGCAGGCAGATCACCTGAGGTCAGGAGTTCGGGACCAGCCTGGCCAACATAGTGAAACCCCGTCTCTACTAAAAATACAAAAAAAAAAAAAATTAGCTGGGCGTGGTGGTGTGCACCTGTAATCCCAGCTATTCGGGAGGCTGAGGCAGGAGAATTGCTTGAACCCAGGAGGCAGACGTTGCAGTGAGCCGAGATCGCGCCACTGCACTCCAGCCTGAGTGAGAGAGCAAGACTGTCTCAAAAAAAAAAAAGGCCGGGTGCAGTGGCTCACGCCTGTAATCCCAGCACTTTGGGAGGCCAAGGTGGGTGGATCATGAGGTCAGGAGATCCAGACCATCCTGGCTAACACGGTGAAACCCCGTCTCTACTAAAAATACAAAAAATTAGCTGGGCATGGTGGTGTGCACCTGTAGTCCCAGCTACTCGGGAGGCTGAGGCAGGAGAATCGCTTGAACCTGGGAGGTGGAGGTTGCAGTGAGCCAAGATCGCGCCACTGCACTCCAGCCTGGGCGACAGAGTGAGATTCCGTCTCAAAAAAAAAAAAAGTGATCATGTGTGTGATTTTTTTTGTGTGTTGTGTTAGTTACAAAGTGGAAGTGACAATCACATCTCTCTTCTCATTTGCTGTCAGTGTGTGGTGCGTTTCCTTCCTTCTCCCGTGGGACCACTGAGCGGCCACGGGGGTCCTGAGCTGAAGTCACTCTGTTGCCCCAAGCATCTCTTCCCCCATGGACCCCATGCACGTGGCCCTCTGCCCTCGAGAGCAGCTCCTCGAGGTGGCTGGGCCATCCTCTGCTCCCGCACCCAGGGTACATCCGGGAAGGCTTCCTGGCCGTGCAGCATGCTGTGGACCGGGCCATCATGGAGTACCATGCCGATGCCGCCACACGCCAGCTGTTCCAGAGACTGACGGTGACCATCAAGAGGTTCCCGTACCCGCCGTTCATCGCAGACCCCTTCCTCGTGGCCATCCAGTACCAGCTGCCCCTGCTGCTGCTGCTCAGCTTCACCTACACCGCGCTCACCATTGCCCGTGCTGTCGTGCAGGAGAAGGAAAGGAGGCTGAAGGTGACTGCCCGCTTTGGCTCCCCAACACTCTAGAAACCGCGCTGTCCTGGGGAGGCCATGTCCAAAGGCTTGGTGTTTTAGTATTTTTTTTTTTTTGAGTTGGAGTCTCGCTCTGTCGCCCAGGCTGGAGTGCAGTGGTGCGATCTCGGCTCACTGCAAGCTCTGCCTCCCGGGTTCACGCCATTCTCCTGCCTCAGCCTCCCGAGTAGTTGGGACTATAGGTGCCTGCCACCACACCCAGCTAATTTTTTGTATTTTTAGTAGAGACGTGGTTTCACCGTGTTAGCCAGGATGGTCTCAATCTCCTGACCTTGTGATCCGCCCGCCTCGGCCTCCAGAAGTGCTGGGATTACAGGCGTGAGCCACCGTGCCCGGCCGGAGGTCTTTCTATATTGCCAAGGCTGGTCTCAAACTCTTGGCCTCAAGAAATTCTCCCATCTCAGCCTCCCATCTCATTCTCCCACAGTGCTGGGATTACAGGCATGAGCTGTAACACCTGGCTAGGGGCTCATTTTGAGGCTGCCCAGTTGTTCATCTGCTTGGTGCCATAAATAACTTTCATAAAACTATGCAGCATTGAGGGAGTCAGCAGTGGGCTATAAAATGATCCTGAAAAAAAAAAAAGTGTGCACATATGCAGATACACAGATCAAACAAATAGGGCAAAACGTGAAACGGTTACTGAACCTAAGTGGTGGGAATGTGAGAGACCATTGTGCTCCTCTTCCCGCTGTTCTGTAGGTCAGAAATTATGCATAAGAAAGGGCTAGCCCTGGGCACTGGCTCACACCTGTAATCCCAGCACCTTGGGAGGTCGAGGTGGGCGGATCACTTGAGGTGAGGAGTTCAAGACCAGCCTGGACAGCAAGGTGAAACCGTGTCTCTACTAAAAATACAAAAATTAGCCAGGCGTGGTAGCATGCACCTGTAATCCCAGCTGCTTGGGAGGCTGAGGCACGAGAATTTCTTGAACCCGGGAGGTGGAGGTTGCAGTGAGCCAAGATCGCACCACTGCACTCCAGCCTGGGCAGCAGAGCAAGACTCCATCTAAAAAAAAAAAAGAAAAAGAGAAAAAGAAAGAAAAAGAAATGAGGAGCTGAATTTTTAACTTTATTTTTAATTAACTTCAGTTGAAACGGCCACACCTGGCTGCTGGCTGCCGTATTGGTCAGTGTGGCCGCCCCAGGACTCCCCAGGCGCTTTTGGTCAGTGAAGGAACTGGGTTTCCTCATCACCACGCCTGACTCCTTGGTGGGGCAGGTGAGGAAGGAAGGTGTGGTCAGAGCCGACCCATCACTGCGCCTCGTCCTTCACTGCAGAGGTTCTGGGCCCCTCCTTTCAGAGTAGGGGAGGTTGAGGGAATGAATGGCTATGGCATCCACAGCTATGGTCTGATCTGTGGTCACGTCTCACAGCCATGGAGGCTGGTGTTGACGTGGTTGGGAACTGGCAGGGTCTTTCGGCCCACCCCCAGAAGGGCTGGGCTCCTGCCGCCTGACGTAGCTTCGGGGGACGATCTCAAGTACCAGGAAAGACTGGGGAGCATGCACTGGGAGTGTGGAATCGCTCTACAGAATGGAGGGCTGGCCGGGTGCAGTGGCTTATGCCTATAATTCCAGCACTTTGGGAGGCTGAGGCAGGCAGATCACTTGAGCCCAGGAGTTTGAGCAAGATGAGCCTGGCCGACATAGTAAGACCCTGTCGAATGCAGGGCTGCTGGGACAGTCGGACTCAGGCCTGCTGCCGTCCAGCCTGGCACATGCCATCATGGCGGGCAGTGACGGGCCCCCAGCAGCGTGATGGCTTCTCTCCCCAGGAGTACATGCGCATGATGGGGCTCAGCAGCTGGCTGCACTGGAGTGCCTGGTTCCTCTTGTTCTTCCTCTTCCTCCTCATCGCCGCCTCCTTCATGACCCTGCTCTTCTGTGTCAAGGTGAGCATGGCGTCGGTGGGGCTCTGGTGAGGACGGGGAGAGCCAGGGCACCCCAGGAGGGCCCTCTTGGGAAGAACTTTGTGGTCAGAGACTTCAGAGAGAGTCTGTCCCTCATGGGGGAGAGGAGCTGTCAATGTCCCACTCCTCTCGGTGGAGCCGCGTCCCTGTGACCAGGGATGGTCAGGAGTCCTCCTGGTCCACCTCTGCCGGCCCACCACGCCCGACTCATGCCTGTGCCCTGCAGGTGAAGCCAAATGTAGCCGTGCTGTCCCGCAGCGACCCCTCCCTGGTGCTCGCCTTCCTGCTGTGCTTCGCCATCTCTACCATCTCCTTCAGCTTCATGGTCAGCACCTTCTTCAGCAAAGGTGAGCCCCAGTCATGGGGCAGAGTGGGGTTGCCAAGGGGCCAAGGGCCATCTGCATGGAAATAACCCAGAGGCTGTGATCGGAAGGGAGAGTGGCCTGGTGGAGCTGCCCAGGGAGGAGCTGACCAGGGGAAGGTTGGACTGGAAGGAGGAAAGTCAGCGTAATTTAGGGAGAAGGAGAATTCAGAGAAGGCAGGTGTGTGGCTGGCCATGCCGAGTGCTGTCCAGCAGCCCAAAGGGAAGGCGAGCCAGAAGTGAGGACAGTGAGCCCGGCCATGTGCAGAGCCTTGCGGTGACAGTTACGTTGAAGATCATTTTTCCTGTCTGGATTTTGTGTGTCACTTTGTTATCATTCTCTTTTGCTTCTTTGTTTTCCTTTCCTGCCTTCTGTTGGCCTTCTGTAGTGCCTTTTACCTCGGATGGTTCAGAGGCTATAAGTTGTGTTTCTCTTTTTTTAGTGATTACCTTTAATGTTTCACTTGATTACTTACCTCTAAAATTCCAAAAAGTGAAGTTATTCAGTATGCCCAGGCTCCTCCCAGGTAAAACTCCAACCTCACCACCACTCTAAGTACTTTTAGAGGTTCCCAGTTTTTTGTTTTTTTTTTCGAGCAGTCTTGCTCTGTTGCTCAGTCTGGAGTGCATTAGTGCGATCTTGGCTCACTGCAGTCTCTGCCTCTGGGATTCAAGTGATTCTTGTGCCTCAGCCTCTTGAGTAGCTGGGATTACAGGCGTGTGCCACCACGCCTGGCTAATTTTTTTTTTTTTTTTTTTTTTTTTTTTTTTTTTTTTTGCATTTTTAGTAGAGACGGGGTTTTGCCATGTTGTCCAGGCTGGTCTTGAAATCCTGACCTCAAGCGATCCATACTCCTTGGCTTCCCAAAGTGCTGGGATTACAGGTGTGAGCCACTGCGCTTGGCCTTTTTTTTTTTTTCTTTTCTTTTTTTCTTTTCTTTTTTCTTTTTTTTTTTTTTTGAGACTGCCTCTTGTTCTGTTGCCCAGGCTGGAGTGCAATGGCACAGACACGGCTCACTGCAGCCTTGAACTGCTGGGCTCAAAGCTATCTTCCAGCCTCAGCCTTCTGAGTAGCTCACACCACCGTTACCTGCCACCACACCTAGCTTTTTTTTTTTTTTTTTTTTTCTCACCATGTTTCCCAGACTGGTCTTGAACTCCTGATCTCAAGTGATCCTCCTACCTCAGCCTCCCAAAGCATTGGGATTACAGGTGTGAGCCACCATGCCTGACCTCCTAACTTTTGTTGTTGTCTAGTTTGTTTTATTATTAAAGAAAACCTAAGTGACCAGGCATGGTAGCTCACACCTGTAATCCTAGCACTTTAGGAGGTCAAGGCAGGAGGATCACTTGAGCCCAGGAGTTTAAGACCAGCCTAGGCAACATGGCAAGACCCTGTCTCTACAAAAAAAAAAAAAAAAAAAAAAAAGTTTAAAAATTAGCCAGGTGTGGTGGCATGCCCCTGTGGTCCTAGCTACTTGGGAGGCTGAGGTGGGAGCATTGCTTAAGCCCAGGTGGCGGATGTTGCAGTGAGCTGAGTTTGTACCACTGCATTCCAGCCTGGAGAACGAGAGGGACCCTGTCTCAAAAAAAGAAAAAAAATCATAAGCAGTTACTTCCTATGTGACATTCCTGTGCTTTGCCAACATATCTGATGTGCACGTGATTTTCGTGTACCTGGCTTTTTAGAGTCACTCTTCTCTGTGTTGAAGCACATCTTTGAGTAGTTCTTCTAGTGGGCATTGGTAAGTGGTCAGTGCTTTCGACTTTGTATGTCCAAAGGTGTCTGTATTTTGCCCTCACTCCTGTATAGTATTTTAGCTGCCTGTGAAATTCTCCACAGATAGGTGTTCTTCCTTGGCAATTTTATAATGTTACCTTATTGCCATCCGATACTCATCGTTAGTGGGAGTCTGCCAAAAGTCTAGGTGTGATTTTTCTTTATGAACATTTCGATCTGAGGGCTCATGTGTCTTCGGTTCGAATTTCAATGAGATTTCGGGTAATATCTCATCAGACTTTGCTGTGTGTGTGTGTGTGTGTGTGTGTGTGTGTGTGTGTGTGTAAAATACATACAACAATTTATGACCGGGCACCATGGCTCACGCCTGTAATCCCAGCAATTTGGGAGGCCGAGGCGGGTGGATCATGAGGTCAGGAGATTGAGACCATCCTGGCCAACACAGTGAAACCTCGTCTCTACTAAAAAAAAAAAATACAAAAATTAGCCGGGTGTGGTGGCGGGTACCTGTAGTCCCAGCTACTCGGGAGGCTGAGGCAGGAGCATCGCTTGAACCCAGGAGGCGGAGGTTGCAGTGAGCCGAGGTTGTGCCAGTGCACTCCAGCCTGGCAACAGAGCAAGACTCTGTCTCAAAAAAAAAAAAAAAAAAAAAAAAGACCAGGCACTATGGCTCATGCCTGTAATCCCACTTTGGGAGGCCAAGGCTGGCAGATCATCTGAGGTCGGGAGTTCGAAACCAGCCTGACTAACATGGAGAAACCCTGTCTCTACTAAAAATACAAAATTAGCCAGGTGTGGTGGCACATGCCTGTAATCCCAGCTTCTTGGGAGGTTGAGGCAGGAGAATTGCTTGAACCCAGGAGGCAGAGGTTGCGGTGAGCCGTGATCATGCCACTGCACTCCAGCCTGGGCAACAAGAGTGAAACTTGGTCTCAAAAAAAAAAAAATTACCATTGTGGCCGCTTTAAGCATTCACATCGTTGTGCACCCACCCCCATGTCCACCTCCAGAATGGTTTTCATGTTTCCCGACTGAAACAGTCCCTGTGAAACACTGACTCCCCCACCCCCCTTCCCTGGAAACCAGCACCCTACTTCCTGTCCCTATGAGTTTGATGACCCTGGGGACTTCATGTAAGAGGAATCGTACAGTGTTTATATGCTGTGCCTGGCTTATTTCACTGAGCATAGCATCCCCAAGGTTCATCTGTGTTGTAGCCTGAATTCCCCTCCTTTTCAAGGCTAGATGATATTCCATAATGTAGATGGGGCCACATTTTGTTTACTTGTTCATCCATTGACAGACTCTTGGATGCCCCTGTGTTGTGGCTGTCATGAGTGTGCTGTGCTGGACATGGGTCCCTGCTTTTCATTCTTTGGGCGTACACCCAGAAGTGAAGTTGCTGAATCCTATGGCAATTCCATGTTTAACTTTTGAGAGAGACTGTCAGACTGTCTTTCCCGCAGTGTCTGCACCGGTGCGCATTCCCACCAGCAGCACACAGGTTGCCAGTCTCCTGCATCCTCGTGAACACCTGTTGTTTTCTGATTGATTGTTTTTTATAGTCGCCATCCTAATGGGTGTGAGGGGGTATCTCTCAGTCTTTCACGTCTGTTAATTACTTTTTTTTTTTTTTGAGATGGAATCTCGCTCTGTTGCCCAGGCTAAGTGTAGTGGCACAATTGGCTCACTGCAACCTCCGCCTTCTGGGTTCAAGTGATTCTCCTGCCTCAGCCTCCCAAGTAGCTGGGATTACAGGCGCCCGCCACCATACCCAGCTATTTTTGTAGAAACCGTGTTTTGCCATGTTGTCCAGGCTGGTCTCAAACTCCTGACCTCAAGTGATCCTCCCACCTCCGTCTCCCAGAGTGCTGGGATTACAGGCATGAGCCACCACGCCTGGCCTCTTAATTTCTTTTTTTTTTTAAACTATACTTTTACAACCCCCTTTCTTCTTTTTTTTTTTTTTTTTTTTGTGACAGAGTCTCACTCTGTTGCCTAGGCTGGAGTGTAGTGGCACAATCTTGGCTCACTGCAAACTCTGCTGCCTGGGTTCAAGCAATTCTCCTGCCTCAGCCTCTGAGTAGCTGGCACTACAGGTGCAAGCCAGCATGCCCAGCTAATTTTGTATTTTTAGTAGAAACGGGGTTTCACCATGTTGGCCAGGCTGGTCTTGAACTCCTGACCTCAGGTGATCCACCAGCCTCAGCCTCCCAAAGTGCTGGGATTATAGGCGTGAGCTACCACACCTGGCCCCAGATGGTCTTATAGTGACACCCAGATGCTGCTTGCCTTTTCCACCATGCTGACATTTGTAGTGACGGTGCAAAAACAATGATGAGCAAAACCACCAGACCCTAAGCATAAATCAAGACACCAAGCCATACTTATCACTGTGTTCTCCACTGCCACATACTCACAGCAAGCAAACAAACAAACAATGCCAGCTTATTTTTTAAATTTTTTTTGTTTTGAGACATGGTCTCGTTCTGTTGCCCAGGCTGGAGTGCAGTGGCCTGATCTCGACTCACTGCAACCTCTGTCTCCCAGGGCTCGAGTGATCCTTCCACTTCAGCCTCCCTCCCAAGCAGCTGGGGCCACAGGTGTACAACACCATGCCCAGCTAATTTTTGTAGTTTTTGTAGAGTTAGGGTTTCACCATGTTGCTCAGGCTGAAAAAAAAAAAATGCAATTTCGGCCGGGCATGGTGGCTCATGCCTGTAATCCTAGCACTTTGGGAGGCCGAGGCGGGCAGATCACCTGAGGTCAGGAGTTCGAGACCAGCCTGGCCAACATGGTGAAACCCCGTCTCTACTAAAAATACAAAAAAAATTTGCTGGGCGTGGTCGTGGGCACTTGTAATCCCAGCTACTCGGGAGGCTGAGGCAGGAGAATCACTTGAACCCGGGAGGCGGAGGTTGCAGTGGGCTGAGACTGTGCCATTGCACTCCAGCCTGGGCAACAAGAGTGAAACTTCATCTCAAAAAAAAAAAAAAGAAAAATGCCAATTTCACTCATGAATGTCCTTGACAAAGCAGTAAAAAAAAAAACTTTATTAAATCTCGACTCTCAAATATACTTCATTTAGTATTCTGTGTGACGAAATGGGATGTACACATAAAGTACTTGTACTGAACCATGGATTATCTTGAGGAAAAGTACATGTACAGTTGCTTGAGTTGTCAGCAAAACTAGCCACTTTTTCCATGGGGCACCATTTTTGCTTGAAGGAGCAACCACTAGACTATAGTTATTCCCCCTCGGGTGTTTGGTAGGCATTTTCTCCAGTAGGAGCCTGTCTTTTTAAGGAAAACAACTGGTAGTTTCTGACATCAATACTGCAGTTCAAGCTTTCAGGCAAAAAATAGAATTTTGCAAACTCAAATCTGTGACTTCCTAGTACTTAACTTTTTATGGAGCCAGTGATAACATTAACAAATGTAATTTTTTTAATATTGTATGATAAAATATGCCAGTGTTTGGAACATTTGTGTAACTCAAAAAGCAGTATTTTCCAAACGAACTAATGCATCATGTTATAAAATCATACAAGAGTAAAAATCCAAAGTGTGGCCAGGCGCAGTGGCTCATGCCTGTAATCCCAGCATTTTGGGAGACTGAGGCGGGCGGATTGCCTGAACTCAGGAGTTCAAGACCAGCCTGGACAACATGGTGAAACCCTGTCTCTACTAAAAATACAAAAAATTAGGCCGGGCACAGTGGCTCACACCTGTAATCCCAGCACTTTGGGAGGCCGAGGTGGGTGGATCACGAGGTCAGGAGTTCAAGAGCAGCCTGGCCAAGATGGTGAAACCCCGTCTCTATTAAAAATACAAAAATTAGTCGGGCATGGTGGCGGATGCCTGTAATCCCATCTACTCAGGAGGCTGAGGCAGGGAATTGCTTGAACCTGGGAGTCGGAGGTTGCATTGAGCCAAGATCGTGCCACTGCACTCCAGCCTGGGCGACAGAGCGAGACTCTCTCTCCAAAAATTAAAAAAAAAATCCAAACTGCAGGATAAACCAATGGATGTTAATGTAACAGAGCGCAAAAAGTTCGTTGGTTACTTCATGGCAACTAACCTTTCCGAAATTACTGCTTGTTCAGTGGCGCTTGCATGGTATAGTATCAAAGAAGAATATCCACAGATATCTGTAAAAACCATTACAATACCCTTTACTTTTCCAACTATATATCTGTGGGAAGGCAGATTTTCTTTATATACATCAACCAAACAACATAAAAGGGTAAATAGGGCTGGGCGCGGTGGCTCACGCCTGTAATTCCAGCACTTTGGGAGGCCGAGGCAGGCGGATCACGAGGTCAAGAGATCGAGACCACCCTGGCCAACATGGTGAAACCCCGTCTCTACTAAAAATACAAAAATTAGCTGGGTGTGGTGGCGCTCGCCTGTAGTCCCAGTGACTCGGGAGGCTGAGGCAGGAGAATTGCTTGAACCCAGGAGGTAGACGTTTCAGTGAGCCAAGGTCGTGCCACTGCACTCCAGCCTGGTGACAGAGCGAGACTCCATCTCAAAAAAGAAAAAAAAAGAAAAGAAAAGAAAGAAAAGAGTAAATAGGCAGATATGAGGACCGAGCTGTAATCTGCTAAGTCAGACATTATGGAGGTTTACAAAAATGCGAAACATCGTTCCTGACTGAAGCACCAGAGGTGGGGAAAAAGACCAATAAAGAAAAAGAAAAAATCAGCCGGTCAAGTGACTCACATCTCTAATCCCAGCACTTTGGGAGGCCAAGGTGGGCAGATTGCTTGTGCCCAGGAGTTCAAGCCCAGCCTGGGCAACATGACGAAAACCTGTCTTTACTTAAAAATAAAAAAAACATTAGCCTGGCCCGGTGGTGCATACCTGTAGTCCGAGCTACTCAGGAGGCTGAGGTGGGAGAATCGCTTGAGCCCAGGAGGCAGAGGTTGCAGTGAGCTGAAATCACACCACTGCACTCCATCCTGGGCGATAGTATGAGACCCTGTCTCAGAAAAAAAAAAAAAGAAAGAAAAAAAAGTTGGAAAAACCACTGCTGCTCTTCTCAGTAAATTGTGGAAAGTGTGTGTGTGTGGGTGTTTTGTTTGTTTGTTTGTTTTTTTGTTTGTTTGTTTGTTTTGAGACAGAGTCTCACTCTGTCGCTAGGATGGAGTGCAGTGACCCGATCTCGGCTCACTGCAACCTCCACCTCCCGGGTTCAAGCGATGCTCCTGCCTCAGCCTCCTGAGTAGCTGCGACTACAGGCGCACACCACCACCCATGCCCAGCTAATTTTTGTATTTTTAGTAGAGACGGGGTTTCACCATGTTGGCCATGATGGTCTTGATCTCTTGACCTTGTGATCTGCCCACCTCAGCCTCCCAAAGTGCTGGGATTACAGGCATGAGCCACCACACCCAGCCGGGGTTTTTTTCATAAATGTATGTTGACTTGTAGTGGATTTGTTACTGTTATTCTTAAATTTAACAGAATTTTTAAATGTTCTTAGTATTAATTTCTCACAGAATAAATATGGATATATATATATAACCCACATTTAAAAAGCCCTTTGGTGTCGTTAATAATTTTTAAGGATAGAAAAGGGTCTTAAGACCAAAGATTTTGATGGCTGGGCACGGTGGCTCAGACCTGTAATCCCAACACTTTGGGAGGCCAGGGCGGGAGGATCCCTTGAGCCTAGGAGCTTTAGACTAGCCCTGACAAAATAGGGAAACCCATCTCTACAAAAACATTTAAAAATTAGCTAGGCATGGTACTGCGTGCCTGTGGTCCTAGCTGCTCTCCCTAGCCGGAGGTGGGAGGACTTCTTGGGCCCGGGAGGTGGAGGCTGCAGTGAGCCATGATGGCACCACTGTACTCCAGCCTAGGTGACAGAGGGGGACTCGATCTCAAAAGGAAACAAAGAAAAGAAAACCAAACAGTTTGAGCACTGCTGGCATGGACAGAAAACATGCCCATCTCTCCACTCTCCGTAATCCACTCTCTCACCTCTTCCGGCTCCTTCTCACATGTCACCTCCTCGAAGCCTTCCCGGCCGTCGGGAGCCTCTTCTCCCATCCTGCGCCTCCTTGCTGCATCCAGCATGTGTCTCCATCCAGCACACCTTGCTCTCTGTCTCCCCGCTATATTCCAGGCGTGGGAGGGGAGGGATTTTCTCTGTTTTGTGTGGGGCTGCCTCCCGGTGCTTAGAACAGAGTAGGTGCTCAGTGCGTATCTGACGAATGCATGAATGAACAAATGAGAGAGATCAGGCAACCCAGGCAGAAGTGGGGCTTAGGCAGGCTGGGCACGGTGGCTCACGCCTGTAATCCCAGCACTTTGGAAGGCCAAGGCCGGTGGATCACGAGGTCAGGAGATCGAGACCATCCTGGCTAACACGGTGAAACCCTATCTCTACTAAAAAATACAAAAAATTAGCCGGGCGTGGTGGCGGGCACCTGTAGTCCCAGCTACTCAGGAGGCTGAGGTAGGAGAATGGCGTGAACCCAGGAGGCGGAGCTTGCAGTGAGCCGAGATCGTGCCACTGCACTCCAGCCTGGGCGACAGAGCAAGACTCCTTCTCAAAAAAAAAAGAAGTGGGGCTTAGGCGGGAATCAGGGGTTTGGGATCAGCCACGTGAGGTGTGCAGTGTCAGGGAGGCAGCTGGATGGGAGGTGGAGGAGGGGCTGGAGGTGTTGGTGTGGGGGTCCCTGGGATGGGGGCACTACTCACTTGGAGAAGGGGCTGCCGGCCACACCTGGTGTCCCCCCGTGCTGGAGCTTGTGTCCCGTGTAGATGGCAAGTGCCAGGAGCAGGTTGGGTGGCTCGGCCCCAGGAGTAGGGGGTTGCCTGTACCTCGGGGAGCCCAAGCCCCTTTTGAGGGCACTGACGCTCACGCCCCCCGGGTCTTCCAACACCTGCAGCCAACATGGCAGCAGCCTTCGGAGGCTTCCTCTACTTCTTCACCTACATCCCCTACTTCTTCGTGGCCCCTCGGTACAACTGGATGACTCTGAGCCAGAAGCTCTGCTCCTGCCTCCTGTCTAATGTCGCCATGGCAATGGGAGCCCAGCTCATTGGGAAATTTGAGGCGAAAGGTGAGTGTTTGCCTTGTCCAGCCTGTTCTTTCCGAATCAGTAACCTTCGAGAGCACCCAACCACAAGAGCCGCCAGCAGCAAGGCTCCACCTGGGACGGTTGGCAGGCAGTTGGGACCACTGAAGGCAGCAGCATCCGCATACAGCGCTGAGTGTGGGCTGGATAGCTGGACACGGCCCCGGGCGAGGGAAGCCCAGCTCCACGGCACAGCAGGAGGTGATGGGAGCCACAGGGCAGTGGGCCGAAGAAGCCCAAAGCTCGGAGGACAAGAGGGTTGGAGCATCCAGCAGCGTTGGCACCACATACGCATCTGACTGATGGTGGGATCTAAGTCGGTGACCTGAGCCTCTTTCAGTTTTCATTTTTTTTTATTTTAAATATTTTATAGAGATGGGGTCTCACTGTGTTGCCCAGCCTGGTCTCAAACTTTCGACCTCAAGCAATCCTCCTGCCTCAGCCTCCTGAATAGCCAGGATTACAGGCGTGAGCCACCACATCTGGCCTCTTCCAGCTTCCTGAGACATTCAAAATTATTACATCAGAAAGGCTGGGCGTGGTGGCTCACGCCTATAATCCCAGCACTTTGGGAGGCTGAGGCCGGTGGATCACGAGGTCAGGAGATCGAGACCATCCTGGCTAACAAGGTGAAACCCTGTCTCTACTAAAAACACAAAAAATTAGCCGGGCGTGGTGGCAGGCGCCTGTAGTCCCAGCTACTCGAGAGGCTGAGGCAGGAGAATGGCGTGAACCCAGGAGGCGGAGCTTGCAGTGAGCTGAGATCGCACCACTGCACTCCAGCCTGGGTGACAAGACTCCGTCTCAAAAAAATAAAATAAAATTATTACATCAGAGATCTCAAAGTCTAGGGTTTTGAGGACTTTTTTTCTTTTTTTTTGAGACAAGAGTCTCGTTCTGTTTCCCAGGTTTGAGTGCAGTGGTGCGATCTTGGCTCATCTCAACCTCTGCCTCTGGGTTCAAGTGATCCTCCCACCTCAGCCTCCCGAGTACCTGGGATCACAGGCATGCACCACCATGCCCATCTAATTTTTTTGTATTTTTAGTAGAGAGGGGGTTTTGCCATGTTGGCCAGGCTGGTCTTGAACTCCTGACCTAAAGTGATCTGCCCTCGGCCTCCGAAAGTGCTAGGATTACAGGAGTGAGCCACTGAGGCTGGCTGGGTTTCGAGGACTTTTCATCAACCACTGCTCTTGGTAAAGGGTAGAATTAGCATCTTCCCAGTGCCTCCTGTATTGATTGGTGATGGCAGCAGAGACGCCTAAGAGAGAAACAAGTGATAAACGACAGCATTTTTTTTCTTTTCTTTTTTGTTTTTTGAGACAGGGTCTCGCTGTGTCACCCAGCCTGGAGTGCAATGGCATCATCACGACTCACTTTTTTTCTTTTCTTTTCTTTTTTTTTTTTTTTTTTTTTTTGAGACGGAGTCTCTCACTCTTTCACCCAGGCTGGAGGGCAGTGGCGCAATCTCGGCTCACTGCAAGCTCCGCCTCCCGGGTTCATGCCATTTTCCTGCCTCAGCCTCCCAAGTAGCTGGGACTACAGGCGCCCGCCACCGTGCCCAGCTAATTTTTTGTATTTTTAGTAGAGACGGGGTTTCACTGTGTTAGCCAGGATGGTCTCGATCTTCTGACCTTGTGATCCGCCCGCCTCGGCCTCCCAAAGTGCTGGGATTACAGGCGTGAGCCGCCCACTTTTTTTCTTAATTTTTATGAAATTAAATTGAGTAAAACACTTCCTTGGTCGGCCTTTGGCCTGTGGGCTCTCATTCTGCAAAGCCTGCTGTGGGCACCAAACCTGGTCTGAGCCCCTCCAGTTAGGCCTCCTCCCAACATTGCTGCATTGGGGGTCAAGTCTCCAACACATGAATTTGGGGGGCCCAGTCAAGCCATGGCACCATGCAGTTCCTAGCTGCAGCTTGCCAAGGTCTGGGTCTGTGGAAGGAGGTGGGAGTGTCCAGCGTTGCTTTGTCTTTCATTAGAACGGTTCTCTACAGTCGGCAGTGTCTTCTGACACTTTAGCTTTTACATATCTGTGTTTCCATGTTTACTCGTGTGTTGATAAAATGTAAACTTTGTTCTTTTGCTTTCTTTTTAACAATTTTTTTTTGGAGATAGGGTCTTACTCCATTGCCCAGGCTGGAGTGCAGTAGCATGATAATAGCTCACTGTAGCCTCGACCTCCCAGGCTCAAGTGATCCTCCCACCTCAGCCTCCTGAGTAGCTGGACTACAGGCACGTGCCACCACACCTGGCTAATTTGTCTGTGTTGCCTAGGCTGGTCTCAAACTCCTGGCCTCAAGCAATCCTCCTGTGTCAGCCTCCCAAAGTGCTGGGATTACAGATGTGAGCCACCACGCCCAGCTAGAGTGAATGTTATTAAAACAGACAAATCTCTGGTTGTTTGAAAGTGCAAATTCACCAAGGCTGGAGAGCATTATTTCCATCAGGGTCCTCGGCCAAACAGAGGGTGTTTGGACACACAGATCCCCAGCACTGTCAGGACTGCAATGTTGGCAAACCAGAGAGATGATGAGAAACACGAGCTCCATTAAAGAGAGCTTTACACGTGTTTGAAATATTTCTGTGATTAAAAAAGACTTATGGCCGAGGCAGGAGGAAGGCTTGAGGCTGGAGTTTGAGACCAGCCTGGGCAACATAGCAAGACCCCCATCACTACAAAATTAAAATGTAAAAAAATAGTTATACTAGGCTGGATGGGGTGGCTCACACCTGTAATCCCAGCACTTTGGGAGGACGGGTGGATTACTCGAGGTCAGGAGTTCAAGACCCACCTGGCCAACATGGCGAAACCCTGTCTCTACTAAAAATACAAAAATTGGCGGGGCGCGGTGGCTCACGCCTGTAATCTCAGCACTTTGGGAGGCTGAGGTGGGCGGGTCATGGGGTCAAGAGATCGAGACCATCCTGGCCAACATGGTGAAACTCCGTCTCTACTAAAAATACAAAAATCAGCTGGGCATGGTGGCGCACACCTGTAGTCCCAGCTACTCGGGAGGCTGAGGCAGGAGAACCGCTTGAACCTGGGAGGTGGAGGCTGCAGCGAGCCAAGATTGTGCCCCTGCACTCCAGCCTGGCAACAGAGTGAGACTCTGTCTAAAAAAAATACAAAAATTAGCCAGGTGTGGTGACGTGCTCCCGTAATCCCAGCTACTCCGAAGGCTGAGGCAGAAGAATCATTCAAACCCCAGAGGCAGAGGTTGCAGTGGGCCAAGATTGCACCACTGCACTCCAGCCTGGGTGACAGAGCAAGACTCTATCTCAAAAAAATAAAAAATAATAAACAAATAAAGACTTATACTGGCCGGGTGCAGTGGCTCACACCTGTAATCCTAGCACTTTGGGAGGCCAAGGCGGGTAGGTTGCCCGAGCTCAGGAGTTCGAGACCAGGCTGGGCAACACGGTGAAACCCCATCTCTACTAAAATACAAAAAAATTAGGGCTGGTTGCAGTGGCTCACGCCTGTAATCCCAGCGCTTTGGGAGGCCGAGGCAGGCGAATCACAAGGTCAGGAGATCGAGACCACCCTGGCTAACACAGTGAAACCCCGTCTCTACTAAAAATACAAAAAATTAGCCAGGCACGGTGGCGGGCGCCTGTAGT
The DNA here is from genome assembly GCF_000001405.40 of Homo sapiens. Classification (NCBI taxonomy): domain Eukaryota; kingdom Metazoa; phylum Chordata; class Mammalia; order Primates; family Hominidae; genus Homo; species Homo sapiens. The sequence goes on along the minus strand of NC_000016.10, from coordinate 2,304,811 downwards.
CCCAGCTACTCAGGAGGCTGAGGCAGGAGAATGGCGTGAACCCGGGAGGTGGAGCTTGCAGTGAGCCGAGATCGTGCCACTGCACTCCAGCCTGGGAGACAGAGCAAGACTCCATCTCAAAAAAAAAAAAAAAAAATTTAGCCCAGGCATGGCAGCATGCGCCTGTAATCCCAACTACTTGGAAGGCTGAGACAGGAGAATTGCTTGAACCTGGGAGGCAGAGGTTGCAGTGAGCCGAGATCGCAGCACTGCACTCCTGCCTGGGCGACAGAGCAAGACTCCATCTCAAAAAAAAAAAAAAAAAAAAAAAAGACTTATGCTAAATGCACATTGACCCACGTTGGCCTTACCGAAATCATAGATGTGGGTGCATATGTACGTGTGTACATATGTGCATATATGTCACAGATTAAATGCAAGCCTGTCTAGTCAGTGAATGAGCTGTTGCTGGTCTGTGACTTAATTATTTTGTAACCTGAGTTTATCTTCCAGGCTTGAAGAAAGCTGTCCAACTTGTTATAAAACCGGGAAGGGAAAAGGCATGCCAACCAAGCAGTGGCCATGCAAGGTCAAATGTGCACACGTGTGCCATCAGGGGCTTCGGGTCCCTGGGCCCCCCAGCCTGCTGGCTTTCGGGCCACTTTCCTGATGTGTCTTCCAGGCATGGGCATCCAGTGGCGAGACCTCCTGAGTCCCGTCAACGTGGACGACGACTTCTGCTTCGGGCAGGTGCTGGGGATGCTGCTGCTGGACTCTGTGCTCTATGGCCTGGTGACCTGGTACATGGAGGCCGTCTTCCCAGGGCAGTTCGGCGTGCCTCAGCCCTGGTACTTCTTCATCATGGTGAGTTCTGATGCCCTGCTCTTGAGCCGCCGCCTCTCTGAGTGCAGAGGTGTCCCCAGTACCTGCTCAGGGACCCCTCTGAGTCCCCAGCATGCAGCACCTGCGTGGGGCTGGCACACAGAACCCTGCCCTGTGCACAGGGAGTGGCGTGTCCCCCGAGGGCCCTTGGGACTGGTTCAGAGAGAGAAAGACCCTCCATGCCCAAGAGTAATCCTTCCGCTTCAGAGCCTGAGACAGAGGGGTGCAGAGAACCGGCTGCTCTGGCCCCTCTCTGCAAGACCCACGCACGCAGCCTCTGCTGCCCACCTCCCTCCTCAATCCTGCCTCCTTTCTTGTGAAAAGTATCTTATTGGGTTTTCTACCTACAAAATCTAGCTTCTTATAAAAATGTTCACATTCGGCCAGGCGTGGTGGCTCACGCCTGTAATCCCAGCTCTTTGGGAGGCCAAGGTGGGTGGATCACGAGGTCAGGAGATCAAGACCATCCTGGCTAACAAGGTGAAATCCCATCTCCACTAAAAATAAAAAATAAAAAAAAAACTAGCCGGGTGTGATGGCGGGTGCCTGTAGTCCCAGCTACTCGGGAGGCTGAGGCAGGAGAATGGCATGAACCTGGGAGGCGGAGCTTGCAGTGAGCCAAGATCGCGCCATTGCACTCCAGCCTGGCAACACAGCGAGAGTCTGTCTCAAAAAAAAAAAAAAAAGAGAGAAAAAAAGTTCGGATTCCTGAAATCTATAGCTCATTCCCACTGGTGAGATGAACACTGTTGACATTTGGTATGTACTTTGCTGGGTTTCCCTCTCTACACTTACTGTCATAGAGCACAGATGGATGGACATATAGCATAGTTTCATAAAAATGTGATTGGAGGCCGGGTGTGGTGGCTCACCCCTGTAATCCCAGCACTTTGGGAGGCCAAGATGGGTGGATCACCTGAGGTCAGAAGTTTGAGACCAGCCTGGCCAGCATGGTGAAACCCTGTTTCTACTAAAGAAATACAAAAAAAAAAAATTAGCTGGGTGTGGTGGCAGGCGCCTCTAATCCCAGCTACTTGGGAGGCTGAGGCAGGGAGAACTGCTTGAACCCGGAAGGCGGAGGTTGCAGTGAGCTGAGACTGTGCCATTGCACTCCAACCTGGGCGACAGAGCGAGACTCCATCTCAAAAAAAAAAAAAATGGGATCGGGGTGGACATAGTCGCTCATCCCTGTAATCCCAGCACTTTGGGAGGCTGAGGTGGAAGGATGACTTGAGGCCAGGAGTTAGAGACCAGCCTGGGCAACATAGTGCAACCCCATCTCTACAAAATAAATAAAAAATTTAAAAAATTAGCCAGGCGGCACATGCCTGTGGTCCCAGCTACTTGAGAGGCTGAGGCAGAAGAATCACTTGAGCCCAGGAGGCTGCAGTGAGCCATGTTCACACCACCACACTCCAACTTTGGTGAAAAAATGAGACCCTGTCTCAAAAAAAAAAAAAAGAATCATATTGTAAAAAATGCTTACAAGTTGCTTTTCTTAACCTAACAGTACAACTCAGATATCTTAAATACATATATATGTTTGTCTATTTATAAATATAGTTTTAAACTATTATCTAAACATATTGATGAATGTTGTTATATTTATAAATATATTTCTACCTAAGTATTACCTTTTTAAGAATCACTGCCGAGACCAGCTCGGTCGGGGAGACCTTAACCCAGCGGCACTAGAGGAATTAAAGACACACACGCAGAAATATAGAGGTGCGAAGTGGGAAATCAGGGGTCTCACAGCCTTCAGAGCTGAGAGCCCCGAACAGAGATTTACCCACATATTTATTAACAGCAAACCAGTCATTAGCATTGTTTCTATAGATATTCCATTAACTAAAAGTATCCCTTAAGGGAAATGGATGGATGGGCCGAATTACTTGCAGCAGGAACACGCCCTTAAGACACAGATCTCTCAGGCTTTTGTTTGCGGCTTAAGAATGCCTTTAAGCGGTTTTCCGCCCTGGGCGGGCCAGGTGTTCCTTGCCCACAACCTTCCAGCTTGGGTGTTATGGCCATTATGGACGTGTTACATTGCTGCAGAGATTTTATTTATGGCCAGTTTTGGGGCCAGTTTATGGCCAGACTTTGGGGGGCTTGCTCCCAACAAACCACCTTCATTTATAGTGACACACAGTGTTCCATTCTGTGGGCCCATCAACATATACTTAACTGATTCCCTACCGATGGCTAGTTAAGGTCATTTCTTTTTTTTTTTTTTTCTTTGATTCGGAGTCTAGCTCTGTTGCCCAGGCTGGAGTCCAGTGGCGCGATCTCAGCTCACTGCACCCTTCACCTCCCAGGTTCAAGTGATTCTCCTGCCTCAGCCTCCTGAGTAGCTGGGATTACAGGCACCCACCACTACACGCACCTAATTTTTTTTGTATTTTTATTAGAGACGGGGTTTCGCCATGTTGGCCAGGCTGGTCTTGAACTCCTGACCTCAGGTGATCCACCCGCCTCGGCCTCCCAAAGTGCTGGGATGACAGGCGTGAGCCACCACCTCCAGCCGAGGCCATTTCTGTTTTCATTCTTTGCTTCCACAAGTAGTTATCAAGTGTTCACTACTGTAATCCATCAACTGTAAGATGACACTGACCGTTAGAGGTAATGGTTACTTTGTCTATCACTAAGAAAGAAAAATGCCACACTTACACTATGGCATTTTATAGTTTAAGATGCATTCTGATTTTTTTTTTTTTTTTGAGACGGAGTCTCGCTCTGTCGCCCAGGCTGGAGTACAGTGGTGCCATCTCGGCTCACTGCAAGCTCCGCCTCCCGGGTTCACGCCATTCTCCTGCCTCAGCCTCCCGAGTAGCTGGGACTATAGGCGCCCACCACCACGCCCGGCTAATTTTTTTGTATTTTTAGTAGAGACGGGGTTTCACCGTGTTAGCCAGGATGGTCTCGATCTCCTGACCTCATGATCCGCCCGCCTCGGCCTCCCAAAGTGCTGGGATTACAGGCTCGAGCCACCGTGCCCAGCCAAGATGCATTCTGATTTTAAAATCACTTTACATATGAGAGCTGTGTCCCTGAGAACCAGTGGAGTGCAGTGTGTGCCAGATGCCGTTCCAGGTGCTGGAAGTGCACTGGGCGTGGAGCTGCGGGTAAACGAGTCCCCGCCCCGCAGCTGCCCTGGCACTGATCCTGCCAAGGCACTGCTTCCACCTTCCCTGCTGCTCTGCCCGCACCACTGTGTCGACTGCCTCCATGTAGGCACCAGGCTGTCCTCGAGGGCACTGTGTGAGGTGTGTGCCTGTGTTCTTACCCCATGCACTGAGTTATTTCTGTGATGGCCACAGAGAAGATGGGAAGAGGCTTCCTCATAGTAGAGGGAGGCGTGGCGCCTTCGGCTTCTCTTGCTTACAGTCATGAACTCATGTGGGGCTTGAGCAAAGAAACAGCCGGGTGGCATGGGGACACAGCTTTCTTTCCATTTTGGCTCCAACATCCCTCTGGACTGGAGCGTTAGATAACTTCTGTCTATGAAATTTCATAGCTGACAAACTCCCTTTGCCCTGTATCGGATCTGAGTTCATCTTCACAAGCCTGTATGTAACCATTACACCCACTTACCAGGTTAGGAAACTGAGGCTTAGAGCCTTCACAGGGATGAAACAAGTTGGGACTCTCTGGGGCTCTCCCTGAGTAGCGCCTTCTCCACAGCAGTGCCTCGAAGTCCTGGGACAGAGGCTGCATGGCTGTGTGCATCTAGTGTGTCTGCTGGTTGTTGCTTTGCTCGTCACAAACAAAACAAACTGACAGCTGTCTGCTTCCCTCCCAGCCCTCCTATTGGTGTGGGAAGCCAAGGGCGGTTGCAGGGAAGGAGGAAGAAGACAGTGACCCCGAGAAAGCACTCAGAAACGAGTACTTTGAAGCCGAGCCAGAGGACCTGGTGGCGGGGATCAAGATCAAGCACCTGTCCAAGGTGCCGCCTCCTGTGGGGACAGGGAGGGCCGGGGCTGCCAGGACCATGGGAAGACTTACCAGCACGGCAGTGAGACCTCATAGCCCGTCAGGCGCTCCCTCTGAGCCTTGCTCCCTCCTGCCCTGAAGGAGGGCAGGAACCCTCCGCTGCCCTCTAACCGGTTCCCCAGGGCACAGACCACATCTCCAGCTTCTCAGGAAATGCCAGACTCAGCCGTCCAGCAGTGCCTCGGCCTCATGGGCCTCCCAGGGTTGCAGAGACACTGAGGGTGTCTGGGACGTGTTGGGGCTGGGGGAGACCGGAGGGGAGCAGCCAGGAGCAGCATCTGCCCGAAACGTCCCTCCCCTCTGCACACTGATGGTGACGCTAGGCTTGGTTCCTTCTGAGACGGTCGGGCAGGGGAGCAGGAGAGGCCTTGGCCGTGGGCCTCGGGGCTGTGGGTAGCCCAGGGCAGCCTCTGCCTTTCCTGCAGGTGTTCAGGGTGGGAAATAAGGACAGGGCGGCCGTCAGAGACCTGAACCTCAACCTGTACGAGGGACAGATCACCGTCCTGCTGGGCCACAACGGTGCCGGGAAGACCACCACCCTCTCCATGCTCACAGGTGAGGGCCAGGCGCCTCACGCCCCTGCCACCAGCAGGCCCCCCTTTAACACCATCTCAGCGCCAGCCCCGCCTCACTCCCTCAATGGGGCTTTCGGGCCTTCCCCAACCACAGCGGCAGGAGATGCACCTCAGCCCTGCAGGCCCAGGGGCACAAGCAGGGACTGCCCTCCTCACCGCCTCTGTCCGGGACATGCCGGGGGACCCCCAGGGACCCCTGCCCTCCTCACCGCCTCTGTCCGTGAATGCAGGGGGACCCCCAGGGACCCCTGCCCTCCTCACCGCCTCTGTCCGTGAATGCAGGGGGACCCCCAGGGACCCCTGCCCTCCTCACCGCCTCTGTCCATGAATGCAGGGGGACCCCCAGGGACCCCTGCCCTCCTCACCGCCTCTGTCTGTGAATACCCAAGCTTGACAGGGTCAGTGAAAACAGAGGCCACCACGCAGGAGCAGCTCAACCCCATGCTAATTCTGTCACCAAACCCCTCTCTGAGAGCTCTCCCCTGTGCACCACACCGGCCACTGGCATTTCACTCTGTCTTCCCCAAGCACCAAAGTGTCTGGCAGTGGCACAGGCTGGGACCCGGGGCGGGGGCTGATTGTGGTGACTCTGTGTGTGTGTGTCGTGGGTTTCTCCTCCCTGACCAGCTGTGCGTCCCAGTGGCAGGGCTGTTTCCATGCCGCTTCTTTTTCCCACTGGCCCAGCCAAAGCCCACCCCAGTGGGAGTGGGGTTCCGTGCCCTCTCATGGGCAGGGTCCTCAGAGGAAATTAGGGGAGACAGAGAGGGGGTGGGGGGTCATTACCGCGGGTGCTGACGAGCAGGATCTTCATGCTGAATGTGGGGTCTCCTGCTGGGCCCCAGGTCTCTTTCCCCCCACCAGTGGACGGGCATACATCAGCGGGTATGAAATTTCCCAGGACATGGTTCAGATCCGGAAGAGCCTGGGCCTGTGCCCGCAGCACGACATCCTGTTTGACAACTTGACAGTCGCAGAGCACCTTTATTTCTACGCCCAGGTGAGTTGGGGGCCAGGGGTGTGCAGGGGTGTTTCCACTGATGTGCTCGAGTTTCTGGGGCAGTCTTCCGAGGAGCTAAACTGGAGGAAGGGAGCCAGGAGGGCAGGAGCCAGGGTTCTGAGTCCAGCTACGTCAAGGAGAGGTTCCTCTCACCAGAACCTCGCTGGCCAGGGTCGGCCTCCCGCCAGGAGCCCTGCATCTCCCCAGCTACGTCAAGGAGAGGTTCCTCTTACCAGAAACTCGCTGGCCGTGGTCGGCCTCCCGCCAGGAGCCCTGCATCTCCCCAGCTACGTCAAGGAGAGGTTCCTCTCACCAGAACCTTGCTGGCCGTGGTCGGCCTCCCGCCAGGAGCCCTGCATCTCCCCAGCTACGTCAAGGAGAGGTTCCTCTCACCAGAACCTCGCTGGCCAGGGTCGGCCTCCCGCCAGGAGCCCTGCATCTCCCTGCGTCCCCTGTCGTTGCAGCTGAAGGGCCTGTCACGTCAGAAGTGCCCTGAAGAAGTCAAGCAGATGCTGCACATCATCGGCCTGGAGGACAAGTGGAACTCACGGAGCCGCTTCCTGAGCGGGGGCATGAGGCGCAAGCTCTCCATCGGCATCGCCCTCATCGCAGGCTCCAAGGTGTGGCGGTGGGACTGGAGGCAGTGGGTTCCCCTCCTGCTCGACCTGGGATGGCCCTTCCGCCATGGCCCGGGCACCTTGGCCCTTGACACCCCAGACAAGGCCATCACCATCCTTGGAGGACTCAAGCCGGCTCCGCGAACCCCTCGATGGGGCCTACCGCAAGGCCAGCCTGGGCCCGGGGTGTGGCTCTACCAGCGTCGCGAGACTGTGTCTCTCCCTCCAGGTGCTGATACTGGACGAGCCCACCTCGGGCATGGACGCCATCTCCAGGAGGGCCATCTGGGATCTTCTTCAGCGGCAGAAAAGTGACCGCACCATCGTGCTGACCACCCACTTCATGGACGAGGCTGACCTGCTGGGAGACCGCATCGCCATCATGGCCAAGGGGGAGCTGCAGTGCTGCGGGTCCTCGCTGTTCCTCAAGCAGAAATACGGTGAGCGGTGGGGCCAGCCCGCGACAGGGTCGGTGTCCTGGCTGCCGTGCTGAGGGAATGGCTGCTACCTTCATGAAGGGCCCTCAGATCAGGCAGGGGTGGCCTTTTCTAGACTTCCTGTCTGTTGCCTCTGGGTGGAGAGCCCAACCAGGCAGGGGGGCTTGTGAGAGGGAAGAGGCAGGAAATGGAGCTGAAAGTCTCAATTTGGTTAGGATGTGGTTCAGCCATGACCAGAAGAACAGAGGCCAAGCCTAGTGCCACTAGGAGCAGCACTGCCCTTGGAGAGGCCAACACACGCACCAACATGGCAGCTCCCACGTGAGAGCAGCTCACAGCATGGCCAGGGCCAGCAGGGGCTGACAGGATCTGGGCCCAGACCTCTGACTGTACTGTGCAACTACGGCTTCCCTTTCAAGGTCACCTCCTGGTCCAGCACGATCTGGGTGTGCCAGCGTCCCCCACATTCCAACGGGGTGGAGCAAAGACATAGGAGCCCTCCTCCCCTCAGGACACCCCCCAAGTTCACGTCCCACTTCTGCCCCCTAGTGACTGAGTGGCAACCCAGTGTGGTCAGCAGTAGGCTGGAGGGGATGGCCTTTGTCCTGGGCAGCCACATGCTCAGCCAAGATACCAGGGTTTTGTTACCAAGAGGGAGGACAGCAGGCGTTAGGAGATGAGGAACCATCCACCACGGCCTCTGAGAGTTTCACTAGCCACTTCCTGCCCCACTGCCCAGTTGGCAGAGCCATTGTTCTTCCTGGGCCTGGCATCCTTGTCTCTAAAGAGGACATGGGGCCAGGCGTGGTGGCTCACCGCCTATAATCCCAGCACTTTGGGAGGCCAAGGCAGGCAGATCACTTGAGGTCAGGAGTTCAAGACCAGCCTGGCCAACATGGTAAAACTCTGTCTCTACTAAAATACAAAAACTTAACCAGGTATGGTGGTGCATGCCTGTAATCCCAGCTACTTGGGGAGGCTGAGGCAGGAGAATAAGTACTTGAACCAAGGAGGGAGAAGTTACAGTGAGCCAAGATTGTGCAGCTGCACTCCAGCCTGGGTGACAGAGTGAGACTTGTCTCAAAAAAAAAAAAAAGGACATGGAATTCCATCTCCTGCACGGTGACGTTGGGAAAGAGGTGAGATGCATCTCTGATAGTGCCGTGCAGTGCGGTCTTGCAGCCGGTAGCTCTTGCTCCTGCTCCTGCTGACAGTCCCTTCCTAGAACCACACCATAACCATCAGTGTTAACCCCACAAGACAGAAGCCCTCACACGTGGTCCGTCGCTGCTGATGATATCCTTCCCTGGTGCTTGTATAGCTGGGGGGAGACCCCACCTTCCAGCAGGTGCCCCTGACAGTGCTCAGCACCCTAGATCCCCAGCAGCTCTTCCCAGCAGGAGCGGGAGGTGACACCCTTGGGACAGCACAGGGAGCTCCAAGACACATTCATTCTGCTTCAGCTGCCCACCTCCGGTTCTCTAGCCTCCTTCCCACCAGCTTGCCTGGTGTGAGCCCTAGAGACCCCGGGGTGGGCATGAAGAGACCTGGGGGATCAGCCAAAGATCTCACACGTGGCCCTGTATTCCAGGTGCCGGCTATCACATGACGCTGGTGAAGGAGCCGCACTGCAACCCGGAAGACATCTCCCAGCTGGTCCACCACCACGTGCCCAACGCCACGCTGGAGAGCAGCGCTGGGGCCGAGCTGTCTTTCATCCTTCCCAGAGAGAGCACGCACAGGTACGCCTCCCAGGGAGGGCACGCACAGGTATACATCCAAGATGGGATCCCCATGGGCCATGAGGGCTTTGTGCTCAGAGGCACCTGCTCTGCCCCTCTCTGGCCTGGCCAGTCGGCACTCTTAGACCCTCAGCCTGGGCACCATCAGCCCAGATGAATCTGCTTGGCTGGGTCCTAGGTGCCAGGCCTCCTAGCAAGGAGAAACATAATTAGGACCTGAAAAGGAGAAGCACGTATCTGACTCACCAAAAGGGTGCTCAGCGCTGATGCAGGGCTCACACTCCCCCTTCTGACACCAGGCTCAACACGTGCTGCGGCTGCACTCAGAACTACTCGTGAAACCGAGTCTGTATTTGTATGTGGGTGGTGAATTTGGTCTCAGTGTCAGAGCTGGAGATGTTACCACCTGCTCATCACTGTCTCACACACACGGCAGAACCAGCAAGGGGAGGGAAGCCAGTGTTCCATGACACTATCTATCAGTCTGGATATTATCTGGATAATATCAGTTTATTGCACTTTTCTCCAGTTTGTTGTTTGATTTTGTCAGATTTTTTTCCATTTTACATTTATTTATTTTATTTGTTATTTATTTATTATTTGTTTTGAGATGGAGCCTCACTCTGCTGCCCAGTCCAGAGTGCAGTGGCACAATCTCAGCTCACTGCAACCTCTGCCTCCCAGGTTCAAGCAATTCTCCTGCCTCAGCCTCCCAAGTAGCTGGGATTACAGGCGTGCACCACCACACCCGGCTAATTTTTGTATTTTTAGTAGAGATGGGGTTTTACCATGTTGTCCAGGCTGGTCTCAAACTCCTGACCTCAGGTGATCCACCCACCTCGGCCTCCCAAAGTGCTAAGATGTCAGGCATGAGCCACCATGCCTGGCCACATTTGTTTATTTTAAAAACAAGGTCTTGCTCTGTCACCCAGGCTGGAGTGCAGTGGTGCAATCACAACTCACTGCAGCCTTGAATTCCTGGGCTCGTGATCTCCCACCTCAGCCTCCCGAATAGTTGGGACTACAGGTGTGTATCAACATGTCCGGCTAGTTTTTTTATTTTTTTTGTAGAGATGGGGTCTTGTTATGTTGCCCAAGCTGGTCTTGAACTCCTGGGCTTAAGTGATCCTTCCGCCTCAGCCTCCCAAAGTTCTGGGATTCCAGGTGTGAGCCACTGCACCCGGCCTAGATTTTGTACTTAATGTAGCAACATCCTTTCTCTTGTGACTTCTTCTATTAATTTTATTCTTAGAAAGTGTTTCGCAGCTGTGCATAGTGGCGCACGCCTGTAATCCCAGCACTTTGGGAGGCCAAGGCGGGCGGACCATGAGGTCAGGAGATCGAGACCATCCTGGCCAACACGGTGAAACCTCGTCTCTACTAAAAAAAAAAAAAAATACAAAAATTAGCCGGGCGTGGTGGTGGGTGCCTGTAATCCCAGCTACTCAGGAGGCTGAGGCAGGAGAATCACTGAACCCAGGAGCAGAGGTTGCAGTGAGCCGAAATCACACCCCTGCACCCCTGCACCCCTGGATTCCAGCCTGGGTGACAGAGGGAGACTCCATCTCAAAAAAAAAAAAAGAAAGAAAAAACCAGGGAATCAAACCATATGAACCTCACTTTTAGCCAGGCATGGTTGCTCATGCCTGTAATCCCAACACTTTCAGAAGCCAAGGCAGAAGGAGAAGGAGATCAGCTTGGGCGACATAGTGAGACCCCATCTCTACAAAAAAATTAAAAATTAGCCACATGGCCAGGCACGGTGGCTCACACCTGTAATCCCAGCACTTGGAGGCCGAAGCGGGTGGATCACGAGGTCAGGAGATCGAGACCATCCTGGCTAACATGGTGAAACCCCATCTCTACTAAAAATACAAAAACAAAATTAGCCGGGCGTGGTGGCGGGCACCTGTAGTCCCAGCTACTCGGGAGGCTGAGGCAAGAGAATGGCATGAAGCCGGGAGGCAGATCTTGCAGTGAGCCAAGATCGCGCCACCGCACTCCAGCCTGGGTGACAGAGCAAGACTCAGTCTCAAAAAAAAAAAAAAAACTTAGCCACGTGTAGTTGTGCACACCTGTAGCCCCAGACACTTGGGAGGCTGAGGTGAGAGGATTGCTTGAGCCCGGGAGGTCAAGGCTTCAGTGAGCCGAGATTATACCACTGCACTCCAGCCTGAGTGACAGACCAAGACCCTGTCTCCAAAAAAAAAAAAAAAAAAAAAGGCATTTTGGCCAGGCACGGTAGCTTGGTAGCTCATTGCCTGTAATCCCAGCACTTTGGGAGGTCAGGGCAGGTGGATCACAGGGTCAGGAGATCAAGACCATCCTGGCTAACACGGTGAAACCCCATCTCTACTAAAAATACAAAAAATTAGCTGGGTGTGGTGGCGGGCGCCTATAGTCCCAGCTACTCTGGAGGTTGAGGCAGGAGAATGCCATGAACCTGGGAGGCGGAGCTTGCAGTGAGCCGAGACTGTGCCACTGCACTGCAGCCTGGGTGACAGAGCAAAACTCCATCTAAAGAAAAAAAGAAAAAAAAAGGTATTTCAAGGAATTAACCTCCTGTGGCCCCTGCCCCATTCTATAGGGGGATTAGGGGGGTGATTCATTTTAGTTTAGTTTAGTTTAGTTTTTGGAGACGGAGTCTTGCTCTGTTGCCCGGGCTGGAGTCCAGTGGTGCGATCTCAGCTCACCGCAACCTCCGCCTCCCGGGTTCAAGCAATTCTCCTGCCTCAGCCTCCCGAGTAGCTGGGATTACAGGCACAAGCCGCCATGACTGGGTAGTTTTTGTTGTTGTTGTTGTTTGTTGTTTTGTTTTGTTTTATTTATTTTAGTAGAGACAGAGTTTCACCGTGTTGCTCAGGCTGGTCTCGAACTCCTGAGTTCAGGCAATTCGCCCACCTCGGCCTCCCAAAGTGCTAGGATTACAGGTGTGAGATACTGCACCTGGCCTCCTTATTTTTTTAATTTTATTTATTTATTTATTTTTTTGAGACAGAGTTTCACTCTGCCACCCAGGCTGGAGTGCAGTAGCGCAATCTCGGTTCACTGCAGCCTCCACCTCCTGGGTTCAAGTGTTCTCCTGCCTCTGCCTTCTGAGTAGCTGGGACTACAGGCACCTGCTACCACACGTGGCTAATTTTTTATGTTTTTAATAGCGACAGGTTTCACCATGTTGACTAGACTGGTATCGAACTCCTGATCTCAGGTGATCCGCCCGCCTTGGCGTCCCAAAGTGCTGGGGTTACAGGTGTGAGGCACTGTGCCTGGCCGAGGGGGGGTGATGCTTTAGGAACAAATTATCTAGAAAGTCACTGAGAAGTGACTCATAATGCTGGGTCTGTTTTTCAGGTTTGAAGGTCTCTTTGCTAAACTGGAGAAGAAGCAGAAAGAGCTGGGCATTGCCAGCTTTGGGGCATCCATCACCACCATGGAGGAAGTCTTCCTTCGGTCAGTAAATGCGCATTTCCGTCCACCTAGGACTGGGCTCCGTGCTGCAGAGGACTTTTTTTTTTTGAGATGGAGTTTCACTCTAGTTGCCCAGGCTGGAGTGCAGTGGTGCGATCTCGGCTCACCGCAACCTCCGCCTCCTGGGTTCAAGAGATTCTCCTGCCTCAGCCTCCCGAGTAGCTGGGATTACAGGCATGTGCCACCACACCCAGCTAATTTTGTATTTTTAGTAGAGATGGGTTTTCTCCATGTTGGTCAGGCTGGTCTCAAACTCCTGACCTCAGGTGATCCGCCCACCTTGGCCTCCCAAAGTGCTGGTATTACAGGCGTGAGGCACCGTGCTCAGCCGAGGACTTCTAAAAAGTGCAGTGATAAACAGTCACCTCGGTTATGATCTCAAATGCCCACGTGAGGCTGGAGGAACAGCCTGGGGTGGGGCGGGCAGTGGCCGCCGTCAGAGCCCCAAGTGCAGATTGTGACTGTCAGCAACATTGGTGTGCGTGGGAAACGGCGGCACACGTGAGGGGCCTGCACTGCCTTGGGGTCCCTCCTAGACCCGCCACGGGTCTAGCTGGCACACGGCGTCAGAGGCGTGCCCAGCTCTTCTTGGGCTTAGATCGTCCTTGGGAGATACCTGTGTCGTTAATGAAGATGGGAACTATCTCATCCAGACCCTCAGAACTGCATGGGGGCTGGGCGTGGTGGCTCACGCCTGTCATCCCAGCACTTTGGGAGGCCGAGGCAGGCGATCACTTGAGCCAAGGAGTTTGAGACTAGCCTGGTCAACATGGTGAAATCCCATCTCTTTTTTTTTGAGACAGAGTCTCACTCTGTCTCCCAGGCTGGAGTGCAGTGGTGCAATCTCAGCTCACTGCAACCTCTGCCTCCCAGATTCAAGCGATTCTCCTGCCTCAGCCTCAGTAGCTGGGACTGCAGGCGCACGTCATTACGCCCAGCTAGTTTTTTTGTATTTTTAACAGAGATGGGGTTTTGCCATGCTGGTCTGGAACTCCTGACCTCAGGTGACCCACCTGAAGATCTGTGCTGGGATTACAGGCGTGAGCCACCACCCCCAGCCACCATCTCTACTAAAACTACAAAAATTAGCCGGGCATGGTGGCACACACCTGTAATCTCAGCTACTTGGGAGGCTGAGGCAGGAGAATCAATTGAACCTGGGAAGTGGAGGTTGCAGTGAGCTGAGATTGTGCCACTGCACTCCACCCTGGGGGACAGAGCAAAACCCTGTGTCAAAAGAAAAAGAAAAAAACGTGAGATAGGTTTTCCTCCTTAGGGAGCCCACAGCCTAGAGGAGGCGACAGAATAGGTGATCATACATGCAGGACATGGTGGTGCATGCTCTGGGGACACCTGTGCAGGGGACCATGTGTCCAGGAACAGACCCAGGGAAAAAGGCCAGGCAAGGCGGCGGAGGGAGGGAGGGACTGCCCGCTGACCTGTGTCCCACACAGGACCGAGCACTGACTGACTGATTCTGTGAATCCTGGTTGAAGGAAGGAAGGAAGCATGAACATAACAGAAAGAAACCACGGGCTGGCCTGGAGTCAGCCGGCTCTGAGGGTAGAACCCGGGTTGATCCTGCTGCGTCTCAGCAGCCACAGGGCCTCTTGTCTCTCAAGGTCTCAGGCCTCTCTGGCCCCATCTCATACTCACCACACGGCCCACCTGTGACTCAGCTCCAGGCCCCACACCTGACCCTGGCCTCTCTGAGCTCCTGGTCTCAAGAGAAAAATAATCAGAAGCTTTTCCTGGTTTGTCTAGGACCTGGGGAGAGCTAGCCAGGCTGGTAAGCGCCCACCGGAGCTCAGACCATGGGCAGGAAGGCTTTTAATCAGAGGGAATACTGACGAGATGGCAACACTTGGTGTCTCTGAGCAGATCATGAAAGATGAGTGGGACTGGGAGAATCCAGTGAGGGAGAAGGGCTCTGCCAAGGGCCAGAGGAGCAGGTACTTAGGCCTCACGGCAGCCTGCACACAGGAGCAAGAAGCAGGCAGACAGGGCTCACACGGGCTCCAAGTGTGGCCTGACAATGTTGCTAAGCCAGCCGGGGGGTGCCTCCTGCCTGCTGCAGCCTCAGTTGTGTTTCCTAATCGGCGGGGAGCTCTAGGAAGGGGTGTGTGTGTGTGTGTGTGTGTGTGTGTGTGTGTGTGTGTGATGTAATTCACATAATATTAAAAAATCACCTCCTCTGCCAGCCTTGGTGGTTCATGCCTGTAATCCCAGCACTTTGAGAGGCCAAGGTGGGTGGATCACTTGAGGTCAGGAGTTCCAGATCAGCCTGGCCAACATGGTGAAACCCTATGTCTACTAAAAATACAAAAATTAGCTGTGCATGGTGGCCGGAGACACTGATGAGTGAGGAAACACATAAGCAGATGCATGAGCAAGCCAAGGACTGCGGCAACACTGCTCCCCTCAGTGCCTCTAACCATAGTCCCTCCCTCCACCCACCCGGGGAGCTGGGTCCTGACCGGTCCCTGTGTGTATCGGCACAGGGTCGGGAAGCTGGTGGACAGCAGTATGGACATCCAGGCCATCCAGCTCCCTGCCCTGCAGTACCAGCACGAGAGGCGCGCCAGCGACTGGGCTGTGGACAGCAACCTCTGTGGGGCCATGGACCCCTCCGACGGCATTGGAGCCCTCATCGAGGAGGAGCGCACCGCTGTCAAGCTCAACACTGGGGTGAGTGCCCAGGTGGGTGGGCGGGTGGCGGGGGAAGGGCGAGCAGCCCCCAAACGCCTCATGTAAGCCCATGCAGAGGAGAGTCTGCGAGGGCGCAAACAGGGTCCGGGAGAGTCAGCACACCGGGCAGAGGGCGGGCAGCGGCTCACACCGCATGGGTCGGCAGGGAGAAGCGTTTGAATGGAGCAACTGGAATTTCTCATGCTCTACCTCAGGCACAGCACCCTGCTCAACAGGAGCTTGTCGGGTGCCCAGCTCTGTGTTGATGAGGCTCTCTAGCAGCCAACGACACGGAGGTTGGTTGATGCACTCGGTTCACAGATGGGAAACCGAGGCCTGGGCCAAAGTCAGATGTGACAGAGTCACAGAGCTCATTCTGATCCCTGGTCAGCCTGATCTCAAAGCCCTGACGCTCTCTGTCTCGGAGGACCAGGAAGGAAAGAAGCTGGAGAACGAGGCAGTCAGGCTGGTTGGGAGGCTCGGCCATCTGTTTCCTGTGACCTGTGTGGTGGTGTCTCCTTGTGGCAGGGGGAGGGCAGGGGATGGCAGCTGGTCCTCTACTGTCCTGAGACAATGAAACAGTGTCTGGGCCGGGTGTGGTGGCTCATGCCTGTAATCCCAGTACATTGGGAGGCCAAGGCGGGCAGATCACTTGAGGTCAGGAGTTCAAGACCAGCCTAGGCCAACATGACAAAACCCTATCTCTACTAAAAATACAAAAATTAGTTGGGTGTGGTGGTGTGCGCCTGTAATCCCAGCTACTTGGGAGGCTGAGGTAGGAACCCAGGAGGTGGAGGTTGCAGTGAGCTGAGATCACACCACTGCACTCCACCCCCAGTGACAGAGTGACCCTGTCTCAAAAAAATAAAATAGTGCCAACGTGCAGGGCCCCATGGAGACCTGCAGAGTCTGCACAGGTGACCCTGCCATGTGGTGCACTGAGCTCCTCCCACGGCCGTTTCAACGCTCTGGGAGTCTCCGGTGCAACCTCAGCTGCAGGCCCCCAGGCTGGCGTCACACAGAACAGCACCTGCCGCAGGTGGGTGGGGGTCAGGCGCTGGGCCCCAAGCGGTGCCGGTGTCACCTGCGTCCCCTCTGCCGCAGCTCGCCCTGCACTGCCAGCAATTCTGGGCCATGTTCCTGAAGAAGGCCGCATACAGCTGGCGCGAGTGGAAAATGGTGGCGGCACAGGTCCTGGTGCCTCTGACCTGCGTCACCCTGGCCCTCCTGGCCATCAACTACTCCTCGGAGCTCTTCGACGACCCCATGCTGAGGCTGACCTTGGGCGAGTACGGCAGAACCGTCGTGCCCTTCTCAGTTCCCGGGACCTCCCAGCTGGGTCAGCAGCTGTCAGAGCATCTGAAAGACGCACTGCAGGCTGAGGGACAGGAGCCCCGCGAGGTGCTCGGTAAGGGGCATCCCGGGGGCGGGACGGGGGCATCGGGGGCCAGTCCTGCAGCCAGAGTTCGCCTTCCTGACTGCAGCAGGGTCGACATCTGGGGAGGATGGTTCTTGGCTGTTCCGAATGTACTGAGGGAGGTTCAGCAGCATCCCTGACCTTGCCCCACCCCATCATGACCATCAAACATGCCTGGAAACATTGCGGATGTCCCCTGGGTGGCAGATCACGGCACTGAGTCAGGGGAAGTGCCCTGGAGGTGCCAGAGACACTGGCATCCTGGGGCCAGGCTTTGTCAGGCGTCTTTTTACTGAAGCTGTGTCTTTCAGGATCATTCATGGGCAAAATGCAGAAGCATAGTGACTTCAAGTTACCTTTGCTTTGTGATGATGCTGGCCACAGTGTGCCTTCGTGTGACAGGGTGTTTTCTTTCAACATCTTAAAACTCACAGTTCTTGGCCAGGCACAGTAGCTCACACCTGTCATCCCACTACTTTGGGAGGCCGAGGCAGGTGGATCACTTGAGGTCAGGAGTTCGAGACCAGCCTGGTCAACATGGCAAAACTCTGTCTCTACTAAACACAAAAATTAGCTAGGTGTGGTGATGGGTACCTGTAATCCCAGCTACTCTGGAGGCTGAGGCAGGAGAATGGCTTGAACCTGGGCGGTGGAGGCTGCAGTGAGCCAAGATCGCACCATTGCACTCCAGCCTGGGTGACAGAGCAAGACTGTCTCAAAAAAAAAAAGAAAGAGTCTTGGTAGTCATAGTTGGATACTGCCCCAGGCTCAGAACAGGGACCGTGCTCTGGTTAATGGAACCTACTGGAAGGTTTTCTTATTTTGCAGCTCCTTTCCCGGTTCCTGACTGGCATTCAAAGTTCCACATACTGAATGATGACAAAACCTTGCCAGAAATTATACTCTCCTTAGGAGAAGGGTGATGGGGCGGGCAGCTCAGAGGATGCTGGCACCACTCTATTGGGTCCCTGATTAGCCATGCTCAGGTGGCAGGGGGTGCCCAGGTGTCACCTCTTCCTGTGTCCCCTGACTCTGCCATTGCTCCCCAGGTGACCTGGAGGAGTTCTTGATCTTCAGGGCTTCTGTGGAGGGGGGCGGCTTTAATGAGCGGTGCCTTGTGGCAGCGTCCTTCAGAGATGTGGGAGAGCGCACGGTCGTCAACGCCTTGTTCAACAACCAGGCGTACCACTCTCCAGCCACTGCCCTGGCCGTCGTGGACAACCTTCTGTTCAAGCTGCTGTGCGGGCCTCACGCCTCCATTGTGGTCTCCAACTTCCCCCAGCCCCGGAGCGCCCTGCAGGCTGCCAAGGACCAGTTTAACGAGTATGTGCACTGCCCGTCCCTGTCTGCCCTGGCCAGAGCCCCCAGGACTGACTGCCCTGGGCACTGCCACGGGCCCATAGATAGAGCATTGTGTCTGCCCTCCCAAAGCCCCTGGGTCTGGTGGGAAACCCCTGCCACATCCTCCTCCACCATCCACAGCCCCAACTCCCTGTGACAGCAGATCAGCTGTGGGCCATCCCATGCACTGCGGTCCTCACGGGGACCCATGAAGGCTCGGCAGGCAGCCCTGCCTTCTCCTCCTAAATCTACCTGGCTCCTGTCAGCCACTGTCCTCGCTCCACACTGCTCTCTCCAGCAGTGTGACCTGCTGGGCACATGAGCTGAGGTGATGGAGGGTGAGCAGAGCAGGACTTGGCAAGAACTGCCGTCCCTGTTCCTCAGATGGCCGCACGTCGGGAGCCTGCCATGCCATTGTGTGGGCAGGGCTACCCCCTATGCCGGCCACAGAGCCCCCAGAGCTCCTGGAACCACCCAGAGGAGGCCAAAAATTCTGTTAATTTCAGAATAGCCACTCCTCCTCAGGGCAGTGTCGTCTCCACCCACATTCCAGGCTAGGCCTAGGCCTGGCGATGGCTGCGTCCCAGCTTCTGGCTCCATCCCTGCCCCAAGAGCAGAAAAGCAACAGCCCTCGATCTGCTCTCCTTGCCATCAACTCAGGATCCTAGAATGACACACAGAGGCCAGGAGAGGCTTTCCCTTTGCCACACTCCAGGAGGAGGTGGGGCTCGGGACCTCCACACCTGGGCAAGGTCGCCGGCAGCCGTGGGGCTGAGGGCTGGGAGCGGGGTGATGAGGGAGAGTGACGCTGCCATTGTCACATGGTCAGCATAGGAATTCCAGAGGAACCGTTCTCCGGTGGGGGCAGATGTTCCCGGTATGGAACCATGGTGCTTGTGCTCTCCCATAAGCCCCTTTAGTGGTTGGGCTGCTGCCCTGCATGCCTTGGGCGGTCATAACCGAGAACCCGACCTCTCCTGCCACCCAGACGTGCTGTGCTCCGTCCCTGACCTTCTCTGTCCCCCGCAGGGGCCGGAAGGGATTCGACATTGCCCTCAACCTGCTCTTCGCCATGGCATTCTTGGCCAGCACGTTCTCCATCCTGGCGGTCAGCGAGAGGGCCGTGCAGGCCAAGCATGTGCAGTTTGTGAGTGGAGTCCACGTGGCCAGTTTCTGGCTCTCTGCTCTGCTGTGGGACCTCATCTCCTTCCTCATCCCCAGTCTGCTGCTGCTGGTGAGCGCCGGAGGGTGCTGGATCCGTTCCCCTGCAGACCGCAGAGGGCTTGCCCTGGGACCCCTGTGCAGAACCGGAACCAGCTGGGCAGCCCCTAGGCCGGCAGCTCGGCCCGACTCAGGGAGGACAGCTGGAATCCCCTGGCGGCTGCCCCCTCGCCTCCTCCCTGCACCCTCAGCCTTTACCCTCCATGCATGGGCAGCACCCGGAGCAGCCATCCTGGTTACAGCTCCGGGTGCAAGGGGACGAGGGGAAACTGGGACAGAGAGGGTCCTGGGGCTGAAAGCCACCGCGGGGGCCAGACGTGGCCTGTGGGGCTGATGGACATGGGCCAGCTGACCGGGAGGGGTCTGAGGACCTCCAAATGCTCCTCTCACCCCTTCCCTACCCGTGAGCTCCTCTCAGCTTGGCATGCACAGCAGCGCCTCCCTGTGCCGCCGCAGGTGGTGTTTAAGGCCTTCGACGTGCGTGCCTTCACGCGGGACGGCCACATGGCTGACACCCTGCTGCTGCTCCTGCTCTACGGCTGGGCCATCATCCCCCTCATGTACCTGATGAACTTCTTCTTCTTGGGGGCGGCCACTGCCTACACGAGGCTGACCATCTTCAACATCCTGTCAGGCATCGCCACCTTCCTGATGGTCACCATCATGCGCATCCCAGGTGGGCACCTGGAGACCACCCGCAGCCCCCATGGCCATCCACGGAGCCACTCCGCCCAGACAGGGAGGCACCAGCCACAGCCGAGGCGGGACTCAGGCAATGGGCCCAGTTCATGCTCACCAGCCCCTCTGCCCCAGCTGGCCCTGCCCGGCTAGCCATGACTGGTGGGCAGGCGTCTGCGGCGTCCTTGCCCTGTGCAGAGCCGGCAGGGGCGTCCCTGGGAGGTGCCCCCTCACTCCACACAGCACGGATAAGGCCCTGTGCCCGCCCTGACCAGGCCCGTCCTGGAGGTGGGTGTGGTGTGCCCTCCAGCGCAGACTGATCTTACCTCCCCAACGCAGCTGTAAAACTGGAAGAACTTTCCAAAACCCTGGATCACGTGTTCCTGGTGCTGCCCAACCACTGTCTGGGGATGGCAGTCAGCAGTTTCTACGAGAACTACGAGACGCGGAGGTACTGCACCTCCTCCGAGGTCGCCGCCCACTACTGCAAGAAATATAGTGAGTGTCCCAGCCCCGACCCCGGGCAGCACCCCTGCGTCCTCAGGACGTGGTCACTGCAGAGGGGCCTCCTAGGGCAGGGGCTCCTCTGCGTCTGAGTGGCCTGGGGCTGGTGCGTTCCTCTGTACCGCCTTGCCCCACCTCCCACAGCAGCCCCCTCGCGCCCGCTCGCTCCCAGGCCCTGTACCTGAGCTCCCACTCTCCCACCTGCCTCAGTGTCTGGGCATCTGTAACAAGGAACCACAGACCAGCGCTTAGCACGAGGAGTGAATCCCCCATGGCTCAGGGGAGGACCCTTCCTGCTTCTCCCATCTCCTGGAGGCTCCAGGCATCCTGAGCTCCTGGCTGCACCTACTCCCCACCACCGCCTCCATCCTCGCATGGCAGCTCCTGTCTCCTGTCTCAAATCTCCTTCTGCATTTCTCTTATAAGGACACTTGCTGTTGGGTTTAAGGCCCACACTAATCCAGTGTCTCACCTTAAGATCCTTACTAATCACATATTCAAAGACCCTGTTTCTAAGCAAGATCACAACCCCAGGTCCAGGGGGACAGAACTTGGACCTGTCCTGTGGGGCCTCCTCAGCCTCCCACACACCCCTCGGTGCTTGTAACGGTCTCTGTCCTGGTCAGGAGGCAGCCCAGGATTCACGCAGAGCCTGTGCCTCTCAGGCGGGCTGTTGCTGCCCTGGGTCTGCCATGTCGCTCATGGGACTGCATTGGATTGTTACGTGCCTGGCCCCTCTCTGAGCTGTGGTGCCTCGAGAGGCAGCTGTGACCTACTGGCCTTCACATCTCCCCATGGAGGGGACATTGTTACAGGCGCCTTGAGCAGCCTGGGGAGGGGAGTGGGGGCCGGGAACCTGGAAGGGGAGGAGGGTGCCCCAGGCCTCGGGGCACAGTGACTCCCTCGCCCCACAGACATCCAGTACCAGGAGAACTTCTATGCCTGGAGCGCCCCGGGGGTCGGCCGGTTTGTGGCCTCCATGGCCGCCTCAGGGTGCGCCTACCTCATCCTGCTCTTCCTCATCGAGACCAACCTGCTTCAGAGACTCAGGGGCATCCTCTGCGCCCTCCGGAGGAGGCGGACACTGGTGAGTGGCTCCGGGAGCCCAGGACACTGGCGAGATGCTCCCCACGTCTCTGCTTGGGCCCAGCACAACCTGGGGCAGCTCCACCTCCTTCTCCACCAGGCAGCTCCTGCACCAGATGGTCTCCCACTGTACGGCCTCAGCACCAGCCGGCACTTACAGCCAGGGCGGGGCACAGCCCTCGCCACTCACAAGGGCTGTCGAGTTGTGAGCCCCTGCCGAGGAGTCAGCCTGGGGGCCCAGGGCCGTCCTGCTGAGGAGAGGTGGTGCCCAGGGACACCCAGTGCCTGGAGGAGGGGATGTGGGGCTGAGGGGTGCCCAGTCCTGCTGAGCAGAGGTGGTGCCCAGGGACACCCAGTGCCCGGAGGAGGGGATGTGGGGCTGAGGGTTGCCCAGTCCTGCTGAGCAGAGGTGGTGCCCAGGGACACCCAGTGCCCGGAGGAGGGGATGTGGGGCTGAGGGGTGCCCAGTCCTGCTGAGCAGAGGTGGTGCCCAGGGACACCCAGTGCCCGGAGGAGGGGATGTGGGGCTGAGGGGTGCCCAGTCCTGCTGAGCAGAGGTGGTGCCCAGGGACACCCAGTGCCCGGAGGAGGGGATGTGGGGCTGAGGGGTGCTCCACGTGTTTATTGAAAACGTTCATTTTCTCAGGTCTCCATCCCCTCCCTCAAACAAACAAAAGCAAATGTGTTGACATTGCATTGCACATACAGCTTAGCCGAGGGGGAATTCACTTCTTTAAAATAGTCAGACTTCTCTAAAAAGGGAACTGTCTCCACGTGTTAAAATCTTTGGCCAGGCATGGTGGCTCACACCTGTAATCCCAGCACTTTAGAAAGCAGAGGTAGGTGGATCACCTGAAGCCAGGAGTTCAAGACTAGTCTGGGCAACATAGTGAGACCCTATCTCTTCTAAACAGTTTTAAAAATTAGCTAGGCATGATGGCACACACCTGTAATCCTAGCTACTAGGGAAGCTGAGACAGGAGGCTTAAGCCTGGGAGGTCCGGGCTGCAGTGACCTATGATTACACCATTGCATCCCAGCCTGGGTGACAGAGCAAGACCCCATCTCTAAATCTGAAAACAAAAATCTTACTTTCAGGCCAGCCATGGTGGCTAATGCCTGTAATCCCAACACTTTGGGAGGCCAAGGTGGACGGATCACCAAAGGTCAGGAGTTCTAGACCAGCCTGGCCAACACAGTGAAACTCCGTCTCTACTAAAAATACAAAAATTAGCTGGGCGTGGTGGCGCGCTACTCGGGAGGCTGAAGCAGGAGAATCAGTTGAACCTGGGAGGCAGAGTTTGCAGTGAGCTGAGATTGCGCCACTGCACTCCAGCCTGGACAACAGAGTGAGACTCTGTCTCAAAAAAAAAAAAAAAATTGTCTAAAAATCTTATTTTATATTCCCCAGCAGATTTATGATTTTTCTCCATGAGTCCCGCACAGTTCTTTTTCCTCAGATAGTTTATGTCTCCTGGATGCTAGTTTAGCCCCGTAAGACCACTGTGTCTTCTAGTAAAAGGTCTGAGTCGCACCTGTGGGGCCTGAGATTGGGACGAGAAGCCTTGAAGGCCTTAGTCCCACCAGACCTCCCACATCCACCCCCGCCCCTCCCTTCTCCACGGAAGCCGCCCTGCGGCTGGGTTCACGCATGCGGTCTTTGTCCTGGTCAATCAGACAGAATTATACACCCGGATGCCTGTGCTTCCTGAGGACCAAGATGTAGCGGACGAGAGGACCCGCATCCTGGCCCCCAGTCCGGACTCCCTGCTCCACACACCTCTGATTATCAAGGAGCTCTCCAAGGTACCCTTGCAATTTGGGGTGGAGTCCTTCCTGCCAGCTGACTACCTGGCTGTCCCCAGGGTCCGACCCCATCCCTGGAAGCTTTCGGCGCTGAGGCTCAGACTGCTCTGCTTTGCGTCCAGGCCTCCGCATTCCGTGTTTTCTGTTGGGTGCCTGCAGGTGTACGAGCAGCGGGTGCCCCTCCTGGCCGTGGACAGGCTCTCCCTCGCGGTGCAGAAAGGGGAGTGCTTCGGCCTGCTGGGCTTCAATGGAGCCGGGAAGACCACGACTTTCAAAATGCTGACCGGGGAGGAGAGCCTCACTTCTGGGGATGCCTTTGTCGGGGGTCACAGAATCAGCTCTGATGTCGGAAAGGTGGGTGCAGCCAGGGAGGCTCTGAAGGGGTGAGACAGGCATGGCTGGAGGGGGCACCCTGGAGGCAGGGACAGAGGGATGCTGTCCCCAAACAGCTGCTGCATCTGTGGCTTGAAATGGGCCCAGCACATGCCTCTGGACAGCGAGACAAGGTAATGAGCTAAAGCTAAGCTTCGCCAGAACTAGCAGGTGATGGGAGGGGAGAGAGATGGGTGCCAACATCCGTGAGCCCAGAGAGGCGCATTCAGCACTGACAGCCACCTCTGTGCAGAGGCCATTCTGTGTCCAGGCAGCTCAGGTGTGGGGTTAGAGGCCTTGCTGAGTGAAGGGATGGAAGGCCCTGGGCCCGCCCAGCTTTCCCATGTTGAGCTGAGCCCCACCAGCTCCCCCGCAGAAGGACCAGAGGCAGCCCTCCTGCACCTCTGCCCGGGGCCTGCATGGGAATTCAAGTGTGCCAAGCAGAGCAGGGGAAATGGTAAGCAGGGCCTGGGGCTGAGAAGTGGCCGCGGAGTCCTCTCCTGAGCTCACACCAGGGGTGCCTGGACAGCAGAGGCCCTGGGCCAGAGCACATGCAGGCCCTCTCGGGAGGAAAGCCTCATCCTAGGCTGCAGACTCCCCCATAGAGGGTTCCAGGGCTTACAGGCAATGCACAGCAAACAAACAGAGGAGATGGTACCATGGCTGGAAGCAATAGACACAGGCCCCATGGGGGGACAAGCACATAGGCGTTAGATCTGCATCATCAGGCCAGATTATAAAAGATTATAAACTCACTGTGTCTACAGAAATAAATTATGCAATTGAAAATCTATGCAGGGGAGAGAAAACCGTATGTGATCTAGCAATGGAGGAGAGGGTGAGAAGTCCCCAGTACATGTAATCTGAGTTCCAGAAGGAAGAGAGAGAGAGAGTGGCAGGGGGTAGTAGCCAAAAAGGTAGTGGCTAAGACTTTCCCCAAACTGATTAAAAACAGATTCTGGGCTGGGAGCGTGGCTCACGCCTATAATCCCAGCTTTGGAAGGCCAAGGCAGGCAGATCACTTGAGGTCTAGAGTTCGAGACCAGCCTGGCCAACATGGCAAAATGCTGTCTCTACCAAAGAAAAATACAAAAATTAGCAGGGCATGGTGGCAGGTGCCTATAATCCTAGCTACTCGGGAGCCTGAGGCATGAGAATCACTTGAGCCTGGGAGGCAGAGGTTGTAGTGAGCCGAGATCATGCCACTGCGCTCTACCAGTGTAAGGGAGACAGAGTAAGACTCTGTCTCAAAAAAAAAAAAAAAAATTCTGGAAGCTTGAGAACCCCAAAGAAGGAAGGTAAAGAAAAAGAAATCCAGTCTCTGGAATCCACAGAACCCAGGCACTCCTGCCCCCGACCAGCTGCTGAAGGTAGCTAAGCAGATGGCAGCAGGCACGTCTTAATTCAGCTGGACGTGGTCACTTGTGCAGAGAACAGCTGCTGCACCATCTGACCAAGCAGTACTCACCCCAAACGTGGTGCCCACAAATCTTTCTTCTTAGAGGGAGAAGAAAGAGTCCTAGCACATCAGATGTCCCAGGTGTGAATGAGTGGGTAGCCAGCTCTGAGTCTGCTTCTACGTAAAGGCCATTCTTGCACCACCTAACCCCATGGCTGCCTGTCCTGGACCAGGCTCTGAGAGCAGCTCTGGAAGCCTCCCTGCACCAGGCACATCCTTCCTGTGTCCCTGTTCCAAGAGCTTCCACTGTGGGCAGCCACCACGGCCTGTGCATAGCTCCAGCGCCCCCGTGTACACACACTGGCAGGAACCACAGACAGGCGCAGTGGTGGGCACCTCAAGGGTAGTCCCCGTGGTCCTCTGGAGGAAGGAGGCTTCCCTCCAACCCGCCTCCCTCCCCGGCTATGCTCCGACCCCAGGTGCGGCAGCGGATCGGCTACTGCCCGCAGTTTGATGCCTTGCTGGACCACATGACAGGCCGGGAGATGCTGGTCATGTACGCTCGGCTCCGGGGCATCCCTGAGCGCCACATCGGGGCCTGCGTGGAGAACACTCTGCGGGGCCTGCTGCTGGAGCCACATGCCAACAAGCTGGTCAGGACGTACAGGTGCACCTCCCGAGCCCTGGCCCTTCCCAGAGTGGAGTCAGAATCAAGGTCCCCATAGCATAGAGCTGGGAGTGACCGCTCAGGTCAGCAGCCAGAGCTCCTGCTTGTGGCTCCAGGATGGAGCTGGGATGTGGTGGTGTGACCCAGGTAGCTCCACGTAGGAAAGGGACTGCCCTGACAGTGCCTGCCACCTAGGGACAAAGCCAGCAGTGAGAGATGTCAGGGTCGGCAGGTCCCCTTTAGGTGCAGGCAGATGTCTTCCCATGTAGGTGCGTGCACCGGGCCCCTGGGAACAGCCTTCTCTGGGGCCTCCAGCCCTATGCGGTGGGCTTTCCAGGTGCACACACAGCTCCTTCCTCTTCACTAGGGCTGTTCTGCAATTGCTGGGTGTGGGCCGCTGCTGGGACACGGGCCTCCACTGGGACATGGGAGCCAATGCTAACTCTCAGCCTTATTCCCCCACCTGGCACCCTCCTGCCTCTAGTGGTGGTAACAAGCGGAAGCTGAGCACCGGCATCGCCCTGATCGGAGAGCCTGCTGTCATCTTCCTGGACGAGCCGTCCACTGGCATGGACCCCGTGGCCCGGCGCCTGCTTTGGGACACCGTGGCACGAGCCCGAGAGTCTGGCAAGGCCATCATCATCACCTCCCACAGGTAGAGCCTGGGTCTGTGGGTTACTGGAAGTTTCAGCACCGGGTGGGCCATGGAGGAGCCAGGTGGCCAGGAGACCCATCAGCATCTGGTGCAGAGTCTGCCCGTGAGCCACACTGAGCATGGGTATCAGGAACAGCCTGATCGGAGAGCCAATGCCTTCCTGTCTGCACAAGCCTTTGGCACCCCAAGCCCTATCTGAGGTCCCGCCCTCTCCACAGCATGGAGGAGTGTGAGGCCCTGTGCACCCGGCTGGCCATCATGGTGCAGGGGCAGTTCAAGTGCCTGGGCAGCCCCCAGCACCTCAAGAGCAAGTTCGGCAGCGGCTACTCCCTGCGGGCCAAGGTGCAGAGTGAAGGGCAACAGGAGGCGCTGGAGGAGTTCAAGGCCTTCGTGGACCTGACCTTTCCAGGTGTGTGCCGGCCCCGGCAGCCCCCACTGGGTGGGCCCTGGGCCCCTACCTAGGCCTCTCCCATCTGCTGTGCGGAGCGTCTGTGCCTCGCCCCGCCAAGTCCCATCTCCCCAATCCCTGGGACGAGGACTCCAGTGCTGAGCACCCAGGCACCCTCCCCGATCCTCCAGCCCGGCGCTCACAGCAACACCGTCTCTCCTTTGTGCAGGCAGCGTCCTGGAAGATGAGCACCAAGGCATGGTCCATTACCACCTGCCGGGCCGTGACCTCAGCTGGGCGAAGGTGAGGCAGTCCCTGGGGCCCCACTGGGCACTCATGGGGCAGGGGGAGGTCCCTCCAGGGGTCTCTCCCTCTGTGGTGACTGCAGGCTCTTTCCACAGAGGAGTCACTTTCCATTTCTCCCCTAACACTCAGCCTGATACGTGCTGGTTTGGGGGTTTTATATCCAAAATTATCAGTGGTAAAAGGAATTCAGTGTAAAACAGGAAAGGGGTCAGGGATGGTGGCTCACACCATAATCCCAGCACTTTGGGAGGCCGAGGAGGGAGGATTGCTTAAGCCTGGGAGTTCTAGACCAGCCTGGGCAACATAGACCCCGTCTCTACAAAAAATTTAAAAATTAGCCAGGTATCATGCATACCTGTAGTCCCAGCCACTCGGGAGGCTAAGGTGGGAGGATCGCTTGAGCCTGGGAGTTCGAGACTGCAGTGAGCTATGATTGTGCCACTGCACTCCAGCCTGGGCTACAGAGCAAGACTCTCTCTAAAAAAATATGGGGGAAAAAAAGAACTGGCTCAGAAAGGGAACATCACTGGCTCAAGGTTGTAATCTGAGCTGGGAACAGCACAGGGAGGAGGCTGGGCCCCATCCCCGCTGGCTCCTGCTTAGCCAGCGTCCTCTACCTGGGAGCACGGTGCCGTCGCAGGGCTGACCTCTCTGGGGCTCTGGGGTGGCGCTGGGCAGGGGTAGGATTGTGGGGGCCTCATCAGCCCCTATTGCCAGAGGACTCCCAGGTCCCGCAGAGGAGCCTGGGCCCTGTTCTCTCCTACCAGTGACTTTTCTGCTCCCCAAAGGTTTTCGGTATTCTGGAGAAAGCCAAGGAAAAGTACGGCGTGGACGACTACTCCGTGAGCCAGATCTCGCTGGAACAGGTCTTCCTGAGCTTCGCCCACCTGCAGCCGCCCACCGCAGAGGAGGGGCGATGAGGGGTGGCGGCTGTCTCGCCATCAGGCAGGGACAGGACGGGCAAGCAGGGCCCATCTTACATCCTCTCTCTCCAAGTTTATCTCATCCTTTATTTTTAATCACTTTTTTCTATGATGGATATGAAAAATTCAAGGCAGTATGCACAGAATGGACGAGTGCAGCCCAGCCCTCATGCCCAGGATCAGCATGCGCATCTCCATGTCTGCATACTCTGGAGTTCACTTTCCCAGAGCTGGGGCAGGCCGGGCAGTCTGCGGGCAAGCTCCGGGGTCTCTGGGTGGAGAGCTGACCCAGGAAGGGCTGCAGCTGAGCTGGGGGTTGAATTTCTCCAGGCACTCCCTGGAGAGAGGACCCAGTGACTTGTCCAAGTTTACACACGACACTAATCTCCCCTGGGGAGGAAGCGGGAAGCCAGCCAGGTTGAACTGTAGCGAGGCCCCCAGGCCGCCAGGAATGGACCATGCAGATCACTGTCAGTGGAGGGAAGCTGCTGACTGTGATTAGGTGCTGGGGTCTTAGCGTCCAGCGCAGCCCGGGGGCATCCTGGAGGCTCTGCTCCTTAGGGCATGGTAGTCACCGCGAAGCCGGGCACCGTCCCACAGCATCTCCTAGAAGCAGCCGGCACAGGAGGGAAGGTGGCCAGGCTCGAAGCAGTCTCTGTTTCCAGCACTGCACCCTCAGGAAGTCGCCCGCCCCAGGACACGCAGGGACCACCCTAAGGGCTGGGTGGCTGTCTCAAGGACACATTGAATACGTTGTGACCATCCAGAAAATAAATGCTGAGGGGACACAGTCACAGTCTGTGGGTCACACGCGCGAGCGGTCACAGGGCTCAATCACTCGCCCACAATCTAGACATGAGGCTCTCCTTTCACATTTCAATCACACAAACGTGGGACGTTGCTTTTCCCAGAAGGGAGCACACGCAGAGAATACACTGAGGTGAAGGAACAGGCCCATAACACAAAGGAAAAAGCCGGCTAGATCAACGCCCGGTGACAGGCTCTTAGTCTAAAGACAAGAGCAGGTGGGGCTGTGTGGGAAGCACAGGTCTGGTGGGAGAGAAGCTGCTGGCATCAGGGTCACCCGTGGGCATTTGCCATTTCCCAGAAATAACTCCTCATCAGCTCCCTTTTTAGTTATTTATGGAGTCTTGCTTTGTTGCCCAGGCTGGAGTGCAGTGGCGCAATCTTGGCTCACTGCAACTTCTGCCTCCCGGGTTCAAGCCATTCTCCTGCCTCTGCCTCCCGAGTAGCTGGGACAACAGGCACGCGCCACCACACCCAGCTAATTTTTGTGTTTTTAGTAGAGACGGGGTTTCACCATCTTGGTCAGCCTGGTCTCGAACTCCTGACCTGAAGTGATCCACCCACCTCAGACTCCCAAAGTACTGGGATTACAGCCATAAGCCACCGTGCCTGGCCCCTTTTTATGCACTGTTTTGTGTTTTGTCTTTTGGAGACAGGATCTTGCTCTGCTGCCCAGCGTGGAGTGCAGTGGTGGTATCACAGCTCACTGCAGCCTCAAACACCTGGGCTCATGCAATCCTCCCACCCCAGCCTCCGGAGTGGCTGGGACTAAGGGCATGCGCCACCATGCATGGCTAAATTTTATTTTTAGTATAGACGAGGTCTCATGTTGGCCAGGCTGCTGCCAAACCCCTGACCTCAAGTGATCCACCTGCCTTGGCCTCCCAAAGTGCTGGGATCACAGGCGTGAGCCACCATGCCCGGCGAATGCACTATTATTTCTTATGGTTTTCTAAACCCGATTTGAACTTCTGCATTTTACATTCCCTTAGAATTCAGAGTTTTAGAAAAGACTTGTTTTCATCACTTTGGCTCATTTGGGACAATTTCAAGTCTGTGTTTTTATCAGTCTCTGGAAATTTATGAAAGCTGCAAATCGTCTCCAGTAGCTCTTTTATTCCCTTTAAACTTCTGCCATCTAGTTCCATGTTATAAAAAATATAACGTGTTTGGGCAGTGTTTAGGCCACAGCCACCCATGTGTAGCCACCCCTACACATGGGTGGCTGTGGCCTAAACACTGCCCACGAGAAAAGTTCTGAAGTGGGCCCTTCTGGCCCCACAGCCTGTCCGCAGGGGCTGTGGCCTCTAGGTCGGGCCTGGGGCTAGGAAGAGGGAAAGGTCAGTGCACGAGGCCACCCAGCTCCATGTCCATGCCCATGGCCCTTCTGCAGGGCATCCTCAGACTTGTTTTCAAGCCCATGTGTTAGAGATTTAGGAATGTGTCATTTTTCTCCTGTGACACCCTAAAAGAGGGTTGGGGAGAGCGTATAGGACTGAGGGCACAGCCCGCATGAGGCACACACGTGTGAGGCCAGCGTACACAGGACACGCACAGGAGATACCATCCTTCCCGGTAGCACGCTGCCAGCACCAGCAGGGGTCTTTAAGTAAGGACTGGCACAAGTAGAATGCCTTCTTAGGAAAATGATCCGCAGCTCAGGAGGCTGCTGCGTGGGGACCGGGAGGGGCAGGTGCATTCAGGGCGTCTGTGGCAGGGGCCCAGGGCTGCACCCAAGCCTGGAGCTTAGATGACCCCAGGAGCAGCAGGAAGGGCCCATCTGGCATCCCAGGGAAATCCTCAAGGCCTCTGGAAACTCAGTGCTGGAGCTGGGTCACCAGGGGTGCCCTAAGGAGCCTGGGACTGAAGCCTCAGGACCCTGCCCTGGCCGATTTTTGTCTGAGCTGTGGCAGTTCCCAGCCCACGGGAGGGCAGGGGAAAAGAGCCTTGGGCCCAGGGATAGGAGTGACCGGCCTATCCACGCTCCACCCTAGACCACGGAGGGGGGCCACACATTCTCTACGGACACTGTCCCCAAACAACTGTGGCATCTGACAGAGCCAACTCCTGCCCTGCTCCCAGTTCACCTTAGACCTGGGAAACGAGGTTTTGACTTCACTGCTCTGCATGGCCTGGTGCAGGGCTCCCGTGAGCAGACGGCCCATGGGCCACGAGCCAGGTATGTGGAAGAGCCTGTGCCTTCTGTCCTCCAGGCCGGCCCAGTCCAACGGCGTGGCTCAACTGAAACCACACCCAGAACTCGGAGAGGGGAAGACCTCGCGGTGGGGCGGGCCCAGGCCAAGCCCCTCCACTGCCATCACAGGTTTACAGCGGAGCAGAGGGGCAGGCCGGATACAGGCAGCCCAGGCCACAGGTCAGGGGACCCACACCAGGCCACAGGAACAGGCTTGCTGAGGGTATCAGAAAACCCCAGGTCACAGTGGTTTGAAAAAGAAGTTTATTTCTCAGCCATGTAGGCAGGAGGAGGCAGTCCAGCACTCGGTCACCTGAGGTCTCAGGGAGGCAGGCTCCATCTGCTGCCCCGTCATCCTGGTTCACGCCTCCCTCCTCATGGTCACCTCTGTGTTCAAGGAAGTGCTTGGCCGGGCATGGTGGCTCACGCCTGTAATCCCAGCACTTTGGGAGGCCGAGGCAGGCGGATCATGAAGTCGAAAAATCAAGACCATCCTGGCTAACACGGTGAAACCCCGTCTCTACTAAAAATACAAAAAAATTAGCCGGGTGTGGTGGCGGGCACCTGTAGTCCCAGCTACTCAGGAGGCTGAGGCAAGAGAATGGCGTGAACCGGGGAGGCGGAGCTTGCAGTGAGCCGAGATCACGCCATTGCACTCCATCTGGACTACAGTGAGACTCCATCTAAAAAAAAAAAAAAAAAGGAAGTGCTCAAGTTCAGGCCGGGGTAGGGTGTGTGCAGTGGCCTCCGTCAAGTGTGTGTCACCCCCAGGCAGCTCCCTGCTGCGCCTGGACCCAACTGTGCCCTTGGCTCACTCCATCTTGCTGGGTTTCCCATCTCTGTCTTACTGGCTGCTTTCAGAGACCAGGCCCAGAGTCCCCAGGACTCAGGTGACCTTGGCTACCCTGGAATCCTGGACTAAAGATCTGCAATAGAAATGTGTCCAGCAGGGAATGTAATGTGTCCAGCAGGGAACCATCCTGTTTGCTTTGCTTTTCTGAGTTCCTACAACCAACCGGCCAGGGCGCACTGTGGGGCACAGGGATGCAGGCCCTGGAGTATGGCCACTTCTGCCTGGGGGCGTCTGGGGGGTTTCCTGAGTGAGGTGGGGTCTCACCAGCTCCAGGAGACACCACTGCCATGCACAAGGTAGGTGTGGGGGTGGAGGATCACCTCCGTGAGGACCCAGACCCCACCCACTGTGGCTGTGGTGGAGACTGCAGGTCTGTCTCAAGGCCCCAGGCCTGACACCTGCAAGAACAGAACCTGGGGGTGACGGAGAGGGGATTCCACCAGGCCAGCCCGGGGCTTGAACCCCAGCCAGGGCAGCTGCTGTCTGCTGCCCCACCAGGTAACGCACCGACCCAGCTGCTGTTCAGCTCCCCCTCTGGGCCAGCACCATGCTCATGGCATAGGCCGGCTGGGCCCTCTGAGACCCCCACTCCCACACAGACTGGTCTGCATGGAGGCTGGTGCAGCCTGTGCCGTACAGACCCTGCCCGGCTGCACTACTGGCCAGAGCCCCCTGCAGACAGGCGGCTCGAGGGGAGCTCCACCATGCAGGAGATGGCCCAGCACTGCAGTCACTTAGGCTGCTCATCCCTCCCCGAACTGACATGTCCCTCCCTCCAGATGCCCCCCACCGCCGAACCCCAGCATGCTGGGCATGCTCTGGCCATCCCACACAGGGATCAGGGTGGGAGGGCTGGAGGCTGCCTGTCAGGGGCAAGGCCTCCTCCAGGAGGTAGGACGGGGTGGTGCAGGTGGGGTCCCCTCACCTGATGGGCCCTCGAGGCCAGGCTGTAGGCAGGCAGGAGGGGGCTGAAGCAGTGGGGTCAGGCCCGGGGAGCGGGGGCCCTGCCTTCCTTCCTCAACACACGGGGCTGCCCAGGCCCCGCTCCTGGGGCCGGGCCCACACCTCACAGACACTGGTGTTGGATGCTTCGGCTTGAAGGAGCTCCAAATGGACTAGCCGCAGCTGCCCCTGGGTCCACCTGGCCCAGGCAATACCACAGAATCACCAAGGCTCATCTAGCCATGGGCCCAAACCCAAGGCCCTAAGAGGCACCCCGGGTGCCTCAGTCACAGTCCCAGGCAGCTCAGGTCCCAGGCGGCTCACAGTCACCATCCTTGACTTCATGGTAGCAGAAATGGAGTGCTTTGAGCTTGTGATGAGCACAGGCTCCCAACCCTGGGAGAGTTCAGACATGCCCACTGGAGAGGCCCCAGGCCCTGATGATACCCACTCCTCAGACATGCAAACCTGGAGCCAGGGAGGCCCCAATGAACTGCATACTCTCCCAACAGACCAAGCTCACCCCACACCAGCGCAAGGCCCTTTCAGACCCAGCCTGGCCACCCCCATGGACCTGGCCAGCACCTCCCCCAGCCCCACCCTCTCCAGACAGGCACCAGGCTGTGGTGACCCGCCTCTCAGCAGCTCCTCCTCTGATGCCTCCCCACGGTCCAGTCGTTACCCCCTCGTCCACCTGACTGGGCTGCGCATGGCCTCAGTGCAGAGCCAGGTTTTAGTAGTGGGTAAAAGGGCTCCCTTGCTGTGCTTTACCAGAGAATGCAACACCCCCAAAGCTCCTTCATGACCCACTGTGACCTGCAGCACCACCAAGCCCATCCTCATCCCTGTGTCCCAGGCCACCAGCCTCTGAGGGCAGGCACTGCAGGAGCCACCGGGCCACAGAGGATGGAGGCAGGGAGGACATTCTGCCTTCATGAGGGCATGCTCTCAAAGACAGAGCCGCCCCAAACTGTCAGCAGGTGACCCTCCGCTCTGGGAAGGCAAGGGGAGGAGCTCAGGGCCGTGGCCAGAGCCCACGAGAAGCCCGTGCCCAGCTCAGCAGGTGACCCTCCGCTCTGGGAAGGTAAGGGGAGGAGCTCAGGGCCGTGGCCAGAGCCCACGAGAAGCCCATGCCCAGCACTGCAGGGCTCTGGCCACTGCCTAATGCCCTCCATGAAGCCCTGCCTGCCCTTCCAGCAAACCAGGGCCCCTGAGGCTCCAGAAACCCCAGCTCCACTGCCCTCAGCCTCCATGGCCTTAGCAGCCTGGCTCTGGGGCTGAGCTCCTGGAAGGGCAGGGTGGGGGTAGGCTCCTGAGTTTTATTTTCTCACATTTCTTCCAGACATGCTTCTGCTGATCCTCAAAATGGCAAAAGCCAGGATGCTCAATTCTCAAAGCTCAACAGCTGATGGCACATTTGATAACAAAAATCAGTAATATTTAGAAACAAATTTGATTAAATTCGTAAGTGCCTGAATAAATCATACTTGTAGATTTAATATAAAATGTGTGAAAGCTTATTCGCAGGCCAAATGACATTACTGCAGAGCATTAAAAACCAGCAGGGGGAGGGCTGTCGGCCCAGCTGGTGCTGCGTCACGCCCACCCATGTCATGTGGGGTCACCAGGCTGCCCCTGCCCACCAGGTGTCAGTGGGGCCCTGGGCATGGGCTCTAGGTTTGGGGCCTTTTAGCACCTCTGACCACTGGACTCCAATGCCACCTCAGAGAATTCCGCCTATGCCTGCCTGGACCACCGAGGCTGCCCCCTCCCCTAGCGCCGACTCTGGGGCCCCTTCAGCAGGGGGGCGGCCCCTCTGTTCCACTTAATCTTCCATGCCTGGGCACAGCAGGTGTGACAGTAATGCAGAGACTCTAACTCACTTTACATGTCATCAAACCCAAATCCAACGGGTACCCAAACCAGACTGATGGGCCTGCCAGCCTCCACCCACAGGAACACACTGGTGACTTACTGCAGCAGACTCGGGAGGTAGCTCCTCCTCCTAGCTGCCTTTGTCCCCAACTCCTTGGACATCCCTTAGCCCAGGGTGAAGGGTCAAGGGCACACTTGACACCCTCGGACAGGGCCAGAGGGAGTGGGTCTCGGCAGGAAGTCACCAAGAGCTGGCTTCCCACACAGGGAAGAGGGCAGTGATGGCAGACCACATCCCCACTATCTATCCATCCATTCACCCACCCACCCACTCCGGGTCACCAAGCTGCACCCTGTCCTTTGCTCTGACATCTAAAGTCTCCAAGTCATGCTGGTTCTCTCCTCCCAAAGATCGGCTTGGATCTGTTCCCTTCTCCCTTCCTTGCTGCCACGAAGCTGTTCAGACAAAGTCTGAAGCTCAGCGCACCGTCAATCCCTCCACAAATAACCACAGGGCAACGACTGCCTGACAGGCACAGCAGAGAACAAAACCCGCCCTCGGCCGGGGGCGGTGGCTCACGCCTGTAATCCCAGCACTTTGGGACGCCCAGGAGCGAGCACTTTGGGAGGCCAAGGCGAACCTAGGAGCGGATCACGAGGTCAGGAGTTCTCGACCAGTCTGGCCAACATAGTGAAACCCTGTCTCTACCAGAAAAATACAAAAAAAATTAGCCGGGTGTGGTAGTGTGCGCCTGTAATCCCAGCTACTCGGGAGGCTGAGGCAGGAGAATCGCTTGAACCCGGGAGGCGGAGGTTGCAGTGAGCCGAGATCGCGCCGCTGCACTCCAGCCTGGGCAACAGTGCGAGACTCTGTCAAAAAAAAAAAAAAATCCGCCCCGTCAGTGTGGGGAGTTGACGCGGAGCCTCCTGCCTGCACCCCTACAGCGTCACCCCCTCCTCTGTCCCTGCCAGAGGCGCCACCTCTGGACTCTCCCAGGGTCGGACCCTGGTCGACAGTGCTCCCTGCCCGGACCCTGCACCGGCCGATGGATGAAGCCTCGGCGCTGCGCCGTTCACACGCTCCGTGCCGCTGCCGCGAAGCTCGCGCGGGCCTGCGAGCCGGTACCCGGGCCTCCCTTCCCTGCTTCCAGCGAACCTCGGCGCCTGCTGTTCCCCCGCCGGGCGCGCCCTTCCATTCGGGTCTCAGCGGCAGTGTCACCTCCCCGGAGAGGCCCGCCGTTGCACCCCATCTCCCACTCTCAAGCTCGTCGCTCTTCCTGCCCGCACAGCCCGCCTGCCGCGCCCACCCGGTGGAGGTCCGCCTGCCGGGAGGCCGCGTCCACGGGAACACCCCAAACGCCACCAGTGGATTTTGACCGCACGAACGCACGCCCTGCCCCAGCCCGTCTCTCCGAGCTACTTCCGCCCTGCGGGCCCCCACGCCCCGCCACGCACGGCCGCAGAGCCTGCGAACCCCTCCTGTGCTACCACCCCGCCGGCCTCAGCACAGCCCGGCCCGGAGCCCCGCCTCCACCGCCGGCGACAGGGGCCGGAGTCTGCCCGGGCGGGCCCAGTGCGCCCGCGCAAGGAAAGGGGCGGGGCACGGGCGCGTTAACACCCTCCGCGCCGGAGGACGAGCCTCGGTCATCGCGCTGCCCTCCCAGGTTCAACAGGCTACCCATGTGCCCGCTCCAGTAAGCGTGCAACCAGCCCGGTCAGTCCCAGGGACTTTACCGGCTAGGAGACACCTTGAACGTCCCCAGCGCGACTCCCACAAACTGCCTTGACTCTTTAACGCTTCCTCGCTGGCGCCCATTGGGCCAGGCGTTTACGTCATCGCTGCGCGCCGGGCGGCGGCGACTTCCCGCTCCTTGACTCTGACGTCAGAGCGGCGCCGGCCTCGGCGGCTGAGGAAAGCAGGAGGAGGTGGCGGCGGCGGGAAGATGTAAGTTGGGGCGGAATCCGACTGCATCCGTGTTTCGGGGGCTGCCCGGCAGGCCCGGCAGGACGCCTCGTGAAGCCGGTCCACTCCTCAGCCCCGCAGTGCGGCGGTGGCCTGGCAGCGCGGTGCGGGCTCCGAGAAGAAAGAGTGTGGCCCGGGGCGGGCGGAGTGGGAGGTGTCGAGGCCGTGGCCCGGAAGTGGTCGGGGCCGCTGCGGACGGAAGGGCGCCTGTGCTTCGTCCGCTCGGCGGTGGCCCAGCCAGGCCCGCGGGACTCAGACCAGCGGGGAGCGCGGCCTCCGCCCTTGGGGCCCTCCCGCCGGGCCGGAGACCCAAGCCCCCAACGCCAGGCCCTGCCCTGGAAGCGCTCGCGGCCCGGCGCCTGGACGGGGGAGTTGTGAGTGAACGCGGACGGGTAGCGGCGAGGTCGGCGTGTCGGGCCGGTGTCGGCGGGCGCGGAGTTTCTTTGTGGGATGCGGTGGAAGGTCGGCCGATCCCCCCTTCGGAGTCATTAATTCAAACGTGTACTCCGCGAACGTTTCCCGGACTCCCGTGTGCAATTATCGGCGCTAGGCCGTGGGGATACGGCCCACTATGGACCGAGCACGGTGGCCGAGCTCAGTTTGATGGGTTACCCCAGAGGGGCGGATACGGGAAGGTTAAGTTTGTTGGAGGAGAAACGTGGAGTAGGCTTTTTGTCTTGATTCCGCATGAACTGTGCCTGAAATGTACTTTTAAATGGGGAAGGTGCTCTGAAGATTTGTGCCGAAACGCCCTCTCCTCGAGATTTAACTAATTGTTCTCTCCTCTCTCTGGCTGTTGGACGCGCACCTTTCCGGAGGATGGGGGAGGTAACCGAGGTCCTGAGCCGGTACCTGAACTTGGGTGAACAGAGAACCTCAACTTTTGCTTTCTAGCACTCGACCGCACCCAGCAAGGCGTCCGCTTACTCAGTGGTTCTTAGTGTTTGGAGTGCTTAAGAATAACTGGTGGTGTTTGATTTCACCAAGTACATTCGGGCAGATCTTAGTTCTTGGGGGGGTGGGGCTGGAATCTGCGGGTGTGACCTCCACTCTAGGTCTGTGCTGTCCAGCCAAGTAGCCATTGGCCACATGTGGCTGCTAAGCATGTGAAATACAGCTAATCAAGACTGAAATATTAAAACACACACCAGTTTTAGAAGACTAGGAAAAAAGCAAACTTTTATTAGATGTTTATGTTGATTATATGTTGGAAAGATAATATTTTGGATGTGTCAAACGTTAAAAATTAATTTCACCCATTTTTGTGACGTGGCTACTAAGGAATTTCAGGTGATGCTTGTGGCTCCTCACACGGTTTCTATTGGACAGTGCTGCTGCAGGTGATTCGAAGGCGGGTGGGTGCAGGAACCCAGCTGAGAGTTCAGAAATTAGTGTAACTTTGGAGACAAGTGTCTGTGGGGGAAGGAGCCTCCGGACGTGGAGATACAACTCTTGCTCCTAACATTTATCGAGTCTTTAATTAATGCCCTGGGTAACTATAAGGTTGGAACTGTAATTGTCACCATATTGATGATGAGAAACTTGAGAAAGGATAAGTGACTTGTCTAAAATCACACAGTAAAACCTCAAATCAAACCCAGGCCCTCTGGCTCCAGACTCTAAATTATACTCTGAATGATACTCACTGATTGTCCGAGGACACAAAGAGTGTCGAGGCACTATCTGCTGGGTGTCTGCAGAACCTTACTGTTCTAAAGCAAAACATTTTACCCCTGGACAAGAGCAGCAAAGGTGGCGTTCGGCCCTCCTTGGCTCTCATTTGACTGTTCAAAGCCAGGTGCTTTTCTTTCTTGGGTCAGAACGTATTTTCAGCAGCATTTTGAAGCACCCCTGGCGTGCACTGCACAGGGAAACCAGGACCACATTGGTGTGCTGTGTCCTCCTTACCAACTGGCTCTTGGAGAAGGTGAGACAGAAGTAGCTGAGACTCCATTCCTGAGATCTTCACTTAACAACTCCTGCAGCTTGTGCAGAGCCTTACTAGAAATACTGAAGGCAGAAGTCCCTGGAAAATAGGGCCCATAACTAATTAGTAATTTGTTTTTGAGTAATTTGTTACCGTTATTTGAGCACATTCTGCAGTCCAGGCATTTTGCTAAACTCTTACATGGCAGGCAGTCTCTCACGCAATTTCAATGCCTACTTTTTTTCTCCATCTTATTTTTGAAAAATGTTAAAAAAAACACAGGAAGGTCGAGTTATACAGTTAATACTCACATAAAGACCACTTAAGGGCCGGGTCTGGTGGCTCACGCCTGTAATCCCAGCACTTTGGGAGGCCGAGGTTGGCGGATCACGAGGTCAGGAGTTGGAGACCAGCCTGGTCAATATGGTGAAACCCTGTCTCTACTGAAAATACAAAAATTAGCTAGGCCTGGTGGCGTGCATCTGTAGTCCCAGCTACTCGGGAGGCTGACGCAGAAGAAATGCTTGAACCCGGGAGGCGGAGGTTGCAGTGAGCCAAGATCGCACCACTGCACTCCAGCCTGGGTGACAGAGCAAGACTCTGTCTCAAAAAAAAAAAAAAAATCAGAGGTTAATAGTCTATAAGTTACGTTTCTGCTATATTTGCTGTATGGTGTATCTAGCCACCCATCAATCTTATTTTTTCTTTAAAAGTGAATTGCAGACTTGCATGTGTCTTCCCCTGCACTCAATATGCATATTATTAAAGTACAGTGCAATAACTGCTTTTTAAAATGATTCTTCTACTGCTTTTTAGATGTTCATATGGTACATTTCATCTGCTTGCTTTTGGGTATTAAGTGTTTTGATGCTGGTACCAGTCGCTTTTGAAATGATTTTTGCTTCCAGTCACATCCAGTGTATCCTAAGGGGAAATTGCAATAAAACAGGAGATCTAATCCTATCTGGAGACCACCCTTGAGTTAGGTTTTTCTCTGTTCTGCATGTGAATGTGGTGCTGTGGCATTTTGAAAGGACTGCAGGGGCTCATCAAACTTGTGGGTGAAAACTGAATTGTTCAGCCTGTAAAATAACAGTGATGGTCTCCACCATCTCCATTTTTTAAGAAAAAGATACGCTGGGGCGACAGTTGTACCTGTGCCTCCTCTGCGGGGTAGAGACGCCTCCAGGAGCACATGGGGACTGTCCCTATGTGTTCCTGACTGTGTGGACACTTATTGCTTACCGTGCTCCCTTGCTGCCTTTTTGTGTGCTCAGCTTTTGACTGCAAAGTAGACTTGTTGCCTTGCCAATTCGTTCACTCTTTAAACCCTTTTATCTTGTTATTAGGCTGCTCTTTGGCGTAAATTGCAATCGATTAGGGATCGTTTCTCAGAATCAAGTTAGAAGTGAGAGTTCAGATAAGTGAGGCCGCCATTGCTGCTTTGAACACCTCAGAAGGGGA
Source organism: Homo sapiens (assembly GCF_000001405.40). NCBI lineage: Eukaryota > Metazoa > Chordata > Mammalia > Primates > Hominidae > Homo > Homo sapiens. The sequence goes on along the minus strand of NC_000016.10, from coordinate 2,264,645 downwards.
GAATGGATTTATCAGGAGTGAAAAAGAAGAGCTTGCTAGGAGTCAAAGAAAATAATAAAAAGTCCAGCACTAGGTAATCCTTCTGTAAGATTTTTCTAGTGCTACTTGGGGGTGCTTACTGCTAGGGACCCGCAGAAAGGGGAAAGTTGAGAATGTTCTGCATTCTACAGTGAGTGTTCTGAGCCACAGACCACTTTGCTCTGTGGTCACCTCGGGTCTCTGTGGCCCTGCTGATGCTGATCCCCCGTTTTGGGTTGTGCTGTTTGGGTTTGGTCAGAGGAGCACGCAATCTCACACTCTTCCTCACCATCCAGGGCTCCTTCACCTACCAAACGCAAAGACCGCTCAGATGAGAAGTCCAAGGATCGCTCAAAAGATAAAGGGGCCACCAAGGAGTCGAGTGAGAAGGATCGCGGCCGGGACAAAACCCGAAAGAGGCGCAGCGCTTCCAGTGGTAGCAGCAGTACCAGGTGGGGCGGGCTGGCCTGGAGCCTGGAGAGGACCTGTGCCACAGCTACACCCCCACTCCCCACAGATGGCTCGGTTTTCTTGATTATTTACAAAGAAAACACATCCTCTGATTGTTAGTAGAGACCCTAATTTATGGCAGACTGGCTAGGTGCAGTGGTGGCTCATGCCTATAATCCCAGCACTTTGGGAGGCCGAGGCAGGAGGATTGCTTGGGGCCTGGAGTTCAAGACCAGCATGGGCAACAAAACAAGAGCTCGTCTCTACAAAAAAAAAAAAAAAAGAGTAATTTGTAAAATTAGCTGAGCGTGGTGGCATGCATCTGTAGTCCCAGCTACTTGGGAGGGCTGAGGCAAGAGGATGGCTTGAGCCCAGGAGTTTGAGGAAAATAAACAAAACTAGCCGGGTGTGGTGGTACACGCCTGTACTCCCAGCTACTCGGGAGGCTGAGTCAGGAGGATGGCTTGATTCCAGGGGGTTGAAGCTGCAGTGTGCGGAGATCATGCCACTGCACTCCAGCTTGGGTGGCAGACCCTGTCTCAAAAGAAAAAATCAACCTAGCCTGGGTCAGCATCAGCCAGCAGCTGCCTTCCCAGCCTGAGTTGGCAGTTGTGACTTTTGCCAGAGTCCTTTGCCTCCCAGCAGGAAAGGCTTCTGTATGGGTAGAAGGCAGCCCATCACCTCTGTCCTGTCCCACACACAATGTGACACCTAGGGCTCTGACTTGCTGGGGGATTGGGGGGTGATGTTTTCCCCACTGCTGAAAGCAGTGAGGCCTGGAGGCACCCGAACAGCAGGTTTCTCCTGGGGGGAGCACAACAGAATTGGAGGAGGCGTCTGTACTGTGAGACTTGGTGTGTGGTGGTTGTGACCCCTCATCTTGCCCTCAGGTCTCGGTCCAGCTCGACTTCCAGCTCAGGCTCCAGCACCAGCACTGGCTCAAGCAGTGGCTCCAGCTCTTCCTCAGCATCCAGCCGCTCAGGAAGCTCCAGCACCTCCCGCAGCTCCAGCTCTAGCAGCTCTTCTGGCTCTCCAAGTCCTTCTCGGCGCAGACACGACAACAGGAGGCGCTCCCGCTCCAAGTGAGTGCCCTGCGCCTGGGAGCTAAAGTTTACAAGCTCGGGGCTACAGATTTACCATCGAGGTTATAAAAGGGACCCAAAAGGAGTCTTTCTGTGTTAATAGGATTTCTGAGACAGGAATAATGTATGTGAACTAGCAGGAAAGTCTTCCTTATGAAAACTGTCACACAAGCAGATAAGAGCTTACTCGAAAGGCGTCTAGTACATTTTGACTTGACAGAAATTGTTTCTGGTGTTTTGTTTTCTCAATCAGATCCAAACCACCTAAAAGAGATGAAAAGGAGAGGAAAAGGCGGAGCCCATCTCCTAAGCCCACCAAAGTGCACATTGGGAGACTCACCCGGAATGTGACAAAGGTGAGGATCATGGATCTCTCCTGTGGGCAGTGGGGTGTGGACAAGCAGGCCTGTGCCTGCAGATGAACTTAGAATGTAGCCTTTTGGAGGACTGGGGTGGTGGCATGTGGTTTGAGTACAGCATTGATTCGTTCCTCTTGGTGGACCATTAATACATGTGTCTGGGAGATTTATCCCAGAACAACACTGGTACTCATCAGATGGAATGTTTTACCCTGCCGAGGTTTTAGTCATGATGTGCTGAGCTCTCTGCGTCTGACGTGACTGACTGGTAGCTGGGCGTTGGCGTGACCCTTCTTTCCCTCTAGGATCACATCATGGAGATATTTTCCACCTATGGGAAAATTAAAATGATTGACATGCCCGTGGAAAGGATGCATCCCCATCTGTCCAAAGGCTATGCGTACGTAGAGTTTGAGAATCCAGATGAAGCCGAGAAGGCGCTGAAGCACATGGATGGAGGTGGGTGACCCTGCCACATAACCCTGACCTCTCAGAGACCCGCCGCCGCGAGGGGCTTTCAAACTGATTTCCAACTGGGCTGCACTTCTTTTTGTTTGTTTGAGACAGAGTTTCACACTTGTTGCCCAGGCTGGGGTGCAGTTCCTGGACCAAACTGAGGTTTGGGCTGCTATTTCTCATGGCCCAATAACAAGATGCACATTAACTGAGTAGGTGGAGTTTTTATTTCTGCAACCAGTTGCAGGGAAAAGGCCTGGAAATTATTGCCAGACCAACTTAAAATTACAAAGTTTTTCAGAGCTTATATATTTTTTAAGCTATATGTCTATACATATGTGTACATTTATGTAAAGACATAAGTTACTGACTTTTAATCTATTAACTAAGGATTGAGTCTTGAAGACCTTCCTCTGGAGCCTCAGTAAATTGACTTAATTTAAATGGCTGTGAGTGCTGGGGTAATTACCCTTGCTTTGCCTTCTGCTAAATCACAGCAGTTTGGGGAGTTTTCTTCCCAATAAAACTGGCTTAATCCTAAATGGGTCCTGACGTATTCTTCGTTATTTTATGTTTTAAGGCCCAGGAAAGGCCTAAGCTAAACTTTTGGTGGGCTTTTCTTATATCCCAGCCTTTGTATAAGGGCCTTGGCTTTTAATATTTAACTACTCAGACAGTACTAAAACACTTGTTACAGAGGCCTGCGTTAGTGAGACCTGGCCTGCCACAATCCCCACTGTCAATTTGCTCATGCTTTTTATCATGCATGTATATGTATTTATTAATCACGAGAATCGTAGGGAGATGAAGCATTGTAATCTTTCTGGCTGCTTCCTGCTGAGAGAGGGTTGTCGTCATGGGGCACCAAACACAGCGCTGGAGTGGAAGAGGTGGATTTGTTCCCGGTAGCACTTTCTGTTCTGGGGGCTTCGAGGCAGCACCTGCTGAAACGTAATAGGATGCAACAGCCACACATAGAAGTAGGTTGCTGCTGTTTTCTTCCCAAGTTTAGTCTTCAGTTTACAGGGCTTGAGGAAAGCATAGCTTAGATTTCAGTGATTTCCAATTAGGAAAAAGGAAACAAAAAAGGAAAAAATTGAGAACAGTATTTGGGTGTACTATAGTTTTTGAAACAATTTTTTTTTTTTTTTGAGACGGAGTCTGGCTCTGTCGCCCAGGCTGGAGTGCAGTAGCACCACCTCGGCCCACTGCAAGCTCTGCCTACCAGGTTCATGCCATTCTCCTCCCTCAGCCTCCCGAGTAGCTGGGACTACAGGCGCCCACCACCATGCCTGGCTAATTTTTTGTATTTTTAGTAGAGACGGGGTTTCACCGTGTTAGCCAGGATGGTCTGGATCTCCTGACCTTGTGATCCGCCTGCCTCGGCCTCCCAAAGTGCTGGGATTACAGGCATGAGCCACCATGCCCAGCCAACAATTTTTTTTGGGGGCTTCCCATTTTTATTAAAAGACAAATAGGACTGGTATTTATTAAAAGACAAGACTGGTTTGCTTTATTATATTTGGCTTAATTATTTGTATACAGTGGAGCAAGAACCATAATTTTTTCTATAGGCCTTTTATCTGAGATAATACCTTTTTAAACCCAAGCCCAGCCATGGATATGTACAATTAAATACCTGTGAGTTGGGTGAAATCCTCTCCTCTTGAGGTTCCAAGATAACTTGAGGTTTTTGTCCATTAGAAAGTGGCATGTTTTACTTCCCTCAGATTAGAAACCCTGTACAGGGACTGTGTACACAAAATAGGAGGCCGGTTTTTTATTTGTGTTCTGTTACAAAAGAAAACGGATTTTTATTGCACTTACGCAAATAACTATATTGCTATAAATTAAGAATACGTACAAATAGACTGGGCAACATGGATCACCTGAGGTCAGGAGTTTGAGACCAGCGTGGCCAACATCGTGAAACCCCGTCTCTAATAAAAATACAAAAATTAGCCGGGCATGATGGCACACACCTGTGGTCCCAGCTACTTGGGAGGCTGAGGCAGGAGAATTGCTTGAACCTAGGAGGCAGGGATTGCAGCGAGCCAAGATTACGCCACTGCACTCCAGCCTGGGCAACAAAGTGAGACTAGGTCTCAAAAAAAAAAAAAAAAAAAAAAAAAAGAATACACACACACACACAAATAGTTTCCAAATTCTGAAGAAATTAGGTAGAGAGAAACAAATATGCTCCAAGTTTTGTTCCTAGGCGTATACTTAATTGTTGATAGCTTAAAACTTTTTTTGACTTTGAAAAATAAAAGGATTAGGAATATTTTAAGCAAAAAGTTAAAAAGATTACTTCAGTGTTCTATTAGTTCAGTTTATGCAGTTAATTTCTGCCCTGCTTGATATTAATGAACGCTTTACCTTTCTTTTTTTTGAGACGGAGTCTCGCTCTGTCGCCCAGGCTGGAGTGCAGTGGCGCAATCTCGGCTCACTGCAAGCTCCACCTCCTGGGTTCACACCATTCTCCTGCCTCAGCCTCTCGAGTAGCTGGGACTGCAGGCACCGGCCACCACACCCAGCTAATTTTTTGTATTTTTAGTAGAGATGGAGTTTCACCCTGTTAGCCAGGATGGTCTGGATCTCCTGACCTCGTGATCCGCCCGCCTCAGCCTCCCAAAGTGCTGGGATTACAGGCGTGAGCCACTGCACCCGGCCTTATTTTAGCTCTTTAAGAGTCCTGAATGTTTTTTCTTTATTCTGATGTCACAATCTGCAAAGTTATTAGAAATCTGTATTTAAGAGCAACTGTTAGAACTCTATAGCTGATTATAAAACCACCTTCTAAAAAGGATTAAAACAAGACAACAATTGTTTATGGATGACAAAAAGGTTTTAGGGCAGCCATAGTTAAAGACACAATTGACGAAATTTGTTAGCTCTGTGGCACACAATAATTTAACATAACAATTATAATTATTACTGATCATGTACACTAGGATATATTGCAATTGTAGGAGTTTTACGTGATTTTGGGACACATATCAATAACATTTATACAAATACAGCCCAAACAAAGCCAAACCCAATTTTATATTTGGTAGTGCTTCCTGTATAATTTTTGGTACCAAATAAGCCAAATTTCACTTTTACATCAGTGTGCTGTTAATGTTAAAACCCAATCCTTTTTTTTTTTTTTTTTGAGACTTTTTTCTGCTCTTGTTGCCCAGGCTGGAGTACAATGGTGCAATCTTGGCTCACTGCAACCTCCGCCTCCTGGGTTCAAGCAGTTCTCCTGCCTTAGCCTCCCGAGTAGCTGGGATTACAGGCAACCTCCACTATATCCAGCTAATTTTTGTATTTTTAGTAGAGACATGGTTTCACCATGTTGGCCAGGTTGGTCTTGAACTCCAGACCTCAGGTGATCCACCCGCCTTGGCCTCCCAAAGCAGCTGGGATTACAGGTGTGAGCCACTGCGCCCGGCCTAAACGTAATTTTAATGCTTAATTTACAGAAAAACTAGATGATACCCCTTTAACTTTAGCCAGCATGTTTACATACAGAATTTTCTTTACAATCAACCTCCCACACCTTTTTTTGAGACAGAGTCTTGCTCTGTCGCCCACGCTGGTGTGCAGTGGCATGATTTTGGCTCACTGCAACTTCCACCTCCTGGGTTCAAGCAATTCTTCTGCTTCAGCCTCCCCAAGTAGCTGGGATTACAGGCTCCCGCCACCACACCTGGCTAATTTTTGTGTTTTTAGTAGAGATGGGGTTTCACCATGTTGGCCAGGCCTGTCTCAAACTGCTGACTTCAGGTGATCCTCTCGCCTCAACCTCCCAAAGTGCTGGGATTACAGGCGTGAGCCAACGCGCCCGGCATGGATTCCAGTTCTTAGTGGGTGTGTGATTACCGAAAAGATGTTTTAGGAACACCTTTTTTTTGTAGCTCCAGTTTAAAGGAACACTATTCTTGGGGGAAAAAAATTAGCAAATATGCGTAGATTAACATTTTAGAGAGTTTCCAATCTGTTAAAAGCTTAAGGATCAAATTCAGTTTTCTTACATAGAATACATTTGGCTTTTTATATGGGAATATTTCCTTTAATCATTTCTGAGAACCAGAAGTTTCCCAGTATTTCAGCATTTTTAGTTTATTTTGCTGAGTGACTGGATTTACTGAATCTATACAGTTTATTTCTTAAACACTTGTATCTCATAACCACTCATGACGTTTATAGCTATTTGTATCTGGCAGAATGGTTTTAAAAGCACATGGACCCTTGTGAATAGTTTCGGGTGGCATTTTGTCCTCAGTGCAGCATTTTGAGGCATGTGGAGTCATCTCTGCTCCACTCCCTGCTGCTGTGACTGAGGCCGCTGGCACTGAGAACACAGCCCACAGTGCTGTCTGGGCTGCCAGGCCTGGTGGGGAGTGGAGTGTGCGTGCCCCAGAACTTTCCGTCTTCCGAGGCCCTGTTACAAACTGTATAAGTAGCTTAGCTGGTTTTTTTCAGTAATTGCCCTTCAGGCATTAGGAAAGTTTCCTTGATATTTGGCTAACTTTTCTTTCAAGTTTCTTAAGTCCTGAAATGGGTTAGGAGCTCTGTGCGCTCACATCAGCTGTTGGCCTTGTAAGTCACACCTTTGCTGTGGAGTCTGCTGATTATCTGCTGTTTGACAGTCTGAGTGCTTGCTGAGCTAAAAACCCAGGGGACCCGGGTACCTTCTGGGTGGGCGTGATTACAGACATTCCAACTTTTCGTAAGATTCTGGTAGGATTTTTTTTGTGTGTCTCCCCTTCTGTCTTTGAATGGAGTGAGTCCATGCTGTCTCCATAGGAGATGAGAAGGGGTTGGCCTTTACTGGCAGCTACACAGAAGATGGATTTTTCTTCATTATTATAGAGTCAGTGCTGTGAAATCCCTAATTTGGGCTAACTTAGGCTGAGTTTACTGAAGTTAAACCTCTTAAGTATGTTCTGAATACATAGCCACATGCCGGAGTTAGTCCCCATGTGCCTTAAAGGTAGTTGAGAAAACAAAAGAGCCCTTTACCCCTTAGGGCACAGAAGGGGCTGCGCTTGGGCTCCCAGTATCCCCAGCTACCAGACAATTCTTGAGGTCGGGGTGCATGCTCCCCTGGGGTTCCTGGGTTTGCACCTCTATTTCCTTTCCTCTCTCCCTGGAGCCCACATCCCACACTGCCTCTCCTCGCTTCATGCACATGGCGTGTGTTTCAGTGCCATCTACATGCAGAGCCACCTCTCTGAGACTGCTTGTTTCCAAACACAAAGTCTTTGGCATCTCCTAAAATTTCCTTCATGCAGCTTCCCACCGCAGCCCCACCTCTCCGTCAGTGGAAGTTCACACCTCACCACCCCCATCCCATCCATCACCAAGCTCTGGCAATTTTACTTCCCAGCTGTCCCCTGAATCCTTCCGTTTCCCTGCCAAATCATTTGATGTTGATTCAGGCCCCTCTCAGTGCTGCAGAGCCCTCCTAAGAGAACTTCTCCCACTTCTCTTAGCCCCAGACCCAGCTTCCCTTGGTTGGAGGAGAAGGAAGCGCAAACGCGGATACTGCCTGCATGGTCCTGCGAGGAAGCCCCACCCTGGCCCTGGGGCCTTCTGTTTGCCTGTCACTCGCTCTCGATGCTACCTTCTCTCACCAGTGCTTTGGGTCCTTCCCAGCACAGGGCCCAGCATAGCCCTTCTCTTCCACCTAGCAGATTCCAGCACATTCTTTACTTTTCTTTTTTTTTTCTTGAGACGGAGTCTCAGTTGTTGCCCAGGCTAGAGTGCCGTGGCATGATGTCAGCTCACTGCAACCTCCTCCTCCTGGGTTCAAGAGATTGTTTTGCCTCAGCCTCCCGAGTAGCTGCGATTACAGGCACACGCCACCACGCCCGGCTAATTTTTGTATTTTTAGTAGAGATGGGGTTTCACCATGTTAGCCAGGCTGGTCTCGAACTCCTGACATTGTGATCCGCCTGCCTGGCTTCCCAGAGCACTGGGATTACAGGCGTGAGCCTCCGCGTCTGGCCTCCAGCACATTCTTTAGCTCTTGACTTGGATGACTCTTGACCTGGGAGGCTGCCTCGACACGTGGAGATTGGTGTGTCCTGTTAGTTTTTATGCCTCTTTTCCTCATGAAACATTAGTCATGATGTTATTTCTGTGATTATCTTTTTTTTTTTGAGACGGAGTTTCGCTCTTGTTACCCAGGCTGGAGTGTAGTGGCACGATCTCTGCTTACTGCAGCCTCTGCCTCCCGGGTTCACGCCATTCTCCTGCCTCAGCCTCCCGAGTAGCTGGTACTATAGGCGCCCGCCACCTCGCACAGCTGATTTATTGTCTTTTTAGTAGAGACATTTTCACCATGTTAGCCAGGATGGTCTCGATCTCCTGACCTCGTGATCCACCTGCCTCAGCTTCCCAAAGTGCTGGGATTACAGGAGTGAGCCACCATGCCCGGCCCTGTTTCTGTGATTATCTTACATTGTCATTGTCCCCCCAGGCCTGTCTTTCACTGTGGCATGCATTGTCTAGGGTAGATGCTTGTTAGATATTTTATGACTTGCTGTCTTTTTCAACAGGACAAATTGATGGCCAGGAGATCACTGCCACCGCCGTGCTGGCCCCCTGGCCTAGGCCACCCCCCAGGAGATTCAGCCCTCCCAGGAGAATGTTGCCACCACCGCCTATGTGGCGCAGGTCTCCCCCACGGATGAGGAGAAGGTAAACAATTTGTAGTTTCAGTGGACTGATCAGGCCACAAACCTCATGTGACCGCAGTGACTTTCAGACCCTTTATTCAGCCCTGCCTGCCTTCCACTGCTGTGCGGGCTGGCAGAGAGCAGGAGCCCTTCAGAGCTCATGGAGAGAGCAGGAGGGCCACAGCTGCAGTAAGCCACAGGCAGGAGACGCCCTAGAGTTGCACCAACACAGCTTTCTGAGTCTGGGCAGTGGCGTGGTGTGGCCTTCCTAGGAGACCACTAGACCTGTGAGCCCAGGTGCAGGCCCACCTTTTTCTGAGCTAACAAGAAGAGCTAGGAGAGGGAGAAGTTGGGGGTCAGAAGAGTTGTGGGGCGGGGGTGGTAATCCCTCGGCAGAGGCCACAGTTTGGTCTTCCGTTGCCGGTGGTGAGCTGTGCTTTCAGCCTTTGGGGAAGAGGAGGAAAGCCTGGGCTTCTGCCTTGGGTCTCACAAGCACCCGTTCCCAAGAGCTCAGGGCAGGCCCATCAGGTGGGACCTGTCCCAACTTCTAGTATTAAAAAGTAAAACTTCTGCCAGGCATGGTGGCTCAGGCCTGTAATCACTTTGGGAGGCTGAGGCGGGCAGATCACGAGGTTAGGAGATCGAGACCACCCTGGCTAATACAGTGAAACCTTGTCTCTACTAAAAATACAAAAAAATTAGCCGGGCGTGGTGGTGGGTGCCTGTAGTCCCAGCTACTCGGGAGGCTGAGGCAGGAGAATGGCGTGAACCCGGGAGGTGGAGCTTGCAGTGAGCCAAGATCATGCCACTGCACTCCAGCCTGGGCAACAGAGTGAGACTCCATCTCAAAAAAAAAAAAAAAAAAAGGTAAAACTTTGCCACGTGTGGTAGCAATCGCCTGTAATCCCAGCACTTTGGGAGGCTGAGGTGGGTGGATCACAAGGTCAGGAGGTCGAGACCATCCTGGCCAACATGGTGAAACCCCATCCGTACAAAAAATATAAAAATTAGGCCTAGCATGGTGGCTCACGCCTGTAATCCCAGCACTTTGGGAGGCCGAGGTGGGCGGAACACGAGGTCAGGAGATCGAGACCATCCTGGCTAACACGGTGAAACCCCGTCACTACTAAAAAAAACAAAACAAAATTAGCTGTGCGTGGTGGCGTGTGCCTGTAGTCCCAGTTACTCGGGAGGCTGAGGCAGGAGAATGGCATGAACCTGGGAGGCCGAGATTGCGCCTCTGCACTCAGCCTGGGCAACAGAGTGAGACCCCATCTCAAAATAAATATATACACACACAAAAATTAGCTGGGCGTGGTGGCGCGCGCCTGTAGTCCCAGTTGCATGGGAGGCTGAGGCAGGAGAATCGCTTGAACCCTGGAGGCAGAGGTTGCAGTGAGCTGAGATCGTGCCACTGCACTCTGGCCTGGAGACAGAGTGATATTCCATCTCAAAAAGTAAAACTATGGGGAATTGCCCAGAAAGAAGCTAGCTTGCCCCTACAGCCTGAGCTACTCTGATGTGGTTTCTCCTCTTCCCGCAGGTCCCGCTCCCCGAGGCGCAGGTCCCCCGTGCGCCGGAGATCACGGTCCCCGGGCCGCCGCCGCCACAGGAGCCGCTCCAGCTCCAACTCCTCCCGATAAACAGGCCACTGAAGCTCTCGCCCCTGTAACTTATACCCCACCCAGCTCAGTTTTGTCACTTTTCTAGCCAAAGGAAGACCAGTAGGAAAGCAAACCCTTGACTCTGGCAGGATTTGCAGGCAGCAGGCAGCACCCCTCTGCCAGCCGGGCCCCGGCTGCAGAAGTGCTGTTGGTTTGGATGCTGTGTGCCTGTCAAGATTCCCTCCGGTTTTCTGGCTAGAAAGCTCATCCGTTTCCGGTTTCTAAGAGTCAGTTCAGTGGCAGAGCCACCAGGGAAAAGTGAGGCTCTTGGGGGTGGTTTGACCCTGCTTACCTGGGAGCACACTTTTCCCTTCCCCGATGACCTGGGATGGTGGCCAGGCCGTGCCCTTGCTGTTGCTGGGCAGTGTCCTTTTGGAAAGGGAGCTGCCCCAGGCTTTAGTGCAGCTGCCAACCCTGTTAGGCCTGGCCTCTCGAGGCCTCTTCTGACCTCAAGGGTCACACCCCCTCAAAGATCCTCTCACCCATGGTAGTTGCTGCTCGTGGTTCTGTCTGTCCGTGCACCGATGCACACACCGCACCCCACCACTGTACTCTGAAATTGGCGAGTGAGTGGAGAGCCAGCTCTGCGGAGTCATCACGCAGCCATGGTTGTGCCTGCCGTTCATGGTGGTCTTTCAGGTTATCTTGGCAACATGTACATTGCTTTTATTTTTTTTCTTTTTTGCTTTCATTGTACAGTCAGTACTATAAAATTTCTCTTTTGAGTTTTATACCTTTGTAGCATTTTAGATGACATTGTGTTTGTACTTTGTTGTGTAGAGTGGAAGAATTGTGTTGAATAAACCCAAGATCGGAATGCAAATCTAGTTCTGGGTTCACTGCCTTCTCACTTGTCCCCTCGCCCCTAGTAACTTTCTGTTCCTCACCATCCGCAGTGGCACCTCCGATGCTTTCAGCCAGGAGAACCTAGGGTTTGTGTGCTGTGGGGACCAGGTTGCTCCTAGGGTGGACAAATAGAAGGAGATGGTTTTATCGCCACCTTGGAATGTGTGTGTGTTTTCAGACAGACTCTCGCTCTGTCACCCAGGCTGGAGTATGTACCATGGTGCGATCATAGCTCATTACAGCCTCCAACTCCTTCTTCAGTGTCCAGAGTAGCAGGGGCTAATTTTTTTTTAATTTTTTAATTTTTTTTTTGAGACAGTCTCTGTTGCCTGGGTTGGAGTGCAGTGGCGCAATATTGGCTCACTACAACCTCTGCCTCCTGGGTTCAAGTGATTTTCCTGCCTCAGCCTCCTGAGTAGCTGGAATTACAGGCACCTGCCACCATGCCCAGCTAATTTTTTGTATTTCTAGTAGAGACGGCGTTTCATCATATTGGCCCGGCTGGTCTCAAACTCCTGACCTCATGATTTGCCCACCTTGGCCCCCAAAGTGCTGGGATTACAGGCATGAGCCACCGCGCCCAGCAGCAGGAGCTAATTTTTAAGAATTTTTTGTAGCAACAAGTTGTTGCTATGTTACCCAGCTGGTCCTGAGTCACTGGGGTTACAGGTGTGTGTCACCATGCCAGGCTTGCTTCCTCCTCCGTTAAGTGGCCATTTTTCCACCTCAAAAATTGGTTTGGGACACAAGGAAGAATTGGAAATGCTTAAGATGAGAACAAAAGTTGAGACCACCCAACACAGCTGGGACCTTACTGCCCAGTGCTCCCAGTGGTCTGACCAAAACCCCACACCAGACAGTACAAAGGCCCACTCCCGAGCTGCCGCTTACGGCCCAGCGGGAACAGACTGTATTCTTATCTTTCGGCATTTCTCTGCAAATAAAAAGGTGCCACTGCGGTCCGGCCTTTGTGCACTTGCCCTTGTGCTGAGCAAGGCGGGTGGCCTGTTCTTACCGCTGGGTTCTGCTGCCCCCACCCCCATTTCGGTGACTAAACCTGCAGCTCTGATCCTGTTCCCAAAGGGGCAGGAGGCCGGGCTCACCCCAGGCAGCCCCTGGCCTCCCTGACGGCCCCCTCGGGAGGGGTTCCGTGCTTTGATCGCCTTTCCAGCGCCGATACTGCAGTAGCTGGGCCCGGCCGAGAGCTCGCGGTCACGAACACCGGCAGCCTCTTGCCTACAGTGTCCCGCGCTGTAGAAGAGCCTGCCCTGGCGCTGAGCTGGTCGTGGCTGCTTCAGCAGTGGGCCTGCGCCTCCTTGTAGGCCAGCCCTGGCCCAGATCCAGGTGCCTGCCCCGGAAGCGCGCGGCTGCCCGGGGTGAAGCCGGAGGGCGGCGAGCGGCTGTTTCGGCCGGTAGGTGGAGGCGTTGACCAGCCTCTGGGAACGGGGCGGGACCTAGTTGGGGGGGCTCCGCCCCCTCCCCAGGAGGCGAGCTCAGCCCGCGACCTTTATCCCGCGCGTTGCGGTCAAGATGGCGCTGGTGGCTTCTGTGCGAGTCCCGGCGCGCGTTCTGCTCCGCGCGGGTGCGAAACCCGGGGTGGGCAGGGATCGGGCCGGGGCCGGGGCCAGGACCGGGAACTAACGGGCTCCCCCACGCTGCCTTCGCAGGGGCCCGGCTCCCGGGCGCGGCCCTCGGGCGGACGGAGCGGGCGGCCGGCGGCGGAGACGGCGCGCGGCGCTTCGGGAGCCAGCGGGTGCTGGTGGAGCCGGACGCGGGCGCAGGTGAGCGGGCGGCGCCGAGGGAGGGCGGGCGTGGGGTCAGGACCCGCGGGGGTCCGCGCTCGCGGGGTGCTGTCGGAGAACCACGTCTGTCGACGCTCGGTTTGTGTTTAGAACCCAAGTTTCGAAACAGAACCTTGCCGCTCTACCTGGGTTCGTTCGTCATGAGATAAAAGTTTCTGTTTTTAAAGTTGGCGGAGGCCGGGCGCGGTGGCTCACGCCTGTAATCCTAGCACTTTAAGAGGCAGAGGCGGGCGGATCACCTGAGGTCAGGAGTTCGAGATCAGCCTGGCCAACATGATGAAACCCTATCTGTACTGAAAAATACAAAAGAAAAAAATTAGCTGGGCGTGGTGGTGCGTGCCTATGCCTGGGAGGCTGAGGCAGAAGAATCGCTGGAATCTGGGAGGTGGAGGCTGCAGTGAGCCGAGATTGTGCCACTGCACTCCAGCTTGGGCCACAGAGCAAGATTCCGTCTCAAAATAAATAAATAAATAAAAATAAAGTTGGCGGGGATATGAGCTGTTATCTAAGTTATTCAATTGGAAGTGGAAAAGAATTGGAATCTTTTGGAATAAAATTACGTTTGTTAACACTCCCATGTGGCACAGAACCTCGTACCTACCCGCCCGTCAGAACCCTTGGTAAAACCCACTGGAAAGGATAGAAAAAGTACTTTTGGAAGAGAAGCCTGTGCGCTCCCTCCAGACAGGAGGCCGAGCTGAGGGCACCGAGAGGGCACGCCTAGGCGCCAGCAGTTCTGCTTCCAGGACATGCTGACCTGGACCTCCCGGTGCAGCAGTCCCTGCTGTGGCTCCTGAGAGGAGGCCCTCCCCCTCCGCAAGTAAGTCACAGCCCCTGCCCTCCCCAACCCCCCAGACTCAGGGCTGTGCCCAACTTTGCACAGCTTCAGGACTCCAGGCTCCTGGTGCCTCTGAACTTGGTTCCGTCCTCTCTGTCTGGGCTGAGGGAGCTGCCTGGGCTCTCTCTACAAACTTGAGAGGGACAAACTAAGACCAACTTCAAACTGACTTTTTTTTTTTTTTTTTTTTTTTTTGGAGATGTAGTCTTGCTCTCCAGTCGCCAGACTGGAGTGCAGTGGCGCAATCTCCGATCACTGCAACCTGTGCCTCCTGGGTTCAAGCGATTCTCCCTCCTCAGCCTCCCAAATAGCTGGGATTACAGGGACCCACCACTATGCCCACTAATTTTTGTAAAAACTGAGTTTCTGAAGGGATCATTTCTGTAGCATATTTGAATATATCTCAACAAAATGCAAAAAAAAAAATTATTATTTTTTTTTTTTTGAGACAGAGGCTCCCTCTGTCACCCAGGCTGGCGTGCAATGGCGCGGTTCCGGCTCACTGCAATCTCAGTCAGGCCTGACTTTCTGACTCCAAACTCTACTTTGTCTTTTTTTTTTTTTTTTTTTTTTTTTTTTTGAGACGGAGTCTTGCTCTGTCGCCAGGCTGGAGTGCAGTGGCACGATCTCCGCTCACTGCAAGCTCCGCCTCCCGGGTTCACACCATTCTTCTACCTCAGCCGCCCAAGTAGCTGGGACTACAGGCGCCCGCCACCACGCCCGGCTAATTTTTTTTTTTTGGTATTTTTAGTGGAGACGGGGTTTCACCATGTTAGCCAGGATGGTCTTGATCTCCTGACCTCGTGATCCACCCGCCTCGGCCTCCCAAAGTGCTGGGATTACAGGCGTGAGCCACCGCGCCCGGCTTACGTTGTCTTTTTATATGGTAAAGTGGGGAGGCACTCGAGTAAAAAAATTGTCATTGTACGAACACTTTTCCTTTTTTACCGGAGGTAATGTGTGTGTGTGTGTACATAAAAATCTTTAAAATATGCCTCACATTTACCATTCTAGCCATTTTGCAATGTACAACCCCGTGGCCGTAAGTATATTCACAATGTGTAGTCCACACTACCCATTCCAATACCTTAAGATAACATGTTTTTGAGTCCGGGCCCGGTGGCTCCCACCTGTAATCCCAGCACTTTGGGAGGCCAGGGTGCGCGGATCACGAGGTCAGGAGATTGAGACCATTCTGGCTAACACGGTGAAACCCCATCTCTACTAAAAAATACAAAAAAAAATTAGCCGGGCGTGGTGGCGGGCACCTGTAGTCCCAGCTACTTGGGAGGCTGAGGCAGGAGAATGGTGTGAACCCCGGAGGTGGAGCTTGCAGTAAGCCGAGATCGCGCCACTGCACTCCAGCCTGGGCAACAGAGCAAGAATCTGTCTCAAAAATAAATTAATTAATTAAATAAAATAAATAAATAAATAAATAGGAATGACAACCACATGGATGAACCTTGAACACATGATACTAAGTGGACAAAGCCGACAACAAAGCCCGGCGGTATCCCAGTGATATGGAATATGGCTGGAGCAGGAAAACCGCAGACACAGAACGCAGACTGGCGGCTTCCAGGGGCTAGGGGTGGGATGAGGAGCAACTGCTCATGGGGACAGGGATTCCTTTTGGGACAATGAAAAGGTTCTGGAACTAGGCAGCGGCGATAGTTGCACAACACAGTCAGTATACTGAATTGTGTAAGTGCCTGACTTGTTTACTTAAAAATGGCTAATTTAGGCTGGGCACAGTGGCTCATACCTATAATCACATCACTTTGGGAGGCCGAGGCAGGAGGATCACCTGAGGTCAGAAGTTCATGACCAGCCTGGCCAACCTGGTGAAACCCCGTCTCTACTAAAAATGCAAAAATTAGCCAGGCATGGTGGTGTGTCCTGTAATCCCAGCTTCTCAGGAGGCTGAGGCAGAAGAATGGCTTGAACCCAGGAGGCAGAGGTTGCAGTGAGCCGAGATAGCGCTGCTGCACTCCAGCCTGGGCAACAGAGCGAGGCTCTTGTCTCAAAAAAAAAATAAAGATAGAAAATGGTTAATTTGGCCGGGCATGGTGGCTCACACCTGTAATCCCAGCACTTTGGGAGGCCGAGGCGAGGTGTTCACGAAGTCAAGAGATCGAGACCATCCTGGCCAACCAACATGGTGAAACCCCATCTCTACTAAAAATACAAAAATTAGCTGGGCATAGTGGCGCATACCTGTAGTCCCAGCTACTCAGGAGGCTGAGGCAGGAGAATCGCTTGAACCCGGGAGGTGGACGTTGTAGTGAGCTGAGATCGCGCCACTGCACTCCAGCCTGGGCGACGAGCGAGACTCTGTCTCAGAAAAAAATGATAGAGAGAGAAAGAGAGAATGGTTGATTTAAAAAGCATGCAGTTTATATAGAATAAATAAAATTGTTAATTTATGTTATATCGATCTTACTTCAATGTAAAAAACCAAGGGCTCACTCCTGTAATCTAGCACTTTGGGAGCCTGAGGCAGAAGGACCACTTAAGCTCAGGAGTTCAAGACCAGCCTGGGCAACAAAATAAGACCTCGTCTGTACTAAAAAATAAAAAAGATTAACTGGGTGTGGTGGCGCTTGCCTATAATCCCAGCTACTCAGCAGGCTGAGTTGGGAGGATCGCTGGAGCCCAGGAGGTCAAAGCTGCAGTAACCAGAGATCACACCCCTGCACTCCTAGGTGATAGAGTGAGACCCTGTCTCAAAAATAATAATAATAAAAAAATAACCCCCAGGCCGGGCGCTGTGGCTTACGCCTGTAATCCTGGCACTTTGGGAGGCCGAGGCGAGCGGATCACCTGAGGTTGGGAGTTCAAGACCAGCCTGACCAGCATGGAGAAAACCCCGTCCCTACTAAAAATACAAAATTAGCTGGATGTAGCGGCACGCACCTGTAATCCTAGCTACTCGGGAGGCTGAGGCAGTCGAATCGCTTGAACCCAAGAGGCAGAGGTTGCGGTGAGCCAAGATCGCTCCATTGCACTTGAACCTGGGCAACAAGAGCAAAACTCCGTCTCAAAAAAGTAAATAAAAATAGGACCAGGCGCGGGGGCTCACGCCTGTAATCCCAGCACTTTGGGAGGCCGACGTGGGCAGATCGCGAGGTCAAGAGATCGAGCCCATCCTGGCTAACACGGTGAAACCCTGTCTCTACTTAAAAGAAAAAAATTATCCGGGCGTGGTGGTGGGCACCTGTAGTCCCAGCTACTCAGGAGGCTGAGGCAGGAGAATGGTGTGAACCCGGAAGGCAGAGCTTGCAGTGAGCTGAGATCGCGCCACTGCACTCCAGCCTGGGTGACAGAGCGAGACTCTGTCTCTAAATAAATAAATTAATAAATAAAACCCCCAAAATGCACAGCTATCATGGCTTAGTTGAGGGTGCAGGCTGGTCAGGCTGCTTTTCCAGTGCCAGGTGTGAGCTTTCTCTTCTCATTCTTTAAATTAGGGGTCGCTGTGATGAAATTCAAGAACCCCCCAGTGAACAGCCTGAGCCTGGAGTTTCTGACGGAGCTGGTCATCAGCCTGGAGAAGCTGGAGAATGACAAGAGCTTCCGCGGTGTCATTCTGACCTCGGTAGGTGCTAGTTCAGCTCCCTACCCCAGCCCGAGTTCTTGGCCTGAGTTCTCTGATGTGAGCCCAGGCCTGTTGCACATGGAAGAGGCAGAGCCTGCCAACGTGTGGCACAGGCCAGCCGGCAGCCCCACCACCCTGGACTCCAGGCGCCTTCACGGGAGGCTTCCAGGAGCACCGTCTGGGTGTGCCCCAGCAGGGACCCAAACTGCCATGGGCCTCAAGCAGATCATTCCCAAAGGTGAAGGTGGACCAGTCTCAGAGACAGCCTTCCCAGGAGACAGCTTTCCCAAGAGACGCCCTTCCCGGGAGACAGCCTTCCCAAGAGGCAGCCCTCCTGGGAGACCGCCTTCCTGGGAGACAGCCTTCCCTGCCCGGGCCGTCGTCCAGGCGGACACTGGGGAGAGCTGTGGGCAGCGAGTGAGGGAGAGCCATGCATCTATGGGGTCACCTTGGACCCTAAGCACACCTGGTGGTGGGTTCCTGGAGTGCTCCCCACTAGGATCACTTGGGTGCCCTGAGCCAGTCCTGCGAACAATACCCATGCTCTCTGATCCTCTGTGGGCCAGTCTTCAGGGCGAGTTCTCAAGGGTGAACCTCTTTGGTCTGAGTTCTTGTGCAGGGGACTCTAAATGTTGCCTGAGTGCTGGCGAACGCTAGGCGTGTCATCTGTGGGAACGGTGTCATTACCAACATCGCCGAGGGGCAGTAAGCAGTGTCAGGCCCAGGAGGATGGGACCCTTGAGGAGAAGCGGGCATTGGCTGAGGTGAGGGGAGTGAGGGGTCCTCGGAGGCTGGCGTGGCTTTACAGGGCCTGGCCTAGAACTCCTGACCTCAAGTGATCTGCCCACCTCGGCCTCCCAAAGTGCTGGCCACGTCCAGCCTTATATATTTATTGAGACAGAATCTCCCTCTCTTGCCCAGGCTGGAGTACAGTGACGTGATCTTGGCTTACTACAACCTCCGCCTCCTGGGTTCAAGCGATTCTTGAATCTTGAAAATTTTTAAAATTTTTGGGAGAGACAGTGCCTTTATTGCCCACGTTGGTCTTGAACTCCTGGGCTCAAGCACTCCTCCCACCTCGGCTCCCCAGTGTGCTAGGATTACAGGTGCGAGCCATTGCACCTGGTTAATTTTTTTGCTTAATTTTTACTTTTTTGTACAGGCGGGGTCTTGCTATGTTGCCCAGGCTGGTCTTGAACTCCTGGCCTCAAGCAGTTCTCCAATCTTGGCCTCCCAAAGCTCTGGGATTACAGGCATGAGCCACCACGCCAGGCCTGGGTTTTGAGTAACGGAAGTAGAACGCGTTTTGTAGAAACAAAGGACCGGCCTACCCATTCTGTGCGGCACCAGCTCACACCTGTTTGGGAACAGCGGAGCTGCGTTGCCCACCCGCACCGTTCCTGGCTTTTTCACATCGCCTGAGGATGTGGAGGCCATCCCATCTGTCCCAGCCGCCTCCTCCTCGCACACATTAGGTGGCTGTCGCCCTCCTTCCTGCAGACAGGGCGGGGTAAACATCCACCCAGCTCTGCTTGTGTGAGTCAGGGTGAGCTGGGTTCAGCTGCAGGAACAAGTTCACCCACAGCCTTGGGGGGTCTGGCCCTCGGGAGGAAAACGTGCCGTGTTGTGCAGAGGGGAAGGTACCCTTGTCATTTGCTCAGGGGGCTGTGACCATGCAGGGTCCCCAGGGTGGGTTCTCCACTCCTCCCCGAGCCCGCCTCCCTGGCCGGCAGCCCTGACTGGGAGTCTGAGGCTCCTGTGCTGGCGCCCGCTACTCCAGCCGTGGGAGGGTCCCTTCCACCTGTGCTCACCCCTCGCCCTTCCTTGGTAGCTGCTGAGAAACCCACACATTCCAGATCATTCTCCCACCCTAGCACTTCCTGGTCCACACGGGGGTCCCTGGCTTGCTTGGCCCTTTGCGGGTAAATGATTCAGAACGTGCAGCTCCTCTGGATTCTCAGGAGTCTTCACCACACCTCTGGGTTCTTCTGCCCGAGCCAGGCGTGCAGAGCCAGAGGGCCGGCGCACTTATGTCCCTGAGAGGTGCCTGGCGCTGCCTGTCCTCTCCTATCCAGTTTGAAGCGGGAAAGGGAAGAATGTTCTGGGAAGTACAGGGAAGCCAGGTCCAGGAGAAGCCTTGGCCGAGTCCCTGGAGCGCCTAGTCCTGGCTCTGTGGGGCAGCACCCACACCCTGAGCGTGACCTGGCCCTGCTGTGCGTCGTGCACCTGGGCTCCCCAGCCCTCCTGCTGTGATGCCAGCTGGGAGGTGGACTCTGATGGGCATGTGGCCCCGGCTCCCCCTGCAGGACCGCCCGGGTGTCTTCTCGGCCGGCCTGGACCTGACGGAGATGTGTGGGAGGAGCCCCGCCCACTACGCTGGGTACTGGAAGGCCGTTCAGGAGCTGTGGCTGCGGTTGTACCAGTCCAACCTGGTGCTGGTCTCCGCCATCAACGTGAGTGTCCCCACTCCCAGGTGGCCTCGCTGGCTGTTCTGGGCCAGCGCCAGGGGGTGGGACAGACACTGTCCTGCCCTTGGAATCTCTCACAGGGGAAGGGGACGGTTGGAGAGGCCCTGAGATGTGCACAGGTGAGCGCCATCGCAGACCACGGGGCGTGTTGAGAAAGGTGGGCCTCGGGTGAGGGCCCTGGCCTGGGTCAATCAGACAAGACCCAGAAAAGAGCCAGTGGGTAGGGACCAGGGCCTGGGGTTGATGCCAGCCTGGGTGGAGGCTGTGTGGGTGAGTGGGTGATCGGACCCACATTTTGGAAACATCACTCCATCCCTTCTGGGGGAAGGCCAGGGAAGCCGAGAACAACACGGGGGCTTAACCTCAGGAACCAGGGTGTCCTGCGGGGTGGCTGTGACAAGCCGGGTGTGGGCCGGAGCCTGGTGGAGGGGAGGGCTGGTGTGAGAGGAAGCCTCAAGGGTGCACGGCCATGCAGACAGGATGGGTCCTGCGCGGGGCAGTGGGTACCTGCAGTGACCACAGGGTGAGTGTGGGGTTCCCAGGACATCCTGGTTGCGCTAGCTGCTGGGGTGGTATCGGGGCCCCCTTGGGGCATGACAGTTATGACTAAATGCTTGTGTGGCATTTTAGCATTGAGTAAAAGCACTGAGAGGACAAGCGACTTGCTCCCCTAACTGAATGGTTTTTAAAAGTGATTTATCTGTTGCCGAAGAACTAATGACCCTCGGCTGAGGACGAGCCTCAGACCCTCCTTGCCGAGCGCTAAGGGGCCAGTTCCTTCCTCATCCATTTCCCAGTGCACACCCAGCCCAGCCCAGACCATTGTGGGTGTTGAACCCTGCGGGGGTCGGGGTGCGCCAAGGGCACAGGCCCTCCTTCCTTGGACCTGGCCCTCTGGAATGTGGTTGGGACCAGCAGCACCTAAGAGCCCTGTCCGGCCTCTCCCTGCAGGGAGCCTGCCCCGCTGGAGGCTGCCTGGTGGCCCTGACCTGTGACTACCGCATCCTGGCGGACAACCCCAGGTACTGCATAGGACTCAATGAGACCCAGCTGGGCATCATCGCCCCTTTCTGGTAAGGCCCTGGGCTGCAGCCACGCTCCATGCTTGTTGTGGAGGGAACAGACCCGCCTGGGGCCATGTGGTGAGTGGGTGTCTGCATTTCCAGGTTGAAAGACACCCTGGAGAACACCATCGGGCACCGGGCGGCGGAGCGTGCCCTGCAGCTGGGGCTGCTCTTCCCGCCGGCGGAGGCCCTGCAGGTGGGCATAGTGGACCAGGTGGTCCCGGAGGAGCAGGTGCAGAGCACTGCGCTGTCAGCGATAGCCCAGTGGATGGCCATTCCAGGTGAGGCACGGGGCATGGCGGGCGCCCGATGATGCTGGGGAGACCAGAAGGTTCTCCACCCAAAGGTTTTCTGTGGACATCGTGACTTCGGGAGACTGTTGATAATCACAGCCATGTGGGTGTCAGGAGGCTGCTGTAACAACGCAGCACAGACCGGGTGGCCCAGACCGCAGAAGCTCATCTCACGGTGCTGGAGACCAGAGGTGCAAAATCAAAGTGTGGGCAGGACTGCACTTCCTCCCTGCGTTCCAGGGAGGCTCCTTCCTGCCCCGCCCACTTCTGCTGGCTCCAGGCCTCCCTGGGCTTGTGGGCGCCTCGCTCTAATCTCTGCCTCCATCCTTACGCAGCTTTCTCCCCTGTGTTTCTGTGGGTCTCAGGTCTCTCTCTCCCTTCTCAGGACACCTGCCATGTGATTTAGGACCTACCTTAAATCCAAGATGATCCCAACTTAATTACATCTGCAGAGACTCTTTCCAAATAAGGTCACACTTCCAAGTTCCAGAGCAGTGGTTAGGGCTTGGACCTATCTTTTGGGGCACACTTTTCAACCTACTACAAAGACAATTGTCCACTTCATAGAAAAAGAGCTGGTCATATCAGCGATGGTATAGACCAGGGCCCAGCAAATTCTGTCTCTAAAGGGCCAGGTGGCTTGTGGGCTCTGTAGGTAAGACCTTTGTAGCAGAAAGCAGCCACAGAGGAGACGTAAACTGACAGGTATAGCTGTGTTCCGGCAAAGCTTTATGGACAGTGGGCCAGGTGCGGTGGCTCACGCCTGTAATCTCAGCACTTTGGGAGGCTGAGGCAGGCAGATCACTTGAGATCAGGAGTTCAAGACCAGCCTGGCCAACATGGTGAAACCCCATCTCTACTAAAAATACAGAAATGGGCCAGGCGCGGTGGCTCACACCTGTAATCCCAACATTTTAAGAGGCCGAGGCGGGCGGATCACAAGGTCAGGAGATCAAGACCATCCTGGCTAACACGGTGAAACCCTGTCTCTACTAAAAATACAAAAATTAGCCAGGTGTGGCGGCGGGCGCCTGTAGTCCCAGCTACTCGAGAGGCTGAGGCAGGAGGATGGCGTGAACCCGGGAGGCGGAGCTTGCAGTGAGCTGAGATCGCACCACTGTACTCTAGCCTGAGCAACAGAGAGCAGGACTCTGTCTCAAAAAAAAAAAAAAAAAATGAGCCGGGCGTGATGGCACGTGCCTGTAATTCCAGCTACTGGGAGGTTGAGGCAGGAGAATCGCTTGAACTTGGGAGGCAGAGGTTGCAGTGAGCCAAGATCATGCCATTGTACCCCAGCCTGGGTGACAGAGTGAGACTCTGTCTCAAAAACAACAAAAAAAATTTTATGGACACTGAAATTTGAGTTTCACATAATTTTCACATGTCACAAAATACTAACCTTCTTTTGATTTTCAACTATTCAAAAATGTAAAAACCAGCCCGGCACAGTGGCTGAAGCCTGTAATCCCAGCACTTTGAGAGGCCAAGGTGGGCGGATCACCTGAGGTCAGGAGTTTTAGACCAGCCTGGCCAACATGGCAAAACCCCGTCTCTACTAAAAATACAAAAATTAGCCGGGTGTGGGGGCAGGTACCTGTAATCCCAGCTACTTGGGAAGGCTGAGGCCGGAGAATCACTTGAACCTGGGAGGCGGAGGTTGCAGTGAGCCAAGATCATGCTACTGCGCTCCAGCCAGGACGACAGAGTGAGACTCCTCTCAAAAAAAGTAAAAACTATTCATAGCTTCAGGGCCTTGAGAAGCCAGATTTGCCAACCCTGATACAAATGACTGAAGGCTGTGCTGCCATTTCCTGTGCTGTAAGACAGTATTTAATATAGTGCCATGGAAATTTTTTTATTTTTATTTTATTTATTTTTTTTGAGATGGAGTCTCCCTCTTGCTCAGGCTGGAGTGCAGTGGTGCGATCTCAGCTCACTGCAACCTCCACCTCCTGGGTTCGTGCCATTCTCCTGCCTCAGCCTCCTGCGTCGTGGAAATATTCTTCATAATATAGTTGAGTGAAAATGACACGTTAAGTCGCTGGGCGCGGTGGCTCACACCTGCAATCCCGGCACTTTGGGAGGCCAAGGAGGGTGGATCACCTGAGGTCAGGAGTTCGAGATCAGCCTGACCAACATGGTGAAACCCCTTCTCTACTAAAAATACAAAAATTAGCCGGGCATGGTAATGCTCCTGTAATCCCAGCTACTCAGGAGGCTGAGGCAGGAGAAGTGCTTGAACTTGGGAGGCGGAGGTTGCAGTGAGCCAAGGTCACGCCACTGTAGTCCAGCCTGGGTGGCAGAGACAGACTCCATCTCAAAAATAAATAAATAAATAATACAAAATTAGCCAGGATGTGTGTGCACGCCTGTAGTCCCAGCTACTCAGGAGGCTGAGGTGAGAGGATCACCTGAGCCCAGGGATTCAAGGCTGCAGTGAGTCGTGATCACTAGTGCACTCCAGTATGGGCGACAGAGAATATCCTGTCTCTTTAAAAACAAAACAAAACAAAAAAAAATTAGGGCCGGGCGTGCTGGCTCATGCCTGGAATCCCAGCACTTGGGGAGGCCGAGATGGGTGGATCACCTGAGGTCAGGAGTTCGGGACCAGCCTGGCCAACATGAGGAAATCCCATCTCTACTAAAAATACAAAATTAGCCGGGTGTGGTGGCACACGGTTGTAATCCCAGCTACTCAAGAGGCTGAGGCAGGAGAATCACTTGAACTCGGGAGGCGGAGGTTGCAGTGAGCCAAGATCCCACCATTGCACTCCAGCCTGGGCGACAGAGCAAGACTCCGTCTCAAAAAATAAAAATAAAAAATAAGTTGGGAATCACCCCACTGCCCCTGAAAGTGGGATTTCAGTGGCACGTCCCATTCTCTTTAGACCATGCTCGACAGCTGACCAAGGCCATGATGCGAAAGGCCACGGCCAGCCGCCTGGTCACGCAGCGCGATGCGGACGTGCAGAACTTCGTCAGCTTCATCTCCAAAGACTCCATCCAGAAGTCCCTGCAGATGTACTTAGAGAGGCTCAAAGAAGAAAAAGGCTAACGATTGGGCTGCCACAGGCTTACGGCCACACGTGCCCCTGTGGGTCCCAGGGAGGTCTTAAACAAGGTATTTTTCAACTTAAAAGTACTGCCAGCGTTTCATTTTGCTGATGTTACGTAGAAGTTCCTGTTCCTCATAGCCCAGTGGCCCAAGGCCCAGCCACACACAAACACACATGGGTGCCTGTGCCCGTCAGGCAAGGGGAGTTGGAGGGCAGCCTTTTGACTTGGGATTGTGACTGGCAGGGGATGCCATTCTGGACCTGGTGAGGTTGCCACGGAGTGTCTCTGTTCCCAAGGCAGAATCGTAAGTCAAGTCCCTGGTCATCCATTCTGGCCTTTGGACTGCCTGCTCTTAGGTGTAAGGCCAGGTGGTCTTGGCCCCCATGACCCACACAGAACTCCCCAGGGAAAAGCCCTTTGGTCACTGCCCTTACTCATCAGGATGAAGAGCGCACAGTGAATCAGAGCAACTGGGGGATCCTGAGCCAGCGGGAGTGGGACTCTGGAGGCAGCTGTGCTGCCAGGGATCCAAATGTCCCTTAAGAAGGATTTTGCAAGAACCAAACTCATCCAAACCCTTGAAACAAAGGTTTTTCCTCCCATGCGATTCAGACCAAGTTACCACATCTTGCTAAGATGTGATGTTTCAAAAACCAGAAACCTCATCGGGCCCCAGTCAGTGACCCAGTGGACCCGTGGGCCTGCCTTTTCCCTATCCTAATGTGTCCTTGCCCAGGCACAGGGCAGCAGCCTTGAAGGGCTGAGCCACGGCGAGCTGGGCGGTTCTTTGCACGGGACCTTAGTCCCAAGCCACCTGCCTGGGCAGGGAGGAGTCCAGCCCGCCCACTGCTCTCAGGCTCTCCAAAAGCTCCAGGGCTGCTGACTAGCTGGGGCTGGCCTCCCCTTGCAGTGCTGGGTAAGACCGGGCTCTTGAGACAGACAAGTGCCTGGGGGCCCCTGCAGGGCCCTGGAATGGGGGCTGCGGGGTGGGCCTGGGGAGAGCTGTTCTGAGAGCCCCGAGGGCCCAGGAGGCTGGTGTGTTGGCGCCATCCCTGTCCCAGCTGTGCTCACAGTACAGGCTCCTGGGAGTGTTTGTAGTTTCCACAGAGGATGAGCAAGGAGCATCCCTGAGCTGCCTTCTGGGGCCAGCAGGCTCCGGGGGCAGCCACGTCCCACCAGGACATGGGGTGGGCAGCCCAGGCCATGGCTGCCCCTAAGGAGCTGAGGCTGGGTCCTAAGGAAGGACAGAGGCCTGGGAGCCAAGCTGTGGGGCCCGACCGGGAGCAGCTCATTTATTGAGCAGACATCTGCCGGGCAGTGCCCCCTGCACCCCTCATGGGGCTCACAACACCCCATGAGGTCGCTGGATGCAGCCCGTCCCACAGATGGGGAACGGAGGTACAGAGCAGCACATCACGTGTCCATGGCCCCTGGTCCACGCCCAGCCGACTCTGCCTTGGGGCCTCACTGAAGGGTGGCTGCCACCCTGAAGGGGCCACTGTTGGGCCATTCCTCAGAGCCAGGGTCTGCAGGTGGCATGCCCCAGCCAGGCCTCGAGTCATCGGTGGAACTTGAGGGTCACCTCCACTGGAAAGTGGTCGCTGATGGCAAGAGCCTGTGGGGACAGAGTGAGCCTCAGGGGAAAAGTGCACCCCACCCACAGGGATGGGAGGGGCCGGTGAGGCCTGGGTGCCCACCCCTGCTGCTGCCTGCGGTGGGGCAGGGGCAGGGGCCGGGGCAGAGGGTGTCACCACTGGCCCTTTGAGGGAAAGGCAAGGTACCCTGCCTGCCCAGAGCTCCACATGGGGTGGGCCGGGCTCTCCAGGGTCCTTGGAAACGAGCCCTGGTGCAGGGAGGAAGCTGAGGTGGCCCTGCCTTGGGCGCTGGACCCTCCCTGCTGCCTGCGTGCGCCCGGGCGGTGGGGACCCAAGACCAGCACCGCCCCACGGCCCACTCGCCTGAGTCTGGTCCAGGCCGAATTCCTCCTGGAAGTCGTGCACGGTGGCCGACTGGGGCTTCAGGCTCCGGCGCAGGCGGGCGCCACAGGCCACAATGCGGTCGTAGGCGCAGTCTGAGTTGCCCACCGTGGTGTCGGCGCTGTCAGGGATGAGCCACTTGAAGACCTCACTGCTCCTCAGACGGATGGCGGCCCAGTCCTGCGCCCGCACATAGCTGCAGTCGGCGTTGAAGTCGCCCAGGAACAGCATGTCCTGCGGGCGCCGCGGAGCCGTGTCTGAGCCGCCGCAGGAGCCGTCGAGGTCCCGCCCTCATGAACCAGACCCCCGGGGCGCGCCTGCAGGGACCCCGGGACCGAGGGGTGGGCTTACGTCGGTGCCCCACTTGTCGATCACGTCCAGGTACACGTCGTAGAGCGCGTCGATCTCCGCCACGGCTTGATGCGGCGCCGCGTGCAGCGGGATCAGCACCAGGTTCTGTGCTGCTGCGGGAAGGGGTGGGGGCGTCAGAGCTCGGCGGGAGGGGAGGGGCGGGGCCCGCTCACCGGTGCCGGGGGCCGAGAACTTGACCACGAAGGGCTCGCGGCTGAAGACGTCCTCGGGGTCTGGGTACAGGTAGGTGTCCACGACCGACACCGCGTCTTTCCTAGGAGATGGGGAGGACCCGCTGAGCCCCCGACCTGCGGCCCCGCGCGCCCCTCCCTGCGGCCCGCCCCTCACCTGTACACGAACAGGTACATCTCCTTGTACTGGTCCCGGCCCAGGGGCTGGCTGCTCACAAAGCTGTACTCGTGCTCGGACACGCTGCGGAGACAGGGGCCCGCTCAGGGTCGGGGCGCCGCGCCGGGGCGAGATCCCGGCGGGGGGTCGCGACGAGGGGCCCTGCCCACCACACCTGTTGATCTGCTCCATGAGCGCGGACACGGCGCTGAGGTCTGGGTCTCGCACCTCCTGCACCAGCGCGAGGTCATAGCCAGCCAGGATCTGGGGAGGAGCGGCGGGTGCGGGGGTCAGCGCGGTCAGCACCCCTAAACGCCGCCCCGCCCCGGCCCGGGCCCCACCTTCGCGATGATGCTGCCGCAAGCGGGGTCCGACACTTTGCTGTCACCGAAGCTCTGAATGTTGAAGGCTCCGATGCGAAGCGCGGCGGTCCCGGCGGCTTCCAGCGCCCAGAGTGCGGCCAGCAGAGCCCGGGGCCCGCCCATGGCGCGGAGCGAGAGGCTGGGAGGGACAGACGCTGCCGCCTACGCAGACCCGCTGTCAGACCCACCGACCCACCCCTTCCCTCCGCGGCCGCCCCTTGACGGCCAGTGCGACGCGGAATCCGCCCCTGCGTTCTGCAGGCTCCCAGGGCACTGCTGGGCTCTCAGGGACCGCTGCCTTCTCACTGCGCGGGAAGCTGCAGCCGGAATGGAGGGTCCGGCCCATCCAGCCCCAGCTCAGGGCAGCCGAGAGACTCACCTTGGATGTGGGTGCAGAGGCCCGAGGCTCAGAGATCCTAGGGGGATGGGGATCCCGGGTCCAGGCTGCGGGCGTGTCCGACACAGGACTGCACTGACTCCCTCTGGCAGTAGCTCTGGCACCAAGGCAGGGGCCGGTATTTGAGGTCCTGGGCCAGGGAGGGGCCGGGCTGCACTGGGTCCCGCCCCCTCGACTCAGCTGGGTGCCTGATGAACTCCTGGCTTTCATTCCCATGGAGACCCCCAGGGTAAGGGGTGGGAGACCTGCCTGAGCCGGTTCTGGTGCCCCAGACCTGTCCCAAAACCGTCCCAGAAGCCCCTGCCAGCCCCCTAGGAGGGAGGTAGACGGTCAGCCACATCCCGGTGCGGCTGTGTTCTTGTCCTCGCCCCTAGAAATTAGGTCGCCTAGACTCTGCCTCCCTGAGCAGAATCCCTTCAGGGAAAGCAAGGCAGCGCAGGTAGGACCAGCCACACTCCCTACCCAGCATCTCCTGCTGCTGCTCCACCTGCTCACCCTGCGGTGGAGGCCGAGGCTCCCAGATCTCCCTGTCCCCGTCCCTGGTCCTCCCACCCACCCACAGGCCTCAGGCAGCGCAGCTGGGGGCACAGCTCCAGCTGGGCAGGGCAGGAGGCTGTTGGTCAACATGCCAATGACACCCACACAGCACCAAGGCGCCGCCAGGGCTGGCAGAAGCCCCTGGGTGGGGCGGCCAGGCACGTGAGTCTAGGAGTGGCCTGGGAGGCAGGTGCTGCTGCGGGGGCCTGGGCAAAGGTGGTGGCACCAGCCGCGGAGGCTGCCACTGCCACAACATCACAAGCTGCAGGTTCTCATGTTTTATTGTAAAGCAACAAGAAACTCTTATGTACACTGTCCGTCTTGGGGCGCCTCCATCCTGTGCCATCTTCTCTACCAGGCCAGGCAGGCATGGGTGGGGCGCTCAGAGTCCTCTGCCCTGTCCCTGCCCGGCCAGGACCCCGCAGACCTCATGCTAGACGATGACCGTCTGCACCTCCAGCTGGCCCTCCGGCGAGGCGATGACCAGCTCGCCTGCATGCTCCAGGATCTCGATGTCCTCTGATGACACCATGGTCACAGTGGCCTGTTCAGTGCCACTTGTCCCTGCCCGGGCGGCAAGCACAGTGCCCTCGCTGATGGCCGAGGCCAGCGTCATGGCCACCTGCTCTGTCAGGCTCTCGGGGGTGGCGATGGTGATGGTGTCGGCGGCAGCCGCCTCTGGGCCCAGCGCCGTCTCCTCGTCCATGGTGACGTTCTGCACGATGATCTGGTGGCCGGCGCTAGCCTGGTGCACGATCTGCTGCACCACCTTCATGATGTGGCTGTCCACCTGCAGGGCCACGGCTCAGCAAGAGCGGCTGTGCCAGGGAGCCTCCCCGCCCCCGCCTGCCCTACCCCTCACCTCTGTCTGGGTGCCCTCGATGATCTCCGTGGCCTCACTGGTCTCCGCATCGTCCGCAGTGGCCTGGGCAGATGGGCAGAAGGACAGAGGTCAGCCTTGGCTGCCCCTGGGTCCCAGCACGGCCCCAGGGCCCCACACCCACCTCGATGATATACTCCTGGGTGTCAGCTACCACGGACGAGAACTCCACCAACACTGTGTGCGGGTCTTCCGTGAGGACGGTGGTGGCTGCCGCGGGGCTGTCCTCAGACACCAGCAACTCCTCCACCTCCAGCAGGCAGCCCCCTGTGGGTGGGGACTCGGTCAGGGCTAGGCAAGCCCCGGCCCCCTCCCCTCCCCCTCCCACCTCCACCGGCCCAGACCTTTGGTGCGCAGGTGCCGGTTCAGCGTGCCGTGCTCGGCGAAGCCACGGCCGCACTTGTAGCACTTGAACGGCTTCTCGCCTGTGTGGTGTCGCACGTGCCGCACCAGTGAGCCCTTCTCTCGGAAGCCACGGCTGCAGAACTGGCACACGTGCGGCTTCTCCTCCAGGTGTGTCCTGAAGTGCACCTGCTGTGCGTTCTGTGGAGACACCTGTCAGTGCCAGCCTGGCCTTGGCCACAACAGACTACAGCTCTCCCCTCCCGCCTGTGGCCCAAGGGAGGGGCTGGGTCAAGACTGAGCATGGTGGAGGCAGGGAAGGGGGTGCACCTGGGCCACGGCCAGGGAGCAGGATGGGGGGATCAGGCGCCAGGGTCCTGCGGCCAGAGACCCACCTTAGTCTTGTAGCGCTTGCCACACTTGGGACAAGGGTAGGGCCGCTCGTCTGAGTGGACGCGCCGGTGGCCACGCACATGGGCAATGGTCTTGTAGAGCTTCCCGCAGTCGCCACAGCGGAAGCGGCGCTCACGCACGTGCACCTCCTGGTGCTTCTTGAGCAGGTAGGCCTTGGGGAAGGCCTTGCCACACTGCGCGCAGGCGAACGGCCTCGGCCCTGCAGCCACACACAGCATCAGGCCAAGCCCATCACCCGCGGGCCCGCCAGGCCGCCTGCCACCTGCCCACAGATCCCCTGGCTCCCTGCTGTCTATGGACCCACCCTGGACACCCAGAAGCACCCCGGCCACCTATAGCCCATCCACTGCCATGGGCCACACACCCACCCATCACCTACCGGTGTGGCCCCTCTTGTGGGCCTCCAGGGTGGCTGCTGTCGGGAAGGTCTCACTGCACTGAGGACATGGGTGGGTCCTGGGCACCGCTGAGGCCTCGCTGGCCACCTGCTGGGGAACCACAGGAAGGTCTCCAGCACCCGGGGCAGGCTGTGCCCTGGCAGTACCAAGAACACAACCATGGGCCCCACCCTGGCAGGCTCCCTTGTGGCCCCAGGGAAGGCAGTAAACAGATCAATGGACAAAGTCACTGCAGAAAGCCACTTCAGGGAGGCGAAGGCCAGCGTGGGGACAGCCCCTGGGATCCAGCCCTGGGAGGAGCCCGCAGGTGGTGCTGGCACCTACTGTCTCCAGCGGCTGCACTTCCAGTACCGGCAGCTGCGGGGCTGCCACTGCCAGGGGCTGGGGACTGGACCCGGCAGCAGGAGCTGGCTCCAGGGCACCCTCCTCCCCAGCAGCGCGCTCAAGGACGATGCCGGAGTTCTGCATGGCCTGGTGCAGCAGGTTCTCACGGCTGCCCTCGCTGGAGCAGGGGAGCTCCTGGGAGACGGGGGGCTGCAGGGGAGGCAGAGAGAGGAGGCTGGCCAGGCAGCCTGGCATCCAGCACCCACCCCATGGGGCAGACGCACGCCAGGAGCCTTGTGCAAACCCTCAGACCCCCATGGCGCTCCCACTGGCCCTGCTCTCCCTGTGGGAAGCCCAGCCCTCGCCTGCCTGGCTCAGACCCCTGGAGCCAGTGCCCAGAACAAAGACTGGCACCGAGCAGGCAGAAGACAGAGCAGCCCTCCGGGGCCCCCCGTCGCCCCCACCTCTGGGGCCAGGGCTTTCATGCCCAGGGACAGCTCCTGCATCTGGACGTGGACTTCGTGGATGACGGTGCCCTTGGCATCTGTCACCAGGTGAATCACGGGTGAAGTCTCTATAGGCTCGCCTGTCACCGATGATGTGGCTGTCCCCAAGCCGGCAGCTCCAGCTCCAGAACCTTCAAGGTGGAGTGAGGGAGTGAAGATCCCTCACACACCCCAGTGGCGGCTGCGTCCACAGCCAGCCCCCAGGACCAGGCAGCTGCCCGCACCATGCTGACCTGCACGTGCGTCCTCTTTGCTGACAACCACGTCCTTGCTCACACTGAAGCGGATTTTCTCTGTGCAGGGGGTGAGAGACTTGAGGTGCCGGGTCAGTGCACCCGACTCCCGGAAGCTCTTTCCACACTTGGAGCACTTGTAGGGGCGCTCATCTGCAGAGAGAACCTAGTCAGCCCCGGGCAGCCCCAGCAGGCTGGCGACAAGGTGACAAGGCGAAGGCAGGCAGGGGCCCCCGCCTCATCCCCCAAAGCTGGGGAATGCGAGGCTGGGGCACCCCAGGGCCAACCATCGGGGTGCTACCGGGCTCCAGCCCGAGGTGCGGCCAGCTCACCCGTGTGCCGCCGGTGGTGCCGGATGAGTGAGCCCTTGGTGCGGAAGGAGGCCCCACAGAGCTTGCACTCGTGGTCCTTGCGGCTGCTGTGAGTGACCATGTGGGCCTTGAGGATGCTGCCCTGTGGGGGAGGGCGTGGCAGCTCAGGGCCCTCCTGGGGGAACAGGAGGGGGCCTGCCACCCACACACTGGCTCCCCGCACGCCGGCTCACCGTCTTGAAGGTCTTGTGGCACAGCGCACACACATAGCGGCCATCCTTGTTCACCAGTAGCTTCACCTGGGCCTGCTCACCCTCCCCTGCGAGCCCCAGCCCCTGCTGGCGGGGGCTGCCCGGGGCCTCGGCCATCTCACCGTCTCCCAGCTCCGCCTCAGCAGCCACGATGACCTCTTTGATGTGCCCACCACCTAGGAGAAGCATCTGGGCCTAAGCCCCAGGACCTGCCCCTGTCCAGAGACCCCAGAGACTGCTGGCTCCAGGGGAGGGGACCTGCTGCTCTGAGCCACACCCTGGACCCAACCTGCACTGAGCCCTCAACACACAGGTCCGAGCAACAGCCAAGGTCCCATTCACCTCTCCAGGTCAGAGTGAGAGGTGGAGAGACACCTCCCGACTCTGTCAGGCTGCCCAGAGATGCTCCAGGGCCCCTAAATGTGTCCACAGGGAGACCCACCATGGAGCACAGATGCCCCATCCCCAAAGCCAGGAGGACGTGCGAATCCTGGTGACAAGGTCCTTGGGTGAAGAGACAGCCGCCTGTCCTGCTCGCTGCCACTGCTCCTGCCACTGCTCCCACCAACATAGGGAGGATGTGCGTCCGGGGCCACTCTTCCATCGGAGGAGATGGGCTGGGCCACTGCAGCAGGGCAGGCAGGCCTGGCCAGAGCCCCGTCCCAAGGCAGGCTTGGCCTGGGAGAGTGAACGCTCTCCAGACACCCGGGACAGCCTGAGGCGAGGAAGCTGGGCTTTTGCACTTCTGGAGGATGCTGGGAAAAATCTGACAATGTGCAAAGCTAGGTTGTAAACACAGTTCAGGTTTTCTGCTCATAAAGATGACAAGTGGGAAACAGCTGTGAAGCCACTGCTTAGAAACCACCTCAGTCCGGCTGGCGTCTTGTTTTGACAAGCTGTTCTCTTGAAACACGACAAAAGCGTGGTGACTCAGAAACAATTAAGAGCCTCTCCTGCCCGAGCCCTTACACGCTCGATGCCCCAGGAGTGATCTTCCAAAGGACAGAGGCCTCTGATGGGGAGGACCTGGGGGAACATGGCTGCTGCGAGGCCAGAGGAGACGCGAACTTTTTCCGCGAAGCGGCAGGAGGGCCTGGAGGTGGGTTCCAACTGCCCACACAGCTGACCGCACCCCTGCACCCGCAAAGACAGGACCTGGCACGCCCCAGCCCTTGGCCACCAGCAGGCAGGACCCTCTGCCATCTCCACTAGAGGCCAACAGGAGAGCTAGCAGCCCTGGACTAAGCCCACCGGGCCTGCTGACTGGCCAAGGGCACACACAGAGTACCCAGGATGCCCGCAAAGGGGAAAATCCCAGGGGTGCCAGAGTGGCAGGGGTGCCAAGAGGGGCTGCTGAAGCACAGGGAGGGGTGCTGAGCCTAGGGCTGGAGGCTGCTAGAGTTTAGGTGGGTGGAAAGGGGCCTGGCTGGCCAGAGACCCAGCCCAGAGACCCCGCCAGAACCTAAGGAGTTCATGCTCCCAGGTGACGCCACCATCCCAGAAACCAAACGCCAGGTCAAGGCCAGAGCCCGCCCCACCTCCCACATGAACATTCCGAGCTCTGAGTGGCATTGATGAGTGTCTTGGTCGCAGGAATGCCAGGGAAAGGCAGCACGGAGGTGAGACAGGTGCCCTGGCTGCCTCCTGGAGAGCAGCCTGCTCACAGGTGCCCTTCCCAGGCCCCGGGTTGGCCTCCGCCACGGCTCCTCCACCCCCTCTTCCTGCTGCAGCCAGTCCCCAGGGCTGCCCAAGGCCAGGTTCCGCCTGGTGCCCAAACCTACTTCCTGTCCAGCTGCCCACTCCCCGCCTGCCTCAGCCCCGGTCCAGCAGGCTCCCCAGGCAGCAGCCATGCCCCGCCCCACCTCCCACAGCATCAGGTCCCTAGACAGCTCCTTCCCTCGCGTCTGCACACCTAGCCACTCGCCCCTGCCGCACCCCCAACCCCAGCAGCCCCTAGCTCCCTCAACCTGCCCAGGCCCTGGCTGCCTCTGAATGCCCCCCTGCACAAGCATCTGTCCCCGATGAGAGCCTGCCCATCCAGACCTCGCAACAGCCCCTCCCACAGCACATCAGGGAGAGAGACATCTTCACTTAAAAAGTAGCCATCAAAGAGTCCTGGCATTGCACGCTCATAAAAGCCCCATGAGGACCAGTGTAGCAATCACCACTCCCACACCAGAGGGAGCACTGGGGAGGGCAGGCCACGGCCAGCAGCAAGTCCGAGCCCAGCTAGAGAGGCGGGAGAGTCCCGTCCACCCTGTACCCACCCTCCAGAGCCGCTGCTGGGCGAGTGGGCCATTCTGGTGGGTGCCTGGTGGATGTTGCTGCCTACGGGCAGGGAGCAGGAACCAGGGGGTGGCAGGGAAGTGGGGAAGATTCTGGGAGGGACACGGCAGAGACCACCCGGGAAAGCTGACGGGAGAGAGCACAGCCCAATGACTCCCTGGTGCCTGGGTGTGCCCCCGGCCACTGTGGACACCTGAGGAAGGCCCAGTGCCCAACGCTTCCTCCTCCTGCAGGCTGTGCCCGCAGAAAGGCTGCCACGAGGCCGCGGCCCCTCCCAGCCAGGCCCTGGTCTCGGGAGAGACGAGCATACAGGCAGCAGGGGCCCCATCCTCTGGCCCCAACCACGAAGGTCTATCAGGCCAGCGATTCATGGAAGTCGGCTTACCAACAAGGTCAGATGCGTGGCTGATGTCTGCTGCCAGAGAGGCCGCCTCCACCACGATGTGGGCCACAGTGATGGGCTCCTCTGGGCCTGGTGCTGCCGGCACCACCTGCCAAAGGGGGAAGAAAACAGGGGAGTCGTCTGTATGCTCCAGAGTTAGTTCTCAGAGAAGAGGCCTGGGCTCTGCCAGTGTAAAGCTGTGGAGGTGTGACTTGTGGTGCTCAGGCCTGGGTCCACGTCCTTGGGACGGCTGGGGTGGGGGCTCTCCTCTTCCCCAACACGACCACCGGTCCCAGTCCAATCCCTTCACCCCCGGGCCAGGGTCAGCGCCGTCACTCTCACACCTCTGGCCACGTGGGCTGGACCTGGAGCACAGGGCGCCTGCAGGGAGGGAGCAGCAACTCTGGCAGGAAGCTGGGCCAGTCTGCAGGAACAATGGCACAGTCCCAGCCCGCCACATCCGGCAGAGCGGTGTGAGGAGAGGGCCCTGGAGGTGTGGGCCAGAGGCCTTCCTGGAGGAGGGGGCACCTCTGGGAGGAGCAGGTAAAGAGCACAGGCTCAGAGTGGGGTGTCCAGGGTCCAGCATCATCTGGGCCACGGCCCACTGGTGGCCAGAGGCCACTGACCACTTTCTGAGCCTGCTCTCCTGACCGTGCAATGCGGATGACAAGCGCCCGCTGCGGCGTGTGCGGGGTTCACAGGCCTGTGTATCCAGCCCAAGCTGGGCGTGGGGCTCAGCAAAGGTGGCCATTTGCTGATGAGATGGCGGGACCCCCCAGGGCCACACTTCACGTGTGAAGTCCCTAGGGACTGTGTGCACAGGACAGAAGATAAGCCAAAGAGACAGAAGCTGCCATGGTACCCCAGAGCCAAAGGAGACCCTCCAGCTCCAAGAAAGAAGAGATCCCGGCCCCCAACAGCACGGGCTTCGACCAGAGGCTGCCAAGAAGGCTGGGCCACCGCAGGCCCTCCAGGACGCCCCAGAGCACCACAGGCTCACACACCCGGACCCTCCCACACCGCAGCCAGGTGCCTGCCCTCTGCCCGCCCACGTGGCCCCCGGAACCGGCTGCACAGGTCCATCCTGAAGCGCGGCCACCTCCCCCACCTGTCAGGTGAACCCGGGAGGGGATGGGGGAGTGGGTGAGGGCTCACCTCCTGGCCCAGCAACGCTGTGGTGGCAGGGGTGGCAGGCAGGGCCTCCGGAGGGGCCCGCTGGCAGGCCTTCTGAATCTTGTGCTGAACAAAATCCTCCAAGGCGGTGAACTCTGCCTGGCAGCGGCCGCATCTGTGCACATCGTCCTCATCTGCAACGAGCCTGCTGTCAGCAGGGCCTGGGAAGGCGGAGGCTGGGCAGCCAGGGCTCCGTCTGGCTTTTCCTCCAGCCCTAGAACAGATTCCCCCAGGAGGCCATCAGAAGCAGAGCTACTTCCCCAGGCTGCTGAGAACACACTCGGGCCCAAAACAAGGTCATCCCAAGGTACAGCCCCTATCCTCTGCAGGTCTGCAGGGGCCAGACCCACCCTCAGGAGGTCAGCACCCAGCAGAGGGTGGCCCTGACAGCACGCTTAGGCTGCAGGGACCTGCTAAGGCTGCCATGCTCAAAACCCACCTCAGCGACTGACAGGCGAGAGGCCCAGAGAGGGGCTGGGAGGCAGAGGGACTCCTCCATGCTAATTTGGGGACAGTAAAGGACCAGGATTTAAGACTGCTGGGGCCGGGCATGGTGGCTCACACTTGTAATCTCAGCACTTTAAGGGGCCAAGGTGGGAGGATAGCTTGAGCCCAGGAGTTCAAGACGAGCCTGGTCAACATAGCAAGACCCATCTCTACCAAAAAAAAAAAAAAAAAAGTTTTTAAAACATTGTTAAACATTTAGGCTGGGTGTGGTGGCTCACACCTGTAATCCCAACACTTTGGGAGGCTGAGACAGGTGTATCACCTGAGGTCAGGAGTTCGAGACCAGCCTGACCAATATGGTGAAATCCCATCTCTACTAAAAATACAAAATTAGGGCGGTGGCTCATGCTTGTAATCCCAGCACTTTGGGAGGCTGAAGCGGGCGGATCATGAGGTCAGGAGATTGAGACCATCCTGGCTAACACCGTGAAACCCCGTCTCTACTAAAAATGCAAAAAACTTAGCCAGGCATGGTGGCAGGTGCCTATAGTCCCAGCTACTCGGGAGGCTGAGGCAGGAGAATGGCATGAACCCGGCAGGCAGAGCTTGCAGTGAGCCGAGATCACACCACTGCACTCCAGCCTGGGCGAAAGAGCGAGACTCCGTTTCAAAAAAAACAATATTAGCCAGGCTTGGTGGCGCATGCCTGTAATCCCAGCTATTCGAGAGGCTGAGGCAGGAGAATCACTTCAACCTGGGAGGCGAAGGTTGCAGTAAGCCAAGATCTCCCCATTGCACTCCAGCCGGGGCAACAGAGAGAGACTCCATCTCAAAAAACAAAACCAAAAAACAAACATTTAGCCAAGCGTGGAAGTGTGGCGGCATGCACCTGTAGTCCCAGCTATTCAGGAGGATTGATTGAGCCCAGGGGTGGAGGCTGCAGTAAGCCATGATCACACCACTGCACTTCAGCCAGGGCAACAGGGCAAGACCCTGCCTTAAAAGAAACAAAAACAAAACAAACAAACAAAAACTGCGGGAGTTTGAGCGTGCCCTGGAGCATGTGAGTGGCCATCTCCTCATCTGTAAAATGGGCTGGGGCCCAGGAGACTGATGCCCACTGGCTCTGGCTGAGAGGCAAATGCAGGGAGCTGACCCACAACCACTCTGCTCACTGACTTGGGACTTTACTGGTTCCCAAGGTTGAGCCCGTCACCATTGCTGTGCCGGACCCCGGTCGTGCAGAAGAGACCACCCCCTCACTGTGTGCCAAGCACCTCACTGGGGACGTCACCAAATCTTGCCAGCACCCTGTGGAAATGGAGAGAACTATTCCCATCCTAGGAAAATGACCTGAAGTTCAAGGTCACCAAACGGCTGAGTGTCAGGGACAGTACCTGTTTACACAAAGGGATAGGAGCTGTTTCTTCTGCTTCCATAAAAGCCTGCCAGCTCTGACCATTCACCTTCAGTCCCTCGGCAGGATCAAACCCAGGCCTGATGCCCGAAGGAGCTGGGCAAATGTTTACTGTTGAATTTGAGGGCGGAGAAAGGGCCAAACCACAGCTATGACTCGCCTGCAGGGGCCACCCAACAGAGTCGTCCTCTCCTGATGGCTCCCAGTCACAAACCAAGCTCTAAGGTGCCCACCACCCTCTTCCCCTTCCCACCCTACTCCTGTGTCTCACTCGGCTCCAGGGCATTGCCACTGAAGAACCCCCTACCCCAGAAGGGGACACACCCAGCCCATTTCACACCAGACAAGGCCACAAGCAGGCCCAGCAACCTCTAAAGGGACTCCTCGCCATGAGGGCACTGCCCTTCTCCAAGCTGGAACGAGAAGGGGCAAGGAAAAAAGGCAGAGACTATGAATCCTATGGGGACAAAGACAAGACCACCCTCAACCCAATCATTAACAACCTCCCTTCCTGTCTGACCCAATCTGCATCTTTTTTTTTTTTCTTTCAAGGCGGAGTCTCGCTTTGTTGCCCAGGCTGGAGTGCAGTGGGGCGATCTCAGCTCACTGCAAGCTCTGCCTCCTGGGCTCATGCCATTCTCCTGCCTCAGCCTCCTGAGAAGCTGTGACTACAGGCGC
Organism: Homo sapiens; assembly: GCF_000001405.40. Taxonomy (NCBI): domain Eukaryota; kingdom Metazoa; phylum Chordata; class Mammalia; order Primates; family Hominidae; genus Homo; species Homo sapiens. The sequence goes on along the minus strand of NC_000016.10, from coordinate 2,225,963 downwards.
CTGCCACCACGGCCAGCTAATTTTTTGTATTTTTAGTAAGACAGGGTTTCACCTGTTAGCCAGGGTGGTCTCGATCTCCTGACCTCGGGATCCGCCCGTCTCAGCCTCCCAAAGTGCTGGGATTACAGGCGCGAGCCATTGCGCCCAGCCTTTTTTTTTTTTTTTTTTTTTTCCTAAACAGAGACTGGGAGGAGCCGGGCACGGTGGCGCACGACTGTATTCCCAGCACTTTGGGAGGCTGAGGCGGGCAGATCACCTGAGGTCGGGAGTTCAAGACCAGCCTGGCCAACATGGAGAAATCCAGTCTCTACTAAAAATGCAAAATTAGCCGGGTGTGATGCCGCGTGCCGTAATCCCAGCTACTCAGGAGGCCGAGTCAGGAGAATAGCTTGAACCCGGGAGGCGGAGGTTGCGGTGAGCCGAGATCGCACCATTGCACTCCAGCCTGGGCAACAAGAGAGAAACGCCGTCTCAAAAAAAAAAAAAAAGAAAATAGAGACGGGGTCTTACTATGTTGCCCAGGCTGGTCTGGAACTCCTTGGGCTCAAGTGATCCTCTCACCTCAGCCTCCCAAAGTGTTGGGGTTACAGGTATGAGCCACAGTGCCCAGCCATCTGCAGCCTCATAGGACAAGCTCAGAGGGTACAGACCCAAGCTCCATCTCCAAAAGCTCTCAGTGCCCCCAGGAATGAGCCCTTAGTGCATCCCCAACACTGCTCTCGGCACATGACACACAATCTTTTTTCTTTTTTTGAGACAGTCTTGCTCTGTCACCCAGGCTGGAGAGCAGTGGTGCGATCTCGGCTTACTGCGACCTCCGTCTCCTGGGCTCAAGCAATTCTCCTACCTCACCTTCCCAAGTAGCTGGGATTACAGACGCGCACCACCACGCCCAGCTAATTTTTGTATTTTTAGTAGAGAAGGGGTTTCACCATGTTGGCCAGGCTGGTCTCGAACTCCTGACCTCAGGTGATCCACCCACCTTGGCCTCCCAAAGTGCTGGGATTACAGGCGTGAGCCACTGCGCCTGGCCACAATCTTTATTTTAATTCCCATGATGCTTCTATGAGGCAGCAGAGCCCGGAAGTTAAAGGGGCTGTGAAGGCCTTCACAGTGCTGAGATCCAATCCAACCCTTGCTACTTAACTACCTGGGTGACCCTGGTCATTTTCTTTTCTTTTGAGACGGAGTCCGGCTCTGCCGCCCAGGCTGGAGTGCAGTGGCGCGGTCTCGGCTCACCGCAAGCTCCACCTCCCGAGTTCACGCCATTCTCCGCCTCAGCCTCCCCACTACAGGCGCCCGCCACCACGCCCGGCTAATTTTGTTTTTTTGTATTTTTAGTAGAGACGGGTTTCACCATGTTGGCCAGGATGGTCTCCATCTCCTGACCTCGTGACCCGCCCGTCTCGACCTCCCAAAGTGCTGGGATTACAGGCGTGAGCCACCGCACCCAGCCCACCCGGTCACTTTCAGGTCTCCAACCTTCGATTTTCCTCATCCCCAAAATGAGAATAACAATAACATCCACCTGTCAGGACTGGTTTGAGAATGAAAAAACCTAAAGCAGGATAAGGGCTTGTTACATTACTGGCAGAAGCCGCCGCCCCATTCTGTAGGGGAAATAGAGGTTCACAGAGGTAGGGTCACCTACCCAGGATCAAAGAACTAGAAAGCGGCAAGTGTGGGACTGGAAGGGGCCACAGGCTGGCTGCAGTGCACCAGCCCTCTTGCACTAGGCTCTGCTGCCTCCCTACGGACAGGCCCAGAGCCCAGATCCTGGAGAAACCGAGGCCCCACCCTCTTGGAACCACCAACAGGGCCCTAGACGCCCATCAGGTGCAGGAGGAAGGGGCCCAGAGGAGGGGAGGGCCAGGCTCAGGCATCGGAGGCAGAGAAGGGCCGGGACGCCGGCGTCTGCGAATGTCTACACCGGGCGCCCGGGGGCTCAGCAACCCGCGAGCACTTGTGGACGCACACCAGAGAGGGGGGATGACAGGCGCCCCGCAGGAGAGGCCCGTGAGGGTCGCAGCAAACCTGGGGGTTTCGTGGAGGGCTGTGAGGGTCCCGCGAGATCCGCGAGGTGTCTGGGTCTGGGAGGGTCGGTCGAGCCCGCAGCTCGGGCCATCCGGGCCTCTGCCAGCCCGGGATGAACTGCCCGCACCCCGGCCGCACCCTCCGGGTCGGCCCGGTTACCTTCCTCGCTGAAGGGCGCCGGGAGGCCGAGGAAGCCGCTGGGGGCCAAGGCCGCCGCCACCGCCGCAACTGCACCCTCGCCCGCTTCCCGCCCGGCTTCGGCCTGGGCTTCTGCCGTATGAGCGGCCGTCACCCGCACTGCCATCGCGCCCTCCATGTCGCAACGCGCCGCAGGAAGATGGCGGATTTACGACCATGTCGTCATAACAACGGGCCGCGCCGAGGCCAGCGTGAGGGAACGGCAAGAGGAGGGCGGGGCAGAACCGGAGCGGATTGACGGACAGGCGGGGAGCCGGGCCTGGATAGCGGTGTGGCCTTAAAGGGCAGAGGCGGGGCCGGGCGCGCTGAGAGCGAAGATGGGGCGGGACTGTGGGGAGGGCGTGGTTACGGTGGAGCAGATTGCCAGCCAGGGGGCGGGGCGGCAGAAGGACCTATGTTCGAGGCTGCACTCGGATTTGAGAGCCAGAGAACGCGAGGGGCGAGCGGACTGGCGGCTGCTAGGCAGCCGCGCCCCAGCGCTTCCGTACCTAAGGACAGGTCGCCCCGCCCGCGGCTGCTGCTGGGAAGCCGCCACAGCTCCAACCAGGGGTGTGGTGCCTGCTGCCCACTGACCGCCTAGGGTGTTAGAGCCTCCCAAGATGGTTACCCGGGTCACGGGAAAAGAACACGGGTCGGGGATGGCTCATGGGTAGCTCTGCGAAGCTGTTTTATTCTTTTATATACTTTTAATTTTTTTTTCTTTCTTTTTTGAGACGGAGTCTCTTTCTATCGCCCAGGCTGGAGTGCAGTGGCGCGATCTCGGCTCACTGCAAGCTCTGCCTCCCGGGTTCACGCCATTCTCCTGCCTCAGCCTCCTGAGTAGCTGGGACTACAGGTGTCCGCCACCACGCCAGGCTAATTTTTTGTATTTTTAGTAGAGACGGGGTTTCACCGTGATAGCCAGGATGGTCTCGATCTCCTGACCTCGTGATCCGCCCGCCTCGGCCTCCCAAAGTGCTGGGATTACAGGCGTGAGCCACCGTGCCCAGCCACTTTTTAAATTTTTTAAAATTTATTTGCATTATGTATTTTAAATAGAGACAGGGTCTTGCTGTTTAGACTAGGCTGGTCTCAAACTCCTAGCCTCAAACCATTTTCCCATTTCGGCCTCCCAAAGTGCTAGGATGACAGGCGTGAGCCACGACTCCCAGCCACGTTGAATTTTTGGTTTTGGAGATGGGGGTTGTTTTTGGTTTTTGTTTGTTTGGGGTGTTTGTTTTTGAGACAGAGTCTCACTCTATCACCTAGGCTGGAGTGCAATGGCGCGATCTCACTGCAGCCTCCGCCTCCTGGGTTCAAATGATTGTCCTGCCTCAGCCTCCCGAGTAGCTGGGACTACAGGAGTGCACCACCATGGCCAGCTAATTTTTGTATTTTTAGTAGAGACAGGGTTTCACCATGTTGGCCTAGATGGTCTCAAGCTCTTGACCTCACGATCTGCCCGCCTCGGCCTCCCAAAGTGCTGGGATTACAAGCATGAGCCACCGCGCCCGGCCTGTTTTTGTTTTTTGAGATGGAGTCTCGCTCTGTCACCTAGGCTAGAATGCAACGGCACGATCTTGGTTCACTGCAATCTCCGCCTCCCAGGTTCAAGCGATTCTCCTGCCTCAGCCTCCTGAGTAGCTGGGACTACAGGCAACTGCCACCACACCCGGCTAATTTTTTTATATTTTTAGGAGAGACGGAGTTTCACCATGTTGGCCATGCTGGTTTTGAACTCCTGACCTCAGGTGATCCGTCCCCCTTGGCCTCCCAAAGTGCTGGGATGACAGGCATGAGCCACCGAGCCTGGCCAGATTTTTTTTTGAAACAGCACCTTGCTCTGTCGCCCAGGCTGGAGTGCAGTGCCGTGATCTCAGCTCACTGCAGCCTCTACCTCAACCACCCAAGTAGCTGGGACTACAGGTGCCCATCACTAGCTAATTTTTGTATATTTTGTAGAGATGGGTTTTTGCCATGTTGCCTAGGCTGCTATAGAACTCCTGAGTTCAAGCGATCTGCCTGCCTCAGCCCTCTTACATACTTTTAAAAAATTGTGGGCCAGGCACAGTGGCTCACTCCCGTAATCCCAGCACTTTGGGAGGCTGAGGTGGGTGGATCACCTGACATCAGGAGTTCAAGACCAAGCAGGCCAACATGGCAAAATTACGTCTTTACTAAAAATACAAAAATTATCTGGGTGTGGTGGTGCACGCGTGTAATCCTAGCTACTCAGGAGGCTGAGGCAGGAGAATCGTTTGAACCTGGGAGGCAGAGGTTTCAGTGAGCCGAGATCGTGCCACTGTACTCCGGCCTGGGCAACAGAGCAAGATTCCGTCTCAAAAAAAACTGTGGTAAGTGCACATAAAATTTACTATTAGCGACATTCACAGTGTTGTGCAACTATCACAGCTATGTGGGTACAGAACCTTTCCGGCACCCTGAAAGGAAACCTGTGCCTTTGAAGCAGTGATTCCCCATCCGCCCCTCCCTGCCAGCCCTGGGTAGACGCCAGTCTACCTTCTGCCTCCATGATAAATTTACCTGTTGTGAACATGTCCTACAATATGTGACTTTCATTGTTTGTTTTTTGAGGGTCTCACTCTGTCATCCAAGCTGGAGTGCAGTGGCATGATCTCGGCTCACTGCCACCTCCGCCTCCCGGGTTCACGCCATTCTCCTGCCTCAGCCTCCGGAGTAGCTGGGACGACAGATGCCCGCCACCATGCCTGGCTAATTTTTTTGCATTTTTAGTAGAGATGGGGTTTCACCATGTTAGCCAGGATGGTCTTGATTTCTTGACCTCGTGATACGTCCGCCTTGGCCTCCCAAAGTGCTGCGATTACAGGCGTGAGCCACTGCGCCTGGCCCTGTTTTGTTTGCTTTGAGATAGGGTCTCACTCTGTCACCCAGGCTGGAGTGCATTGGTGTGATCCTAGCAGCCTCCACCTCCAGGCTCAGGTAAGGTGATCGGCAGTCAGGTTGGGGTAACAATGGGCCCGCTTTCTGCAAGTAGGTTGCTCACCACTGCAAGGTTTTGAGCAGAGGGAATGATGGTGGGTGTTGCAGAAACATCCCTCTAACTGCTGCACAGAAAAAGGGACTTTAGGCCGGGCCCAGTGACTCACGCCTGTAATCCCAACACTTTGGGAGGCTGAGGCGGGCAGATCACCTGAGGTCAGGAGTTCAAGACAGCCTGACCAATATGGTGAAAGCCCGTCTCTAGTAAAAATACAAAAATTAGCCGGGTGTGGTGACGGCTGCCTGTAGTCCCAGCTACTCGGGAGGCTGAGACAGGAGAATGGCCTGAACCCGGGAAGCGGAGGTTGCAGTGAGCCGAGATCTCGCCACTGCACTCCAGCCTGGGTGACAGATCGAGACTCTGTCTCAAAAAAAAAAAAAAAAAGGGGATTTTAGGGCTTAAGCAGAAGCAGGAAGGGGCTCAGAAAGCCACTGAGAGCCAGAATGGGTGGTCTCTGAGTGGGGCAAACAGAACGAAGAGCAGGTTGGAGCTTTTGGAGCTTGAGGGTTCTGGGGAGCTGCTGGGGAGGAGGACCAGGAGACAGGTGGGTGAGGTGAAGCCATGGAGGAGGTGAGTGCAGAGCCCCAAAAGACCTCCATTCATGGTGTGCTGAGGAGTAACTGAGAAGCCGGTATCCAGGGGATTTAGGGGTATGGATGGGATGATTGTCCCCTCTAAACTCATGCTGAAACTTTATCCCCAATGTAACAGCATTAAGAGGTGAGGCCTTCAGCCGCCCCATCCGGGAGGGAGGTGGGGGGGTCAGCCCCCCGCCCAGCCAGCCGCCCCGTCCGGGAGGTGAGGGGCGCCTCTGCCCGGCCACCCCTACTGGGAAGTGAGGAACCCCTCTGCCCGGCCACCACCCCGTCTGGGAGGTGTGCCCAACAGCTCATTTAGAACGGGCCAGGATGACAATGGCGGCTTTGTAGAATAGGAAGGCGGGAAAGGTGGGGAAAAGATTGAGAAATCGGATGGTTGCCGTGTCTGTGTAGAAAGAGGTAGACATGGGAGACTTTTCATTTTGTTCTGTACTAAGAAAAATTCTTCTGCCTTGGGATCCTGTTGATCTGTGACCTTATCCCCAACCCTGTGCTCTCTGAAACATGTGCTGTGTCCACTCAGGGTTGAATGGATTAAGGGCGGTGCAAGATGTGCTTTGTTAAACAGATGCTTGAAGGCAGCATGCTCCTTAAGAGTCATCACCACTCCCTAATCTCAAGTACCCAGGGACACAAACACTGCGGAAGGCTGCAGGGTCCTCTGCCTAGGAAAACCAGAGACCTTTGTTCACTTGTTTATCTGCTGACCTTCCCTCCACTATTGTCCTATGACCCTGCCAAATCCCCCTCTGTGAGAAACACCCAAGAATGATCAATAAAAATAAAAATAAAAATAAAAATAAAAATAAAAAAAGAGGTGAGGCCTTTAAGAGGCAAAGGGGGCCGGGAGCGGTGGCTCACGCCTGTAATCCCAGCACTCTGGGAGGCCGAGGCAGACGGATCATCTGAGGTCAGAAGTTTGAGACCAGCCTGGCCAACACAGCAGAAACCCCCATCTCTATTAAAAATACAAAAGTTGGGCCGGGCACGGTGGCTCATGCCTGTAATCCCAGCACTTTGGGAGGCCGAGGCGGGGGGATTAAAAGGTCAGGAGTTCAAGACCATCCTGACCAACATGGTGAAACCCCGTCTCTACTAAAAATACAAAAATTAGCCAGGCCTGGTGGCATGTGCCTGTAATCCCAGCTACTCAGGAGGCTGAGGCAGGAGAATCGCTTGAACCTAGGAGGTGGAGGTTGCAGTGAGTCGAGATCATGCCATTGCACTCCAGCCTGGGCAACAGAGCGAGACTCTGTCTCAAAAAAAAAAAAAAAAAAAAAAAAAAGTTGCCGGGCGCGGTGGCTCACGCCTGTAATCCCAGCACTTTGGGAGGCCAAGGAGGGCGGATCACGAGGTCAGGGTATTGAGACCATCCTGGCTAACATGGTGAAACCCTGTCTCTACTAAAAAAAAAAAAAAAAAATCAGCCGGGTGTGGTGGCACACGCCTGTAGTCCCAGCTACTCGGGAGGGCGAGACAGGAGAATCGCTTCAACCCGGAGGCGGAGGTTGCAGTGAGCCGAGATCGCGCCACTGCACTCCAGCTTGGGCAACAGAGCGAGACTCGGTCTCAAAACGAACAAAAAAAAAATACAAAAGTTAGCCAGGTGTGGTGACACACACCTATAATCCCAGCTACTAGGGAGGCTGAGGCAGGAGAATTGCTTGAACCTGGTGGGGCGGAGGTTGCAGTCAGCTGAGATGGCACCACTGCCCGCCAGCCTGGGTAACAAAGTGAGACCGTATCTCAAAAAGAAAAGGGCATCCTGATCAGGTGACCTCAGGCCCTGCTTTGCCCAGAGCCCAGGCCACTGGCAAGCATGGGAGTGGATAGACCCTTGGAAGGCAGAGAGGCCAGGCACAGGCAGCAAGACTAGACCCTCCCTTTCTCCAAACGGCCTCCTTTCCCATGCAGGCCTCAGCCTGGCTCAACAGAATAATGCCTGTGGACATTCCACAGCCAGACCCAAACAGGAACTACAAAATCCTTTTTTTTTTTTTTTTTGAGATCGAGTCTCACTCTGTCACCCAGGCTGGAGTGCAGTGGTGCAACCTTGGCTCACTGCAACCTCCGCCTCCTGGGTTCAAGCAATTCTGCCTCAGCCTCCCAAGCGTGTGCTACCACGCCCGGCTAATTTTGTATTTTTAGTAGAGATGGGGTTTCTCCATGTTAGTAAGGCTGGTCTCTAACTCCTGACCTCAGGTTATCTGCCCTCCTCGGCCTCCCAAAGTGCTGGGATTACAGGCGTGAGCCACCGCGCCTAGCGGGCTACTTATATTTTCTATTGCAATGTAAATTGATGCAACTCTGTTAAGGTGAAATAGTGTCTGTTCTCGTGCCACTGAAAGCCATCCCCAGGTCGGCTTGCAGTACAAGATCCTTACTTGGGGAGACACTGGGGCCATCCCCTCACAGATAGAGACTGAATGCCTCCTGTGTGGGGGGCACCCAAAGGGGTCCTCTAGCCCCAGATGCAGGGCCACATCACCCTGTTCCCAAAGTCAGTCCTCTCCTATAAAGCGCACTTTCCTCCCAGCCTCCGCCAGGACCTTCCCCACAAGTGACCATGCCTCCCCTCCTACCTGCACACATACAGGCATATTCTGAGGACGTTAAGCCGACCAGATGGGGCAGAGCTCAGCTTTGGGGTTGACTGAGTTTAATCCCAACTCAACCTTGTCCAGCCGGCGACTCTCGGTGGCTCAGTTTGGCCATCTATAAATGGAGATGTGAATAATCCCTGCCTCTCAGGCCTGTCCTGTGACTCTGAGGAGGTAATGCAGGGAAGGAGCGGTGCAGCGGCCTAGGTGCTCACAGAGTGCCCAGGAAGCCAAGGCAGCCGGGCAAGTGTGGGAGAAGATGGCCCATGGCTGGGTATCATCAACAGTTCCCATTCCAGCCGTTGTCTCAAATCAACTACCTGTTGCTCTGTGGTAAAAGCAGAGTGTGATTCTTGTCAAATCCAGTTCTGCTCAAAGTCAAAGTCATCTTTTTTTTTTTTTTTTTTTTTTTTGATAGGAGTCTTGCTCTGTTGCCCAGGCTGGAGTGCAGTGGTGCAATCTCGGCTCACTGCAGCCTCCGCCTCCCAGGTTCAAGCGATTCTCCTGCCTCATCCTCTCAAGTAGCTAAGATTACAGGCATGTGCCACCACATACGGCTAATTTTTGTACTTTTGGCAGAGATGGGGTTTCACCATATTGGCCAGGCTGGTCTCCAACTTCTGACCTCAGGTGATCTGCCCGCCTCGGCCTCCCAAAGGGCTGGGATCATAGGTGTGAGCCACAGCACCCAGCCAGGATGAATTTCACAAACATTATGTTAAACCGTAGAAGCAAGAGCCAGAAGCACATACCGTATAATCCCAAGTATAAAGCAGTCCGGAGGCTTGGTTGTGACTCTATGGTGATAGGAGTCAGAAAAGTAGTCAGCAATGTGCTATCTGCTATTGACTGGATAGGAACAAGAGGGAACTTCCTGGGGTGTTGGAAATACTTTATACTTTGGTCTGGGTTATGTTTACACAAGCATATACATATGTAAAAAAATCTGCTGGGTGCGGCAGCTCACGCCTGTAATCCTAGCCCTTTGGGAGGCCAAGACAGGAGGATCACTGGAGGCCAGGAGTTGGAGACCAGCCTGGCCAACATAGTGGGACTCCGTCTCTACAAAAAATTTAAATTAAAAAAAAAATTAGGCGTAGTGGCACACACCTCTGGTCCCAAATACTTTGGAGGCTTAGGTAGGAGCATCACATGAGCCTAGGAGGTCAAGGATACAGTGAGCTGTGATAAGGCTACAGTGAGCTGTGATCTAGCCACTCCACTCCAGCCTGGGGGACAGAGCAAGACCCTGTCGCAAAATATATATATACATGTAAAAATGTAAAACTTCCGGCCGGGCGCCATGGCTCACGCCTGTAATCCCAGCACTTTGGGAGACCAAGGTGGGCGGATCACGAGATCAAGAGATCAAGACCATCCTGGCTAACACGGTGAAACCCCGTCTCTACTAAAAAATACAAAAAAATTAGCCAGGCGTGGTGGCCGGCGCCTGTAGTCCCAGCTACTCAGGAGGCTGAGGCAGAAGAATGGCGTGAACCCGGGAGGCGGAGCTTGCAGTGAGCCGAGATCGCGCCACTGCACTCCAGCCTGGGCAACAGAGCAAGAGACTCCGTCTCAAAAAATAATAATTAAAAAAATAAAAGGCCGGGCGCGGTGGCTCACGCCTGTAATCCAAGCACTTTGGGAGGCCGAGGCGGGCGGATCACGAGGTCAGGAGATCGAGACCATCCTGGCTAACACGGAGAAACCCCGTCTCTACTAAAAATACAAAAAATTAGCCGGGCGTGGTGCCATGCGCCTGTAGTCCCAGCTACTCGGGAGGCTGAGGCAGGAGAATGGCGTGAACCCGGGAGGCGGAGCTTGCAGTGAGCCGAGATGGCGCCACCGCACTCCAGCCTGGGCGACAGAGCGAGACTCCGTCTCAAAAAGTAAATAAATAAGTAAATAAAATAATAATAAATGTAAAACTTCCATCGAGCTGCACGGTTTTCATGCCCTTTACTGTAATGTTTTGCCTCAATTAAATACCTAATAATTGATGACGATGACGGCGAGCAATCACTGAGTACCAGGTTCTAGACAGTGTCCTTAGACCCTAATCCCCCAGCCTGGTAATGGCTGGTTCGTGTTACCTCCAAGGAACCGGGAACGCGTTTTTGCAAAGGACTGAGGCGCGTACTCACGCCTGCCGGGGAAGGAGCCCCGGGCTGGCTCGCGGGACTGGCCGGTAAGCGACCCACGTGGTGGCCCCGTGTCCCGAGCGCGTCCACGGCACAGAGGCACGGGCACGGCCGACGAAGGTGCCCCGGCCCCCTCCCGCGGCGCTCCTGCGAGAGCCCCGCCCATGCCCGCGGGAGAGACCGGCCAATGGACAGCCGGCCTGGCCCGGGTCACTCCGTGAAGGGCCTCGTCACCTAGGCTGACCACTCGCTTCCAATGGGTGAGCGGCCCGCGGCAGCCCGGGAACAGCGGCCTTGCGCCTGCGCTGCTCTCCCCTCTGGCGCATTTCCGCAGCGAGCGCTTCACTCCGAATGCCGGTTGGAGCCCTGCCAGCCAATCACCGGGGCGTCCCAAGGCCGGTAGCCAATGATCGCCCCTCTCCCCGCGCCGGGCCTCACCGATTGGCGCTGAGCTCCCGCAGCCCGCGGGAGGCGGGGGCGGATTGGCGAAGGTGCAGGCCAATGGGCGGCGGGCGCGAGGCGCTGGGCCAATGAGCGCCCCGGGGGCGGGGAGGGCGCCGCGGCGGGCGGCTGCGAGGAGCGGCCGGCGGGCGGCGGCGGCCGGCGGGCGGCGATGGCGGCGGCGGAGGCCGGTGGCGACGACGCCCGCTGCGTGCGGCTGAGCGCCGAGCGGGCACAGGCGCTGCTGGCCGACGTGGACACGCTGCTGTTCGACTGCGACGGCGTGCTGTGGCGCGGGGAGACCGCCGTGCCTGGCGCGCCCGAGGCCCTGCGGGCGCTGCGAGCCCGCGGCAAGCGCCTGGGCTTCATCACCAACAACAGCAGCAAGACCCGCGCTGCCTACGCCGAGAAGCTGCGGCGCCTGGGCTTCGGCGGCCCCGCGGGGCCCGGCGCCAGCCTGGAGGTCTTCGGCACGGCCTACTGCACCGCGCTCTACCTGCGCCAGCGCCTGGCCGGCGCCCCCGCGCCCAAGGCCTACGTGCTGGGCAGCCCAGCCCTGGCCGCGGAGCTGGAGGCCGTGGGCGTCGCCAGCGTGGGCGTGGGGCCCGAGCCACTGCAGGGCGAGGGTCCCGGCGACTGGCTGCACGCGCCGCTGGAGCCCGACGTGCGCGCGGTGGTGGTGGGCTTTGACCCGCACTTCAGCTACATGAAGCTCACCAAGGCCCTGCGCTACCTGCAGCAGCCCGGCTGCCTGCTCGTGGGCACCAACATGGACAACCGGCTTCCGCTTGAGAACGGCCGCTTCATCGCGGGTCCGTGCGCCCTGGGGCGGGAGGCTGGGGGGCGGGCGGCGGGCCCCCTCCCTGCCCTTTGACCCGGTCCCCTGTGCCCCGCAGGTACCGGGTGTCTGGTCCGAGCCGTGGAGATGGCCGCCCAGCGCCAGGCCGACATCATCGGGAAGCCCAGCCGCTTCATTTTCGACTGCGTGTCCCAGGAATACGGCATCAACCCCGAGCGCACCGTCATGGTGGGAGACCGCCTGGACACAGACATCCTCCTAGGCGCCACCTGTGGCCTGAAGACCATCCTGACCCTCACCGGAGTCTCCACTCTAGGGGATGTGAAGAATAATCAGGAAAGTGACTGCGTGTCTAAGAAGAAAATGGTCCCTGACTTCTATGTTGACAGCATAGCCGACCTTTTGCCTGCCCTTCAAGGTTAAAGATTGAGTGTCTTTAATCTGCAGAATAAAAAAAAAGAAATTGAAAACCAGTTACCCAAATTAATAGGTGGGGCTTAAGCATCTGCTCGGCTAAGTGGCTTCAAAGAGTGTAATTGGAGTTAAGCAAAGGCATTCATTGTTAACCTTGTAAGTACACGTTTGGGGGACGATTTTGTTTACAGATGCTTGTAATCGAAGATGCACTTTTAGGCTTGGAAGGCGTTGTGGGCTGGGTTCTGGGCCTTGGGTGGGGTTGGCAGGGGCAGGCTCTGCACCTGTCCGGGATTCAGGTAACCAGGGCCTGCCGATGGGACTGAGGCGGGTCTAGGGGTGTGTGTCCTGTATTTTATTGAAAAACTCATTCAGGGATCCAGCCCCTCAGGGGGCAGAGGGACTGATTATTCTGACTGTTGGGAGAGGCTTGCATGGACCAGAGCCCCATCAGTATGACTGAAAGTCCAGCGGAGCCTTCTGTGTCCCTGTGCCTCCCAGCAGGGTGGGAGTGGAGGAGGCGGCTGCTCCCAGGTGGCATCTCCCTGCCCTTGGGTGCAAAGTGCTGCCCTCACCACTCTCCCACCTCCCTTACTTCCTTGAAAACCACTCTGATGTCACAACTGAGTGTCTGTTCCGTTTCAGATACCCAGGGCTGCTGCCCAGTTCTGTAAACGCAGCCCAGCTAAAGCTCTGCTGTCTCAAGTGTGCATTTATACCCAGGTGATTTGGACGGAGCAGCTACCATGGCGTGGACGCCTTCACTGAACTCCGGGCTGCAGTGCAGGGAGCTCAGAGCAGTGCTGCTACCAGTTTTTAACTTTGAACAACTGTGTCAGGCAATGGATTTGAATTTTAAGTGTATTAATAGCTGTGCTCTGTGTCGTAGGCAAAATTCCACTGAAGGAGCCTCTGTGCCCTGCAGCCGGCAGCGCGGCTGAAGCATGTGTTGGCCAAGGAATGCCTGTCATCCAGGTGCCCTGCAGCCAGCAGCGCGGCTCAAGCATGTGTTGGCCAAGGAATGCCTGTCAGTCATCCAGGGCTCTGGGAGGGGACGAGAGTTATGTCCCCAAGAACAGGAAGTCCTTTACAAAGCATCCAGTCTCTTCCTGTCCTCCCCTTCCCTAGGCTGGGGTAGGGGTTAGAGACTGGTGGCCCAGGAGGTCACCTGCCTTGCCCTGGATTCCCTCTTCAGTGGCCAGCAGGACTTGGCAGGGCCACCAGCTCGCCAAGGTTCTGGGCGGGGCTCCAGCCTCTCCTGCCTGCTCCTTGGCTCTGCTGACCTTTCACAGGCCTGACAGCAGACTCAGCAGGGCCATCCCGGGATGCTGCACCTTCTGGCTGGCTCCCTACCAGCGCCTTTCCCTGTACCTGGCAGCTTCTCTCTTGGCCCCACAGTCACAGCACTCCACTTGGTCACAAAGACTTCAGAGCAATAAGAGGCGTCCTGAGCCTTCAGCACCTCCCAGGCCTGGGATATCGGGTTCAGAGGGTGCTGCAGAGCAGCATGAGGGTGGCTCCACCCATGAGGCTGGTGACACTGACGCTGGCTTGGCTAAGTTGGCTCAAGCCGGGTCTGGCCTGACAGGGTGCAGTCACACCAGGAGCGCATGGCAGATGCAGCCTCAGTGATGCCTCTCTTGCCGGGTAGGGGCTGGGAGTCCCCGTGCATCCTGTCTCTGGCCCATGAGGGGCTGCAGCACTGTGGGCGCCAGAGCACAGATTAAACTCTCAAACCCACACTGGCTCAGGTGTCCTTGCTCTCACCTTGCATTGGCCCGGGTGATGCCGTCTCACCACGGGTGGGAGGACTCAAAGTAGATGGGTAACTGGGGTTCCAACTCCAGAGCTGGAATGCCAACTGCCCACTCCCAGCCTGGTTCAGAGGAAGATGTTTTGAAGAATGAGGGAAAGCCAGGCACAAAGGGAAGCCAGGGAAGCAAAGGGCCCTGGAGTGAAGCTGGTGGGCTGCCGTGTCAGAGCGCCCAGGGCAGGGAGCAGAGCTCAGAAGTAATGCTGGCCCGGGCGCAGTGGCTCACACCCGTAATCCCAACGCTTTGGAAGGCTGAGGCAGGTGGATTACTTGAGATCAGGAGTTCAAGACCAGCCTGGCCAAAATGGTGAAAACCCATCTCTACTAAAAATACAAAAATTAGCGGGACTTGGTGGCATGTATCTGTAATCCCAGCTACTAGGGAGGCTGAGGCATGAGAATTGTGTGAACCCGGGAGGCAGAGGTTGCAGTGAGCTGAGATCACGCCACTGCACTCCAGCCTGGGGGACACAGCGAGACTCCGTCTCAAAAAAAAAAAAGTTGGGCTAGGCGGGCCCCCGAGGCTGGCCTGACTGTCCCAGGGGCACAGGCTCCAGCAGGCTGCCTGTCTGTGGTCCAGGCTTCAGGAACCCCCGGTCTTGGGTGTGCGGGGGCTGGGAAGTGGCTGGGGGTGCACAGTCCCACACCTGTCATTCACTGAACAGGCACGTATTGACAGCTTGTGGCGTGTCAGGCCCTGTGCCCAACTCTGGGAGTCAAGGATAACCTGACAGACTCAGGCCACTTTAGGAAAACGAAATCCACCCCAACCACACTTAGCGAGTCACCCTGGCCGGGCCTGGGCTGCCCTCCAGTCGGTCAGCCGGACTGGATTTCCACGCGGCCGAGCCCTACGCCTCCCAGACCCTGAGCTCCAGTCTGCACAGGCCAGGTGTCTGGAGCCGGGCCTGGTGACAGGCATCCCCCAGGTGGGAGGAGGGGCTGTCCTGGCTCTGACCTGGATATCAGATCCAGAGCTGAGGGGGAGGCGCAGGGTCAGGAGGGGAGGGGTTCTGTTCTGAGTTTCCCCTGGCCAAGGCTGCAGACAAGGGACGCAGACAATCGGCACATTGTGAGCAGGGGCTGCAGGATGGAACCAGCAAGCTGCTGTGCTGAGCGCCCCAAACCTGGGCCTACAGGGGTGAGTGCCTCCCGTTACTCCTGCAGCAAGGACCCAGGGGGTGCCCCAGGCCACCCAGCCCCTCCCTTCCCCAGCCCACTTGCTCCCTGATGTCTAACCCTCATGACCCTTCTGACCCTGATGCACGCCCAGGTGAAGACCAAGCCCTCCTGCGGGGGCTGGAGAGCCGTGAGCCTGCTCCTGCTGCTGCTGCTGCTGGTGCTGGCCGCTGTGGGGGTTGTGGCTGGAGGGCTTCTTGGCTCTGCTCAGGGCCCTCCCAAGGTGAGCCCCTCCTCAGCACCAGGGACATGGACAGTGGAAAGGGAGAAGGGAAGCTGGCATATCCCAGCCTCCAGCAGAGCAAGGGTGCGGAGCAGGCAGTGACACCACCTAGGAGCAGACAGCCAGAGGACCAAGGGGTGGAAGGGCCCACTCAGGGGTGTCAGGAGTCCTGCAGCCCAGAGCTGGAGGCTGTGCTGGGGTTGCACAGCTGCCCGGCTGAACTCCAACTCCCACTGCCAGCCAAGGCTGCAGACGCTGCGAATGACCCTCCCGAGCCCCCACATGCCCCGGCCCAACCAAACCATCCTGGTGGACGTGGCCCGGAACGCGGCGACCATCACAGTGACCCCACCTCAGAGCAACCACAGCTGGGCGGTGCTGTTCGACGGGCAGAGCGTGAGTGGGCAGGGAGGGGTCACCCTGGCAGGTGTCGGTCTGGGGGGCCCCGCCTCACCCCCCTGCCTCCCCAGGGCTGCATCTGTTACCGCCCTGAGGAGCACCAGGTCTGCTTCCTCCGCCTGATGGAGGACAGTGATCGGGAGACCCTGCGGCTGCTGGTGGATACCTCCAAGGTGAGCCGTCCTGCTGGGCGCAGGCCCGGGCCAGGGGCTAGACAAAGGGTCCTGTGTGCAGCCCAGTACGGGACAGGCTGGAGCTGTGGTTTCAGGGAACAGGAAGCTCTCTCCGCCCTAAGCCCAGGCTGCTGACAAGAGCTGAGGGTGGGGACATCACTGGGGGTTGGAGGGTACCCGGCCCTGCCAAGCCAGGAGCAGGGAGCAGCCCTGTCCCACCGCCCACCAGAGCCTTCTCAACAGGTCCAAGAGGCTTGGGTCCCCAGCCAGGACACCCACCACACCCAGGAGCTGCTGGCAGTGCAGGGGAGCCTCGAAGTGGACCCCGCCCAGGCGGGGGCTTTGGTGCAGCGCCTGTGCATGAGGACCCCCATCTACTGGGCCCGGCGAGCAGAGGGTGAGTCAGGACCGCTGTGGGGGAAGGCCAGGCCCTCGGGATGGTTTGAGGAGCTGGGGGCGGAGCCCTTGGAGATTCACGGCACCCTCGCCACAGGGCCCCGGAGACAGCGGCTGATTTATCTCTGCATCGACATCTGCTTCCCGAGCAACATCTGCGTGTCGGTCTGCTTTTATTACCTCCCAGACTGAGCCCCCGACCTGGCCCAGCCTGGCCCGTCCCCAATCCAGTGGGCTGGCCAGGCCACCTGCACCAGGGAGGACAGCTGCTGGCAGGGACTAATAAACCCTTCCACCTGGCCATGGTGGTGGTGTTCTCTATGGACCGAGGCCCTGAAACGCGGGCAGGGAGGGGCAGAGAACACACTAGCTTGGGGGTGGGCACCAGCCTCAGACCCCTCAGCAGCTTTGGGCCCTCGGCCGACTTTCCCAGGCAGTGCAGGCTAGCCCAGTCCAGGAGTGTGCAGCCTGGCTTGGGTCGAGCTCTGTCACATCTGGATAAGCAACTGGGGGCTGAGAGTCCCAGGGCAGCCTGGCCCAGCAGGTCAAGGCGCCACAGGGGGCCATCAGGTCCAGCTGGCGCAGGCCGGCAGGGGAGGGTCTGCTCTGACCTGGGTGCTGCATGGGTCCCTCCAGCTGCCACCACCTGCACCAGGCAGTCCCGAGGGGTCACAGGCTAGCCCAGCACACTGTCATTGAAGGCCAGGCAGACAACAGCCTTCTGGTGGCCGCCATACTCTCTCTTGATCTCTCCAGTCTCCACACACCAGAGCCGGGCCAGGTTGTCCGAGGAAGCTGGAGGGGGAGATTGTGCAGGGCTAAGAGCGCAGGTGCAGGCCAAGCAGGCGGCCCCAGCAGAGGGGAAGCTGCAGCCGAGGTGGGCTGGCTCTGGAGGCCAGCGCCGGGGGCCAGGGATGGGGGAGGCCAGGGCGGGGCTCACCAGTGACGATGTACTGGGAGTCCCCCGAGAAGGCGCAGCCCCACATCCAGCCGCGGGAGGACTCCCCGGGGTTGCCGCTCTTGATGCTCAGCTCCGTCATCAGGGAGAAGTTGGACGTCCTCCAGATCTTGCACGTCTGATCAGCCGAGCAGGTGGCGAGGAGCCTAGTGGGTGGGCATGGGGCGTGTCCAGCAGCAGCCACTCCATCCAGCAGCCCCTCCCCTCTCCAGCCCCCAGCCCAGGCAGGTCCCCTCCCGGGCCAGCAGGCCCTGCACGCACGTGGAGTCGGGGCTGAAGCGACACTGCAGGGCGTAGCGCGTGTGGGCAGGGATCTTAGTCTTGGGGATGAGCTGGGTCACCTCGTCACCAATGCCCCCCGTCAGATTCCAGACATAGCAGTTTCCCTAGAGGTCAGGAGGACCGTCACGGAGGGCCCAAGGCCTCAGGTCTGAGACACAGGGAAGGATGCCCTGGGGGCCAACACTGGGGGCCAACTGTGCATGGGGACCCCGGGTGAGGGGCAGGCAGGCCCCTCTGGTCCTGCCTGCAGAAGGCACCTGGGAAGCCTGGCCCCAAGCAAGGGCCACACCTGGCAAGCCAAGAACAGGAGGCCACGCCTGGCCAAGGACTCAAATTCTCCTTCCTGGAGGATGCCGATGGCCAACGGAAGTAGACAGGAGAAGGGCACCAGCTAGAGAGACAGCATGACAAAGGCCAGCAGAAGGGAAATCCGGGGGCAAGAGGTACAAGTGATGCACTGGGATTAAATGAAGTTAATGAAAAAAAATGAGGCTGGAGAGAAGAGCAGGGGCCACGCCACAGCAGCCTACGGGCGAGGCCAGCAGCCCCGGGTCTCCTCAGGGGAATGACGCCACCTGGCTGATACTGACCAGGCACCACTAGAAGCATCCAAGAGAGAACGTGTCAGGGGCCAGGGGAGGTCAGGGAGGGGGAAAGGAAGCCTCAGAGAGTGTGTCAGCCGTCACCAGAAACAAGGGTGACTGGGACCAGGAGGCAACAGAGTGAAAAGAGGGAAGTGGATCGACTTGGGAGAGACTCCAGAAAGCGGAGTGACCGACCTGCAGACAGGACTAAGCCATCGGGAGCGACACTAAGGCTTCTGGCTTTGCTGGCAAGGTGGGTGTTAGTGCCCGGGATGGGGAAAGCAGGAGGGGGCCGCTAAGGGACATCCAGGAATAAGCCCACCTGCAGAGGCTGAGGGCTGAGTGCCAAGCTGCCCGCACCCAGCACCTGCCACCAGGACTCACGGTGCTATTGACAGCTGCCATGTAGCTGGCGTCGGGATCGATGTGGGCGGACGTGATGGAGACCTCGGGCTCAGGGATCAGCTGCTCGTTGTGGTCTGTTTTCAAGTCCCAGATGTGGATAGCCCCGCTCTGGTCACCCACGATGAGCTCTGCCTGGGGTGCAGGGGTGGTGAGGCAGGGCCCAAGCCCAGCCCTCCAAAGTCCCAGGGTGCCTGGCCCCATGAGCACCCCTCACCTGGTTGGGGTGCAGGCACACGCAGTTAATGGGTGCGTTCACCTGGAAGATCCGCTGGCACTGCAGGTTCCGGGACCTGCGGGCCGGGCCGGGGCACATGCTGTCCATCTGGGCTTGTTGGTGCCCTACCCAGATGGCCTCGGCCTGGCCATTCCTCCCCTCCCTCTGCTGAAGGACCTGCCTCTTGGGAAATACTTGGGACGCAGGGCCCTCTGCTCCAGCAGGGAGCCTAAGCCAGTGGCTGGTGGAAGGGGAATAACAAGCTGGCTCCGGGCTCAAGGCAGGACTCGCGCTCTGATGCAATTCACTCTCCTCCTGTCCTCACTTCTCTCAGTAAGTCGCCCACAGGAAGCTCCCTGTCTCAGCCTCTGCTTGAAGAGAACCCAACCTAAAACGGTCTCCCAGAGCAGCCCACCCCAGCCCCGGGCAGCACGCCCCCTCCCCACCGCACCTGAGGTCCCAGATCCTGGCTGTGCAGTCCTCGCCGCCCGTGTACATCCAGCGGCCGTCTTCGTGGAAGCCCACAGACGCGATGTTCTTGTTGACGCCGTCGTAGCTGATGATGGGGTTAGGGTTATTGGAGTTGAGATCATACATGCGGATGTGCTGGTAACCTAGGGACACAGGCTGAACTGAAGCTTGGCTGTGCTGAGGTCGACCCACCAGAGCTCAGGAGTTTAGAGATCAAGGATCACAGATACCTGCAGCAGCAATCATGCTGCGGTCCGGTGTGACCTCCAAGGCATTCACCTGCTGGGACTGTTAAGGAGGATGACGGGAAGGTAGCCCTGAGGCCAGGGCCCCCCAGGCCTCCACCATCTGGCCTTCACACAGGCTGTGGTCCCCACACGAGGCATCCCCCCAGCGCCGCCCTGCCCGCCCCGGGTGGAGGATACGGAGTCCTGGTGCTGCACCGTCCGGGTGCAGATGCCGCTGTGGGCCTGCCAGAAGCGCACGGTGTGGTCGTAGCCTGCAGTGGCCAGGATGACCGGGTCACTGCCCACCGTGCCTGGGGAGGTGTTCATGGTGTGGCCTGCACGGGCCCTAGAGCTGAACGGCAGGGGTCAAAGGTCAGAGCATCTGCAGAGAAGGATGTGAAGTACTTAGAAGACACTCTCTGTGCTAAGTAGATTATAGACCCACAAGGCGCTGCCGAATGGCGCTTATCATTCCCATTTTAGAGTTGGGACAAGAAGCGCAGGTAGGTTCAGGGACACGCGTCACACGCGTGATACCTGGCTCCGGGGCTCCAGGGCGCGTGCTCCATCCCCGCCCCACGCACACGGCGGGGGCGCCGTCCCCCCCCCACCTCCGCAGCCGGCAGGGGGGAGTCACGCGCGGGCGCCACTCTGCCGCAGGGGCGGGCTGCGCGTGCGCAAGGCGGCGGATGGGCCGGGGAAAGCCGAGCGCTGCGGCTGCGCATGCGTAGCAGGCCAGCGGCAGGCCCTGATGGGAAAGGGCGCAGTCTGGCTGGACCCCCGAGCTCCCCTTTCCTCCGGTGACCGCCCTTGCTCCGTCCTGCTGGCCGGCTTCCCCTGGCCGTGCTCTCCCAGCCACCCAGCAGCCGGTTCCCGGCCCCTGGCTCGCGGCCTCCGTACCTTACGGGCGGCTCCGCACTCCGCCGTGTCCAGGACGGCGAGGGGAGCCGGAGCGAGTCGATCGAGGCCGAGCGTAGAGTTATCGATGGCTCCCTAGGGCGAGACCATGGCGCGGGCGGGGGTGGGTGGGACGAGACCAAAGTTCTGGGGCGGGGGGTTCCCGCCGGGAGGAACTCGGAGCGGTCCCCGTGCGCGGCCGCGGGCCCGGCGCGAGGTGGAAGGAAGCTGCGGCTTTCTCTCCGGCCTCCTGCCCACTGGCACCTGCCCTTCTGACACGGCTGTCCGTTTCCCGGGCTGTCGGGTCGCGCTGTTCCGGTGCCCTCCCTGACCCACTACTGCGCCACGCTGGGCTAGGATTGGCTGAAAATTACAGGACTTGAATTCAGACAAGTAACGAATAATTTTTTTTTTAGTGTAAGTATATCCAGGACATTGCATGGGAAATACTTATGCTAAAAAAATTTTATTGGGTATCCTGTAGTTTTACTTGCTAGATCTGGCACCCCAGCCCCAGCCTGACCCTCAGGACATCCCACTGAGCCCAGGGTCCCCCTCAAAACCACAGGCCCTCATTCCAGCTCTGTGAGCTCCACGCCGGTGCCCTCACCCTTGAGACAGGCTGTCGCATGGTTTTTTCCTGCTGCTCTTACAGACCTGGCTGCACCCCTTCCTCTGGCCGCAGAGGGGGTGCATCTTGTCCCTTGACCAGGCCATAGTTCCCATGGAGCCTTCCTTCCTATACCTTCACCTCCTCTCCTTCCTGCCGGTTAGCCTTTAAAAAAACACCATAAAACAATCCCAAATTATCTTCTTCAAAGAGCGGTCCTCACCATTTTTCTAGTTCCACGTCCTCACCTCCCACTCATTCCGCAACCCCAGTCATCTGCCTTTTACCCCCAGCTCTCTAGCTCTCCAGTGGAAATTCCTCAAGGTCACTGACAATCTCACTTTGCTAAATCCAGTGGATACTTTTCCTTCTTCCCACCTTTTTTTTTTTTTTCTCTCGAGACAGAGTCTCGCTTTCTCGCCCAGGCTGGAGTGCAGTGGTGCAATCTCGACTCACTGCAAAACCTCTGCCTCCCAGGTTCAAGCGATTTTCCTGCCTCAGCCTCCCGAGTAGCTGGGATTACAGGCACGCACCACCACACCTGGCTGATTTTTGTATTTTTAGTGGAGACGGGATTTCACCATGTTCGCAAGGCTGGTCTCAAACTCCTGACCTCAAGTGATCCGCCTACCTCAGCCTCCCAAAGTGCTGGGATTACAGGCGTGAGCCACTGCGCCCGGCCTCTTCCCACTTCTTCTTTCTTTTTTTTTTTTTTTTTATTGAGACGGAGTCTCGCTTTGTTGCCAGGCTGGAGTGCAGTGGTGCGATCTCGGCTCTCCACAATCTCCACCTCCCGGGTTCAAGCTATTCTCCTGCCTCAGCCTCCCGGGTAGCTGGGATTACAGGTGCATGCCACCACACCCAGTTAATTTTTCTATTTTTAGTAGAGACAGACTTTTCACCATGTTGGCCAGGATGGTGGATGGTCTTGATCTCGTGACCTCGTGATCCGCCCCCCTCAGCCTCCCAAAGTGCTGGGATTACAGGCGTGAGCCACTGCGCCCGGCCCCCTCCCACTTCTTGACGCATCTGAGCCATGGTTGACGGCACCATGCCTGAAAGGCTGCCTTCTCCTAGCTCCTGTCCCCGACATTTAGTCTCTTTCCCTGCCTGCCCGCAAGGACTCAGGCCCTTCAGCATTCACTCTGTGCACCCCACGAGATACCAGGGGGCTGATGACTGCTAGCTCTGGAGCTTCCAATGCTGTCCCTGTCCTGGGCCCCTTCCACCCTGTCTCCAGCTCTGATGGCCTCAGCTCCCTGTTAAGACACTGTCCCTTGAATGCCCCGCAGGGTCCACCATATTCCAGGGCCAAGACAACCCATCCCTGAGTAGCTCCCCTTCTGTGGGCAGTGCCCACCTTGTATTACAGCTGGGCAAGATCCGACACCTCCCCTCCCTCACCCTTCCCTTCCCTTCAGCCACCGATTTTACCTGTGATATACCTTCCTGTCCTTTCCACTGCCCTGGTTCTAGCTCACCACCCCCATCCCCCATAAAAGCCTCCTTCCTTGCCCCAGCCACTCTGGCCCCCTTCCAAACTGTCCACCACAGTGCAGAATGGCCTTTTATTTATTTATTTATTTATTTATTTATTTATTTATTTATTTTTGAGACGGATTTTCACTCTTGTTGCCCAGGCTGGAGTGCAATGGCGCGATCTCGACTCGCTGCAACCTCCACCTCCTGGGTTCCTCAGTCTCCTGAGTAGCTGGGATTACAGGCATGCACCACCATCCCAGCTAATTTTGTATTTTTAGTAGAGACAGGGTTTCTCCATGTTGGTCAGGCTGGTCTTGAATTCCTAACCTCAAGTGACCCACCCACCTCAGCTTCTCAAAGTGCTAGGTTTACAGGCGTGAGCCATCGCGCCCGGCCAGAGTGGCCTTTTAAAAACCTCAGTCTGAGCCCAGCACAGTGATTCATGCCTGTAATCCCAGCACTTTCGAAGGCTGAGGCAGGAGGATCACTCGAGCCCAGAAGTTCAAGACCATCCTGAACAATATAGTGATACCCCATCTCTACAAAAAATTTAAAAATTAGTCAGGAATGGTGGTGCGTGCCTGTGGTCCCAGCTTTGGGAGGCTGAGGTGGAAGGATCACTCGAGGCCAGGAACTCGAGGCTGCAGTAAGCTGTGGTTGAGCCACTGCACTCCAGGCTGGGTGACAGAGCAAGACCTTTTCTCAAAACAAAACAAAAACCCCCAGCAAAACCTAGGAATGACTTGATCACCCCATTAGAAGCCCTCAGGGGTCCCTGTCCCTCTCCAGACTCCTGGGCCTGGCCCTGGCCCTGGCCCATCCTGTGGCTTCCATCTCCTCTCCATGTGATACCATTAGGCTTTGTGTCCCCACCCAAATCTCGTCTTGAATTGTAATCCCCATAATCCCCATGTGTCAAAGGAGAGACCAGGTGGAGGTAACTGAATCATGAGGGCAGGTTCCCCCATGCCGTTCTCATGATAGTGAGTGAGATCTCAAGAGATCTGATGGTTTTATAAGGGGTTCCTCCTCCTTTGCTCCACTTCTCCTTCCTGCCGCCTTGCGGAGAAGGTGCCTTGCTTCCGCTTCGCCTTCCGCCATGATTGTAACTTTCCTGAGGCCTCCCCAGCCATGCTGAACTGTGAGTCAACTACACCTCTTTCCTTTATAAATTATCCAGTCTCAGGTGTTCTTTATTGCAGTATGAAAATGGACTAATACTCCATGGGTCCTGTACTCTGGCCAAAGGAGACATGTTCTCCTCTTTTGTTTTCTTTTGTTTTGTTTTTCAGACGGAATCTCACACTGCTGACGGGGATGGAGTGCAATGGCGCAATCTCGGCTCACTGCAACCTCTGCCTCCTGGGTTCAAGCAATTCTCCTGCCTCAGACTCCTCCCAAGTAGCTGAGATTACAGGCACCCCGCACCACGCCTGGCTACCTTTTTGTATTTATAGGAGAGACGGGGTTTCACCATATTGGCCAGGCTGGTTTCGAACTCCTGATCTCGTGATCTGCCGCCTCGGCCTCCCAAAGTGCTAGGATTACAGGCGTGAGCCACAGCACCTGGCCATGTTCTCCCCTTTGAGCCCTTGACTGTGTCTGGGATGCTTTTCCCTCTACGCCTTACCTGCCAAATTCCTGGTTTTCAGCATATCTAGTAACATTTTCTTTTGGCTGGGCATGGTAGCTCACACCTGTAATCCCAGCACTTTGGGGGATCGAGGTGGGAGGATCGCTTGATCCTAGGAGTTTGAGGCTAACCTGGGCAAGATGGCAAGATGACCTCTTCTCTGCAAAAACCTTAAAAAAAATTAGCTAAGTGTAGGCCAGGCGCGGTGGCTCACGCCTGTAATCCCAGCACTTTGGGAGGCCGAGGCCAGTGGATCACGAGGTCAAGAGATTGAGACCATCCTGGCCAACATGGTGAAACCCCATCTCTACTAAAAATACAAAAATTAGCTGGGCATGGTGGCACACGCCTGTAGTCCCAGCTACTCGGGAGGCTGAGGCAGGAGAATCGCTTGAACCTGGGAGTCAGAGGTTGCAGTGAGCCGAGATTGTACCACTGCACTCCAGCCTGGTGACAGGGTGAAACTCCATCTAAAAAAAAAAAAAAAAAAAAAGGAAAGTAAAGAAAACTTTTTGGCCGGGTGCAGTGGCTCATGCCTGTAATCCCAGCGCTTTGGGAGGCCAAGGCGGGTGGATCACGAGTTCAGGAGTTTGAGACCAGCCTGGCCAAGATGGTGAAACCCAGTCTCTACTAAAAGTACAAAAATTAGCTGGGTGAGGTGCCAGGCACCTGTAATCCCAACTACTCAGGAGGCTGAGGCAGAAGAATCGCTTGAACCTTGGAGGCGGAGTTTGCAGTGAGCCAAGATCGCTCCACTGCACTCTAGCCTGGGTGACAGAACAAGACTCCGTCTCAAGAAAAGAAAAGAAAAGAAAAAACTTTCTACAGTGCACTCAAACTAGAACTCAGGATGAAGAAACTCACTCAAAACCACTCAACTGCATGGAAACTGAACAACCTGCTCCTGAATGCTGACACCACAGCGTAAACTTTCTGTTTGTTTGTTTTGTAGAGACGGGGTCTCATTGTCTTGCCTGGGCTGGTCTTGAACTCCTGGGCTGAAGCAATACACCCGCCTCTGTCCTGAGAGGTGAGTGATTACAACTCTCACCACCCAAAGTGCTGAGATTACAGGCATGAGCCACCATGCCCAGCCAGTACATTCTTTTTCTATGGCTAAGTAATATTCCACTGTATGACTAGAGCACGTTTTATGTATCTTCTCGTCCATAGGTGGACATTTGGGGTGTCTCCTCCTTTTTGGCTGTCATGAATGGGGCTGCTGTGAATGGTTGTGTGGTTGTGTGCCAATGTCTGAGAACGTGTTTGCATCTCTTGGTAAATACGCAGAGCGGAATTGCTGGGCTATAGGAGCATTTTACCTGCCTTATGCATGGAGTCCTCACAATGACTCCAGTAGGGAAGAATCACCCTCATTTTGGAGATGAGAAAACTGAGGCTCAGAGATGCAGAATTGCATGTGGAGGGCATAGGGCTAGAAGGTGGTGGAGCCCAGGGTTTGTTCAGCTCTAGGCCGGGCCCCATCCTGCTGGGGCTCCACCTGCCACTGATCATGCCCCTTCTGGTGAGGTGACTACTCCCCAGGCAGCCCCTGCACCCCATAGTCCTCCTCATCTTCCTCTCGAAGTAGACAGGGGCTCTCTAACCAGGCTCTATACCAGGCTTGGGGCAGCTTTGGGGAGTAGAGGTGAGCATGTGGGCTTGGATGGCTGGGAGAGGAAGCGCCTTCGAATCCCAGCAGTGTCTGGAGCAGCATAGACCCGGGAGCAGAGAGCAGGAGACAGGGTGGGGCTGAGGCAGGCTCAGCTAGGTGCGTGGGGTCCTACGTGTCTCAGGGCCCTGCACTGTTTGCCTTTTCCGTGGGGCCTCTGGGCGGCACATGGGGGCTGAGGGCAGGGGCCAGCTCTGGGAGCCTGCATGTGTCCCAAGCCTAGGGGAAGCTGACAAACTGGTCGTGGCCCCAACCCAACCTGAGTAGCTCCTGCATTTCTGTGGGGCAGGAGGCTGGGACGGTGGTGTGTGGGGGTCGATCCTCGGTGATGGTCCGGGCCCCAGCTCAGTGCTGTCAGAGGCGGTGCCACAAGAATGAGAGGAGCCACAGCAGCCAGCCCATGGGAGGGCACGTTCCTCATGCCCATACCAGAGCTTTGGGGGCTTGGGGGACCACCAGGGAGCCCCTGAGCAGACACACAGCCAGTGGGCAGAGGAAGGGGCTGCGGGCTGGCCGGCACACACCGTACATCTGGGAAGGAGGCCAGCCCAGGCTGCAGTGAAGCCTCCGCCAGCTCCATTCCAGGCTGAGCCTCAGCAATTCTGCTGGCTCAGAGGCCCCCTCCCAGGATCATCCTTGGAGGCTTGACTTCCTGGAGGGCTGCCCGAGTCCCACACCTCTGCATCCTCATCCCCCAGCCAGAGTGGCCACCTGCCCTGCCCCCCCATCCCCAGGCTGCAGGGACCCCAGGCAGACACACATCTGTTTTCATGGGGACCTTCCCGTCAGCCCTAAGCTGCAGGCGGAGCTGCTGGCCCATTTCACAGATGAGGCAGCTGAGCATCGGGGACTCACCCAAAGTTACTGGTTACAGCATCAGATCCAACGCTTCCCAGTCCCTCCTGGGCTTATCCTCACCTAGCAGAAGGCTCTGGTCCCCTCCTGCCACACTGCACCCCATGGGGTGAGGAATCTCTGAGGTCCTGAGCAGCAATCCACCTGGAGCCTAGGTGCCCCTTCTAGACCACACTCTGAGCACGTAGGACCCTGGAGTTTCCTGCCCAAACAGCCCCAAGCCCACTTCCAGGATCGGCACAGCCCTCTGCCCAGTCTGTCCTCCTGAAGGTGGGCCACGCAGCAGGGTGCCCACCCTAGCTCTGAGGAGCGACTAAGGGGGTGCCTGTTTATGGGGTGTGGACAGTGCTGGAGCTGAGCAGAGAACAGGTGAGGTAGCTACAAACGGGGGCCAGTTCATCACCCGAGGAATCTGAGAATTCTCAATTCGAACTTGGGCTTTCAGGCCATGATGAAGGTATATTTGTCAAGGTAGGAGAATAGAACATACTTAACAGGTGACTGGCGTGATTTGTAGCGTTTAAATATTTGAACATTTGGTGTGTGGGCTTCTGTTTGTGTGTTAAGCACAGGTCAGGGTGGTTTGCCTTAACATGTCCAAAACATAAAAGTAATAGTAATGCCAGCAGCTATCTTATTTTTATTTTTAGTTCTTCCTATGTGCTCTTCACACTGCAAGGTAGCGTAGATACAAAGATGCACAAAACACAGTTGCTGCACAGGCAGAGAGGCCCAAGAATATCACAATATCTACAGCAGCCATTTTTTTGAGCACTTACTAAGTCCTGCCGTGAAATGCTTTGTGGATAGTATCACAATTTATCCTCCAGTAACCTAAGGGGAGGTAGCATGCATATCCTCATTTTACAGAGGGGCACAGACACTTAGGCAGTGGGCTGGGTGTGGTAGCTCACGTCTGCAATCCCAGCACTTTGGGAGGTTGAGGTGGGAGGACTGCTTGAGGCCAGGAGTTCGAGACCAGTCTAGGTAACATACTGAGACCTCATCTCTATTAAAAATCAAAAAAAATTAGCCGGGCGCTACTCAGGAGGCTGAGGCGGGAGGACTGCTTGAGCCTGGGATGTTGAGGCTGCAGTGAGCTATGATGGCGTCACTGCACCCCAGCCTGGACGACAGAGCGAGACCCTGTCTCAGAAAAAAGAATGACAAAGTGACCAGCTCATGGTCACAAACCACTAAGAGGGGGAATAGGACACATCCAGAGGTGCGGGTGCAAAGCCCAGACTTACAACCTCAAGACTCTGGGACCCCAGGTGAGCCCCTTGGCTTCTCTGAGCCTCAGTTTCTTCATCTGTAAAATGGGGACAGTGAGTCCAACCTCATCTAGGAGGTGACCAGCACAGTGCCTGACCCAGCGGGTACTCAACTGGTCATTGGAAAGGGCAAGAGGAAAGGCCCTAGCATTTGGGGACCCCTCCCAGGAGTGCTGGAAGACCAAGGGCTGCTACCTGAACCTAACAGGAGACCCCACGGAGGGAACGGGAACGGCCAGCTGCCCACAGGATGCCGGGACCCCGGTGCCTGTCACCTTCCCTGTCCCTGCTGTCTGACCTCCTCTGTCCCCCTGGACCTGCTCAATGGTCTGGGGCCACACAGAGTGGGGTGCCAGGCCATGCCTCATAGAATGGGTGCGACCCTCCCCAAATTCTCCAAACGGCCTTGCCCGCTTGGGTGATGAGGGAAACGGAGCCTGAGTCGGGACTCAGACCCCCACTGATCTGCCTCTAGAATGCTGCAGGCCTGACGGGAGAGGGCCTGAGGCGCAGGGTGGCCCAAGCCTTCAGCCAGGAGCTCAGAGGGTCACAAGTCGGGGCCTCCAGCACCCAGGAAGCAGGACTCGCCTGCCTGGGCTGCAGGCTGGAGAGTGGGCAGACGTGGGCCGGGGGTCGGTTGGTGCCGGCGGGAGGTTCCAGCCCCTGTGGATGGAGATGGAGGCGACCCCCAGTCGGTGCGGGGAGTGGGGAGTTGAGCTCCCTCAGTGGGGGTGGTGGGGGCTACCTTGGGGTCAGGCTTCGGACTGAGGCTGGGGGAAGCTGTGGCGCCCGCATTATTTGCGGAGAGGAGCAGGAGGATGCTTGGGGGTTGGGGGTGCGGGTTCCCTGACACCGAATTCATTATTGGGAGATTCCTCTTCACAATCCCTCGACACCTCCCACGGGAACCCTGGGCCAGGAACGCCTGACAGCCTGGCGGGCCGGCTCCAGGGGCACTGGCGCCCGGGTCTCTCGGCGCCCGGTCCCCGCCCGCCCGCTGCCTCGGAACCGTCCCCCGCGGGTCCCGCAGCCTCTGGAAGCCTCTCTGGGCTCAGCCCCGCGCCGCCGCCGCGTCGGGGCTCCCAGTGCACCCCCGGCGGCCGCGTCCCCAGCCCGGCTAGCAGCCCCAGGCCGCCCGCGTCCGCAGAGGCCTGGCCTGAGCGCGCTGCGCGCACGTGGGGAGGGGGCGTCCCGGGGCGGGCGCGGGGAGGGCGGAGCCACGGGCCCGGGCGCGCGGCCGGCGCGGGCTGACGGAGGTCGGCGGCCCGGGAGCGGACCCCGGCGTCCGGGAGGCGGCGCCAGGTGCCGCGCCCCC
Source organism: Homo sapiens (assembly GCF_000001405.40). NCBI lineage: Eukaryota > Metazoa > Chordata > Mammalia > Primates > Hominidae > Homo > Homo sapiens. The sequence goes on along the minus strand of NC_000016.10, from coordinate 2,196,674 downwards.
GCCCCGCGCCCGCCGCGCGCCCCCGCCCCCGGGCCGCCCCCCGCCCGTGACGCGCTCCCCGCCCCCTCCGCGCCGGGAGCCCGAGCCCAAGCCGGAGCCCGAGGAGGGCGAAGGGGCGGCGGGCGGCGAGGAGGCGGCGGGGGAGGCGGCGGGGGAGGCGGCCGGTGCCGCGGGGCCGCCGCCGCCTCTGAGCCGCGCCGAGCTCACGAGCGCAGCCGCGTCGCTGCGGCCCCGGCCGCGCCATGGGGAAGGAGCAGGAGCTGGTGCAGGCGGTGAAGGCGGAGGACGTAGGGACCGCGCAGAGGCTGCTGCAGAGGCCGCGGCCCGGGAAGGCCAGTGAGTGCCGGGGGCGCGGGGCGCGGGTGGGAGCCCCGGGGGCCCCTCCCCGGCGCGGAGCCCCCCACCCGGCGCCGGGCGGGGAGGGGACGTTGTCGGGTCCCCGGGGGCGGGGCGGGGCCAGCAGCGCCCAGACCCTTGGTCCGTGCCCTCCACCCGCTGCCCCCAGCACTGGAGATGGGGCGGCCCCGAGAGCCGGCCGCCACCGTGAGCCCCGCAGCGGGCACCTGGCGGCACCCGCCTCCCGGGCCGCGGGCGTTCGCATCCCTCTCTCTCTACCTCTGTCCCCCTCCCTTCCCAGGCTGCGGGCTGACAGCTGGAGGTCTCTGCTGGGGCCTTCAAAGGGCGAGGCGGATGCCCCCCCCACCCACCACACGCACCGGGAAGACAGGGAGGGGGCCCCTGCGGCGAGGGGCGACCCGGGAGGTGACAGTCCCTAGCAGACCCCCTCCCGCCCCACGTTTAATAACACGCTTTGCAGGGAAGGTGGGGGCAGGACCACGCTGGGGGTGTGGCTGCCCTGGCATGGCCGGTGGGGTGCCATTTACTGATGGGAGAGCAGAGGCCCAAGGTCGCCCAGCCCAGGGCAGGCTGGACTCCAGGCAGGGCCGGCCTGGGCGCAAGGGCTTGGGGCCCTGCTCAGGCAGGCTCCAGCAGAGCCGGGTCTCCAGCTTCCCTGCTGGGAAAGGAGGCCATGAGGGAGTGGGGGACCACCACTGGCCATCCCCAGCTTGCCCTATGGCCGGCCCCAGGAAAGGGCTGGGAGCTTGGAGCCCTGGTCCCAGCACTCATCCTGGCTCAGCGCGTAGCCTCCCTGGGGGCCGCCGGAGATGGATGGATGGGCGTGTGGACCAGCCGCGTGTGCGGCTGCGCACGTATAGCCGTGTCAGTGTGTCAGGGCACCTGTGCGGGCACGGACAGGGCTCTGCAGGTCGGCACGTGGGGTCTGGGCGTCCTCCCTCCTCCCTCCACCCCCACAGACTGTAAGCCAGAGAGTCCCCCTCCCCTTCCTCCAGGGGGATGCCGAGAACTGGGACTGGCTTCTGGGAGATTGTTGGGGGCACCTAGGAGTCCCAGGAGGACCCCCTCCCCCGTACTTCACCAGCAGCCCATGACTGGCTAGCTCCTGTCCACTCTGTGCAGTAAGAGAGAGGGGGCACCGGTGCCTTGCAGGCTGGCCCCGAGCTGATTTCAGGTCCGGGGGCTCAGAAAGGGAGAGCTTGTGGGCAGAGGCAGCCTCAGCTGAGCCTGGAGAGCAGGTGTAGGGATTGAGGGAAGGCAAGGTAAAGGTTTCCACCTAGTGGCCGCATGACCTTGGACACAGACAACTCCAGCTCAGTGGACCTCAGTCTCCTCGTCTGTAGGATGGGATGTCAGCCTCACGGTGGGGTCCTAAGACCAGTGAGCCTGGGCACTTGCAGCCCAGGCATTCAGTAAGTGCTCAGTAAATGCCAGCAATGACCGCAGTCTTGGACGGCCCAGGGCCAGGGGCTGGGGAAGTGGGGGCTTCAGCTCTGGGGAGGTTCCTCCTCCCTTCTATTGTGGCCATTCTGGGGAGGTGTGGGGGCTTCCACTCTCACCTGGGTCTCTGCCTGTCTTGCCTGGCCTCTGGGACAGGAGAGACACCTGCCCTGGCCCCGGCTCCTGCTCTCTGACTCACAGGGGCGGGTGTAATAAATCAGAGGAGAAATCCCTCCATGAATTAGCTCCGTCGTCATGGCAACGCTGGCCTGCTTTGGAGTAAGATGTATTTTGATTCAGTAAAGTACAGCTGAGTTTGGGCCACGAGGTGGGGGGTGTCCAGCAGTATCCTCCAGGGCCCCGTGAGCCCAGGGCTGTCCCCATGAGCTTTGCTTCCATGGTCCCCTCTGGTTGCCCAGTCCCTTCCCTCCAGCCCCTGCTCCAGAGTCACCCCAGGCTCAGCCAGCCCCCGACTCGCCCTGCCCTGAAGGGAGCCTCCCGTGCCCGCACGCACACACTTAGCAGCTGTCCTTGAGGGGAAGAGGAGCCTGTTCTGGGGGAGATGCCGGTGCAGGGGCTGGCCTCCTGCTGGCCAGGAGGGACCCACTCTTCCCTCTGACCCGGACCCTATCCATGGAGGCCCCCTGTCCATGGAGGCAGGCCCAAGAATGCCGTGGAGGACACCCCTGAGCACCGAGGGCCAGCTCCCCATCCCCCTCTCACCTTCTAATAGCCCACTAGTAGCTCCCTTCTAGCCTGGGATATGGACTGGACCCCAGAGGTGGGGACAGGCTCAGGATAGCAGTGAGAGGGCTGGTCGGGGGTAAGGCCTTTACTGTCATAGAGTCACAGGGCTTAGGGACCTCGTGGAGAGGGAGGGGGGCTCCTGGACTTTCATCCTGGCCCCGGCCCCCTCCAGCCATGCTCTGCTCCTGCTTCATCCAGAGAACCCGTTTCCAGGTGAAAACAGCCCCCAGCCCCAGGCCCTTCTCAGTTCTGGGACCTTCCTGGGTACCCACTGTCCCCCCACAGGAATGGGGGTTAGTGTGTCCCAAGACCTCAAGTTGCTGCCATCCAATTTCAGCCAGTTTCCCCCTTGAGGAGACCATAAGTGGGGAGAGGGACGAGATGGCTTTAGTAAGGCACCCCTCCTCACATGGGGGTGGTCCCCTTCCTGAGGGAGACACCCTCCCCCACTGGCAGATGTTACTTTCTGGGCTTTGACCTCCAGCCTCTCCGAGATTTCAGCCCCTGAAGGTGTGGCTGGGTGAGAAGGTGGTTTCCACACTGGCTGCCTCAGCTGTGGGAGGGAGGACAGGGCCTGGCTTGGACAGTCCTGGGGACATGCTGAGGGCTGTCCACCCTGGAGCTGGGAAGAGTGGGGGTCAGCGTTCTGTGGGGAGAACCTCCTGAGTGTGGTCCTGGCGGGGATGCACGGGACAGTGACACCTGCGCTCCCTTTAGCTAATGGCAAGGGATGGTGGTAGGCCCCACGACATAATTCCCAGGTCCCCATGCAAAATGTAAACGCAGGGCCCCTTGCTCAAAAATAAGAATTTCAGGCCGGGCATGGTGGCTCATGCCTGTCATCCCAGCACTTTGGGAGGCTGAGGCAGGCGGATCACCTGAGGTCGGGAGTTCGAGACCAGCCTGACCAACATGGAGAAACCCCGTCTCTACTAAAAATACAAAATTAGCCAGGAGTGGTGGTGCGTGCCTGTAATCCCAGCTACTCTGGAGGCTGAAGCAGAAGAATTGCTTGAACCCGGGAGGTGGAGGTTGTGGTGAGCCGAGATCGCACCATTGCACTCCAGCCTGGGCAACAAGAATGAAACTCCATCTCCAATAAAAAAAAAGAAAAAGAATTTCGAGATGGCGACAGGAGAGCATCCGCAGGCATGGGGTCCTTCTGAGCCAAGCACAGGCCGCACACCCATTAAGTCGCCTCGGCGGCCAGGCAGAGTGTGGGGGATGAGGAGATCGATCCAGTCCGCAACTGAGCACCTCAGCTGCGCGGGGCACCATTTTAGCCACCGAGGATTCCTCCGTGAGCAGAACAGATGACGGCCCTTGTCCCCTTGGTGCTGGTAGTTGAGTGATGGAGATGGGTAGGAGCAAGAGCAGAAGGAGGTTGACGTGGCTGGTGGTGACGAGGGCTGCAGAGCCAGGCACAGCAGCTGCGGGGCGGGCAGGGTCACTTCGGATGGGGAGGGCATGCTGAGTGAGCAGCCTGTGGGTAAGGATCTGAAAAATGTGAGGGAGGCTGTGGGGTTAACTAGGGAAGAGGAGGCCGCACGTGCACACAGGGCATGTGGAAAGGCCTTGGACAGGGCAGCCGATATGTTGGAGGAACGTCTGGAGGCCTGTGTAGCTGCAGCAGGAATGAGGGAAGTAATGATAACTGAGAGCAAAGCAGGAGCCCCACGTACGGCCACTGTCCAGTCTCAGCCTCCCCTCCTAGCACAGCCACTGTCCGTTGTCGGCCTCCCCTCCCAGTGAGACCAGTGCTGCCAGGGGGTCTTCAGGAGAGGCGTGGCAAGATCTGATTCATGTTCTCTCTCCTTTTTTTTTTTTTGAGACAGGGTCTTGCTCTGTCACCCAGGTTGGAATGCAGTGAGTGGTGCGACCCCGGCTCACTGCAGCTTCAACCTCCTGGGCTCAAGCGATCCTCCCGCCTCAGCCTCCCAAGTAGCAGGGACCACAGGCACACCCCTCCGTGCCCAGCTACTTTTTTTTTCCTTTATTTTTTGTAGAGACAAGGTCTTGCTATGTTGGCCAGGCTGGTCTTGAACTCCTGGCTGCAAGTGATCCTCCCACCTCAGCCTCCCAATGTGCTGGGGTTACAGGCGTGAGCCACGGCACAGAGCCTGACTCATGTTTTCCCAGGGAACCCCGACGGGGTGGGTGTGGAGGTTGGACCGAGGGATGTGGGAAGACCTTAGCGACACCAGTGGGGAGGGGATGGCACTTATCCTGCCAGAGATGCCGGCCTGGACCAGGTTGGTGACAGTGGCTGTGGGGAGAAGGGCTAGGGTTCCAAGTGTGCTCTGGGGATGTCTGGGAGGCAGAGCTGACGGACAAGCTATAGGTGTGCAGGAAAGGCCCCAGGCCTGGCTCCAAGGTTTTGGCCTGGGCCATGGTCAGGAAGGATGGCATTGCCACTAACCAAGAGGGACACTGGTGCCAGCAGTGTCTGAGCAGAGGGGGAGGGGCCGGTGAGGCTGGAGACGACTTTGCTTGCCAGAAGAAACCCCTGGCTGGAGAGAGCTGGGGGTGGGATTCCTGTACGGCTAATATTAGTAATCGCCATGCACCGAGTCCTGACTTGTGCCAGGCCGCGCACGCTTTATGTCTGGGAATGCTCTCACACCTCCGGGAGGCCCTGTTAGCACCCCCGGCTCCAGCTCAGGGAGGGCGCCAGCAGCCAAGGACACAGGCTGGTGAGTGGCAGAGCAGAGATTCGAATTCACAGCAGTCTGGCTCCTTCGGCCAGCCTCGTGGGTCATCAGGGGACCCGCACCCTGTGTCCAGTGGCTGGGACTGAGGCCGGGGCAGCAGGGGCTGCTGTGGGTCACTGTGCAAGCCCTGCAGACAGCCCTGTGCCTCGACTCCCTCAACTCCCCTGCCCTCAGCTCCTGCCCCCACCCTGTCCTGGGCCTGGACAAAGGGGCTTCTGTCCTGCCAGCTCCCCTCTCAGAGTGACTGACCCACAAATGGGTTATGTAACCACGGCCCAGATAGGCGGGGGTTTGGCCCAAGTCTGCTTGGACTAGAGCCCACTGGGAGGGCATCGGTGGGCTTCCCTCCTCTGGCAGCTGGCTGGGGGAGGCCAGGATGCGGGGGGCCCCAGGAGGACGCTGGGGCCCTGAAGGGAGGGCGTGGGCCCCTCTGGCCTCAGGTGCTCCGAGTCGCCAGGGAGCAGGCAGCCGTTCGCGTGAGGTTGCTCAGAGGTGCCAGCCCACTCGCCTGCCTCCCACTTCTGCTCATCCACACTGGCTGTGGCCCAGGGCTGGCAGTGGGGGTGCTGCACGGTGGAGACGCAGATCCTCCCCCAGAGATACCCCCATTTCCGGGTGTTCCAGCCTCCCTGGCCACCCCCGGCCCCATCTGGATCCTTCTGAGAGACAGATTGGGCCGGCTCTCTCCCTCCCACCATTGGCAGGTGCTCAGCCAGTGTCCCGAGGGAGGGGTGTGCGTGCACATGTGTGTGCCTGTGTGGGTGCACAGCCTTGCCTCCTATCCCCAGGTGGGGACAAGGACTCCAGGCCGGAGTCCTTAGTACTGTGAACCCCCACATCTCAGGGCAATGGGACACCAAGGCCCGAGCAGCTGGCACCTGGGGCAGGCTGCGGGGCAGAGCTGAACGCGTGAGTGCACGAGTGGACGAGTGAGTGTCTGCAGACTGAGAGCCCAGCAGCTTTGTGCCTGCCGGGGAGATGGCTGGCCCCCTCTCCCTGCCCTCAGGCCGCCTGGAGGGGCTGGCACAGCCTCCCCTCACTGAGTCTCCTTCCATCCCCAGAGCTCCTGGGTTCCACCAAGAAGATCAATGTCAACTTCCAGGACCCGGATGGGTGAGTTCTGAGCCGGGTGGTGCCTGCCTGGAAGGGAGGGTGGCTCCTAGAGAGGCCTAGGTGCCGGGGGAGGGCAGGGTGCCGGGAAGGCCGGGGCGCCAGGGCCTCTGCTCTATGTGTCCTCTGCACGTGCCAGCTTCTCGGCTCTGCACCATGCGGCCCTGAACGGCAACACGGAATTGATCAGCCTGCTGCTGGAGGCCCAGGCCGCTGTGGACATCAAGGACAACAAAGGCAAGACTAGCCGAGGGCCTCTGGTGGGGGCAGGGGCGGGGGCAGCGAGGGGGGCTCCCCAGGGCCTGCATGGATCCTTGGCTGAGGTCTCAGCCCAGGGTCTCAGTCTGATTTCAGGCAGGTCCTCCTGGGATCAGGGTCCTGGAGGCCAGGGGTGGGGCTGGGGTGAGGGGTCAGCTCCTAGCACCCCCCAAACCCACAGGGTTGGGCTTGGGGTCAGGGGTCAGCTCCCAGCATTCCCCCCACCTCCCAGGGTTGGCCTTGGGGGTCAAGGGTCAGCTCCCAGCATTCCCACCTCCCAGGGTTGGGCTTGGGGTCAGAGGTCAACTCCCAGCAAACCCCCGCCCCCAACCCCAAGGGTTGGGCTTGGTGTCAGAAGTCAGCTCCTAGCGCCCTCCCACCCCCCAGGGTTGGACTTGGGGTCAGGGGTCAGGTCCCAGCACCCCCCTATCCTCCAGGGTTGGGTTTGGGGTCAAGGGTCAGCTCCCAGCATCCCCTCGCCCCCCAGGCATGCGGCCGCTGCACTATGCGGCCTGGCAGGGCCGGAAGGAGCCCATGAAGCTGGTGCTGAAGGCGGGCTCGGCCGTGAACATCCCGTCTGATGAGGGCCACATCCCCCTGCACCTGGCGGCCCAGCATGGTCACTATGATGTGGTGAGGCCCGAGCGGGGGCGGGGCAGCGGGGGCGGGGCAGCGCGGCCTGAGGATGTGCGGACCTGACTGCGCCCTTGGCCCCCAGTCTGAGATGCTGCTACAGCACCAGTCTAACCCGTGCATGGTGGACAACTCGGGGAAGACGCCCCTGGACCTGGCCTGCGAGTTCGGCCGCGTTGGGGTGAGTCTCCTGTGGAGCCCTGTGGGGTGGGGCTGGGGAGCCCCACATCAGGACCCCCCTACCCTGACCCCTCCTTCAAGGTGGTCCAGCTGCTCCTCAGCAGCAATATGTGTGCGGCGCTGCTGGAGCCCCGGCCGGGAGACGCCACCGACCCCAACGGCACCAGCCCTTTGCACCTCGCAGCTAAAAACGGCCACATCGACATCATCAGGTAGAGCCGGTAGCAGGGAGGGCCTCAGCCTTAGGGTCCCCAGGGTTCAGCAGCAGCCTGGGGCTCAGGGCACCAGCTTCTGGCTTGGGGATAGGGCGGGAGCAGGCAGGGTCCCAGGTCCCTGGTCAGGCCTCTGGCATGGCCTCCAGGGCCCATGTACAGGATGAGCTGCAGGGGCTGGGAAGGGGGCTTCTGCGACGTCTCTGTCCCAGCCCCACCGCTCCTGGGTGTGCTCGAGGAGGTGCTGAACTTCCCTGAGCCTCACTTTCCCATCCGTAAAGTGGGGTTCACAGCAGCGCCTACACTAGCATCAGACAAGATAACAGCTGGGAAGTCTTAGCACAGGGAGGGCCCTTCAACAGTGCTCACTGTGGGCTGGGTGCCCCGGCGGCTCACACTTGTAATCCCAGCACTTTGGGAGGCCAAGGAGGGAGGATTGCTTGAGGCCAGGAGTTCGAGACCAGCCTGGGCAACATGTCAAGACCCCATCTCTACAAAAAATACAAAAACTAGCCGGGTGTGTTGGCACACACCTGTAGACCCAGCTACTTGGGAAGCTAAGGCAGGAGAATCACTTGAGCCCATGAGGTTGAGGTTGCAGTGAGCGATGATTGTGCCACTGTACTCCAGCCTGGGTGACACAGCAAGACCCTGTCTCAAAAAAAAAAAAAAATCGGCTGGTTGTGGTGATGCACACCTGTAGTCCCGGCTGCTTGAGAGGCTGAGGTGGGAGGATCGCATGAGCCTGGGAGGTCGAGGCTGCAGTGAGCCAGGATGGTGCCACTGCATTCCAGCCTGGGTGACAGAGAGAGACCCCATCTCTACTTTTTATAAAAAAAGCAGCTGAGTGCGGTGGTTCAAAATGCTGCAATCCCAGTATTTTGGGAGGCTGACGCAGGAGCCCAGGAATTTGAGACCAGCCTGGGCAACATAGCAAGACGTGGTCTTTACAAAAACAAAGGCAAAAAAAAAAAAAAAAGCTGGGAATGGTCACACATGTCTGTAATCCCAGCTACTCTGGAGGCTGAGGCAGGAGGACTGCTTGAGGCCGGGAGTTTGAGGCTGCAGTAAGCCATGACTGCACCACTGTACTCCAGCCTGGGTGACAGAGTGAGACCCCGTCTTAGAAAAAGTAGGCCAGGTGCAGTGGCGCACGCCTGTACTCCCAGCACTTTGGGAGGAGTTCGTGTCCAGCTTGGCCAAAATGGTGAAACCCCGTCTCTACTAAAAATACAAAATTAGCTGGGTGTGGTGGCAGGTGCCTGTGATCCCAGCTACTCCGGAGGCTGAGGCAGGAGAATCGCTTGAACCCAGGAGGTGGAGGCTGTAGTGAGCCGAGATCGCACCATTGCACTCCAGCCTGGGCGACAAGGGTGAAACTCCGTCTCAAAAAGAAAAAAAAAGCGCTCAGCACTCAGTGAATGTCAGAGACATGGGGCAGGGCTGGACGGTCCTCAGCCCCCAAGCTGACTGCTGGGGTACCTGGAAATGGAGGCCTGGCTTGGGGGTGCTGGGGCCGGCCTCCTGCTGGAAGGCCCCGCCTGTCCACCTTGCCTTCCCGCCAGGCTCCTCCTCCAAGCCGGCATCGACATTAACCGCCAGACCAAGTCCGGCACGGCCCTGCACGAGGCTGCGCTCTGCGGAAAGACAGAGGTGGTGCGGCTGCTGCTGGATGTGAGTGTGGGGCCCAGGGGCGCTGGGCCCAGTGGACTGTAGGGGCTCCTGACAGAGCCTCATCTCTCACATGTGCAGAGCGGGATCAATGCCCACGTGAGGAACACCTACAGCCAGACAGCCCTGGACATCGTGCACCAGTTCACCACGTCCCAGGCCAGCAGGGAGATCAAGCAGCTGTTGCGAGGTGGGCCCAGGCAGGGCAGAGGGGCAGTGGCTGGGGCTGGGGCTGGGCCAGATCAGCCCGCAGGACTTCGGGGGCCCCCTCCTGTATCCCCAGAGGCCTCAGCGGCCCTGCAGGTCCGGGCGACCAAGGATTATTGCAACAATTACGACCTGACCAGCCTCAACGTGAAGGCAGGGGACATCATCACAGTAAGCATGGCCCCAGGGGCCATCTCAGCAGGGAGGGGGCGGCACCTGGGCGTGCGCACCCCAGAACACCCTCCCGCCGCAACTGGGGGGCACTGGGCAGGAGACTCTGCGAAAGGGGGCATCTCCCTGAGCGCCCCCCACCTTACTGGCCAGGTCCTCGAGCAGCATCCGGATGGCCGGTGGAAGGGCTGCATCCATGACAACCGGACGGGCAATGACCGGGTGGGCTACTTCCCGTCCTCCCTGGGCGAGGCCATTGTCAAGCGAGCAGGCAAGTTCCACCCCACCCTGGGGGGCAGGCAGGAGCCCCTGGGCTTGGGGGCTGGAAGCAGCGAGTGTGCTGAGGGTGTGGGGGCCCAGCAGGGCTGGGTTTCTGGGTGCCAGCGTGGGGTTGAGTGGGGAGCATCAGGGTGCCCCAGCGGCCGTCTCCTCGTCCGTTCCCACACCTATTCCTTTATGCGTTCTACCAAGCACTGTGTGCTGCCATGTCTGGTTCTGAACCGGCCACTAGAACAGATGGGGACCCAACTCCCAAGGAGCTCGTCCTGGGGCAGGAGAGGGCAGGGGACAGCGAAGTAAACATGAAAGGACATGTGACCCGGAGCACAGGGAGGGCCTGCTTGAGATGAGGCAGTCAGAGAAGGCCAGAGAATGCTCTGAGAGGCAGGTGGGTTCCAGGTGGCAGGAGCCGTGCGTTAAAAGCCGGCGGCGCCAGGCGTGGTGGCTCATGCCTGTCATCCCAACACTTTGGGAGGCCGAGGCTAGAGGATTGTTTGAGCCCAGGAGTTCGAGATCAGCCTGGGCAACATAGTGAGATTCCATGTCTACAAAAAATAAAATTAGCCAAGCATGGTGTTGTGCGCCTATGGCCCCAGCGACTTGGGAGGCTGAGGTGGGAGGATTGCTTGAGCCTGGGAAGTGGAGGCTACAGTGAGCGAAGATTGCACCAGCCTGAGTGACAGAGCAAGACCCTGTCTCAAAAAAAAATAATGATTAAAACAAAGGCACTCAAGTGTTTGCTCTTGGTGAAGAAAAAAGGAAAAAACCAAAGGCGCTGAGGCAGGCAAGAGCTGGGTACATCTGAGTAACAGGAGGCTGAGGAGAGGGACTAGGCCAGGGGCCCAGGCTGTGAAGCCCCATGTGGCAGCTGCAAGGGACCAGGGGCCCGTTTACTGCTGATGGAGGACCTGGAGGTTGACAGGCAGGGCCAGCCCCCGACCATGGCCATCTAGCTCCTGAGTGGGAGCCTTGGCTCTAGCTTGTGGGGGGCTTCTTGCCTGCCCCCCACTCCCCAGTACAGAGACTTTCATACCGTCCAGCAATCTCTGGCCCCCTGCCCACAGGACCCCAGGGCCACCGGCAGGATGCCTAGGCTTGGCTGTCTCTGCCTCTCTCCTGCTCTAAACGTCTGGGGTGGGAGGGGTCTTCCGAGGGGCTATCAGCTCCCTGGAGACAATGGTGGGCAGAGAGGACCCCCGGCTGTGGCTGCGCCAGTCTCTGTCCTGCCTCCCCTGCGTCAGTACCCGCCATCGCTGGCCCAGGACTTAGGAGGCTTTGCTTGACCCACAGGTTCCCGAGCAGGCACTGAACCAAGCCTGCCCCAGGGAAGCAGCTCATCGGGACCCTCTGCACCCCCAGAGGAGATCTGGGTGCTGAGGAAGCCTTTTGCAGGTAGGCTGGGTCCCTGAAGGGCAGAGGTGGCAGGACTTCCACAAGGCACCACCGTGGGGCCAGGCAGGGGCCGGCACTGGCCTCATCTTGCTCCCTTGTGCTGGCAGGTGGGGACCGAAGCGGCAGCATTAGCGGCATGGCTGGCGGCCGGGGCAGCGGGGGTCACGCCCTACACGCGGGCTCTGAAGGCGTCAAGGTAGGTGGGGTAGTGGCCAGGGCCAGGGTGGCCAGGGCTGGGAGCAGGTGACAAGCCGGGGTTTCTGGGTTGCAGCTCCTGGCAACGGTGCTTTCCCAGAAGTCCGTCTCTGAGTCCGGCCCGGGGGACAGCCCCGCCAAGCCTCCGGAAGGCTCTGCAGGTAAGAGCAAGGGTGCTGCCACGCAGCCCGATGGAGGAAAGCAGCCCGACAGCCCTTGTCCCCCACCCACTCTCGTCCTCAGGTGTGGCCCGGTCCCAGCCTCCAGTGGCCCACGCCGGGCAGGTCTATGGGGAGCAGCCGCCCAAGAAGCTGGAGCCAGCATCGGAGGGCAAGGTACAGGGCTTGGGGGTGTTCTCAGCGTGGGCTCCGGGGAGAGGCTGTAAGGCCGATGGGCTGATGGGTGCTTACACGGCCTGCCTGGCCTGGCAGCGGCGGGGTCGGGGGCATTGCCAGGCCAGACCCTCTCCTCTGTCTGTCAGTCTGTGTGTTGTGTGTGTGTCTGCCTGTGTGTACGGGTGTCGTCATTGTGCAGGCTGTGCGTGTGGGCCAACCTGTGCCTCTGTGTGTGCGTGTGTGTGTGTGATGGTGGGACTGCGAGCTGGGCACGCGTGTCTGTGTACAGGTGGAAGGGGATGGGTATGAGATGGTGCAGCGTGTGCATGGGCACGGCGTATGGTGTGTGAGTGCACTCGTGTGCCGGAGAGCTGTAAGCTGCTGGCTGAGTCCTGCACGGTGGAGGAGGCAAGGTGCCCCTGCCTGTGGGCACAGAGCCCACCTTCCGGTCCAGCCCGAGGCCCCTTTCCCAGAGCCCCCTCCCAAGGGGCCATACCACCTGCATCCCCAAGATGGCGTGGGGCGTCCCTGGTGCAGGAGCAGGGGACAGTCAGGGAGGCGTGTGGCGGACAGTAGCAGCCCCCCCGCCCCCCTCCCCCCACCGGTGGAGATCCCAGAAGAAGGCGGAAGGGTGGAGGATGCTCCAGGAGGCGCCTCCGGGACCGCGGACTGAGGATCACTCACGGGCCAGGCTCACCGGGGCCTGCTGCAGATGGAGCAGCGGACGGCGGACGCAGTGGCTGCACGGCTGGCCGGCCAAGCAGAGGAGGCGGCACTGTGGTGGCAGGGCGCGGCCGGGCAGGCGAGCCTGCAGTGGGTGCCTTGTGTCTTCCAGAGCTCTGAGGCCGTGAGCCAGTGGCTCACCGCGTTCCAGCTGCAGCTCTACGCCCCCAACTTCATCAGCGCCGGCTACGACCTGCCCACCATCAGCCGCATGACTCCCGAGGTGAGCTTTCCATGCGCCGCCAGCGCCAGCTGCGTCCCACAGATGGGCCCAGCCCCTAGCTGACAAGCCTCCCCACTGCCTAGGACCTCACGGCCATTGGTGTCACCAAGCCGGGCCACCGGAAGAAGATCGCGGCAGAGATCAGCGGCCTAAGCATCCCTGACTGGCTGCCTGAGCACAAACCCGTAAGGCCACCTGCATCCCAGGGGCTGGGCCCAGGACGGGCAGACAGACAGACAGACAGAGAACCTGCCTCCCTGGCCACAACTCCCACCCGCCCTCAGGGGCTTGAGGGAGAGGAGAGTGGAGGATGCCCTGCTAGCAGGGAGCCTCCCGATCAGCCCCTGTTTTGTCACTGGGGCAGGGGCAAGGTGATGCTGTCCAGGGGTCGTCGTTGCTGAGGGAGCCTGAAGCCAGGAGAGTCCCCTCCCCACGTCCATGCTCTCACCAGGACTCCCTCCACATGCAGGCTGCCCCACAGGGACCCCCAGCCACCAAGCCTCCAAGCACTGCCACTCACATGCAGACTGTAGGGGGCCATGCTTACGGCCTTTGCTCACAGGCACCCAGGTACGTGCCAGCCACACGCCTGGCAGGTGTGCATGGAACACCCTGCAGGCATCCACCAGCTTGTGTGCGTGCACACATGCTCCACCGCACGTGTGGCCCTCACCAATAGCTGACACCCCCATTCTCAGCGATACCTGCACACGCCATGGCCAATCGTCATTAACACGGAGGTGCGGCCGGGCGCGGTGGCTCACGCCTGTAATCCCAGCACTTTGGGAGGCCGAGGTAGGTGGATCACGAGGTCAAGAGATCGAGACCATCCTGGCTAACACGGTGAAACCCAGTCTCTACTAAAACCAAAAATTGGCCAGGCGTGGTGGCGGGTGCCTATAGTCCCAGCTACTTGGGAGTCTGAGGCAGGAGAATGGCATGAACCCGGGAGGCGGAGCTTGCAGTGAGCCGAGATTGCGCCACTGCACTCCAGCCTGGGCGACAGAGCGAGGCTCCGTCTCAAACAAAGCAAAACAACAGGGAGGTGCCTGTGCAGTGGGATGGGTTCCGGGCCTGAAGAAGGTGGGCCCAGGCCTAGCCCAACTGAAGCGGACTCTCTGGGCCTCACACTGAGCTCTGGGCTCCCAACGGGAGAGGCGATCGGTGGCTGTCAAAAGCCACCTGGCGCGTGGGTCTGCACTCACCCTGCCTTGCCTCACTCAATTGGTGGCTCGGGGATCCTCCTAGGGGTCAGGTCCGGGTCCCACGGGCCTTGCCGCGCACCTGGGGGTGGCTGAGTGTTCAAGAGCAGTTGCATGAGTGAATTCCAGCTGGAAGTGTGGACGCCTGAATGCCGCTCGGGGAGTGATCGGGTGTTTCTCGGTGCAGATTGCTGTGGGTGTTGGCACGTGTGTGTGTTGTGGCTGTGTGGCATGTGTGTGGCCCTGTGATGTGGGTGAGAGGTCAGAGTGTGAAACGGGATGGGGTGCTGGTGCCTGTGCACGGCTGGGAGCGCAGCGTGCAAATCATGTGCGTGTTCCTGTACCAGGTGTGGCCCCATGCGTCTGTGTCCATGACTCGGGTGTGTCTCCCCATGGTGCTGTACTCGTGGCTGCCTGGCCGGGTGGGAAAGTGCCTTCTTCTGCCCCCCCGACAAGGGTGTCCTGTGGATGTGGGCAGCCGTGCGTGTGTGCGCATGTGTGCGATATGCGGCATGCAGTGTCCGGTGCCTGAGCCGAGGCTCTGCCTACATTTCTGGTGCCAATACCTCGGCCTATCCGTTTGTCCTCCTGTCTGTCTGTGCCCTGCTGGCCCGGTGACCCTTCCTCCTCCAGCTCCAGGTAGATGGGCAGGGTGCGGGCAGCCAGCCCAGGTGGCTCCTCTGTGTGTCTGCTCTGTAGGCTAACCTGGCCGTGTGGCTGTCCATGATCGGCCTGGCCCAGTACTACAAGGTGTTGGTGGACAATGGCTACGAGAACATTGATTTCATCACCGACATCACCTGGGAGGACCTGCAGGAGATCGGCATCACCAAGCTGGGTGAGGCCCCAGCCCCAGCCCTCGTCCCCAGCCCAACCCTCAGCCCAAGCCCCAGCCACCAGCCACCAGCCCAGCCCCAGCCCCGCCCCAGCCCCAAGCTGGGCCCCAAGCCCAGCCCAGCCCCGCCCCTAGCCCGGCCCCTGCCCCTCCGCCTCCTGGTCCACCTGACCTGCCCCCTGCGCCCCACTCAGGGCACCAGAAGAAGCTGATGCTCGCTGTGAGGAAGCTGGCAGAGCTGCAGAAGGCTGAATACGCCAAGTATGAGGGGGGCCCCCTGCGCCGGAAGGCGCCCCAGTCTCTTGAAGTGATGGCCATCGAGTCGCCGCCCCCGCCTGAGCCCACACCGGCCGACTGCCAGTCCCCTAAAATGACCACCTTCCAGGACAGCGAGCTCAGTGACGAGCTGCAGGCTGCCATGACTGGCCCGGCTGAGGTGGGGCCCACCACTGAGAAGCCCTCCAGCCACCTGCCACCCACCCCGAGGGCCACCACGCGGCAGGACTCCAGCCTGGGTGGTCGGGCACGGCACATGAGCAGCTCGCAGGAGCTGCTGGGAGATGGGCCCCCTGGGCCCAGCAGCCCCATGTCTCGAAGCCAGGAGTACCTCCTGGATGAGGGCCCCGCCCCCGGCACCCCGCCCAGGGAGGCCCGGCCCGGCCGCCACGGCCACAGCATCAAGAGGGCCAGCGTGCCCCCCGTGCCTGGCAAGCCACGGCAGGTCCTCCCACCAGGCACTAGCCACTTCACGCCCCCCCAGACGCCCACCAAAACCCGACCAGGCTCTCCCCAGGCCCTTGGGGGACCTCATGGTCCAGCCCCAGCTACGGCCAAGGTGAAGCCCACCCCGCAGCTGCTGCCGCCGACAGAGCGCCCCATGTCACCCCGCTCCCTGCCTCAGTCACCGACGCACCGCGGCTTTGCCTACGTGCTGCCCCAGCCCGTGGAGGGCGAGGTGGGGCCGGCTGCCCCGGGGCCTGCGCCCCCACCCGTGCCGACGGCTGTGCCCACACTGTGCCTGCCCCCTGAGGCCGACGCGGAGCCGGGGCGGCCCAAGAAGCGGGCCCACAGCCTGAATCGCTATGCGGCGTCCGACAGCGAGCCGGAGCGGGACGAGCTGCTGGTGCCTGCGGCTGCCGGCCCCTATGCCACGGTCCAGCGGCGCGTGGGCCGCAGCCACTCAGTGAGGGCGCCCGCAGGTGCCGACAAGAACGTCAACCGCAGCCAGTCCTTTGCCGTGCGGCCCCGAAAGAAGGGGCCCCCGCCGCCCCCACCCAAGCGCTCCAGCTCGGCCCTGGCTAGTGCCAACCTGGCGGATGAGCCGGTGCCTGACGCCGAGCCTGAGGATGGCCTGCTGGGGGTCCGGGCACAGTGCCGGCGGGCCAGTGACCTGGCCGGCAGCGTGGACACGGGTAGTGCCGGCAGTGTGAAGAGCATCGCGGCCATGCTGGAGCTGTCCTCCATTGGGGGTGGGGGCCGGGCTGCCCGCAGGCCTCCTGAGGGCCACCCCACTCCCCGCCCTGCCAGCCCAGAGCCGGGCCGGGTGGCCACCGTGCTGGCCTCAGTGAAACACAAAGAGGCCATCGGGCCTGGCGGGGAGGTGGTGAACCGGCGCCGCACGCTCAGCGGGCCAGTCACCGGACTTCTGGCCACTGCCCGCCGGGGGCCTGGGGAGTCGGCAGACCCAGGCCCCTTTGTGGAGGATGGCACTGGCCGGCAGCGGCCTCGGGGTCCCTCCAAGGGCGAGGCGGGTGTCGAAGGCCCGCCCTTGGCCAAGGTGGAAGCCAGCGCCACACTCAAGAGGCGCATCCGGGCCAAGCAGAACCAGCAGGAGAACGTCAAGTTCATCCTGACCGAGTCTGACACGGTCAAGCGCAGGCCCAAGGCCAAGGAGCGGGAGGCCGGGCCTGAGCCACCACCGCCACTGTCCGTGTACCATAATGGCACTGGCACCGTGCGCCGCCGACCGGCCTCGGAGCAGGCTGGGCCTCCGGAGCTGCCTCCACCGCCCCCGCCTGCCGAACCCCCGCCCACCGACCTGGCGCACCTACCCCCATTGCCCCCGCCCGAGGGCGAAGCCCGGAAGCCGGCCAAGCCGCCTGTCTCTCCCAAGCCCGTCCTGACGCAGCCTGTGCCCAAGCTCCAGGGCTCGCCCACACCCACCTCCAAGAAGGTGCCGCTGCCAGGCCCTGGCAGCCCAGGTAGGCCAGCCAGGGTGGGGTGAAGGGGCAACAGGACCCTGCTCCACCTCCTTACTCGGTGGTCTGAGGGGTTTTCCTTTTCTTGGGTTTGATGGAAGCCCAGGTGGGGTGGGAACGTGTCCCCAGACCCTCTCATCCATCCAGGGCTGGGGGCAAGGTGAGCAGGGTCTTTCCCGGTCCGCTGGGGAGGAAGCCGCGGGAGGCTGGGGCAGGGGGCGCGGCGGCGGAACTCGTGCCCGCTCGGTGCCAGCGTGGTCCTCCCCGCAGAGGTGAAGCGCGCCCACGGCACGCCACCGCCCGTGTCTCCCAAGCCGCCGCCGCCGCCCACAGCGCCCAAGCCCGTCAAGGCGGTCGCGGGGCTGCCTTCGGGCAGCGCCGGCCCTTCACCCGCACCCTCGCCCGCGCGACAGCCGCCCGCCGCCCTCGCCAAGCCGCCCGGTACGCCGCCCTCGCTGGGCGCCAGCCCCGCCAAGCCCCCGTCCCCCGGCGCGCCCGCGCTGCACGTGCCCGCCAAGCCCCCGCGAGCCGCCGCCGCCGCCGCCGCCGCCGCCGCCGCGCCCCCCGCCCCGCCCGAAGGCGCCTCGCCAGGGGACAGCGCCCGGCAGAAACTGGAGGAGACAAGCGCGTGCCTGGCCGCGGCGCTGCAGGCGGTGGAGGAGAAGATCCGGCAGGAGGACGCGCAGGGCCCGCGGTAGGTGCGGGGCGGGGCCTGGCGGGCGGAGGGCGGGGCTCGGCAGAGATGGGCGGGGCTCGGCAGAGATGGGCGGGGCTCGGCAGAGATGGGCGGGGCTCGGCAGAGATGGGCGTGCCGTGAGCGGGGCTCCGCCGAGGTCGTCGTGCGGTAGGCGGAAGCCGACGGAGATGCGGGACGTGGGCGTGTCCTGGTCGGGGTGGGCGTGGCCAGACCCGCCCCGCCCACTCACGCCCCTTGCCCCGCGCCCCGCAGCGACTCGGCGGCGGAAAAGAGCACTGGCAGCATCCTGGACGACATCGGCAGCATGTTCGACGACCTGGCCGACCAGCTGGATGCCATGCTGGAGTGAACGCCGCCTGGCCGGGCCCTCCCGCGCCGCCCGGGCCCTCCCCGCACACTGACCTATACCTCAGGATGGGCGCGTCTGGGCGCGGCGCGAGCGGCCGGGCAGGGCCCTGCAGAAGCACAACTCCGGCCCCTGGACCCGGGCCGGGGCGCCCACCGGGGACCGCCTGGCCGGGGGCTCCAAGGGCTCTAGGCAGACCCTGCGCCCGCGGGTCCTCCCCACCTGCTGCTCCCCGTGCAATACCTGCTGGGCCTCCTGCCCGCGCGGGAGGGGAGGGCGCCCCGGGACCAGGGATGGGGCAGCGCACAGGCCCGGGCCCAGCACAGAACTGCCCATCGGGACGCCCGGCCAGCCGCTCGGGCGCAGCACAAGGGACAGGGGACCAAGGTCAGGGCCCCCCTGCCCCACCGCACCCCCAGAATATAAGCTATCAAGAGTATTAATTTATTGGGAATGAGCTGAGGCGGATTTCCCCAGAGAAACAAAAAGGTATAACTTTAACAAATATATATTTAAAGAAAGAAATATTATTGATTCTATAGAAAACCATTTACCAACTGAAAGGACACGAAGTCTAGCTCCGGACAAAAGCTGTTAGAGGCCCAGGCTGTCTGCCTGCGGTCCTTCCTCCGGCCAGAGTGGAGGCCCCAGGCTGCTAGCACAGGTGGAAGGCTGGGGCCCGGGGGCGGGTGCTCTGCCGGGGGCTCCTCCGTGCTTCTCTCCTAAGTTCTCTGCGCCCCAAGAACTCGAGGTTGTGCCTTGCTCTCGGCGGCCGTGTCCTCCTCCTGGCGTGGCTGCGTCCCAGGGCGCGGGTGGGTTTGGTGAATGTGGGTGTGTCAGCGTGGCAGCCACGTGGAAGCAGGGCATGTAGCAGGCCAGGCCACGGGCTTGCAGCTCCTCTGAGGGTGTGCCTGGCCCCCTCTCCAGGGGCTGTGCAGGCAGCCCATCCACCCCAGTGGAGTTCCCACGGACGCTTCTGCTCATGGTCCAAGGCTGTGTTGTGTGGTCATTCTCGCCCTCCCTTTTCCTCTCTCCTCCTGCCCCCTCCAAGAAGTACTGACTGGTCTCCTCTATCGTGTTTGCTGATCCACAGTGTTGGGCACAACTTTGACGTTTCTTAAAAAAAAAATTTAAAAAATGCCGAAAACCAGCGATTGTGGTGTGGGGCGGGTGGAGGCGGCTGGCGGAGGTGGCGTCCCGGCGTGCAGGGCCCCTTCCTGCTGTCTCACCCCGTGTTTCCCTGCGAGTGGACGTGCCCAGCTGTCCCCCCAGGCCTCTCCTCAGAGGGCGGCACAGGCTGGGCTCCAGCAGGTGGGCAGGGGAGGTCTGGGCAAGGCGCTGCCGTCGGCTGTCAATAAACAGCAGGAAACAGAGGTGCCTGGCTCACTTTTTGGGGGCACATGTGTTGGGGGAGATGGGACTGGAGGCCAGCAGCTTGGGTGTGACGAGTTGCCTCCTAGCAGGGAGGGGAGGCCCCGGAGTGGGCCGAAGTCCTGGGGTCCACCAAAGGAAACTGCCCCATGCCCCCCCACTCACAGCAGCCAGTGCCTGTGCACACCAACCTCAAGGCCACACACAGCCCCCTTGTCCCGAGGAGCTGTCCCCACTCACAGCCACAGTCTGTGGAGCATTTATTTCAACCAGGAGGTAACCAAATCTACATACAGTCTAAAAACGGTAGAAAAGGTGAGTAAAAAGGCCCTCGCTCCATCTAGGGTGGGGATGGAGGGTGGGGATGGAGGGTGGGCCGGGGCAAGCGTCGTACCTGGCACCCAGAGAGGGGCTGGGCAGCAAGGACAGTGCCGAGTAGAGGGAGGCTCGCCGAGCATGGGACGGGGAGGGCACTGCCCGGCTGCCAGAGCCTGTCCACCTATGCCCACGGGGCAGGCAGAAACCCCGAGACCACCCCATGTGGCCAGCCTGGCTCAGAAAGGTCCAGGGCTGGTTCAGGGGAAACCACAGCCTGGCCTGGATCCTGTTAGCAAGTCCAAACCTGCAGAGAAAGGGCTGCTTCACCAGGATGTCCTGCGGCCGGCTGCCCTGCCCCAGCCACACCTGCCACACGTACCTGCCCTCCACCACTTTGTGCTGGGGCTGCCAGCTCCTCGTCCCCACCCCCGCTCCATCCTGTGCAGCCCCTTTGAATGGCCTGAGCCACGGGCACTGACCTTCACAGTGCTATCCACAGCCCCTGAGAAGAGTCGGCCCCGGGACACAGCCAGCGCGGTGACACTGCCCTGGTGACGCAGCAGGGTCTGCGTGCAGATCATGTTGTCCATACTCCAGACCTGGGGGCACATGGGACGTGAGGGCCCGCCGGAGCTCAGCTGCCAGCCCTCTGAGCCTCCTGCCACCGCTGGGCCAGCACGCACCCTGAGGGACCGGTCGTAGGATGCACTGAAGACTTTGGTCTGGTCTGGCGTCGAGATGACCGCCAGGGCATACACGGTGCCCACGTGGCCCGTGAGGGTCCGCACCTGCTCCTTGGACTCAATGTCCCACACCTGGGAGGGGTGGGCACAGGCAGGTCAAAGACACTGAGCAAGGCGGGGGAGACGGGGCCACAGTCTGGCCTTGCACCCAGATGCCCAGGCCTTACGTGGATGAGGTTCTCGTAGGTGCCACAGACAATGTGGTGATTTGTCACAGCAATGGAGTAGACGCTGCCACCAGACGTCTGCAGGACGTGGATGCAGTCAAGGGTTCGGATGTCCCAGATCTATGAGTAATCGTGGGCCAGTTGGTCCCAGGCCAGGTGCTTCACCCCCAGGGCCCCCGCACCCCCAGGGCTTCAGCACTGCTGGGCAGCCCACCCACCCAGCCAGGGGATGTGCGAAGGTAGGAACAGGGCAGATGGAGCCCCAGGTGCTGGCCTGGGAAGTGCTGGTAGGAGGCAAGGCCCTGTGGCCACCAGGTGTGCCCAAGCGCACCTTGATTGTCTGGTAGGAGCCGCTGTACAGGTAGCTCTGGGCAGCCACCAGGGCCCGCACCCAGTGGTTGAGGCCTGTGAGCTCCTTCTTCAACTTCAGCTCAGTGCCCACGATGTCCCAGACCTGCAGGGATTGCTGCAACTGTGGGCTGGGCGGGCAAGGGACGCCTCAGTGACACACACGTAGGC
This sequence comes from Homo sapiens, assembly GCF_000001405.40. Lineage (NCBI taxonomy): Eukaryota > Metazoa > Chordata > Mammalia > Primates > Hominidae > Homo > Homo sapiens. The sequence goes on along the minus strand of NC_000016.10, from coordinate 2,175,434 downwards.
ACAGCCTCCACCCGTACCTTGATGGCCTTCAGGGAGCCGCTGAAGAGCACGTTGTGTGAGGAGACCAGCGTGCACACCGGGTTGTCATGGGCCCGGATGGTGTTCACCTTCTGCAGGTTCTGGATGTCCCACACCTGATTGGGGAAGGACCGGCAGCCTCAGGGCACCAAGCCCTGCCACCTGGAGTCTGGAGCCCAGACGGGGAGAAACACGTCCCTGGGGCACCTACAGACTGGGGCGGGCCTGGGCCGCCTCCTGCCCACCCGCCTGTAGGCCCCACTCACAATGATGGTGCAGTCTGCAGAGCCGCTGTAGAGTTTGCACCTGGGGAAGCAGAGACAATGTGTCAAGGTGGGAGAAGCTGTGTCCATGCTGACACCGCCCTGGCAGGGCCCGAGGTCCATGCCAGCCATCAGGAACCAGCAGCATGGCCCAGGGCCAAGGCCACTGCTGTGTCCTTAAGCGTCAGCCTATTTTCCAGTCTCCACATGGGAACCTTGGAAGGGGCGGGCCAGCCCCTGATGCCTGCCTGGAAAGCATTTGACAGCGAGCTGGGAGGTAATTACCCACCCGTCAGCCCTGAGTCAGTCCCAGGGCCGGCTGCTGGCAGTCAAGCTGCCGCCTCCTGAAAGCGAGCATCTCTCACGCACACGCTTACTTGCTCGCTCCCACAAAGCCTCACGATAGGAGACAGGAGGCAGGCGGGCCACCTGGAGGCAAGAAAGTGGCCAAGGTAGTTGCTCCGTAGTCTCTATGCCCTGGGCTTTGGCTGCAGGCAGGGGAGAGCTGAGCTCCTGCCTTCACCCCCTAAGGTCCCCCCTATCTTCTGGTTGCGCAAGGTGCACCTGGGCCAGGACAAGGTTCTGCTGGGAGGCTGGCTGCGCCAGGTATTGGGAACACACAACTTTGGAGATGGTGTAGGCCACACAAGGGCCCACACACTGCTACCCAGGAAACAGTGCTGCTCCGGGTGGAGGGTGCCCTATAGGTGGGGCACACACATAGCTACACAGGCTCGAGCTCATGGCTCACGGCCCACGGGGTGGCAGCGCCACGTCTCCTGTCCTGGGAATCACTGATCACACATGTGCCTGGACTCACCCCTGGATGCAGAGAGCCAGCACGATGCCATCATGGCCCTCCAGTGTCTTCTGACACTTGTAGGTGGTACATGTGTCCCACACCTGCAGAGACCAGGGCCACAGTGGGTCCCAGCAAGGTCAGCCCAGTGTCAAGGGGCAGCATGACAGGAATGAGTGAGGGAGCCCCGCCCATGGGAGAGGGCCCTGCCCAGAAGGTCCCACCCATAGGCAGGCTGGCAGTGCCAGGCATGTGGCAGTGCCCAGCCCAGCCAGGCTGCAGAGACTGAGGTAGGACCCTGCCCACCTTGATGGTCTTGTCAGAGGAGCCACTGAAGAGCAGGTCACCCATGGAGTAGACGCAGAGACACCACACAGGGCCCTGGTGGCCCACAAAGGTCCCTTTGCACTTGAAGATCTGCTGAGGGTCGTAGGCTGCAGAGATGGGAGCAGTGGGTGAAGGCCCAGTTGGGGCCCGGGGGGGAGGGTGGGCGGGAGCCACGGCGGGTCCATACTCACAGCCTAGGATGCCCATGTTCAGCCGCGCGTTGATGTGGGACAGCTCGTCCTGCAGGGCCAAGGGCAGGGCAGAGGGCAGGTGGGCAGGGCTGCTGTGGGGCCAGTGCAGCCTCTCTGCCCCTGCTGCCCTGGGCCAGGGGTGGGCAGGGGTGACAGCAGCCCCTGCCACACACAAGACCCCTGATCTTGACTAGTGTAGGCAAGGCCAGGGGAGGCCTCCCTGCCGGGGCCGCCGGCCTCCCCGGGTCTCACAACCCAGCCCCTCCAGCCCCGCCCGCTCACATTTAACATGGATGCGTCCCGCCGGAACTCCATGAGGTCCTCGCTGAGCTTGCTCTGGTTTTCGTCCAGGACGTCTGAGTAGCAGGAGGAGAGGGGGTGTCACTGGTGCCCGGAGCAGTGGCCAGGCCCCTGCCTGCCCCGGTGCCCACCCTCACCAAACTTGAGCTCCAGGCTCTTCTCTAGCTGGTCGATCTTCTCCGAGAGCTTTCCCAGCATGGAGCGCAGGAAGGCGATCTCCTGGTCCTTCTGGGCCAGAGCCACGTGCATCTCGTGGAAGCGGTCATCCGTCTGCTGCAGAAACTCCTTCAGGCCCTCGAAGCGGCAAGTCTCCAGGTGGGTCTCGTAAGTGTCCTGGTTCCCGATGAACGTGCACCTGCGGGGACAGGACAGCTGCCTGCCTGGCGGGTCCCTGCCGGTGCCTCCCCATCCCCAAGAATCCCCCTCAAATGCTCCAGCCCTGTGGCCGCTGCACCCCAGGTCCAGCTGCCCCCACCCACACCTGCCGTCCTGCCCCTCCTCCCCATCCAGCTACCCCCAGTCTGCTTCACAAGTGAGATCCCATCACGTCACCCCCGCAGAGCTCTTCAAGGGGTCCTCCCTTCCTGAGGATAAAACCCACGCTGCTTGGCAGCCTCCCTGCCCACCTCCCTGCCCTGAAGAACTGGGCTCCTGCCTCTCCTCCCACCCCCACCTCCCTCTCCAAAGCTCTCAACCCCAGCATTTGCTCAAATCCGCCCATGCTGGGCCGGCTGCGGGAGCGTCCACGCCCGCCTTCCTGGACGCCCTCGGCTCCCCCTCTGGGTTTCCAGGGCCTTGGGCCTCAGAGAGGATTACAGACCCCGGTGTGGCCCCAGCTCCGGCCTACCTCCCCGGGACCAGCAAGCGGGCAGCTCTCAGCGGAGCCTGTGGAGGGCCTGCGCCCACCCCGGCCCACCCCCGCCCGCCCCCCACTCACCCGTACTTGGAGTGGGGGCATTTGATGTGCTCGCACTCCTTGAGGTGGGCCTCCAGGTTCATCCTGAGCAGCGGGGGGCAGCTGGGGTTGTTGGGACACCGCACAGGCCTGTAGTCACAGCTGCCCTCGTGGTCCCTGTGCCAGGGCGGGATGCGGGGAGGCCTCAGCCAGAGCCCTGAGAAGCAGCCCCCAGGGAGGCAGAGGTGCCCAGGGAGGGGCACTTACTTCCGGGCGCTGAGCTTGATGGTGAAGGGGCACCCTCGGGGGTCCACCTCAAAGATGGGGGGCTTCCCGCTGCCCGCTACCCGGCAGCCGTGCCGGCAGTGGATGAAGAGCTCCCCGATCTGCTCGGCCACCGCGATGTTGTTCACCACCACGGTCAGTTTGACGTTGTCCACGGGACACTTCTCTGGGAGAGGAGGGCGTGCTGACCCTCACGGCCTGCCTGGCACACGCTCCCTCACCCGGGTGGGCATGAGCCTCTAATGGGGGCCAGATCTGTCCATCTGCGCCTCTGAGGCACGCAACATGGGAACGGGGGCACAGGTGGGCCACCAAGAAGGAGCAGCAGGTGCTGAGGGAGTGTCACCTGTGACACTCAGCTGTGCCCGGAAAAGTGTGGGGTGGGGCCAAGAGGGCAGAGGGCAGAGTGCGGAGAGGCAGGCAGGAGCGGGCGCCGTGCGGGAGGACGACAGCCTCGCCAGTGAGAAAGGCCTCCCCAGAGGGTGCCAACCCTGGCATGGGGAGCCTCGGCCCACACCCACTGTGGGGTCTCTGAGTCTGGACACACTGGAATTTGGGGTGTCCCCACTCTGCTCATGGAGGTCCCGAGCCTCAGCCTGAGCGTCCCTAGGACGGCTGCAGCCCCATCCCAACCCCAGCAGAGGCCAAACAGGGCCGGACGCTGTGCAGGGGACAAGGGAGAAGCCGCCCGCCTCTGCTCGGCAGCCATGGGCACGGTCGGCGTCAGGCCTGGGCCGGGGCACAAACCTACCTGACTTCAAGGCGCATCTCCTACAGAACGTGTGCTGTGGAGGCAAAGGGCGGGCTTGAGGGTGGCGCAGGGTCCTCTTTTTCCCTAGTCCATGGCCATGGCAGCCACAGGCCTCGCTGTACCCCAAGCCCAGTGCAGCCAGGACAGGCCTTGACCAAGGCCAGGGCGCCACAGCCCCGGCCCCCGAGAGCCCTGGGGTCCTGTGGGGGCCTCTGGCAGCAGGGGGGCTGGGAAGGGCGGCGGGCTCACCCCACACGTGGTGATCACGGGGTCTTTGAAGACGCTGCAGCAGAGCTGACAGCACAGCTTCACCGAGGGCTGCTCCGCAAACACCAGTGGCTCCTGGAACCAAGCGGGAAAGGCAGGCGATGGCGGGAGGCCACCCTCAGCCCCGCCACCACCCAGGCACCCAGGCGCTCTTGCTCCAGGCCTGGCTGTCCTCTGAGGACAGGGTCACGTCCTGAGAGAGGCCTGCTTAGAGCTGGGGGGCTTGATCGGGGCCCAGGAGGGAGAGCGAGGTCTGTGGCCCCAGAGGCAGGGCCCAACCCCGGAGGATGAGTTCAGCCGCCCAGCCTTGGCCGCCCTCGCCCGCCTCCTTCCTGGGGTGAGACTAGAAAGGGCCCTGCTGGAGCCCTGTGCTTCCCGCTGCCAGTTCCCGGGCAGCCCTGAGAAGGGGGAGTGGGGGAACATGCCCAGGGGACCCGGCCTGGTCCCTCGAGTCCCCACCACGGACCAGCAAGCACTGCAGTTCCCGTCAGGCCCCAGCCGCCCTCTCCCTGTGAGCTGGGCGGGCATGGCGGAGGGGAAGGTGCCTCCGTGCCACGGCTGCGGTGACAGCCCTGGAAGCCGCTCTGCGCCGAGTCCCCCACACCTACCGGCTCCTCCTCCTCCTCGGGCAGTGAGAATGTGGAGCGCAGAGACATGCTGGACTCTGAGTGCAGGGAGCGGACAGAGATGGCGGAGTCGGAGCGGCGGGGAGTGCTGATGGGGGGCTGTGTGGAGGGAGAGGCGCCTGTCGGGGGGCTCCGCACGGGGTCAGAGCCTCGGGGAGGACAGGACCCAGCCCGGCGGAAGCGCGAGGGCAGCAGCACCCCTGGGGCCACCCCGGTCCCTGCGGGTACTCTCCTCGTCCACGGGGGCCGTGGGTGGGCGTGGGGAGCTGATGCAACCCAGGTCCCTGCCTGCCCGCCTGGGCGGCCTGGGCCGGGGTGCTGGGCTGCCCGCTCACGCCTGCCACCTCTCTTTGTGTAAATGGAGAGACTTCCTGCTATTCAATTCCATATACCCGGGCTGCTTCCTGCTTCCCGTGGGGGAATGTGGGCCGTGAGGGGGCACCTCCACCAGCCAATCCTGGACAGCCGAGGCCGTGACCGCAGGATGGAAGGGCCAGGAATGCTGGCAGGGAGCGACGGCTGGGCTCCAGGTGCCCCCCGGGCCTGGCTGCTTGTCTGGCCTTGCTGGTGGGGGACACCAGGCCCAGCTGGGAGGCTCAGAGGGAAGGCAGGGCCAGGCCCCCAGAGAACCTCGGCTGAGCTTCCCGAGGGCAGGAGTGAGGGCCACAGGTGCCTGCCTCTGGCTGAGCCACCGACAAGGGAGCCTGGGGGAGGGGCAGACACTGTCCCTTCCTCCCCTCTGGCCTGGAAACCTCCAGAAGTTTCCAAGAGCCACACTGCCCAAGGCTTCTCTCCTGGTGCTTTGACTGCAGAGGGGCCCAGCTGCTGCTCTGCCGAGCCTCTGGCCCCCTTCCCGGCAGCCTGGGTATGAAACCCACAGAGCACAGAGGCAAACCAGTCCCAAGGCCGGCGGGGGGCATTGTGTGCCATGTACCCACCTCCCTTTGGGTCCCAAGGGCCCGTCTGCATGGAAGCAGCACATGGGGAACAGAAGGGAGTCAGAGAAAGTGAGTCACAAGGCCCCACAGCAGCAGAGGGAGCCCCAGGGGCGAGAGCAGAGCAGGAGCTGGCACGGGAACCACTCTCCCGGGCCTGCCCAATACTACCCCAGAGTCTCCCACCCTCTTGGGCGTAGGGGCTGACAGCAGGCAGGCCTGGGGGACGGGGGAAGGGCAGGAGGGGGACTCCCTGTGTGGGCCTATCAGCAAACAGAGAAGGTACCCGCCTCTCTTGAAAGCCACCGTGACCCATGGGGATAGCAGGTGATTATGGGAACCACAGACATGGAGGACTCGTGGCTTCGGGTTGTGGAGACCGAGGCAGGCAGAGGCCCAGGGGACGGGGCCCAGACATACCCAACTCGCCCTCGGCCTAGCACAGCGCCCGGCACACAGGTGTGTTTGTTCAATTAATTAAAAACTTCTTTTCTGGCTGAGCAAGGTGGCTCACACTTGTAATCCCAGCACTTTGGAAGGCCAAGGAGGGGGCAGATCAGCTGAGGTCGGGAGTTCGAGACCAGCCTGACCAACATGGAGAAACCCCATCTCTACTAATTCAAAATTAGCCAGGAGTGGTGGTGCACGCCTGTAATCCCAGCTACTCGGGAGGCTGAGGCAGGAGAGTCACTTAAACCCGGGAGGCGGAGGTTGTGGTGAGCTGAGATCACACCATTGCACTCCAGCCTGGGCAGCAAGAGCAAAAGTCCGTCTCAAAAAAAAGAAAAAAGGAAAAAAGAAAAGGCCTCGGTCCCAAGAGGGCCAGCAGGGCCGCCACACCTGGTGTCCAAGCACTGGAGAGAGGCAGCTGCCAGAGAGGCCCCACACACCCCCACCCCCTGCTGGGCCAGTCCTTCATGCCCAGGGTAGAGTTGGCCTCTGTCCCCTGGGTAGGCCCAGAGCCCAGCAATGAGCGCCATTGACCAGGATGGCAGGGAACGGCCACTGAGACCCTGGCCACAGGGCTCAGGTACCAGCAGCCAGCCCCCGACTGCCCTGATCCTTTCTGCACCTCACACAGCCAGCAACAGGGAATTCTCCGGCTCCCCCAGCACTTGGCGCAGGTTCCGCAACCCCCACCCCATTGCCTCTGGTGTCCCCACAGCTTAGGTCCACACACCTTTCCCCCCGCCTCATCAGGACCCCTCCTCAAACCCTGCCTGGACCCAGCAACCCCGCTCATTCCCTACCCAGCAGCAAAGGAAGCTTTCAAAGCATGTATTTTATTGTGCTATCCTCCTGACTGAACTTTCTGTGGTTTCCACCTCCCTTAAGATGGAGCCAAATATGCCTCATCCTGGCCTGCAGGTGCCAGGCCCTCTGACCCAGCTGCCCTCACTGGCTGCCCCCTGCCACCCACAGTCCAGCCACAGGAGCCTCCTTTCTCACAGACTTGCCATGTCTGCCGAGGCCTCAGGGTATCCACAGGTGCTCTTCTTCTCCTGTGCCTCACCAGCTCACTGTCAACTCCTCCTGGGACCTGGTTCCCCCAGGAGGGAGGATGGGGGGAGGCTGAGGCTCACACGGGCTCCTGGGGGTAGGGACCTACCATGCTGTCCTCCTCGTCCCGCGGGGAGTAGGCAAGGGTGCTGGAGGAGGAGGGTGTCCTGCAGTGCTGCTTGTAGGTGCTGGTCCCGTCAGCTGCAAGGCAAGAGGGCTGGCGTCTCAGTGGGGGCTCCCTCAGCAGATGTGGGGGAGGTGGGGCCCATGCTGGATACCCGACCCTGTGGGTCCCCTGTAGCTCACAGCCCTCCCCAGGGCCAGGCAGGCAGGAAAGCATGCAGGGATGGCACGGGGGAAGCTTGGGTTCCCTCTCAAGGTCAAACCAGTGCCAGGAGCATGGACGCTGGGCTCGGTCTACATCTGGACAGTCCCAGCGCTGAGCCCGGTAGCCCCTGCCCCAGCCCTGCCTACCCCAGGCAGGGTCTTCTTTCAGGGCCTCTACAAGCTCCCCAGCACCCCAATTGAGCCAGCTGAGGCTCATGGCCAGCACGCAGCCATCACTCTGAAGGCCGCCTGGCAGCAGCTGGGGGTGCCATTTTATTTGCCTCTTGAGGCACCTCTGCCAGGTGAGTTCCCTGACAGCCTCCACTCACAGAGGGGGAAGCTGAGGTTGAGGTGTGGGCTGGGATACAGAAGGGCCAGGACCGCATCCTGGTGTCCCTGGCACAGCCAGGACCAGGAAGTGGCCCCAGCTTTGGTGGCCTCCTCTGGGGCAGGAGCTGAAGTGCCCTCCCTCCTCCTGCCCACACGTCACCCCAGCTTGGCCAGGGCCAGAGGGCAGGGCTACCGGCCGGTCAGTCCACGTGGGAGGCAGAGAGAGACACCTCCCGGACTCAGGACCAGCCCAGCTCAGATGTCACGATGAGCCCTGGGCTCGAGATTGAGGCCTCGAGAGGCTGCCGTGTGACTGGGCCTCGGTTTCCCCATCTGTCATGAGGGGCCAGGTGAGGTACCTGTGGGCGCCCTGCTGCCTGGCTCTGCCCATCCCTGCCGCCGAGGGGCCAGGCATAGCAGCCGTGCCCTGCCCCATCATGGGTACCTTCCGCCGTGTGACAGGGGCCATGGGGCTTCTAAGGGTAGATGAAAAGGCACCGTTTTTTGGGGGGTAGGATTAGAAAAAAAAAGAGGGCCCCTGGAGAGCCCCTGAGGGGATCACCAGCAGCAAAGAGGCGCTACTGTAAGCAGGTGTCCTTGGCGGCCCTATGACCCCATGGCCAGGTTTATCAGAGCAATTAAAAAGCTAATTAGCAGCCAGTGTGCTTCTACAAAGGGCAGAGTGCCAGAAAGGAGAGAGAACAAAGTCACCCCAGAACCCCACCCCGGAATGAGGGTCCCTGGCCCTGCACCTCGGGAAGAAGGCACTGCCACTTCCGCATGGTCTCCCTGAGCACGGCGCTTGCGTTCAAAGCGCAGCACTCTGGTTTTTAGGGGATAGGACTGAGAAGCAGCAGGGAAGCTTCAGGTTTCTGTCGTGTATCCCGCCCAGTGGTCTTGTGCAGGTGAAGATTTATTGGGCTTGGCTTGCTGGCTCATGCCTGTAATTCCAGCACTTTGGGAGGCCAAGGCAGGAGGATCACGTGAGCCCAGGAATTTGAGACCATCCTGGGCAACATGGTGAGACCTCATCTCTACCAAACATAAAAAAAATTAGCCAGGTGTGGTGGTGCCTGTGGTCCCAGCTACCTGGGAGGCTGAGGTGGCAGGACTGATCCCAGGAGGCACAGGTTGCAGTGAGCCAAGATTGCGCCACTGCATTCCAGCTTGGGTGACAGAGTGACACCCGTCTCAAAAAAACAAACCAGACTTATGGATCTCTTCCACTCTCCCTCCCTTCCTATTAACATGTCACAACTGCAGCACTGTTACTGAAGCCCTAGGGCCAAACTCAAGAGAAGACCTCCGGGCACACGGGACCTTTCGGAGGCTGGCCAGGAGCCTGAGACTGGGGACAAGCTGGGGATCACTGTGACAAGGGACAGGGCTGTGTGGTGGTGCTGGAGATGTCAGGGCAAGCCTCCCTAGAGGGGATGAAGAGGGCAGGGAGAGAGGGCACAGCACAGTCACCGAGGCACAAGGAGCAGGACACCCGACTCCTGTCCAGTGGGGAGGCCCAGGGCTGAGAGGCTGTGAGGACACAGGCTGCGGTGTGAGGCTGCCCGCGCCCAGCACTGGCACCCAACACCAGCTCACCGGGAAGTGTCCCTCAGTCCTTAGCAGGGTGGGCATGGGGGTGCCCCGGTTATTCCCAGCCTGGGCTGGCCTTGGCTTAAGGGCTCACCTTTTGTGATGGTGGTGACGGCTGAAAAGGCGGGTCCGAAGGTCGTTTCCATTCTGGTCTAGAGGGAGGACGGAGGAGACCTGGCCTCATTCCGGGACACAAGGAGGACGTGCACATGTGGAGCCCACTCACATGCCTAACACGCGACCAGGCCAGGCCACGCAGCACTCACACACTTAACCATGCGACCAGGCCACGCCACGCAGCACTCACACGCTTAATCATGCGACCAGGCCGCGCCACGCAGCGCTAACACGCTTAACCATGCGACCAGGCCAGGCCACGCAGCACTCACACGCTTAACCATGCGACCAGGCTGCGCCACACAGCACTCACACGCTTAACCATGCGACCAGGCCAGGCCACGCAGCACTAACACGCTAAACCATGCGACCAGGCCAGGCCACGCAGCACTCACACGTTTAACCATGCGACCAGGCTGCGCCACACAGCACTCACACGCTTAACCATGCGACCAGGCCAGGCCACGCAGCACTAACACGCTTAACCATGCGACCAGGCCAGGCCACGCAGCACTCACACGCTTAACCATGCGACCAGGCCGCGCCACGCAGCACTCACACGCTTAACCATGCGACCAGGCCGCGCCACACAGCACTCACACACTTAACCATGCGACCAGGCCGCGCCACGCAGCACTAACACGCTTAACCATGCGACCAGGCCGCGCCACGTAGCACTAACACGCTTAACCATGCGACCAGGCCAGGCCATGCAGCACTCACACGCTTAACCATGCGACCAGGCCAGGCCACGCAGCACTCACACGCTTCAGCATGCGACCAGGCCAGGCCACGCAGCACTCACACGCTTAACCATGCGACCAGGCCAGGCCATGCAGCACTCACACGCTTCAGCATGCGACCAGGCCAGGCCATGCAGCACTCACACGCTTAACCATGCGACCAGGCCAGGCCACGCAGCACTCACACGCTTAACCATGCGACCAGGCTGCGCCACACAGCACTCACACGCTTAACCATGCGACCAGGCCAGGCCACGCAGCACTAACACGCTTAACCATGCGACCAGGCCAGGCCACGCAGCACTCACACGCTTAACCATGCGACCAGGCTGCGCCACACAGCACTCACACGCTTAACCATGCGACCAGGCCAGGCCACGCAGCACTAACACGCTTAACCATGCGACCAGGCCAGGCCACGCAGCACTCACACGCTTAACCATGCGACCAGGCCGCGCCACGCAGCACTCACACGCTTAACCATGCAACCAGGCCGCGCCACACAGCACTCACACGCTTAACCATGCGACCAGGCCGCGCCACGCAGCACTAACACGCTTAACCATGCGACCAGGCCGCGCCACGTAGCACTAACATGCTTAACCATGCGACCAGGCCAGGCCACGCAGCACTCACACGCTTAACCATGCGACCAGGCCAGGCCACGTAGCACTCACACGCTTAACCATGCGACCAGGCCAGGCCACGCAGCACTAACACGCTTAACCATGCGACCAGGCCAGGCCACGCAGCACTCACACGCTTAACCATGCGACCAGGCCGCACCACGCAGCACTAACACGCTTAACCATGCAACCAGGCCGCGCCACGCAGCACTAACACGCTTTACCATGCGACCAGGCCAGGTCACGCAGCACTCACACGCTTAACCATGCGACCAGGCCGCGCCACGCAGCACTCACACGCTTAACCATGCAACCAGGCCGCGCCACACAGCACTAACACGCCCCAACCACACACGCACGCGTGCGCGCGCGCGCGCGCGCGCGCACACACACACACACACACACCACACCCCCCCCCACCGAGCTCCCCTGAGACCCCAGCTCGGGACGGGACTGCGCTGGGAGCTCTGCAGGCAACACCAGATCCCTGGGGCATGCTGGGGGTCCTGGGGATGTTGGGCTTGCAGAGGGGCACACCCTTACCCCTGTGGTGACGTCTGGGGTGGGAAGATTGCTGGGCCCCCCGGAGAAGCGGTTGTAGCGGGCACTCTTGCCTGAGCTCATGCTCTAGAGAGGCATCTACGGTCCTTGGGAAGCACCTCCTGTGGGTGGAGCACAAATGAGGGGCTTGAGAGATGGAGCCCAGGCCCCTGTGAGTCAGACGGGCTGCTGCAAGTGTGCAGACCTGCTGTGGGGCACCGTGGGGCCGCCGCAGCAGCCTTCCACCACCAGCCCCGGCTCAGGCAGGCCTCTAGGAGGCAAAGGTCCTTCACCCCGATCCCAGGTATGCAGAGGCCCGGGCAGGCAGGCGGCTCTGCGTCACCGTCCCTCAAGGCTTAGCCTTTCTGAGCTCCCGAAGAGCCCATCCAGCTCTTCCCCGAGGTGGAGGGACCCCTGCCTGGCTCCCTCTACTCCTCTGGGTCCTGAGTCACAGCCAGTCACCTCCAGGCTGAATGTCCCTGGGGCCAAGGCTGGGCCTTGGTGGGTAGGCCCAGGGTGTGGCCCACGTGGCGGGACGCAGTCACACAGGGACCAGCCAAGGCACGACGAATGTGTTTCCTGCCACGACAGGTGCGGTCAGGACCCAGCCAGCACCAGGCTGCAGCGGGGAGACACCAGCCACACCCCAGAGAAAGAACCTGCAGGGTGAGTCACCGGAGCCCAACTCCACACAAACCGCACTGCACGGAAAAAAGCACAGGAGAGAGATGAGCCCGCCCCTGGAACCCGTGCAGGTCACCCACACTCCCAGCCACGCCACAGGGGCTCAGGGGCTGGTGGGTGGGGGGGCAGGGAGAAGGCATGCGGGAATCACCCTCCCCAGAAGAGAGGGGCTGGTGGGCCTGGGGGAGACGTGGCCCCTCCGTGGGTGCTGGGAGTGCTGGCCAGGCCCAGGGACACCAGTAGGGGAAGGTAAACATTAGAGAGAAAAAGAGACCCAGCCAACAGGTCACACCCAGGACAGAGCCCGGGGAAGGGGCTGTCCATGCTGGATGACGCCCACTCTCCCCCCGTGAGGCACCAGGCTCTGTCAGCAGGCGCCCCTCCTCCCGAGCAGGTCCCACTTTCAGGACTTGGGCAGCCTGGAAGCCAGGAGCCTGGCAGAATGCAGCTGGGACAGCCCTGTCTCCTGCTGGCAGCGGATAGCGCAGCCGAGCCCCGGCTTGAAGCTGAGCTCCCTGTGGGGAGGAAGGCCACGTGCCCAGGACTCCTGCCCCGGGCCCACCTGCACTGTCCACCTCGAGGCCCATGCGCAGCACCCCATGAGGACACACCATGGGCTCAGCTCCCAAGGCAGGAGCCCTCAGAACAAGCTTGCTCTGGGGGCGGTGCAGCAGCAGGGAGCCCACTCCTGCGGCCCTGCTCTCACCCTGGGGAAGCCGGGCTGCAAACCAAGGCCCCAGGGGCCTGAGAGGAGCAGGACAGTCCCAGTCCCAGGCCAAAGTGGCGGAGCTGGTCTCTGCCCCCACCCAGCAGGAGCACAGCTCAGGGGGCATCACTGAGCCCAGCTGGCTCCAGTACCTCCTCCATCAGTCCCTCCTGACTGGGTCCCTTTGGCCATGCCCGCCCTGCATGCGCCTTCAAGATGCCACTCATCACCCACCACCGTGCCCACAGTCTGGCCTGGGGCCCCCCAGCCCGGCCTACAGGTGTGCAGGGAGGGGCTGGCTCTCAAGCCCTTGGTTCCCTGCACCTGAGCTCCTGGGCTGTCTACCACTCCTGCTGTCTCCTCTCCCATTCTCTAGGCTGCCCAGGCCCACCTGTCCCTTCCAATGCCACCTGGAAGGCCACCCACCCTGGAGCCACTCAGCCTTCAGGACTCGGGCTCAACCCGACATCTCAGCCCCTGCAGTTGGCAGCGCCACGAGCTACCTGGCCCCACCTGATCTTTGCGTCCCATGGTCTCGGGAGATGGGGCCTGGCCAAAGCCTCCCTCGGCCTTCCCCAGGCCCCACTGCGACTCGAGGGGCTTGGCCCTGTGTGACCCAGACTAGGCTCTCGGGGGACTTCTCTTGTGGAAGAGGCAGGGGCTCCTGAGTGTGGGCAGTGCCACACACCTGCAGCCAGGCTCAGAGGAGTCAGCCCTGGGACAGAGGTGTGGTCGTGGTGTGTCTACAAGGCTGCTCTGCCCTGGCACATGTCTATCCCGTCTCCAGCAGCTCCCGGCAGGAAGGTCGGGGAGAGCTGGCCAGGGCTTGCCTTTTGCCATTGTGCTTGGGGTGAGGATGTCCCAGCTGGGGTAAGGCCCTGATAGCCTGAAGTGCAGGGCGCCATGACTCGGCACAGGAGGTTCAGCCCTTTTGGGAGCCCCAGGTTGGCTCCTGCCCTCTGGGAGCAGGGAGGGGATCACCGGGCAGCCACTAGGAGACACTGACCTGCATTTTACAAACCCATCAGCTCCCTGTACTGCAAGCTTCCGGGGCCCCAGGGCCAGCTGCAAGCCCTGCCAGTGATGCCTGCCCGGGGGCCCAGGTGGCCAGGACCCCAGCAGGCACTCCCCTGGGATGGGTCGGGCTGGCCTCAGTGCCTGTTGCTCACAGTCTGGGAGAGCAACTGTCTGGCTTCCCCCTCACTCTGAAGTGAGGTGAACAGAAAGGCACGCAGGGCAATGTGCAAATCAGCCAGAAAGTCCCAGCTGGCCAACAGCAGCCGGGCCACGGGGACAACACCACAGGATCTGTGGGGTGTGCGCAAGACCCCATCGAGCGCCAGCTGAGGGGGACGGAAGGAGGGAGGGGACGGAGGGAGGGAGGGGGCAGAGGGAAGCAGGGGGACGGAGGGAGGGAGGGGGACGGAAGGAGGGAGGGAAGGAGGGGGATACTCTGCACAGGAGGCTGCTTCCCAGTTCACTCGGGTTCAGTGTTCAGCCCCAGCCAGGGACATGGAGGCGGGCGGGACCCTGGGGCTGGAGGCCAGGGAACGTTTGTGTCCCGCCCTAAGGCAGGATCCATCCCCGCACCTCGGAATTGAGCAAGATGCCCGAGGCCTCCCCTCAGCCCAGTCCCCAGGGACTGGGTTTTGCAGTAAGTTTCCCCAGTAGGGAGAGGACCCCTTGGGCCACAACTGGAAAGCACAATAGCTCAGCATCCCCTGATGGCTGGGAGGCTTTTCTGGGGGCATGCCCTGGCCCCCCAGAGGGAGAGTGCCTCTTTCCCCACCCCACAGTCATCGAGGCTGGGGGGTGGCCGGGCAGGAAGTTGTCAACCGGAGTGAGAATTCCCCTTCAATTCTCTGGCCTCTCTGCCCTCCAGTTCCCAGTGCTGGGGAAGTGGGGGTGTGTTCCATAGAATGAGAGACTCTTCCCAAACCGGGAAAAGCCATGGGGGCAGCTAGTGGCTGAGAAAGGGCTTTCCCCATCAGCCCCCCTACCCCTCCCTTCCATGTCCCCACCACGCCTGCCCGAGCACCGCCCGCCCACCCACACCGCCCGCCCATCCACACCGCCTGCCCGAGCACCTCCCGCCCACCCACACCGCCCGCCGGTCCACACCTCCCGCCCGTCCACACCGCCCGCCCATCCACACCGCCTGCCTGTCCACACCACCTGCCCGTCCACACCACCTGCCCGTCCACACTGCCCATGCTGGATGCTCCAGGAGTATTCGATCTTTGAAAGAGAAAAGTCATTGAGGAAGCGCAGCATCCACCCTGGGGAAGGCCAGTGCTGACCTTCAGGGGCGAGGTGCGTGGGTCAGCACCGTGCAGAGGGGAAGGGCAGGATTGGCCCCCCACCGTCCCCTCCAGCTGGGGCCAACGCAGGGCAGCCCCTCCCTGACCTCGCCTGAATCTGGGATTCAGGCCCAGGGTCTTTGTCCACCCCACATTCACGTAGGAGGGATTCCGGGGCCCTGGGGGCACCCACTGTGCAATAAGGAAGTGGAAGTCTTCCTCAGCGCCTCGCTGCCTCCACCCCAGCCCCTCTTCGGCAAATCCCTCAGGAGCCCCTCCCTAGCTCCCACAAGCTGGGCTTAGAGGGCTCTGCTGGGGCATCGCCCTGGGGGCATGTGGGATGCGGACACCCACCCCTTTCCCTGGAGACACACCTGGAGGGGGTCTGGGTCAGGGGTCCCCGCCCACTTGGCAGCAGCCTGGGGGGCCCTGCTGAGTGGGGGAGATGGGGGCTTCCAGATGCAGCTCCCTGCTCGGGCCAGGCCCGGCCTTAAAGCAGCTCCTCCAGCAACCCGGAGCAGGTGGGGTGTGGGGGTCCCCTGAACATGTGTGGGGCGCAAGCCATGGGTGGGTGTGCCTGTGAGGCCTGCAACTGCCCTGGGAGGAGCCTGGGACGGCTCCAGAAGCCTCCGCCCCGCCTGCCACAGGGCTGTGTGTGGCCGGCTGGCTGGACTGCGGCCAGAGCTCCGAGCGTGGCCCCTGGCATCACAGAGCCTGCCCAGGGCACCCACAGACTGCCCGCCCCAGCCCAGCCCCTGCCTCAGCCCCCTGGCCCAAGCCCAGGCCGCTAAATTCTATAGAAACAGGCCTGGTTGCCATAGCAAAGCCACACGCACTTCCGCCGCTGTTCCCTGACGTCCCTTAGAACGTTTTTTCCATCCCAAATAGGCAGGGTGTGACGTCGAAGGCTCCTGGGGTGCCCCGGCCTCTGCCAGCCTTGGTCCTTAGGATCCCCTCAGAACCCCAGCAGGCCCTGGTCTGAGGCCGGCTTGGCCCCGCTTCCCTCCTAGCACGGCGAACCCCCTTGCCTGTCCCTGCCCCCAACACCCACAGCCCCAGCTCTGCAGAGGCCTCTGAACTCCTCCCCCAGCTCTGCTCCTACTGCATCCACTCAGCCTCCAGGCCTGTCTTGCCCTGGCCAAGCCTCTCCAGCGTCCGTATCTCCCTCTGCTCCAGGGAGGGGGTCCCCACAGCTCGGCCAAGGCTTTACCCCAACTTCACAGTAAGGATGCCTTTTGCTGCCCCTCCGACCCCTTGGGGGCTGGCAACATCTCTCAGTCCTTTTTTCCCCTGTATCTCATGGCTGTCTATTGTGTGGGGACCTGGCCCAGTCGAGGGGAAGTCCAGAGGGCTTCCTGGAGGATGAGGCTGCTGGGATCCAGAGTGGGGAGAGTATCCTGGGGCACAGGAAGAGACCCCAGCTTCACAGCTCTGGGCTGGGGAGTGCGTTCCTGGCTCTCACCCAAGTCAAGTGGGCCTCAGACTCTCAGAAACAGGTCGTGAGCTTTGCCCAAGAGCCAAGGGTGGCAGTGTCCCCCCCCCCCCCGCCGAGCCCACGCTTCCCAGTCCCACGCTGTGTTCTCATTTGCTTCCTGTGTGGCTCGGTCTCCCGGGCTCCCTCCTTCCTTCTGCCCTGCAGCAGCAGGGAGCTGACATAAACACTGGCCATACATGGGCCCGAAGAGGCAACAGGAATGTGAGGGCAGAGACCACTGACCCCCTCAGTCACCCAGCGCCCTCATGCCAGCGTGCCACCGCACTGCCACCTCCTTTCCCACACCGTCCCACGGCCCTCAGTCCTGGCCCTCTGCGTCGCTGCCCCCTACTTCCCACCTGGGTGCTTCTGGGGTTGGGTCACCTCCACCCCGAGTTTCCAGGCAGCCGGCTTCCTCCAGCCGGGTGAGGGTGTCCGGGTCTACACGTGACCAGCCCCAGCCTCCAGTGCCCGCTTTCCCCTTTCACCTGCCCCACCTGGCTGCACCCTCCTCCTCCAGGGAGCAAGGCTGGGGACAGCAGCGGATCTGTCAAAGACTAAGGGGTTGGTGGGTCCCTCTCCACAGGTTCCCCCCGCATGATCCACACAGAGGGCCTGGTGAAGTCCTCGGTGCCCACCCACTGAGAAGGCCGGACTGAGACACACGCAGCCAACAGCTCTCGGCCCTCCCCACATGCCCTCCCTGACCCCGCAGGGTGTCCATCCAGGAGATGCTGTGACACCGTGGTCAAGGCCACAGGCACTGGGCTCAGACAGAGCTGGGTTCAAAGTCCACTTCTACCACTTCACAGCTGTGTACCTGCCCTCCTGGCCTCGGGCTTCTCGAAAAACGGAATAGAGCCAGAACCCTGTCTGGAAGGAGCCGAGAGAAGATGGATCCGTCAAGAGTGAAGGCACCCCAGACAGCAGCTCCTCTGCTGAGTGGACCATGGAGGCTGAGGAAGGCGGAGAGGCCGGCCCAGGGACACAGCCAGCAGGCTGTGCCGCTGTGACCAGAGTCACATTCCTTCTGCTTCGTCCACGGCTGCCACACATCCAGGAGCCCCGGCAGCGCCTGAGCCAGTCCCATGCCAAGCCGGGGAGTGGCTGCATCCCAGAGCCAGGCTGCCCAGGCCTCCTGGCCAGGAGGCTCTTCAACTGCATCTTCCTCCTTTCCCCAAACTGCTCATTCCTTGTCCAACCAGCTGGCCGAGAGTCACACCAACCACGGGGTGCCAGGCCCCATGCGGGAGGGTGGGGATGTGTGACGGCTGAACACGAATCTGACCCGGGAGGAGCTAGGAGCCTTGTGGGGGACACAGGCAGACAGAGGGGCAGGAGCCCCACCAATCGCCACTCAATCTGCCAAAGGCACTTTTCGGTGGGTGCCAAAGACCCTGAACTTTTCCATTCACTTCCAGAAATATCGTAACACTTGGCCCCAGTGGGCCACGGTGGAAGTCACTTCACCAGAGACCCTCAGGTTGGGGCGTCAGGTTGGGGTGCTGACTCCCAGCCCCTCCCCTCCTTAGGCCAGGCTGCCCATACCACTGCTCCCCCTCAGGACACGGGGCCCGAGGCTTCCACAGAGAACTATGAATGCCCAGAACAGTGAAGTCAGGATATTCGCAACAGAGAGGCACAGGGAAGGGGTCTAGGAAGGGAGAGGCCCAAAGAGAAGGAATGAGGAAGAGGGAGGCTCCTCACTTGGCGAGGGCTAGGGGGCCTGTGTGTGCCCAGGAAGGGGTCTGAGGGGTAGTGAGAAAGGTGGGCAGACAGGCTGGGCGGCATGAAATTCCTGAGCAAGCCAGCAGCCCCTCACCCCCAAGAGCAGGGTGGGCTCCAGCAGGCCCCTGCCCCTGGACTCCAGACTCAACCCCAGCTGACCACTCTGGCCTGGCTCAAGACAACCGTATCTTGACAGCAGGACCCCAGTGGGGACTAGGAGACGATGGCCTAGCCTCCCTCTCTCCTGCTTCCCCAGTGAACTCTGAAGTCTGTGGTCCACACACAGTTAGAAAGCTCTTTACTGGACCTAGATCGGACCGCCTCTCCAGCGCTTCCTCAACCCCAAGTCATTTGCCAGCATAATAACCCCCCCGCCCCACCCCACCATGCACCCTGTGAGCCTGGTCCGGCCTCATCGACTTCACCTCTCCACTTGCCAGTGCTTGCTGGGGTGCGTCAGGCCCCTTCTCACCCCAGGCCTATGTACATCTGGCTCTTTCTACTTGGAATGCTCCTCCTGCATGTCCTGGGACTGGCTGCTTCTCCAACAGGCCTTTGGCTAACGGTAGCGCCGCCCCTACCCCCGGCCAGTACTCACTTTTTCAGCACCCTCTTTCTTTCTTTCACAGCACATACCGCTGCTCCCCATGATTTTAACTACCTATTGTCAATCCCACCACCCTGTCTGTCTAGATGGGGGATGGGGGGAGTTGTTCCGCAGGAGGCATTTGCCAATGCATGGAGACATTTGTTATCGCAATTGAGGAAGGGGTGGTGTTTACTGGTATCTAGCGGCCAGGAGCCAGGCAAGCTGTTCCACATCCTACAATGTACAGGGCAGCTCCTCGCAGCAAAAAGCGACCCGGGCCGCGTGGTCGATGGTGCGGAGGTTGGGGAACCCTGCAGCAGACGCCGAGCACAGGAGAACTGGGACCGTGTTCTCCGCGGTCTCCCGGCGCCCAGAACAGTGCCTGGCACCCGGGAGTCTCGGGGAATGCAGGAAGAAGGAATGAGTAAAGAACTGCGCGAGAACAGGACGGAGCGAGGGACGGACTACTGACTGGCGGACGGACAGCGACGCGGACCCCGACCCTGACCCCGACCCCGACCGTCTCAGCCCCGCCCCCCCCTCCCCGCCCCGGCCCGACCCCTCGCCTCGCCTCGCCTCGCCTCGATCTCCACGCGCCCGATCCCGCCCCACCGCGCGGTCCCGAGGCGCGAGCCCCGGGTCGGGCGCGCCGCGGGGACACTCACCCGCCCGCGGCCGCCCGGGAGCGGCAGCGCCGCCAGCCCGCTTCATGATGCCCCCTCGGCCGCCGGCCGGGAAAGGGACTAGACGCGCGAGCCGGAAGCGCCAGGCCGCTGCGCCCGCCGGGACGTGTAGTTCCCCGCCTCTCCGGGCCCGGACGGCTGCCTCACGCGCCGCACTTCCGAAACTACGACTTCCGGCGGCCTCGTCGTCGCGGGGCGGGAATGGCAGCTTCAGAATCACTCTATGTTGCAGATCGAAGTCTGATTGGCTTTGTTCATCCGTCACTCACCGTTAGGCTTCACGGACTCTGCATAAGGGAGGAGCTTCGGGTCTGGGTCTGAGAGACCGTCTCCAAAAGAAATGCCACGGTACGATTGGTGGAAACAACGCGGCAGGGAGCGGAGCGTACCAGCGGCGGGGGAAGGCGGGCACTTCCGCCAGGATAGCCCAATGACAGAGGTGGGACAGTTTCTATAAAAGCTTGAGCCTCGCCCGCCCCTGTCTTTTCGGGGTCGAGTCCGAGGGGGAAGAGGTTTGTTAATACGTTCGCCATGTGCTACGATCTTGGGACGAACTGAGCCACGAGCGTGGCTTTGAGGGCCGTCCGAACGCTGCAGGCCGGCCAGGTCCCTGGGCGTCCAGGCCTGGCCTACGCACCACTTTGTCCCTTAGCGTTTAAAGGTTTCTTCCCGAATCTCAGGCCCTCAGCTACCTGCAGGTAAGACTGGGCCGGGCTTGGGTTCCCTTATTCTCCCAGTCTGTGATGAATTGCTTTGACTTCTGACACCTCGTATGAAAACTGCACGTGCAGTCTGATTATTTAGCAAGACTGAGGCTTGAGGGTGCGCACTCCTGACGGGGAGCTGAGAGTGGAAACAGGTGTTGCCCGAAACGAAGGAGTGGGGACTTAATGTCTGTATTTTGGCGCTGACTTTCAGGTTTCGTCGCGAGCCGGCTGCAAGTTTTGAACCTAAGTAAACCTCAATCCGGAGGGCCTAGCGGTAAGGTGGGCGCTGTGTCTATTGAAGTGCTTAGCAATAAAGAAAGGTAGTGAGTTGATTCGGTTTTCTCTCAAGTGTCTTTATTTTCCTATTCTGGCACCCCAGAGGTCTGGCTGATCCACAGGCAATCTTGGAAAAGGGTACAGACATGAAAACGGAAGCTCGTTACCAGTGACTTTTCATCTCTTGGGATTGCCTTCTCCATTTCTGCCCGTGATTTTTTTTTTTTTTTTTTGAGACGGAGTTTTGCTCGTTTCCCAGGCGGGAGTGCGATGGCACAACCTCCACCTCAAGCGATTTTCCTGCCTGAGCCTCCCAAATGGCTGGAATTACAGGCGCCCACCACCACGCCCGGCTAATTTTGTATTTTTAGTAGAGACGGGGTTTCTCCGTGTTAGGCTGGTCTCAAACTCCTGACCTCAGGTGATCTGCCCACCTCAGCCTCCCAAAGTGCTGGGATCACAGGTGTGAGCCACCACGCCCAGTCAAATACTGTTTTTCATGCCTTTTGCCCCAGGGTGAGTCCAAAAAGGCTTTTGAGATTTGTGGAGGGAAGTTGACACCACCTAGGGTTCCCATGTGCCTCCTTAGGGAGGCAGCCATGGGCCATGGAGGAATGGTAGCCACACACCTGCTGAGGGTTCTGGGCCTTGCTGAGTCTCTCAAACTCCAGCATCCTGCTCTAGAAGTGGATTTTTTTCAACAGATGAGACAGACGCTCCAGAAAACACAACTTTATTCACTAGGACTGAAAACAAAGGCTTGTGCAATCAAAAGGCCAAGTTGAGTGCAAGGTGGAGCGTGCTCGGAAATCACAGACCTCACCTGTGGCCAGGCCGGGCTGGCAGTTGTTGTTTCTGGTGTTTTCTGTGATTTCCCACATTTTATCACAAGGCCACAGGCATCCTCCAAGGTCAGTGAGGAAGACCCTATTGCTGTTTGAGCCAGAGCCTCCTAGAGGGTGGGCCGGGAGCAGGCAGCTCCCAGGACACACAGATGCACGATGTGATTAGCAGTGAAGCCTTCTGTCCCAGGCGTGGGCAGGCGTCCTCCCTTAGCTGCCTGAGCATGTGCGGCTGAAGACATGGCTTTTCTAGGGTTAGGCACTGTGCGTGGTGCCAGCCCCAGCCCTCCCTCACCTGGACGTGCCCAGGAGGGGGCAGCAGAGCACCGTGGCAAAGTCTGTCCACTTGCCGCTCCCCGTCCCGTGCAGAAGACTGCTTTTCCGTGGCGGCCAGTGTGCGGCCACGGGCTCTCAGAAGCCTGCTTGTTGGGACTGTTGCTGGGAGGAGGAAGGGACAAGGCTTGACCTGGGGCTCCTGAAAACAGACACTCGGGCGTTGGCCACTGGGCAACAAAGTCAGAAGGGCCTGGAGACCCTCTGTCCAGCCTTCTAGGGACTGGACGGCTTCCTCCAGAGGACTGAGCTCAGCCAGGTTCAAGGGCGGCAGCAGGAGGCCCCTCGACCCTCCCTCTTAACGTAATCATGCAGCCGGAAGCGCGGCTCGCTGGGAGCCTTCATGGAGCGCTGCTTCAACTCCCTGCGGAGTGGGGGTGACAAGGGGACACGATGGCCTGGACTCTAATGAGGATTCAGGCCCTGGGCTGGGGGAGTCCTGGTGACTGGCAGGACTTACTTTGCTATGGCTGTGAAGGCCAAGTCCACGTTGAGGCCCGTCTTGGCGCTGGTCTCCATGAAGGGCAGTCCATACTCCTGTAAACAGCTGCTGCCAGCCAGGTGGTGGCCTGGCGGGGACAGCCTAGGCTCGCAGCCTCCAGGGGCACCCCCTCACCACCCCCCTGCCCTGACTCACCTTGGCCAGCTTCTCCCCGTCCTCCCTCTTCACCACACGCTCATGGGCAGAGTCCACCTGGCCCAGGCACAGGGTCTTGGTGAAAGCTGGCCCATGGTTGGCCCCTGCCCCCTCACCTGCCCTGCCCTGTGGCCCAGGTGAGGACAGCCGGGCCTCCCACCTTGTTCCCCAGCAGCATGAGCGCCACGTCGTGCTGGGCGTACTCGTGGATCTCGGTCAGCCAGGCCTGTGGGAGGCAGCAGACCAGGCTGGGGCTCCCTGCATGGCTTGCCCCATGCCCCAGAACTTTGGCCCTCCAGGTCACACTGTAGAGGGCACCTGTCTTTATCTTTTTTTTTTTTTTTTTTTTTTTGAGACAAGAGTCTCGCCCTGTTTCCCAGGCTGGAGTGCAATGGCTCCATCTCGACTCACTGCAGTCTCCATCTCCTGGGTTCAAGCTATTCTCCTGGGGTTCAGAGAACCTTGGGAGGGTTCAGCCTCCCAAG
This sequence comes from Homo sapiens, assembly GCF_000001405.40. NCBI lineage: Eukaryota > Metazoa > Chordata > Mammalia > Primates > Hominidae > Homo > Homo sapiens. The sequence continues at coordinate 2,152,560 of NC_000016.10, read as the reverse complement.
TGACTGGGATTACAGTTACGCACCACCACGCCCAGCTAATTTTTTGTATCTTTAGTAGAGACGGGGTTTCACCATGTTGATCAGGCTGGTCTCCAACTCCTGACCTCGTGATCCGCCCACCTCAGCCTCCCAAGGTGGTGGGATTACAGGTGTGAGCCACCATGCCCAGCCCATTTTATTTTTTTGAGACAGTTTTGCTCTGTTGTCCAGGCTGGAGTGCCGTAGCACAGTCTTGGCTCACTGCAACCTCAGTCTCCTGAGTAGCTGGGATTACAGGTGTGTGCCAAAACGCCCGGCTAATTTTTGTATTTTTAGTAGAGATGGGGTTTCCTCATGTTGGCCAGGCTGGTCTCGAACTCCTGACCTCAGGTGAGCCGCCATGCCTGGCCAGGATACCTGTCTTTAGAAGTGATAACCCCCCGTGTACCACATACAGAAGCCCACCTTACAGGTCCCTTACACAAAGCCTCCTGCTGAGGGAGCTGGAATGGCACTCAGGTCCACTTGGGCCACCTCCAGCCCAGAAGGCTGTCATTTCCCCCTCCCCTCTCTCAGCGGGGTCCTTTGGAACCCTGATGCCATCTACCAGAAGGAGGTTGGGATGGGTCAGGCCCTATCAGGGCCCTTTCACCCCACCAGGAAAGCCACTGACCTGGATGTTGTCAAAGGAGGCCTTGTTGGTGACATCGTAGAGCAGCAGCAGAGCTGGGGACAGAGGGCAGTGAGGACATCCACCATCACCTGCACCCTCAGGTGCTCAGACCCCCGCCCCAACCAGCCCAGGTACCCAGGGGCTCACCATGAGCATCCCGGTAGTAGGCATGGGTAACACTGCGGAACCGCTCCTGACCAGCTGTGTCCCACATCTGCAGCGACAGGCACTGGTCAGGCTGTCCAGCCCTTCCCTGGTGTCCCCTGTCCCCCAACTTGTCCTCTGCCAGTCACCTTACCTGCAGCTTCACCTTCACACCATCCACGTCCAGAACTTTGTTCTGAAACAGACAGAACCAGGCAGCTCTGGCATGGGCCCAGCCCAGCCTCTGGTCCCACTAGCTTCACTGCCTTCCTGTCCCCTGAGACCTCCCAGCTCCCAGGTCCAGCCCAGCCCCTGCAGGCTTCCCTTAAGCCAATTTGACCTCACCCACACCTGCAAGTGCAGGCCTCTCCCGGCAGCCTCTGCACTATTCCTGCTTAGAGCCTCTTACGCTGACTTATTTGAACTCATGACCCCACCAGGCCTCTTACTGACACTGCCTCGGTTTCCTCATCTGCAAATGGGTGCAGTAACTAACGAGCTGCAACGCCTCAGCCTTCCCAGTAGCTCTTTTTGCTAATTTGAAAGACTCAGGATGGCTTGAACCCAGAAGTTGGAGGTTGCAGTCCACCATGATCACCACTGCACTCCAGCCAGGGCGACAGAGTGAGACCCTGCTTCAAAAGAATAAAAAATTAAAGCCACTCCTTGCTGGGATTGTCAGGGCTGGGCCTGGGCCTGTCTGACCCAAGGCAGTAACCGCAGATCCCAGAACTGCCTGGCAGCGTCCCCAGCCGGGCCCTCCCAGTTAACGATTAGACGTAAGGCAGGGAGTGGTCTAGCCCCAGTCCCATCTGTTGGGGTGGGGGCGGGGGGCTTCAGCCGCAGTCTGAGGCCCTGGGCAGCTGGAACCTGTGCCACCTCCTTCAGCCTGAGCTCCTGCTGTCAGAGTGCTTCTGGGTCTCCCGGGAACCAGGCAGGGCCATCTGCTGGGCTGGGGAGGACACCGCCTTCCCTGGCACCCTGAACGAGAGTGCGAACCAAATGGCCTCACCTCTTACCACCTGCCCGAGAGCCAAGAGGGAGGTGGGGAAGTGGGGACCAGACAGGACTGGCCTGCCCCCCTCGGGCACTTCAGTCGTCACTCCATCCCAGAGGACTTGAGGGGACTTGGAACCCCCAGACTGGAGGGAGCCCCTTTTCCTGTCCCTGGAACAGCCCTTCCTCCATCCTCCCTCTAACTGGCTCTAATTAAAGGGTGAGAAAAATGCAAATTTAAGATTTGCTGAGGACAAGCCGGCACCTCAGCACGAGGAATTCCAGCTGGTGGGGGTGGGGGTGGGCGCTCCTCACCCAAGAGCAGGGTCCTCTCCCCTAGGCAAGCCCTGGAAACCCTCGCTCAGGCTCTGCAGGGAGCATGTGCTTCTAGGGCCCAGTAAGGCCTCTGTACCGAGGCAGCACTGCTGGCCCCAAGTGGACGTGGCCCTTGACTTCCTCTGACCCACCACCCTGTAGGCAACAGTGTCCGCCTCCCCCAAGGCACAGGATATGGTCCCTCGGTAATGCCAGCCCCTGGCATAGGGCAACTAACTATGCTTGTCGGGTGCAGCCACCAGCCCAGGTGTTGGAAGGTCGAGGCAGGCAGCTTCTGGGGTCCAGGCCTCGAGCCTGTTGGTACCATGGGGATCAGAGAGAACTTGCTGCTCGGGTACCGGCGGGACTCTGATGTGGGGCCAGGCCAGGGCCTCCACTCACCCGGAAGTCAATGCCTACGGTGGAGATGAAGGTCCCCGCCAGGAAAGCACCATCCTTGAATCGCACCAGCAGACAGGTCTTCCCCACACCCGAGTCCCCCACCAGCATGACCTAGGACAAGCAGGAGGGTTGGGGGGAGTCTGGTCTGCCCTGAGCTGGCCTGGTCAGAAGGGGGCTGCAGGTGAGGAGCAGGAGTGGAGGGAGGCAGCCCAGGCCTGCAGGCTCAGCGGGGCCAGGGACCCCGATGGGCTGGACACCCAGCGTATGCCTCTGAAAGGCTGGGGCTGCTCTGTCCTTCTGCACAGTGGCCGTCTCAGTCAGCGGGGAGTGAGGGCAGCCACCTGCATCCCGGACCCTCCCTAACGTCCATACCCCCACACGGTGGACAGCATCTGGGAGGGGAGCAGGTGGGGTGGCAGCTGGGTACCTCCTAAGAGACTTGGGGAGGCCTCTGCCGGGGGCTTCTCCACATCCCAGTAGGGACATGACCCCAGCAAGGCTCGAGGAATTTGCCCCATTAGGATCAGATCTCGATCTGAAGAGGGACCTGGGCCAAGTCTGAGGTTGGGGGGAGGTGCAAGTGGGCAGCAGTCAGGCCTTCTCCCCGAAACCTGTGCTACCAAACCCAAAATGGTCCTCCCAGCCCCCTGCCAAGTCCACACAGCCTCTGCCTTGGTCTGGAGTCCCAGGGTTCCCCATCCATCTGGCAAACCTCTTCCCCCCAGCAAAAAAAAAAAAAAAAAAAAAAGGCCCACAGCCGCTGGGTTGAGGGAGGGCAGCATACGGGAAATGGTGAGACCCCGGGCGGGGGCCAGGGCACTGGGGCGCGGGACCCCTTGTGCCACCATGCCGCCTGGGGGGTGGGGGACAGGCCCTGCCAGCTGTTGGATACCCCAGACCTGGGATGGACAGCTGTGTGTGCACGATGCACCGTGCAAGCCCCACGGGGTTCCTCCCGCGTCGGCTCCGCGCCCTGGGGCCGCGGGCCCTGCACCCCCTGTCCGACCCCCAACCCTTGGCTCAGGCCGGGCGCCACCTGCTGCGCTGGCCTGGGGGGCGGGTGCCTGGCTCACCTTGAAGGCGACGTCGTAGAAGTCGACACCGCCGCCAAGCGAGGGCCGGCCGGGCTGCAAGGGCCCGTTGGGCGGCGCGTCGGGGCCGGAAAGCGCAGTCCCGGAGCGCGCCGGTCGGGCCCCGTTGGCGGTGGGCAGCGTGGAGGCAGCGGGGGTGCTGGCCCCTTTGCTCTTGGGGGTCTTCTTCCTGGACATGGCGGGCGGGCGCTCAGTGTGCTCCCGCTGCAGCCGCCGTGCCCTGGGCCGTCCCGCACCCCGCGCCCGCCGAGCCCGACCCGGACCCGAACCCTTCCCCTGGCGGCGGCGGCGGCGGCGGCGGCGGCGGCGGCATCATCCCGGGCGCCCGGCTCGCGCCCCGCCCCCGCCGCTCCACGGGCGCGCAGCCACTCAGGCCCGGCCTCCCGCCGCCGCCGCCAATGCCGTGCGTGGGGCGGGGACATGCAAATACACCCCCGCTCGGCGGGGGGTGGGGGGCGGTCAGGAGGTCCGGGCCCCGTCCCGCCCCCGATCACGACCCCTGCCCGTGGCTGCCTTGGGGCCAGGAGCCAGCTGTGGGGTGACAGGCCTGGGCCAGGAGTCACCCCGGGATCCTGAATCCCCTCTGCTGGCTGCACACCACCCCAGCTCGGTGACCCCCAAACTGGACCGCCAGACCTGGGAGGAAGGGGTGTCCTGAGATGTGGGTGCTGGGGCAGAGGGCCCGCATGGACGGGCACCGCGGGCTTCTGTCTCCTTAGCCCCAGATGCCTAGCGCTTGGCCCGGTGCCCTTCACTGCTCCATCCCCTCCAGGGTAGGCGGGTCCAGGAAGCTCCAGCCCTGGCTTGGCAAACACACCAGGCTGCTGGGGCAGGCGCCCTGGGCTCAGGTGACAGCTGGTCACCGGGAGGACACAGCGGGCGCTGCGATCTCCCCCACAGCTTCTGCCTGCTGTGCACGCCTGGGGATCTGCGGGAAGGAGGAAGTCGCTGTGGCAGCCAGCCCCCGGCCCCCTGAGGGTCCCCTCCCACGGGACTCTGCCCTCAGGGTCTGAAAGGTGGAAAGCAGAGGCCCCTGCCCAGGCTGTGTGGCTGGCCCCTTGTCCTTCTCCTCCAGGTTCGGACCTTCAGGTGGCCAGGGCCGATTCTCCAAATCCTAAGCTGGTCCCTGGCAGACCCACCTCCCCAACCTGGGCTGCACTGGAGCTCTGTCACCCCCTCTCACAGAGAAGATGGGACTGCAGTGGTCAGAGCTGGGGCACAGTGGTCCAGAGGGGTGGTGTCCTTGGCATGCAGGGGCTTCTTGGTGTTTCTTTGGGAGCTGGAGAGATGACCCAGCTGTCCCCGGAGACCTGACAGCTGTCACCAGGACCTTGGGCCCTTCAGAGACCTGAGCCCTCCCAGCTGGCAGTGCCCAGAGTCCAAACAATTGGCTGCCTCTCGGGTCAGAGGCCTGAGAAAACACAGATGGGGGGCACTGCCCAGCAGAGTGATTCCTCGAGAGGGCCTGGCAGAGGCCGTGGAAGCCTGCCCTACAGCAAGCACTGTTGTGTGCCAGGCACACGACCTCTTCAAAGTTATCCTGCAAGGTGGGTACTGCCCTCAGTGTCCAGATGGGGAAACCGAGGCCCAGAAAGGCAAGGAGCCTGTGCAAGGTCAGCAGGCTAGGAAGGGCAGAGCTAGGATTTGTTCCTGTGATCTCCAGCTCCAGAGAACATAAACCGTCCCATGGCAGAAATCCCTGTAGACTTAATCCCCAGGAACCTGGCAGAGCTGGGGGTCAAACCCGGAAGCCCTCTCAGAACCCTTCCTTGTCTCACTCCTCTGGCCCCCCAGCTCTTCCAGACCAACCCCCAGTGTGTGTGCACTGGGCCTGGGTAGAGGCATTTAGCTTCTGCAGCTGCAGCCCTGGGGACTCCAGGTGTCCACCCGCGCTACAAGGCCTCTTTCAGGATGGCTGGCCCAGGGTCTGAGCTGGGGGCCTCAGCAGCTGCTGTGCACTGGCCCCAGGGTCCTGGGCAGTGGACTCCCAGTCCAGTGGACCCCGTCCTGCCAGCTGCTGCTCAGGTACCCCCAGGGCGCGGGCAGCAGGAGGAGTTGGGTGCAAGTAGGGCATCCTGCAGGGGGAGGAGTGCGGATGGGGCCCCCAGGAAGAGAAGGAGGCAGGCGCGCTGGAGAAAGTGGGAGGCCAGGCGGGGAGGGGAGCCTTGAGAGAGCAGAGGAAACGGGCTTGCGCTGGCAACCTTTAAAATTAGGAGAGTTTACATAAAAATCCAAGTCTCTGGTTTCTCTTGAAAATGGGGAGCTCTGGGTGCCTGCATCACAGACCCCTCTCTTGGCTTCCAGCAGGCCTCGGAATCTTTGATCATTATGTCTCTTGGTTGCTGTGTTTGCCATCTGTTTCACCCTCTGGAGTGTAAGCTCTCCGGGCACAGGAAGCAGCTTGTCTTGGTCAACTGCTGTCCCCAGCAGCCAGCTCTGGGCCTCCATAAGCAGTTATTAAATTGGTGAAAGAGGTGTGGTGGCTCACGCCTGTAATCCCAGCACTTTGGGAGGCTGAGCAGGCAGATCACTTGAGGCCAGGAGTTTGAGACCAGCCTGGCCAACATGGTGAAACCCCGTCTCTACTAAAAATACAAAAATTAGCTGGGCCTGGTGGCATACGCCTGTAATCCCAGCTACTCGGGAGGCTGAGGCAGGAGAATCGCTTGACCCCAGGAGGAGGAGGTTGCAGTGAGCTGAGATTGTGCTGTTGCATTCCAGCCTGGGTGACAGAGCGAGACTCTGGGGAAAAAAAAAAGAAAGAAAAGAAAAGAGAAAGAAATGTGACTTAGAAACACAGGCCTCACTTCAGGAGGACATGTCCTTGCTAACAAAGATTTAAGGCAAGTGTGATCAGTAGTGAGGGCAAGGCTTCTGGGGGAGGGAGGGTTTGCACTGGGCTTTGAGGATTGAGCTAGAGTCCGACACGAGAGAGAAAGACAGTCCCCAGGTGGAGGGAGTCAATATGCATAGGCTGAGAGTGCTAGGAGATGGGCACTTTGTGCCGAGGTGGCCAAAGTGTGGCCCAGTTCCTTGGAGGAAACGGGAGGTAATCAAGCTGGTAAGGTAGGATGGGGTCAGCTGGGAAGGGAAACCTGAGTGTTATTCCTAGGAGCTTGGAAATTGTACAGCGGGAAGTAGAGAGCTGTGCGTGGCTTTTGAGCAGAACAACAGAGGACGCTGTGCTACAGGAATATTGGGGACTGGCAGGAGGGGATGGATGGTGGAGCCTGTAGGCCTGGAGATGAGATTGATGGGGGTTGCAGTCACCCAGGGGAGGGATAATAGGAACAGAGAGGACCTTCAGGAAAGAAGCTGTAGGCCTGGAGGCAGGGAGGGGAGGGTCAGAGTCCATGCCCATGGGCAGAGACCAGTGGGATGCTGCAGTGGGTTAAAGATGGATTAAACCCCAGCACTTTGGGAGGCCGGGGCGGGCGGATCACCTGAGATCGGGAGTTCGAGACCAGCCTGGCCAACATGGAGAAACCCCGTCTCTACTAAAAATACAAAATTAGCCAGGTGTGGTGGCGGGCGCCTGTAGTCCCAGCTACTCAGGAGGCTGAGGCAGGAGAATCGCTTGAACCCAGGAGGCGGAGGTTGTGGTGAGCCGAGATCGCGCCATCGTACTCCAGCCTGGGCGACAAGAGCGAAACTTGGTCTCCACAAAAAAAAAAAAAAAAAAGGCCGGGCGCGGTGGCTCACGCCTGTAATCCCAGCAGCACTTTGGGAGGCCGAGGCAGGCAGACCACGAGGTCAGGAGATCAAGACCATCCTGGCTAACACAGTGAAACCCTGTCTCTACTAAAAATACAAAAAATTAGCCGGGTGTGGTGGCGGGCGCCTGTAGTCCCAGCTACTCGGGAGGCTGCGGCAGCAGAATGGCGTGAACCCGGGAGGTGGAACTTGCAGTGAGCGGAGATCGCACCACCACACTCCAGCCTGGGCGACGGAACAAGACTCCATCTCAAAAAACAACAACAACAACAACAAATAAAACTAGAAAAACTAGAACAGGCAGCCAGCGAGGGCAAGGCGGGGGCCGGCGAGGGCAAGGCGGGGGCCGGCGAGGGCAAGGCGGGGGCCGGCATGGTGGGAAAGTTCAGCAGGGAGGCCTTGGGATGTCCGGATTCTTGGCATCTTCAGACCTGGAGAAGAGAGGAGTCCTGTGGGCCAGGGCAGGTCCCTGAGACAGGGTCCGAGTTTGAGATGGGCCCTGGGAGCTGGGGGCGGAGAGTGAGGTCCGTGTTCCCCTGGGAGGGGTGCTACAGCCCCCCACCCTTCTGGTGCAGAGCTGGCTCTTCCAGGGAGGGGAAGGTCTCCACGGGTTCCTGTCCTCGAGCGGAGAGAGCGCCCTGGGTCTCCTTGGGGCCTTGCTCTGGGACTTTCGCTCCTGTTACCTTCTGACGGCCCGGCCCCCTGGCATCCTTACACCGTGCCCTCTAACTCCTGCCAGTTCCTTCTGACCGTCCTGGGTGTCTGGAAGGATGTGTGCTGTGAGCCCCCAGCCAAAACGACCCCTGGGAGCCATGGATCAGGACAGTCTCTTTCTGGCCCCCATTTTCCAGCCTCTTCCCTACACTCTGCCCCCAGAGTGGGGCCCTCGGGCTGGCCCTTGTGTGCCAGGAGAGGGGGCGCAGGCACGAGTGAGGCCTCCTCAGGCTTCCAGACTCTGCCTGGAGCCCCACCCTCAAGGGAGCCTGCCCTGGCTCCTCCTGCCCCACTTCTGGCTCCCTGGATGCTCTCCAGCCCTTCCCCAGCGGCTGCATGGCCGCTGTAGCAGCCTGGGAGCCTCCTGAGGACAGGGCCCTGTCCTGCCTACTCCTGTTCCCGCCAGGCACTCGAGCGAGAGCTCTGTGGCTGAGCAGCAGAGAGCTGGGTTGGACTTCAAGGGGCTCTTAGCAAGCCAGGGAGTGGCAAAGCCGCCACGGCCTGTGCCCCCAGGGCACCTCCCAAGACCCTCCTCTGGAGCTCAGCGGTCTGTGCCCTCCGCGGGGTCCCCGGCTTGCTATGTGCCCCTGGGCACGTGGCATTCCCTGTCTGGGCCTGCTCCCCTCTCCATGAAATGAGGGGGCAGGAGGAGCCGATCTCTGAGGTCCCTTCCAGCTCAAACACCTTATGTTCTATGAAATCCGTGTGAACGTTGCCATGGAGACGTTGGAGGAACTGCGGCAGCACTGAACGCAACTTCCACCCGAGAGAGGAGCACTGAGTCACCCCAGCACGTGGGTGACATCACAGGTAAGCTCTCTCCGGTGTCCAGGTGTGCAGCAGTCTGGTGTCCTCCTGAGAGGTCACCCCCCTTCAGCCTGCTCACCATGGTGGCCCTGAGGCCCTACCGGGTGGGTCGGGACAAACAGGTGTCCATCCCTGCCCGAATGGGGACCCTTTGTCTGTTGCCTGCAGACGTGACCACAGTGACTCAGGTGCTCCCAGACGGGAAGGCAGCAGAGGTGATCTGCCACACAGAAGATGAGCTAACGGGGGAGTCATGTGCGCCTCTGTGGCTGTCAGAGCAGTATCCTCACTCCTACGGAGCCAGTTGCCTGCTCTCAGCAGTGCTGGCTTCCTGCGCCTGAGCTGAGTGAGGGTGTCCGCTTAGCCATTGGAGGAGGCAGCATCAGGGCTCCTGGCTGCAGGCTCTCCCGGCAGCCTCAGAGTGACACACATGGCCTCACGGCAGGTGCAGGGATCCCTGTCGATGAACAAAACAGACCCCTGCGTAACCGTAACAATCACTGACTACCCCGGACTGCACCAAGTGCTTTCCTTGCAACGTTTCTCTCTTTTTTTTTTTGAGATGGAGTCTTGCTGTGTCACTCAGGCTGGAGTGCAATGGCGCCATCTCGATCTCGGCTCACTACAACCTCTGCCTCCCAGGTTCAGGCAATTCTCCTGCCTCAGCCTTCCGAGTAGCTGGGATTACAAGTGTCCACCACCACGCCCGGCTAATTTTTGTATTTTAGTAGAGACAGGGTTTCACCATGTTGGCCAGGCTGGTCTTGAACTCCTAACCTCAGGTGATCCACCCGCCTCGGCCTCCCAAAGTGCTGGGATTACAGGTGCCCACCACCACGCCTGGCTAATTGTTTTTTTTTTTTTTTTTTTTTTTTGAGACGGAGTCTGGCTCTCGCCCAGGCTGGAGTACAATGGTGCGATCTCGGCTCACTGCAAGTTCCACCTCCCGGGTTCACACCATTCTCCTGCCTCAGCCTCCCGAGTAGCTGGGACTACAGGTGCCCGGCACCACACCCGGCTAATTTTTGTTTTTGTATTTTAGTTGAGACAGGGTTTCACCGTGTTAGCCAGGATGGTCTGGATCTTCTGACCTCGTGATTCACCTGCCTCGGCTTCCCAAAGTGCTGGGATTACAGGCGTGAGCCACCGCACCCTGCCCTTTTTTTTTTTTTTTTTTTTTTGAGATAGGGTCTCACTCTGTTACCCAGACTGAAGTGCAGTGGTGCGGTTCCGACTCACTGTAGCCTTGAACTCTTGGGTTCAAGCAATCTTCCCACTTCAGTCTCCCAGCAATTTTTTAGTTTTTTTTATAGAGATGGGGGACTCACTATTGTCCAGGCTGGTCTTGAACTCCTGGGCTCAAGGGATCCTCCCGCCTTAGCCTCCCAAGATGTTGGGATTACAGGCGTCAGCCACCGCGCCCAGCCTTGTTTTGTAAGAGTCTAAATTAAATCACAATTATCTGATTCTTCCACATTTGATAGAACTTGTCCACAAAAAGATCTGGATTAAGTGTCTTTTCCTGACATGGCTTTTGATACGTTTTCAATGTGTTCTTTTGTTATTGGTCTATTTGGGGTTTTAATTTTTTCTAGAATTGGTTTTTACAGTTTGTAACATATAAGCATCCCATATAGATTTCAAAAATGTAGGCAAACAATTGCACATAATTTTCTTTTATAATTTTTAACTTTTTTCATCTCTGTGAATAAACCTTCATTCTTCATCTGAATGTCCCATATTTTCTTTTTCTCTCTCCTTTTCTCTCAGTCACACTTACCAGAAGTTTTTCCTAGAAAAATCTTAGCAACTATATCTATTAAATAGCTCGATTTTATTCATCAATTCTACTCTTTCTTTTTTTTTTTTTTTTTGAGGCCCAGCCTACTCTTTCTTTTAAAGTAACTAATTTCTGCTCTTTACTTTCTAATTTCCTTCCATCTTTTTTGGGGGGTTTATTTTACAGGTGTTTTTCTAGAATGTTGAAATAAATACTTAATTTATATATTGGTTTGATTCTTCATGCTAACTAATAAAAACAAGTGAAGTTATCCGTTTCTCTCCATGTATAACTTTGACTGCATCCCCATAGATTTTCTATGATGTTTGCTCATTACTATTCATTTCCTTTTTTTTTTTTTCCTTCTTTTTTGAGACAGAGTCTCGCTCTGTCACCCAGGCTGGAGTGCAGTGGCATGATCTCAGCTCACTGCAACCTCCACTTCCAGGGTTCAAGTAATTCTCCTGCCTCAGCCTCCCTAGAAGCTGGGATTACAGGCATGTGCCCCCACGCTCTGCTAATTTTTGTATTTTTAGTAGAGACAGGGTCTCACCATGTTGGCCAGGTTGGTCTTGAACTCCTGACCTCTGGTGATCCGCCTGGCTTGGCCTCCCAAAGTGCTAGGATTACAGTCATGAGCCACCCCACCCAGCCTATTCATTTCTATATGCTCTACTTTTTATTTATTTATTTTTTGAGACACGGTCTCACTCTGTTGCCCAGGTTGGAGTGCAGTGGCACGATCTCAGCACACTGCAACCTCCCCATCCCGGGTTCAAGCGATTCTCCTGCCTCAGCCTCCCAAGTAGCTGGGAATACAGGCCTGCATCCCCACACCCAGCTAATTTTTGTATTTTTGGTAGAGATGGGGTTTTGCGATGTTGGCCAGGCTGGTCTTGAACTCCTGACCTCAAGTGATCCACCCACCTCGGCCTCCTGTAGTGCTGGGATTACAGGCGTGAGCCACCGCACCCAGTCCATGATTTCCATCTTTACCTTTCAGTGATCTGGGCTGTCAGGGTGTCCAGCTGTCCTGTGACCCTCTGCGGATGGTTCTTCCGGCCTCTCTACTCAGGTGGGAGTCCCTGAATTAGGCTGTGCTTGTGGGAGCTTCAGTTTTGATCTGGTTTCAAGATTTGATGCAGTGAGCAAGTGAAAGTACCCAAGAGAGCCTCTAGGGGGCGGTGGTGTTTAAGGCCACGTTCTTTTTTTTCTTTTCTTTTCTTTTCTTTTTTTTTTTGAGATGGAGTCTACCTTTGTCACCAGACTGGAGCGCAGTGGCGCGATCTCGGCTCACTGCAACCTCCACCTCCTGGGTTCAAGCTATTCTCCTGCCTCAGCCTCCCGAGTAGCTGGGATTACAGGCACACACCGCCACACCCAGCTAATTTTTGTATTTTTAGTAGAGACAGGGTTTCACCACGTTGGCCAGGATGGTCTCCATCCCCTGACCTGGTGATCCACTCACCTCGGCCTCCCAAAGTACTGGGATTACAGGCGTGAGCCACCGCGTCCGGCCAAAGGCCACGTTCTTATCTAAGCTTTTCCTCTGACCTTGCCTAACATCTGTAATGCCAAAATAGTTAACACGCCCTGTTTTGTGTACAATACAGCTTATTAACTGTGCTACTCAAAGTCTCTATATCTTTACTGACATAAAAAAATTGTCTCTTTGGCCGGGTACGGTGGCTCACGCTTGTAATCCCAGCACTTTGGAAGGCCGAGGCAGGTGGATCACTTGAAGCCAGGAGTTAGAGACCAACCTGGCCAGCATGGTGAAACCCTGTCTCTACTAAAATTACAAAAATTAGCCAGGTGTGGTGGTGCACGCCTGTAATCTCAGCTACTCAGGAGGCTGAGGCACGAGAATCACTTGAACCTGGGAGGCAGATGTTGTGGTGAGCTGAGATCGTGCCACTGCACTCCAACATCCTGGGCAACAGAGCGAGATTCTGTTTCAAAAGAAAAAAAAAATTGTCTCTCTCTCTTTCTTTTTTTTTTTAGACAGGATCTCACTCTGTCATGTAGGCTGGAGTGCAGTGGTGCCATCATGGCTTACTGCAGCCTTGACCTTCTGGGCTCAAGTGAGCCTCCCACCTCATCCTCCCAAATAACTGGGACCACAGGCGAGCTCCGCTATGCCTGGCTAATTTTTTGTTTGTATTTTTTGTAGAAATGGGGTCTCTTGGCTGGGCGCGGTGGCTCACACCTGTAATCCCAGCACTTTGGGAGGCCAAGGCGGGTGGATCACGAGGTCAGGAGATCGAGACCATCCTGGCTAACACGGTGAAACTCTGTCTCTACTAAAAATACAAAAAATTCTCCGGGCGTGGTGGCGGGCGCCTGTAGTCCCATCTACTCGGGAGGCGAGGCAGGAGAACGGCGTGCGCCCGGGAGGCGGAGCTTGCAGTGAGCCGAAATCGCGCCACTGCACTCCAGCCTGGGTGGCAGAGCGAGACTCCGTCTCAAAAAAAGAAAAAACAACAAACAAAAAAAAAGAAATGGGGTCTCTCTGTGTTGTCCAGGCTGGCCTCAGTGATCCTCCTTCCTTGGCCTCCCAAAGTTCTGGGATTACAGGCATGAACCACTGTGTCCAGACAAAAATTGATCTGTAAACTTTTTGAGACAGCATCTCACCCTGTTCCCCAGGCTGGAGTGCAGTGGTGTGATCATGGCTCACTGCAGCGTCAACCTCCTGGGTCTACTTGATCCTTCTTCGAGGGAAGGTGTAATAAACCCTCCTGCAATGTCTTTGTTTTTCAAAATCTTTGTATTTCACAGTTTAGCTTCGTGGGTTGATGTTCTATTTTGTTTTTGTGTGTGTGTGTGTGTGTTTTGTGTTTTTTTTTGAGACACAGTCTTGCTCTTGTTGCCCAGGCTGGAGTGCAATGGTGTGATCTTGGCTCACTGCAACTTCCACCTCTTGGGTTCAAGAGATTCTCCTGCCTCAGCCTTCCGAGTAGCTAGGATTACAGGCGCCGCCACCACACCCCGCTAATTTTGTATTTTTAGTAGAGATGGGGTTTCTCCATATTGGTCAGGCTGGTCTCAAACTCCCGACCTCAGGTGATCCGCCCACCTCAGCCTCCCAAAATGCTGGGATTACAGGCGTGAGTCACCGCACCTGGCCAATGTTCTATTTTTGAGAACACAACAGTTCATAATATATTCTACATAGACCATACCTGTTATGTGTAGATAAACAGACTCTTTTCCCATTTAACACCTTTTGCCTTAGGTTTATTTTTCTGGTATCAATACTGGCACACTTACTTTGTTTGCAGTTTCCTGTCTTTTTTTTTTTTTTTTTTTTTTTTGAGACAGAGTCTCACTCTGTCACCCAGGCTGGAGTGAAGTGGCGGGATCTCGGCTCACTGCAACCTCTACCTCCTGGGTTCATGCGATTCTCCTGCCTCAGCTTCCCGAATAGCTGAGACCACAACTGTGTGCCACCATGCCCAGCCAATTTTTGTATTTTTAGTAGACACGGGGTTTCACCATACTGGCCAGGATGGCTCAATCTCTTGACCTCGTGATCCACCTGCCTCCGCCTCCCAAAGTGCTGGGATTACAGGCATGAGCCACTGTGCCTGGCCTTTTTTTTTCTTTTTGAGATGGAGTCTCACTCTGTCACCCAGGCTGGAGTGCAGTGGGGTAACCTCAGGTCACTGCGACCTCCGCCTCCCGGGTTCCAGTGATTCTCCTGCCTCAGCCTCCCGAGTAGCTGGGATTACAGGCACCCACCACCATGCCTGGCTAATTTTTGTATTTTTAGTAGAGACGGGGTTTTGCCACGTTGGCCAGGTTGGTCTCGAACTCTTGGCCTCATGTGACCCGCCTGCCTTGGCCTCCCAAAGTGCTGGGATTACAGGTGTGAGCCACTGTGCCTGGCCTGGCTTTCTTGTTTCTTTTCTCCTCTTCTAGTTTCCCCCTTTTAGGCTAACAATTATTCACTGTTAATAAAAACCCTCAGGTCTGTATTTTATCAAGAAACATTTCCCTCACGTCTTCTTCCCTGAACCAAACAAGATCTCTGGCACATTTTATTTGCTCTGTCTCACCACATGGATTTTGTTTTTTTGTTTCTTTGTTTTTTGAGATGGAGTCTCACTCTTGTTGCCCAGGCTGGAGTGCCATGGCACAATCTCAGCTCACTGCAACCTCCACCTCCTGGGTTCAAGCGATTCTCCTGTCTCAGCCTCCTGAGTAGCTGGGATTACAGGCGCGTGGCACCACCCCCAGCTAATTTTTGTATTTTTAGTAGAGACGGGGTTTCACCATGTTGGTCAGGCTGGTCTCGAACTCCTGACCTTGTGATCTGCCCACCTTGGCCTCCCAAAGTGCTGGGATTACAGGCATGAGCCACCACGCCCGGCCCCCATGGTTTTTCAAATAGTTTAGAATTTCATTTCCAGGTAACTAATTTGCTTCTTTAAACATATGTCTTTTCTATTTAAGAAATCCTTTCTAAACAATTGCATTTTATTCCACAACCGCCTTCAAACAATCATTGAGACTTGGTTAATCTGTTTTGCTCATTTGGCAGCAGTTTCTTGTGGCTGTTTCTTCCCTCCACTGGAGTCCTTGAATCTTAAGTCTGTCATTTGACTGCAATTAAAAGCTGGGTTTGGAATACAATCGCAGCCTTACCATCCACCTGCTGTGTGACCTGGTAAATTTCTTTTTTTTTTTTTGAGACGGAGTCTTGCTCTGTTGCCCAGGCTGGAGTGCAGTGGCACAACCTCTGCCTCCCAGGTTCAAGCGATTCTATTGCCTCAGGCTCCCTAGTAGCTGGGATTATAGGTGCCTGCCACCATGCCCAGCTGATTTTTGTATTTTTAGTAGAGATGAGGTTTCACCATGTTGGCTAGGCTGGTCTCGAACTTCTGATCTTGTGATCTGCCCGCCTCGGCCTCCCAAAGTGCTGGGATTACAGGCATGAGCCACCACTCCCAGCCAGTTCTTTTTTTCTTTTTTCCATTTTTTTTTTTTTCGAGACAGGATCTTACTCTTTTGCCCAGGCGGGAGTGCAGTGGCACAATCACGGCTCAGCGCAGCCACTGCCTACTGGGCTCACACGCTCCTCCGGCCTCAGCCTCTCGAGTACCTGGGACTACAAGCGTGAGCCAGTTTGGCTAATTTTGGCTAATTTTTGTAGAAACGGGGTCTCGCCATGTTGGCCAGGCTGGTCTCCAACTCCTGGACTCAAGGGATCCACCTTCCTCCCCCTCTCAAAGTTCTGGGATTACCGGAGTGAGCCACTGTGCCCTGCTGGCAAATTTCTTAAACTGTCTGTGCCTCAGTGACCTCATTTAATAAAGGGAATAATTGTAGCACACTTTTTCTAGAGCTGTGAAGATTCAATGGAATAAATAAGGCAATAAATGAATGGATGGGGAATGAAGGATGTGGGTTTCCTCCCTCTTGTCTTTCAATAAGCTCTCACCATCAACCTCCCATTGCCTGTTCTCTCTCTTCCCCCTCTCTCCCTCTGTCTCTCTCTCAGCCAGGAAACCTGGGGTAGGGAGGCTTGGAGCCAGCGGGTGCGTCGGGAGGCTGCGGGTACTGACTCGGGCCGCGCACGGAGATTGCGGGAGAAGGATCCACACCGCGGAAGAAGGATCAGGGTGGAGCCTGTGGCTGCTGCAGGAGGAGGAACCCGCCGCCTGGCCCACACCACAGGAGAAGGGCGGAGCCAGATGGCACCCTGCCCACCGCTTCCCGCCCACGCACTTTAGCCTGCAGCGGGGCGGAGCGTGAAAAATAGCTCGTGCGCCTCGGCCGACTCTGCAGTGCGACGGGCGGAGCTTCCAGACGCTCCGCCCCACGTCGCATGCGCCCCGGGAACGCGTGGGGCGGAGCTTCCGGAGGCCCCGCCCTGCTGCCGACCCTGTGGAGCGGAGGGTGAAGCCTCCGGATGCCAGTCCCTCATCGCTGGCCCGGTCGCGCTGTGGCGAAGGGGGCGGAGCCTGCACCCGCCCCGCCCCCCCTCGCCCCGTCCGCCCCGCGCCGCGCGGGGAGGAGGAGGAGGAGCCGCGGCGGGGCCCGCACTGCAGCGCCAGCGTCCGAGCGGGCGGCCGAGCTCCCGGAGCGGCCTGGCCCCGAGCCCCGAGCGGGCGTCGCTCAGCAGCAGGTCGCGGCCGCAGCCCCATCCAGCCCCGCGCCCGCCATGCCGTCCGCGGGCCCCGCCTGAGCTGCGGCCTCCGCGCGCGGGCGGGCCTGGGGACGGCGGGGCCATGCGCGCGCTGCCCTAACGATGCCGCCCGCCGCGCCCGCCCGCCTGGCGCTGGCCCTGGGCCTGGGCCTGTGGCTCGGGGCGCTGGCGGGGGGCCCCGGGCGCGGCTGCGGGCCCTGCGAGCCCCCCTGCCTCTGCGGCCCAGCGCCCGGCGCCGCCTGCCGCGTCAACTGCTCGGGCCGCGGGCTGCGGACGCTCGGTCCCGCGCTGCGCATCCCCGCGGACGCCACAGCGCTGTGAGTAGCGGGCCCAGCGGCACCCGGGAGAGGCCGCGGGACGGGCGGGCGTGGGCGCGTTCCCTGGCCCGGGACGGGAAGCAGGACGCGGGCCAGGACGCTCCCAGGGCGAGGCTCCGGCGCGGCACGGCGGCCCTGCTAAATAAGGAACGCCTGGAGCCGCGGTTGGCACGGCCCCGGGGAGCCGAAAAACCCCGGGTCTGGAGACAGACGTCCCACCCGGGGGCTCTGCAGACGCCAGCGGGGGCGGGGCGCGGAGGCCGCGCTCAGCTGGGAGGACAAACAGTCGCTAATTGGAGAGGAATTGGGATGCGGCCTGGGGCTGCGGGGTACCCGGAGAGGTGGGGATGGCTGTAGGGGGCGGCAGGGAAGAGTTCCAGGAGGTGTCTGGAAAAGGATTTGATGGATGTGCAAGAATTGGGCTGATGCTTAGGAAGGGGCGATGAGGTGGGTCCAGAAGAAGGGGGGTGAACGGTGTGAGCAAAGACCGTGAGGCTGGAGGCTGGCCACGGGAGGTGTGAGGGGTAGGGGCAGGGTGGGAGGTGGGCTCGCGGGTGGGCTGGGGTCATGAAGGGCCTCAGGCGCTCTGCTATTGGGTTCCAAGGCTATCCTGAGAACAGGGGTGAGGGGGGATTGCCGTGGGGGGTTAAAGCCTTGTCATGTTCGCTTTCGGGAGATAAAAACAACAGGTGGCCTTTATGGAGACGCTGCCCAGAGCCAGGTCTGTGCCAGGCTCCTGTTGGGGGTCGTCATGCGGAATCCTGACTCTGACCATCCGAGGCATAGGGACCGTGGAGATTTGCATTTCACAGATGAGGAAACAGGTTTGGAGAGGTGACACGACCTGTCCCAGGCATCACAGCCGGGATGTGCATAGCAGGGGTTTGGAACTATGAGGTGCCCAGGACCCAGGGTTGGATTGAAAAGGGCGGAGGGGACTAAGATAAGCAGACAGTTGTCCCCAGCGCTGGGGAGAGTCTTGGGACCAGTCTGATGCCTTGTATTTCCCAGGCTCCAGGCTCCTCGCCGGGACAGTGTCTCCTTGGGTGCGTGCTGGATCCCTGGGGGACGTGGCACATCCCCAGGCTTGCTAAACATTGGGTGGGTTCTGGCATTTGGTTTTGTAACGTTTCTGGGTCACTCCCGCCTGTGGCCACCCTTCCTTAGGGGAGCCGTGTGTCCTTGGGGCTTTGCTGGGTGGTCTCGAGGGTGGGAGAAGAATGGGTTCTCCTGGACCAATGGAGCCCGTGCCCCTCGGGGCCACATTGCTCCTGCGCTCCCTGACTGCGGACGCGTGTGTCTCGCGGCTGTCTCTGTGGAGATGGCCTCCTCCTGCCTGGCAACAGCACCCACAGAATTGCATCAGACCTACCCCACCCGTTGTTTGTGATGCTGTAGCTGAGGGCTCCTCTGTCTGCCAGGCCGGTCACTGGGGACTCTGTCCAGGGCCTGGTGGTTCCTGCTTCCCAGCACCTGATGGTGTCCATGAGAGCAGCCCCTCAGGAGCTGTCCGGGAGAGAAGGGCGCTGGTGGCTGCTGAGCGGAGAGCAAGGCCCGTGTTCTCCAGGCCCTTGGCACAGCAGTGGAGCCCCCGCCCCTGCCTTGTGTTGTCCTCTTAGGCTCTGGTCCTGGGGTTTGGAGGAGGGGGACCCTGGGAGTTGGTGGCCTGTCCCAGCCTGAGCTGGCAAGATTCCGAATGCCAGGCCCCCCAAGTGTGCAACAGGGCACAGGGTGACCTCATGTGGGCAGGTGGGTGCTGTTCTGTACACACCTGGGGCCGCCGCTGGGAGAGTTCTGGAAGGTGGGGTGAGGGGACCCATGGCAAACTAGGGCCTTAGGAAGGATGTGAAGGCCCTGGCTGGCCCCCCAGGCCACCCTCTGTGCTGTGGGGCAGCCCAGCCATTTTGCTGTCTACCCTGCAAACTCCTCCTCGGGGAGACGGCTGGGTTTTCCCCAGGGAAGAGGGGTCAAGCTGGGAGAGGTGAAGGACACAGATCACAGCTGCTGGCAGGTGTTCAAGGGTCCAAGAGCGTTGCTGTCTGGGTGTCACCAGTAGCCTTCCTGGGGGGCTCACGCAGGTGCCTCTCCACTTGTGGCTCCCTGGCTGCTGAAGCTCAGCAGGGACAGCTGTGTCCAGTTCCAGGTGGAGGACAGCCGGGGCTTCTGAGGCCACAGCCTGCCTTGGGTTAATGATGCTGCCGAGAGGTGGTGGCTTTTGGAAAAGATGGCGTACTGCAAAACGTGCTGCTCTGCGTGGCTCGAAGCTTCGTGGGGAGACGTGGGCAGAGCCGTGGCTGACTCACAGACCCCCCACCCCAGAGCCTGCCCTGCCCTCCCTGCCCCGACCCTTCTCCCTCCTGACCCATGTGTTTTTTTTTTTTTTTTTTTTTTTTGAGACAGAGTTCACTCTTGTTGCCAAGGCTGGAGTGCAATGGCACGATCTCGGCTCATGGCAACCTCCGCCTCCTGGGTTCAAGCGCTTTTTCCTGCCTCAGCCTCCCGAGTAGCTGGGATTACAGGCGTGCACCACCATGCCTGGCTAATTTTGTATTTTTAGTAGAGACAGGGTTTCTCCATATTGGTCAGGCTGGTCTTGAACTCCTGACCTCAGATGATCCGCCCGCCTCGGCCTCCCAAAGTGCTGGGATTACAGGCATGAGCCACCACGCCCAGCCCTGACCCATGTTTTGAACCAAATTCCAGCCACCCTTTTATCTGCAAGCATTTTGGAGGGCATCGCAATACTGCAGACCCACCTAACACAACAGACAGTTCCTTCATGCCACCGAAGGCCTGGTGTGTTCACATTTTTGGTTTAATAGTTTGAATTAAGAGCCAAATAAGGTCCACACACTGCAATTAGTTGATGTCTTTTTTTTTTTCTTTTTTTTTTTTTTTTTGAGACGGAGTCTTGCTCTTGTCTCCAGGCCGCAGTGCAGTGGCATGATCTCAGCTCACCGCAACCTCCGACTCCCTGGTTCAAGCGATTCTCCTGCCTCAGCCTCCCGAGTACCTGGTAGCTGGGTTTACAGGCATGCACCACCGTGCCCAGCTAATTTTTGTATTTTTAGTAGAGACGGGGTTTTACTGTGTTGGCCAGGATGGTCTCGATCTCCTGACCTCGTGATCTGCCCACCTCGGCCTCCCAAAGTGCTGGGATTACAGGCGTGAGCCACCGCACCCGGCCAATGTCTTTTAAAAATATATACTTTTTTTTTTTTTTTGAGACGGAGTTTCGCTCTTGTTGCCCAGGCTGGAGTGCAGTGGCGCGATCTCACCTCACGGCAACCTCCGCCTCCCGGGTTCAAGTGATTCTCCTGCCTCAGCCTCTCCAGTAGCTGGGATTACAGGCATGTGCCACCATGCCTGGCTAATTTTGTATTTTTAGGAGAGACGGGGTTTCTCCACGTTGGTCAGGCTGGTCTCAAACTCCTGACCTCAGGTGATCCGCCTGCCTTGGCCTCCCAAAGTGTTGGGATTACAGGTGTGAGCCAACGCGCCCAGACAAAAATATATGTGTGTCTTTAAGGCTGGTCAAGCAAAGCAGTAGGACTGGAGAAAGAATGAAGAATTCTACCTGGCTGTGATCAATTCGTTGTGAACACCACTGTGCTTGGACCAGCTAGCTGATGTCTTTTGTTTTGTTTTGTTTGAGACGGAGTCTGGCTCTGTCACCCAGGCTGGAGGACAATGGTGTGATCTCGGCTCACTGCAGCCTCCATCTCCCGGGTTCAAGCGATTCTCCTGCCTCAGCCTCCTGAGTAGCTGGGATTAGAGGCGCGCGCCACCACGCCCGGCTAATTTTTAAAAATATTTTTAGTAGAGATGGGGTTTCACCATGTTGGTCAGGCTGGTCTTGAACTCTTGGCCTTAGGTGATCTGCTTGCCTCGGCCTCCCAAAGTGCTGGGATTACAGGTGTGAGTGATGTATTTTATTTATTTATTTATTTATTTATTTTTATTATTTGAGATGGAGTCTCACTCTGTTGCCCAGGCTGGAGTGCAGCAGTGCCATCTCAGCTCACTGCAAGCTCCGCCTCCTGGGTTCACGCCATTCTCCTGCCTCAGCCTCCTGAGTAGCCTGGACTGGTGCCCGCCACCATGCCCAGCTAATTTTTTGTATTTTTAGTAGAGACGGGGTTTCACCGTGTTAGCCAGGATGGTCTGGATCTCCTGACCTCGTGATCCTCCCGCCTCAGCCTCCCAAAGTGCTGGGATTACAGGCTTGAGCCACCGCCTGTCTTTTAAATGTCCGATGATGTCTAGGAGCTTCCCTTCCTCTCTTTTTCCTTGTGCAATTTGTTGAAGAAACTGGCTCCTGCAGCCTGGATTTCTCGCTGTGTCTTGGGGGTGCCACCTCCATGGTGTCACCTCCGTGGTGCTGTGAGTGTGTGCTTTGTGTTTCTTGTAAATTGGTCGTTGGAGCCGACATCCCATTGTCCCAGAGGTTGTCCTGGCTGGCACTGGCCTAGGTGTAGATGTCATCAGCTCAGGGCCCCCTGCTCTAAAGGCCACTTCTGGTGCTGGTTGCCACTCACCCTGGCTGGGGGTCACCTGGGTCTGCTGCTGTCTCGCAAATGCTGGGGTCCAGGACTGGGCACATCGAGGGACTTGGTAGGTGCTTGGTTCACTGATGTAAAATATAGGAGCACCCGGGGCCTTGCCCTTTCCCACCTGCATCCCTGAATGACAGGAGAGTGTGGGAGAGTGTAGGGACAGCAGGCGCAGACCCCGGGGCCCCTGCCTGGGATTGGCGTCGGGGAAGACAGGCATTCTGGAGCGACCCCTAGGCCTGATGCCTTAGAGCGCAACTGCCAGAGACACAGCTTCCTTGGGGGGCTGGCCAGGCCACGGAGGGGCCCCTGGCTCCCATTTCTGGTCCCTGGATCCTGAGAGCGAGGACTAGGGATTGTCACCAAGGCCTCCATGAGCCCTCAGCAGAAGGAGGGCCACCCTCGAGGGCTCCGTTATCACTGGAGCCCGCGTTCAACCAACACGCAGATGATTCTCCAAGGACAGAGATGGATGATGGGGAGGGGGCTGGCCTGGAAGGACCCCCAGTGCAGGTGACATTGAAGCCAGGTTTCAAAGCTCCCACAGGGAGCTGCCCAGAGAGAGTCCCCAAGGGGCAAGGTGACTCGGGGGCAGGGGTAGGGCCTCTGTCAGGAGAGCCTAGGAGAGGCCTGTGTCTTCTAGGAAGAGCCCTGGCAGCCGAGCGGAGGCAGTGGTGAGGACCTGCATCCTGCATGTCCAGCTGGCCTCACCCGGGGTCCCTGAGCCGGGTCTTACGTGGCTCCCGCACTCGGGCGTTCAGAACGTGCCTGCGTGAGAAACGGTAGTTTCTTTATTAGACGCGGATGCAAACTCGCCAAACTTGTGGACAAAAATGTGGACAAGAAGTCACACGCTCACTCCTGTACGCGATTGCCGGCAGGGGTGGGGGAAGGGATGGGGAGGCTTTGGTTGTGTCTGCAGCAGTTGGGAATGTGGGGCACCCGAGCTCCCACTGCAGAGGCGACTGTGGAGACAGAGAGCACCTGCAGGTCATCCATGCAGTATCGGCTTGCATCCAGATCATACAGGGAACACTATGATTCAACAACAGACAGGGACCCCGTTTAAACATGGACAAGGGGTCACTCACGCCTGGAATCCCAGCAGTTTGGGAGGCCAGGGTGGGTGGATCGCTTGAGCCCAGGAGTTTGACACCAGCCTGGGCAACAGGGTGAGACCCCGGTCTCTAAAAAATAAAAGAACATTGGCCGGGCGTGGTGGTATGCATCTGTGGTCCCAGCTATTCAGGAGACTGAGGTGGGACATCACTTGAGCCGAGGAGGTCAAGGCTGCAGTGAGCTGTGATCACACCACTGCACTCCAGGCTGGGTCACAGAGCAAGACCCTGTCTCAAAAAAAAAAAAAAAAAAAAAAAAAAATCACAGGATCTGAACAGAGATTTCTCCAAAGAAGACGCACAGATGGCCAACAGCGTGTGAGAAGATGGTCGGCCTCATTAGTCATGAGGGAAACGTAAATCAAAACCACTGTCCAGCCGGGCGCGGTGCCTCACGCCTGTAATCCCAGCACTTTAGGAGAGCAGATGGCTTGAGGCCAGGAGTTTGAGGCCAGCCTGGGCAACATAGCGAGACCAATAAATAGATATTAGTGGTGGCGCCTGTAGTCCCAGCTAGTTGGGAGGCTGAGGGGGGAGGATTCCCTGAGTCTATGAGGTTGAGACTGCAGTTAGCTGTGATGGTGCCACTGCACTCCAGCCTGGGCGACTAGGAAACGGTCTTTAAAAAAAAAAAAAAAAAACAGGGTGGGCGCGGTGGTTCACGCCTGTAATCTCAGCACTTTGGGAGGCCAAGGTGGGGGGATCACAAGGTCAGGAGTTTGTGACCAGCCTGACCAACATGGTGAAACCCCGTTCTACTAAAAATACAAAAATTAGCGAGGTGTGGTCGTGGGCGCCTGTAATCCCAGCTAATTAGGAGGCTGAGGCAGGAGAATCACTTGAACCCGGGAGGCGGAGGTTGCAGTGAGCCAATATCACACCACTGCACTCTAGCCTGGTCAACAGAGCGAGACTCTGTCTCAAAAAAAAAAAATGCTGAGCGTGGTGGCGCATGCCTGTAGTCTCAGCTACTTTGGGGGCTGAGGCAGGAGAATCGCTTGAACCTGGGAGGCAGAGGTCGCAGTGAGGCAA
This sequence comes from Homo sapiens, assembly GCF_000001405.40. Taxonomy (NCBI): domain Eukaryota; kingdom Metazoa; phylum Chordata; class Mammalia; order Primates; family Hominidae; genus Homo; species Homo sapiens. Next base: position 2,128,771 of record NC_000016.10, on the reverse strand, counting down.
GATTGCACCATTGCACTCCAGCCTGGGAGACAGAGTGAAACTCTGTCTCAAAAAGAAAAGGTCTAGGAAGAGTCCGCACCCTCTCCCCGCGGTGGCCACGCCGGGCTCCGCGCTGAGCCCTCTGTGTTCTTGTCTCTCCATACCTCATCACGGCACCGCAGGGTTGCAGCCACTCCTGGTCTCATTTTACACACCAGGAAATTGAGGCTCTTTGAGAAGCCGTGGTGATGATTTCATCAGCATGCTCTGGGGCAGACCCCTGCAGCCGCACAGGGTGCCTGGGGCCCACACTAGTGCCCTGGTTTATAGACAGACAGAGGTGGCAGTGGCGCTTCCGAGTCGGGCTGCGATGTGCTTGCACTCCCCGAGGGGCTGAGGGGCCCTGCGCCCAGGTGCAGCTGCTTGGGTGCTGCCAGCCCCTCCCACCTCTCCCTCCCTGCCAGCCCCTCCCACCTCTCCCTCCCTGCCAGCCCCTCCCACCTCTCCCTCCCTGCCAGCCCCTCCCACCTCTCCCTCCCTGCCAGCCCCTCCCACCTCTCCCTCCCTGCCAGCCCCTCCCACCTCTCCCTCCCTGCCAGCCCCTCCCACCTCTCCCTCCCTGCCAGCCCCTCCCACCTCTCCCTCCCTGCCAGCCCCTCCCACCTCTCCCTCCCTGCCAGCCCCTCCCACCTCTCCCTCCCTCCAGCCCCTCCCACCTCTCCCTCCCTGCCAGCCCCTCCCACCTCTCCCTCCCTGCCAGCCCCTCCCACCTCTCCCTCCCTGCCAGCCCCTCCCACCTCTCCCTCCCTGCCAGCCCCTCCCACCTCTCCCTCCCTGCCAGCCCCTCCCACCTCTCCCTCCCTGCCAGCCCCTCCCACCTCTCCCTCCCTGGCTCATCCCTGCTGTGTCCCTTCTCTCTAGTTTCCTGTTCAGTTTCAGGAAGGAGGCTGGGAACCCAGATGTAGGGAATTTGCGCCCTGGAGTCAGACCTGGGTTCACGTCCCAGCGCCTCCACCTCTGGTGTGACCTTGGTCCAGTCTCTCAGCCTCAGTTTCCTCACCTGTAAAGTGGGCTCCATGATTAGATGCACCCTGCAGGGCAGTGTAGCAGTGACCTGGCTCAGCCACTGGCAGCCCCAACAATCATACCTTGTTAAAGTAGCTCTGTCGGTTCCCTCAGGGGTTCCGGGGGCCCATTCCCCTGTCCTCCATGCACTGTGAGACCTGCCCTGCCACAGAGCAGAGTGTAACAGCCTGAGGGTGAGAGCCAGACACTGTGCCTGTGCTTAGACCAGACACTGGACGACGGGAGCCAGTGCAGCCTGGGCGGGTGGACTCCTATGGACCCCTCAGCACCCAGCCTCGGTGCCTTCAGCGCAGGGCCGCGTGGCTGTGGGGGCTCACAAGACCCGGCCCACTCCTGCTTGTGCCTACATCTGGGTGTTTGCCCATTGGTGCCTTTTGACGCGTTCTGGTGTGTGTGAGACGTGCGGGGCTGGGAAGTGTTGGCAGAGCCGCGAGTACCGTCCTCACTCCTTTTGTTCTTTTGACGTAAGCTGGCGAGTGGCACTGCCTGAGTTCCGCTCAGTGCCCGCCCTGATGTGCGGACCCCGCTGCATTCTTGCTGTTAGGTGGTGGCGGTGTGCGCTGTCGCTGGTGGGCACCGAGAGTCTTTGGGAGCTTTGGGGAGGTTGTGCCAAGCCTGAGCCTCGACGTCCCCCTTCCCGGCTTTCTGTTGGCTCTTCTGAGGCCAGGGCATCTCTATGAGGGCCTCCTGCTGGAGCCGTCTCTGTGGATCTCCTCTGCCATCCTGGCCCATGAGTGGGTGATGCGCTGGCCACCATCTGGTGACAGTGGCCGGGCACCGCTGCCAAATGTGGGTCCCGCATCTGCAAGCCCCTCCCTGGGTCCCCTAGGGTATGGGGTGGTTCTGCCACTGCCCTCGCTCCCCCACCTTGGGGTGCCTCTCCCCCTGCTCGTGGGGGAGACCCTGCCTGGGATCTGCTTTCCAGCAAGGAATATACTTTGGAGGGAGACACACATGTTCTTTTCTGGAGCTCTGCAGTGGCCACGGCAGCCCAGCCCGCCAAGCACCCTGGAATGAAAACATCCCGCTGCTGTCTGGGCCTGGCCTGCACTCTGCTGCCTGCGCTCCAGCTGGCTGAGGCCGGGCACGTCTGCGGGCACAGCAGCGGGGGCGCCACAGTCTCCCTGCAGAGTGAGCGCAGCTGGAAAATGCAGCTCACGCCCTTTCCCAGAACACCTCGCTCTTCATGGCTTGGCAGCTGTCCTTGCCTAGGGGCCAGGGTGCCCAGGCACTGGTGGCAGGAGAAGGGCTACATCTGGGGCTGAGGCGGGCTGGGTCCTTTTCTCCCTGCAGCTCCCGAGGCCCAGCCCTGGCCCAGCCTGGCATTCCTGACCTTAGCAGCGCCATGATCTGAAGACAGGCTGGCTTCTGTGAGGCCACCTCAGAAAGGGCTTTGTGCCCAGGCAGAGGCGGAAGCCAGCTCTTCCTTCTGGTTGAGGCAGGAATGAGGCCAGCGCTGGGGCAAGCCCATGCCCAGGGAACGTCACAGCTGTGGGAGTACAGGGGCTCCGGGTTCTGAGCCCGTCCACTGTGCATCGTGGCCCTGGCCTCAGGATGGCTCGTACCATCATTGGCTGTGCCCACAGCCGAGTGGGTGATGGGATTCCGGCTGCCCCGCTGGATCTGTGCTGCTGCCCTCTCCAGGGCACTGCTGTGCCCGCACAGCCGGGCGCAGATGGCCAGTTTGCTTGCCCCCCCCCCCACCATCCTCTTCCTACCTTGGCTTCCTCCATTGACACACTGGACCCTGCTGGCTGCCCGGGGAGGTGTTTGGGGGATGGTGTTGGGGGAGGAGGAGGGCCCCTTGAGCCTCAGTGTGCCCATCAGGAGCGTAAGGTCAGTGCAGCACCTGCCCACACAGGCTGTGAAGGGTGGGAGTGGAGAGGGATGCAAGGGGGTCACAACGCCTGGCTCCATGTCAGCTGCGTGCAGGGGCACCAGGAGCCGGCCCTCATTCTCCCCTTGAACTGGAAGGGTGGCCCCGACCCCAGCGGCAGGTAGCATACGTATGAAGCGCTCTCCTTCCTACACCCCACAGGTGGGCTCGTCTCCAGACGGCCCTTTTTGAGCTGGCTGTGTTTTTCCATCTGTGTAGGCAAGGACATCGCAGACTCCCCTTTCTCATCTCCCTCGTTCAGCCTCCGAGGCCGGAGTCTCCATCCCTGTGCCTGCCTGTGGGTCCCGGGAGGACCTGAGGCTGCCCATGTCACCCCCGGCATCTCATCCTGGGGACAGTTCAGCCGTGGGAGGGATCTGTAAGGACAGAATGCCGCTGAGCCTGGGGCTCCCCAGCTAGTCTCACACCCCGTGTCTGGGACCCAGAGACCCTCGTGCAGGGCTCTGTTGCTTGGGGCCTGGCAGCCTCGTCCTGTATCAGAGGCTGCCACCCCCACCCCTCGTGGGGCCAGGGTTGTGGCCGGCCTCCCTGGCCCTCCCCATGGAAGTGGTAGGCGGAGCCAGCAGCCATCTGCCCAGCCCGGGGCTGCACTGTTTTTTTTCAAATGAGCACCGTCCCAAACTGCAGCCCGTTAATTTAAACAGGATCATTTCCGGCCCTGGAAGCCGCCTCACTCTCCTTAAATAGAAAGGAGCACAGCGCAGAGGGAAACAGATGAGGTCATGGCTCGGCTGGCCCAGCGAGGAAGGGGCCGCAGTGGGGGTGGCACTGCCGCCTGTCCCCTGTCCTCTCCAGCGCCCACACTGCAGCCCATTTCCTCACCCTGGGCCTGCTCTCGGGAGGGACGGGCCTGGGGGTCCTCTTGCTGGGCGGAGGGGAACCAGCTCCTCCAGGAGAGGACGGGGCCTGGCAGGGGGCATGGGGCCTCCCTGGGTCTGGCGTCCTGTCCTGCCCCTGCCGAGGGAGGAGCGGTTACATAAGCTCCGCAGGCGGCCCCTCCGAGCCGGTCCCCCCAGCCCAGTTTCCAGTGAGGCGGCCAGCGCGGGCGGGGGTGCCGGGCCTGGCGCACACCCGCTGCTGACCACACGTGTCTGGAATGTGCAGATGTTTCTTTGGGGGCTCCGTCCGGCCCCCAGACCCCACTCAGCATCTGGTCTGGGGAGTGGGCGCCTGGGGCACTCAGCTCTGAGTGTGAGACTCTGAGGCAGGTCTGGTTTGTCTGGGGCCATTCCCTCTGCTGTGGATTGGGAGGGCCCCGGGAGCTGCCCCACACCCAGGGAAGTTCTCCTCAGTCCCACTGTTGCATTCCCCGACCCCGGCTCCCCCGGCCCAGGAGCGCCTGTGGGGCAGAAGGCCCAGCCCCAAGACTTCCCGGCCCTGCCAGCCTCAGGCTTCACCCACCCTCGCGCCAACTGTGGGCAGAGCCCAGGGGGAGGGCAGGAGAGCCAGCGCCTGGCTGGGAACACCCCTGAGGGGCCGAGGCTCCAGGGCGAGGGGGCCCGACCTGGGGTTCACACGCCCGGGTGGCGGGCAGACCCGCTGCAGCATGAGACACGTGTCAGCTACCTCGGGCCGGCAGGCTGGCCCTGCTGCCCACAGCCCTGGGACGTGGCCCCACCTGTGACGGGTGTGGAGGGGCAGCCTCCAGGCCTGGCCACACCCTCTGCTGTTGCTGCTCCTGCTCCAGGATTGGCAAGGGTGCTGGGAAGGGGTGAAGACCCGTACTGTGGCCACACACCTGGGACTTCCTTCTCCACCCAGTGGTGCCCCAGCAGCCGCTAAGGAGCCCGCTGGGTCCCACGCTAGGATGGTCCTAACTCCTCCCGCCTTCCAGATCGGACGCTCGGCGCTGGGGACCCCTTGTGTCCCGGGGCTGGGGCACCGTCCTGCCCCCCATGGGGGTGTACTCCTCCCGACAAGCTTGGCTTCAGCTTCCCTGGGAGCACATCCTGGCCCTCGGGCACCCATCAGGCTGTCCCTGTGCACCTGGCTCCCACCCTTCCAGCTCATAGCAGGAACTGGGGTGAGGAGTGCGTGGGGCAGCAAGGGCCTGGGACCCCAGAGGACCCTGCACTCTGCTCTGTGCTCTTGCCTGGGCTTAGGGCCGCTCGGTGGTCCTGCTGCCAGATGCCTGGGCCCTGCTGTGTCCCCCATCCTTGCAGGGAACCAGAACGTGGGGGCAGGGCATCAGACAGCGGCGATGATGTCACCTGGCGGGTGCAGAGGAAGCCCGAGGGGCGGGGTGGGGGGGCTGGCGCGAGGCTGCCTGGCTAGGCCTTGGCGTTCCCCCAGAACGGCGATGGCAAAAGCAGATGGAGACGTGAAAAAGTACGGGAGCAAGCGAGGTGAGGACTCCACGGGGACCCCTGTGCTGTTCCCTGTCCCTGAAGCCCACACCTGAGTCCTGCCCAGGGCAGATGCTTCCACACCCAGGGGGCACCTGAGTCCTACCCAGGGCAGACGCTTCCACACCCTGGGGGCTGGGGGACTGCACCTGGCTCCTGTCTGGGCCCCAGCTTCATTCCACTGCCCTGGGCCCTGGGAGCTCGGCCGAGCGGGGTCCCCAAGACCTTGCTGCATTTCTGGGCCTTGGGCTGGGGTGAGGGCCGGGAGAAGGAGCCAGCCTGGAGCCTGGCACGCAGGGAGTGCATGGCCAGAACCGGTGACAGGCAGGGCTGCCTGCTGGCGTGGAAGAAGTGTCCATGGCACCCCCAGGCCTGGTTCACAGTGGGATGGGCGGGGAGCCGGGGGGCTCTGGGGTCCTCGGCTGACCTGCCCCCACCCCTGCCCTGGCTTGTCAGCTCCCAGCAGCAGCCACTCTTGATGGATTTTCCAGAAAATGAGGTGTGGCCAAACATCTTCAGGCTTTTCCTTCTTTCCTTTCTCCCGTGGCCTGGGTGGGAGCTGCTCCCCATGCCTGGGGGCAGGTGCGAGAGCCTGTGCCCCTCCCTGGGGCAGTTTCACAGCTGTGTCCCTTCCAGGGGGCCTGCCTGTGTTCACCGTGGCCTCTGCAGCACCTCTCGCCCCTTAGGGCTCCTGCGCCTCGGGTCCCGGTGCCTCATTTCTCCCTAAAGCATTGGTTCTGCTGCCGCCGCAGCCGCTGGAAAGTCCCTCCTCAGGTCTAACTGCAGTTCCTCACGGCACAGTGTTCCCCCTCGGGCATGGTGCTTGGGCAGTGGGTGTGAGTCCAGCTGCCTCACCCTGTCTCGAGAATGGCCTCTTGCTGGTCTCCCAGCCACCACCCTGTCCCACCCCACGGCGGGGATGGTGTGGATGCCTAGCAGCGCGGCTGTGGGCCCACCCATCCTTATGGGCAGTGGGGAGCACCTCAGCCCGTGTCCCTACCTTGGTGTAGAGGAGGGGACGGCAGAGAAGCAGGGTTCAGTTAGGGGGGAAGTGGTGGCCCTGCCGGAGGGGCCGTTCCCTGTGTGCCTGGCCCCCAGATCCTCTCCCCTCCCGGAGCCCAGGGCACAGGCATAGGCTCTCTGAGTGTCCCACAGCCCCTGGGGGAAGGGAACTGCACCCCCAACCGTGCCCTCCATCCGCAGATGGAACGAGAAGCTCCGGGAGCCAGTGCCCAGCGTCTCATCTGTCTGGGCACCCAGCCCAGGTGAGGGCCTGGCTCCACCGTCCGTGGCTGGTGCTGCTTCCTGGCACGGAGAAGGCCTCGGCTGCTCTGTCCCCTCAGCTGGGGTGGCCTCTGGTCCCCTTCTTTGTTGGTTCCCTTCTCAAGCTCTTGCCCTGGCCCCGGGCCCCACCGGGCAGCCTGTGTGTGCGTCTCTCCTGCGCCGGGTAGGCTCCTGTGGGAGCGGAGCTCCGGTGGGAGGAGCAGGGCTGGAGGCTGGCAGGGGCTGGGCGGGTGTTCAGGGATGGAGGCCGCCCCGGCTTGGGGCTGGCTGCCGGGTGGTCATTGCTGGGAAGAGCAAGTCTAGGCGGAGGCACCTGCTGGGTCACTCGTGGGGAGGGTGACACCTGGGGAAGTAGAGGCCCGTGGCAGGAGGTGAGGCCTCGGGGTCCTGGGGAGCAGGGGGGTGGTGTGCAGACCTGCGGAGCCATAGTCCTGTGCCAGGAGCACTACTGGGAGTGCGTGGGACCAGGAGGGGTGCCCAGGGTGGGCGGCAGAGTGACCCCCGAGGTGCTTGAGGCCGAGGGGAGGTGGAGTTCTCGGTTTGCCCCAGCTCTCTGTCTACTCACCTCCGCATCACCAGCTCCAGGACCTGGTTTGTAACTCGGGCAGCTCTGAAAAGAGAGACATGCTGCCGCCCTGTGGTTTCTGTTGCTTTTTCTTCACTGACTACTGACATGGGATGTTTTTCCTACGGCTGTGACCAATTGTGCTTCTTCTAATTGCCTGGTTTTTCTTTTTTTGTTTTTGGAGTTTTCTCTTTCTTTCCTCCCTCCCTCTCACCCTCCATCCTTTTTTTTTTTATTTTTATTTTTTGAGATGGAGCTTCACTCTTGCAGGATGGGGTGCTGGAGTGCAGGGGTGCGATCTCAGCTCACTGCAACCTCTGCCTCGCGGGTTCAAGTGATTCTCCTGCCTAAGCCTCCTGAGTAGCTGGAATTACAGGTGCTTGCCACCACGCCCGACTAATTCTGTAGTTTTGGTAGAGACAGGGTGTCTCCGTGTTGGTCGGTCTGGTCTTGAACTCCTGACCTCAGGTGATGCGCCCGCCTCAGCCTCCCAAAGTGCTGGGATTACAGGCAGGAGCCATTGCACCCGGCTCTTTCCCCTTCTCCTTTTCTTCTCTCTCTCCTCCCTTTCTTTCTTTTCTTTTCTTTTTTTTTTCTTTTGAGATGGAGTCTCGCTCTGTCACCAGGCTGGATTGCAGTGGCGTGATCTTGGCTCACTGCAACCTTCGCCTCCCGGGTTCACGTGATTCTCCTGCCTCAGCCTCCTGAGTGGCTGGCACTACAGGCTCCCGCCGCCATGCCCGGCTAATTTTTGCATTTTTAGTAGAGACAGGGTTTCACCCTGTTGGCCAGGATGGTCTCGATCTCTTGATCTCATGATCCACCCACCTTGGCCTCCCAAAGTTCTGGCATTACAGGAGTGAGCCACCGTGCCCGGCCATCTTTCTTTCCTTGCTTTCTCTTTGTTTTCTTTCGAGACCGGGTCTTGCTCTGTCGCCCAGGCTGGACTGCAGTGGCACAATCATAGCTCACTGCAGCCTCGACTTCCCTGGCTCAAGCGATCCTTCCTCCTCAGCCCCCCGAGTAGCTGGAACTACAGTTACACACTACCATGCCTGGCTGATTCTTTTTTTCCTTGTAGAGATGGGGTCTTGCTATGCTGTCCATCCTGGTCTCAAACTCCTGGCCTTCCCAAAGCACTGGGTTTACAGGCATAAGCCACCACACCCAGTTTCCTTTTCTTCTTTTTAACTGGAATAGTTGACGTTTTCTTTATTAGCTGTGTGTCAGGAGGGTATTTTTGGCCTTTAGTATGTCGTGTAAGTTGCTAGTGCTTTTCTGAGATTGTAGTTTGTTTTCTAATTTTATTTATATTTTGCGTAGAAGTTGTGTATTTTAGATGGAGTTAGGTCGGCTGGTCTTTGATGTTTTATTTATTAATTATGTATGTATTTATTTATTTTTGAGGTAGAGTCTCGCCGTTTCACCCAGGCTGGAGTACAGTGATGCGATCTCAGCTCCCTGTAGCCTTGACCTCTCTGGGCTCAAGTGATTTTTCTCTCCTCTACCTCCCGAGTACTTGGGACCCCAGGCGCATGCCGCCATGCCTGGCTAATGTGTATTTTTTGTAGATACGGGGTCTCACTGTGTTGCCCAGGGTGGTTTCAAAATCCTGGGCCCAGGCGATCCTTCCGTCTCAGCTCCCACGGTGCTGTGTTACCGGCGTGTGCCCCAGTGCCTGGCCGTCTTGGAGGTCTTGTTTCTCTGGGTTTATGCCTCGAGGTGGCGCCTGCTCCCCTGTGCTCCCTGGTAGCCTGGTAGTGAGCCTGCTTCTCACACAGTCATACCTGGTTGTGGTCCCACAGTGGGACCACCCTGTTGGGTTCAGAACAGGAGATGGGGGCCCCTCGAGTCTGTGTGGGGGCTGTGGACAGGGTTGGGAGACCTTGGCTCTGTGGGGGACTGTGGACAGGGGATGGGGGGCCTTGGCCCTGCGTGGGATGGGTTGGGGGTCCGTGCCCTTCCTGGCCCTGGGTGGACAGGTCCATGTGGCACTCGGCATAGGGCTGAGATGGGTGCAGAGGGCTGAGGCCCCCAGGCCTCTCCTGGCTTGGTTTCCCCAGATGAGTGTTCATTTGGGTCTTCCATCAGAAAGTCCCCTCCTGACCTCTGGGAGTGGGGAGCTCAAGGGTGGGAGGCCATAGCTTGGGGATGCTGGCAATGTGTGGGATGGGCCCAGGGATGGCCTCTGGCCTACTAGGGGCTCTGGCCCTGACCCACGGCCACTCACTCCTCAGAGACGTCTCCCACAACCTGCTCCGGGCGCTGGACGTTGGGCTCCTGGCGAACCTCTCGGCGCTGGCAGAGCTGTGAGTGTCCCCCAGTCGTGCCAGCATGCGGGGCTCACTCCGGGTGGGCTGGCGGCACCGCCTCTTGCTGCTCAGCTGTGGGGGCTTCCATCAGCTTTGCCGAATCCCCCGTCTCTTCCAGGGATATAAGCAACAACAAGATTTCTACGTTAGAAGAAGGAATATTTGCTAATTTATTTAATTTAAGTGAAATGTAAGTTGTGGTTCTTTGGGTGGGGTCCTGGCTGGACCCCAGGCCCCCAATATCCCTTCTGCCCTCCCAGTTGGTCCGTGTCCCCTTCCAGGCTTGAGACCAGATCCTGGGGGCAGTTCACTGCCTGCTTGGAGCCCCCCAGTGCCGGCTTGGTTGGGGCAGGGGAGGCGGTGCTGTCAGGGTGGCTCCAGGGCCTGGTTGCCAGTGGGGGGCTGGCATAGACCCTTCCCACCAGACCTGGTCCCCAACACCTGCCCCTGCCCTGCAGAAACCTGAGTGGGAACCCGTTTGAGTGTGACTGTGGCCTGGCGTGGCTGCCGCGATGGGCGGAGGAGCAGCAGGTGCGGGTGGTGCAGCCCGAGGCAGCCACGTGTGCTGGGCCTGGCTCCCTGGCTGGCCAGCCTCTGCTTGGCATCCCCTTGCTGGACAGTGGCTGTGGTGAGTGCCGGTGGGTGGGGCCAGCTCTGTCCTTCCCAGCCAGGTGGGACCTGGGCCCTGCAGACACTGGGCAGGGCTCAGGAAGGCCTCTCTGGGGGGGGCCTCCGGGCCAAGGGAACAGCATGGGAGCCTGTGAGTGCGGCGGGCGGATGTGGGGGCGTGGGGTGGAGCCAGGAGGAGCAGAACCCGGGGTCCAGTGGCTGCCTCTTCTAGGTGAGGAGTATGTCGCCTGCCTCCCTGACAACAGCTCAGGCACCGTGGCAGCAGTGTCCTTTTCAGCTGCCCACGAAGGCCTGCTTCAGCCAGAGGCCTGCAGCGCCTTCTGCTTCTCCACCGGCCAGGGCCTCGCAGCCCTCTCGGAGCAGGGCTGGTGCCTGTGTGGGGCGGCCCAGCCCTCCAGTGCCTCCTTTGCCTGCCTGTCCCTCTGCTCCGGCCCCCCGCCACCTCCTGCCCCCACCTGTAGGGGCCCCACCCTCCTCCAGCACGTCTTCCCTGCCTCCCCAGGGGCCACCCTGGTGGGGCCCCACGGACCTCTGGCCTCTGGCCAGCTAGCAGCCTTCCACATCGCTGCCCCGCTCCCTGTCACTGCCACACGCTGGGACTTCGGAGACGGCTCCGCCGAGGTGGATGCCGCTGGGCCGGCTGCCTCGCATCGCTATGTGCTGCCTGGGCGCTATCACGTGACGGCCGTGCTGGCCCTGGGGGCCGGCTCAGCCCTGCTGGGGACAGACGTGCAGGTGGAAGCGGCACCTGCCGCCCTGGAGCTCGTGTGCCCGTCCTCGGTGCAGAGTGACGAGAGCCTCGACCTCAGCATCCAGAACCGCGGTGGTTCAGGCCTGGAGGCCGCCTACAGCATCGTGGCCCTGGGCGAGGAGCCGGCCCGAGGTGAGTGTCTGCTGCCCACTCCCCTTCCTCCCCAGGGCCATCCAGATGGGGCAGAGCCTGGTACCCCCGTCTTGGGCCCACACTGACCGTTGACACCCTCGTTCCCACCGGTCTCCAGCGGTGCACCCGCTCTGCCCCTCGGACACGGAGATCTTCCCTGGCAACGGGCACTGCTACCGCCTGGTGGTGGAGAAGGCGGCCTGGCTGCAGGCGCAGGAGCAGTGTCAGGCCTGGGCCGGGGCCGCCCTGGCAATGGTGGACAGTCCCGCCGTGCAGCGCTTCCTGGTCTCCCGGGTCACCAGGTGCCTGCCCCCACCCCCCGAGGGGCCATAGGTTGGGAGATCTCTGAAGCACTGGGGCAGAGCCTGCGGCTGGGGAGTCTCAGGAGGAAGGAGGTGGGAGCTGGGCCGGCCCTGGTGAGCAGGTGGCGCCGGCCGGTGGGGCCGTTCCTGTCAGCTCTGCAGATGCAGAGGTGGACATGAGCTGGGGGCAGCCTCCGGACACTCCTGGGCACGCCATACGGGAGGTGGCCTGCACGGGGATCCCTGCCGGTACCCACAGGCCCCGTGGGTGGGTGCTGCTGTGAGCCTGGGCTGGTGGGCCCTGGTCTCCGGGCTCTGAGCCTCAGTTTCCCCATCTGGAAAGGGGGACAGTGATGGGGCTCCCAGCGGGCTGCTGTGAGGGTGGGAGGATGGAGGAGTGCCCTGAGCCCCCTGCCATCCCACACCCGCCCCCAGGAGCCTAGACGTGTGGATCGGCTTCTCGACTGTGCAGGGGGTGGAGGTGGGCCCAGCGCCGCAGGGCGAGGCCTTCAGCCTGGAGAGCTGCCAGAACTGGCTGCCCGGGGAGCCACACCCAGCCACAGCCGAGCACTGCGTCCGGCTCGGGCCCACCGGGTGGTGTAACACCGACCTGTGCTCAGCGCCGCACAGCTACGTCTGCGAGCTGCAGCCCGGAGGTGTGCGGGGGGCCAGGCAGGGGCCTGAGACGCTGGCTGTGGTTAGGGGCCTGCCGAGCGCCCGCGGTGGAGCCTGGGCTGAGGAGGAGGGGCTGGTGGGGGGGTTTTCGGGCGGCTCGGTCCCCAGTCTGTTCGTCCTGGTGTCCTGGGCCCTGGCCCGGCGCCTCACTGTGCACTCGCCACCCCAGGCCCAGTGCAGGATGCCGAGAACCTCCTCGTGGGAGCGCCCAGTGGGGACCTGCAGGGACCCCTGACGCCTCTGGCACAGCAGGACGGCCTCTCAGCCCCGCACGAGCCCGTGGAGGTAGTCGGCCCCCCACGTTCTACAACCTGCCCTCCTGCCTGCCCCTGGAGGCCTTGCCTGCCCTGCCCACTGTGGGTCTCGCCAAAAAACTTGGGGGCCTTAATGTTGCTTGTGCCCAGTGAAGATGGTTGGGAAAATCCAGAGTGCAGAGAGGAAAGCGTTTACTCACATTACCTCCAGGCCTTTTCTCTGAGCGTGTGTGAGTTATTCCTGAAAGGCAGGTCAGGGGTCCTGCCCCCCATGGACAGTTTCCACCGGAGTCTTCCTCTCGAGCGACAGGAGCCAGGCCTGTGGGGGTCTGATGGCTCGCTCTCCTTCCCTCCCCTCTTCCTGGGAAGTTCGGGTAGGGGGAGTCTGGGCTTCAGGCTGGGATGGGGTCTGTGGAGCTGAGGCGGCCCCCTGCCCACCAGGTCATGGTATTCCCGGGCCTGCGTCTGAGCCGTGAAGCCTTCCTCACCACGGCCGAATTTGGGACCCAGGAGCTCCGGCGGCCCGCCCAGCTGCGGCTGCAGGTGTACCGGCTCCTCAGCACAGCAGGTGGGACTCTGGGTGGTGGGTGGTGGGTGGTGGGCGCCGCAGGACTCGGGGTGGCCTCTCTGAGCTTTCACGTCTGCTGGTCCTGTGGCCACCAGAGTGGTTCCCAGTCTTAGGTGGACAGAGCAGGGGTTCCAGAGACACCAGCTCATTCCAGGTGTCCTGGGGGTGGATTGGGTGGGGCCTGCCTGGGGGCCGGCCTGGGTCAGTCGGCTGGCCGGAGACGGACGCAGCACTGGGCTGGGAGTGCTGCCCAGGTGGGGAGACCTGTCCTCACAGCAAGGCCAGGATTGCTGGTGCAGGCAGTTGGGCATCTCTGACGGTGGCCTGTGGGCAAATCAGGGCCCCAACACCCTCCCCTCCTCACAGGGACCCCGGAGAACGGCAGCGAGCCTGAGAGCAGGTCCCCGGACAACAGGACCCAGCTGGCCCCCGCGTGCATGCCAGGGGGACGCTGGTGCCCTGGAGCCAACATCTGCTTGCCGCTGGACGCCTCCTGCCACCCCCAGGCCTGCGCCAATGGCTGCACGTCAGGGCCAGGGCTACCCGGGGCCCCCTATGCGCTATGGAGAGAGTTCCTCTTCTCCGTTCCCGCGGGGCCCCCCGCGCAGTACTCGGTGTGTGGCCCTGACCTGGGTCTGTTCCCTGCATCTCCTCAGGCCACCTTCCTGTCTGCTGCCCAGGGTCTGGGTCTGTGCACCAGACACACCCAGCCTGCAGGCCCCTCCCACGTCCTTGCCACCTCTGACCTCCGACCTCTGCAGTGCCCTCGGCCCTCTCCCAGTGGGAGAAGCTCTCGCCTGGGCCCTTGGCACGAGCTGTGCCTCCTCTTCCTCTCTCCCAGCACAGCTGCTCCTTCCTGTCTGCCAGGTCTTGGCCTGTGTCCTCTCCCCGTGTGTCCCCCGGTCTGCAACTGTCCTGCCTGTCCTTGTCACGAGCACTGTGGGGAGGCTCCTTGAGGTGTGGCTGACGAAGCGGGGAGCCCTGCGTGTCCACCCTCATCCGTCGTGCGGGGGTCCACGGGCCATGACCGTGAGGACGTGATGCAGCCCTGCCTCCCTCTCCACAGGTCACCCTCCACGGCCAGGATGTCCTCATGCTCCCTGGTGACCTCGTTGGCTTGCAGCACGACGCTGGCCCTGGCGCCCTCCTGCACTGCTCGCCGGCTCCCGGCCACCCTGGTCCCCGGGCCCCGTACCTCTCCGCCAACGCCTCGTCATGGCTGCCCCACTTGCCAGCCCAGCTGGAGGGCACTTGGGCCTGCCCTGCCTGTGCCCTGCGGCTGCTTGCAGCCACGGAACAGCTCACCGTGCTGCTGGGCTTGAGGCCCAACCCTGGACTGCGGCTGCCTGGGCGCTATGAGGTCCGGGCAGAGGTGGGCAATGGCGTGTCCAGGCACAACCTCTCCTGCAGCTTTGACGTGGTCTCCCCAGTGGCTGGGCTGCGGGTCATCTACCCTGCCCCCCGCGACGGCCGCCTCTACGTGCCCACCAACGGCTCAGCCTTGGTGCTCCAGGTGGACTCTGGTGCCAACGCCACGGCCACGGCTCGCTGGCCTGGGGGCAGTGTCAGCGCCCGCTTTGAGAATGTCTGCCCTGCCCTGGTGGCCACCTTCGTGCCCGGCTGCCCCTGGGAGACCAACGATACCCTGTTCTCAGTGGTAGCACTGCCGTGGCTCAGTGAGGGGGAGCACGTGGTGGACGTGGTGGTGGAAAACAGCGCCAGCCGGGCCAACCTCAGCCTGCGGGTGACGGCGGAGGAGCCCATCTGTGGCCTCCGCGCCACGCCCAGCCCCGAGGCCCGTGTACTGCAGGGAGTCCTAGTGGTGAGTATGGCCGAGGCTCCACCACCAGCCCCCAGGCAGGTGCCTGCAGACAGGGTGCTCACACAGGGCGTGAGGCCTGGCTTCCCAGTGAGGGCAGCAGCCCAGTTACTGGGGACGTCGGCCCCGGGCAGGTCCTGCTGGCTGGCTCCTCGGGCTACCTGGTGGGCTTTAAATTCCTGGAAAGTCACGGCTCTGACAGTGGCTCCGCTAACTCATTCCACTGTCTCATTTCACAAAATGAATTTAAAACTCTGCTCCCTGACCTCACACGAGCCCCCGTGAGTCTCTCACGCCCTCTGCTGTGTTCTCGCCTGGCTAAAGCGAGTGGCTTTTGAGGTGGAGTCTGAACCCCTGATGGGAAACTGCGGGCTGCCCGCGGTGCCACCATGCTGGGTACATGGGGGACAGGGCTGTCTCCATCTTGCGGGTACCTGCCTCTTCACCAGGGGCCTTGGGAGGGGCCATCAGAAATGGCGTGACCTGTGCAGCCTGTCCTGGGTTCTGTAAGCCAGTGTAGGTGCCTCCCCTCACTGCTCCGAGCTCTCTGGGTGAGGAGCTGGGGCAAGAGCGCCGGGAGGGTCTGAGAAGACTCAGAGAGAGGTGGACTCTTTGTAGCTGGTACTAGGTTTGCTTTACAGATGGGGAAACTGAGGCACAGAGAGGTTGAGGCATTAGTAGTACTACATGGCTGGCTGGAGAGCCGGACAGTGAGTGTCCCAGCCCGGGCTTGGCTCCCATGGCATGCAGAGCCCCGGGCACCTCCTCTCCTCTGTGCCCCGCGTGGGACTCTCCAGCCCGACGGGAGGTGTGTCCAGGAGGCGACAGGCTAAGGGCAGAGTCCTCCACAGAGCCCAGGCTGACACCATTCCCCCCGCAGAGGTACAGCCCCGTGGTGGAGGCCGGCTCGGACATGGTCTTCCGGTGGACCATCAACGACAAGCAGTCCCTGACCTTCCAGAACGTGGTCTTCAATGTCATTTATCAGAGCGCGGCGGTCTTCAAGCTCTCAGTAGGTGGGCGGGGGTGGGGAGGGGAGGGGATGGGGCGGGGCAGGGCGGGGGCGGGCTCCACCTTCACCTCTGCCTTCTGCTCTGCTTCATGCTGCCCGAGGACGCTGCCATGGCTGTGGGTGAGTGGAGGGAGGGACGCCAATCAGGGCCAGGCCTCTCACCTGCCACCTGGGCTCACTGACGCCTGTCCCTGCAGCTGACGGCCTCCAACCACGTGAGCAACGTCACCGTGAACTACAACGTAACCGTGGAGCGGATGAACAGGATGCAGGGTCTGCAGGTCTCCACAGTGCCGGCCGTGCTGTCCCCCAATGCCACGCTAGCACTGACGGCGGGCGTGCTGGTGGACTCGGCCGTGGAGGTGGCCTTCCTGTGAGTGACTCGGGGGCCGGTTTGGGGTGGGCACCAGGCTCTTGTCCCAGCCCCAGCCTCAGCCGAGGGACCCCCACATCACGGGGTTGCTTTTCTGAGCCTCGGTTTCCCTGTCTGTTGGGAGGTAACTGGGTGCACAGGAGCCCTGAGGCTGCACGGGAGCCGGGAGAGGCCTCAGCACAGCCGGGTGGGCCCTGAATGGAGGCCCGGGGCGTGACTGCAGAGTGGAGCCTCGGCTGGGTCCCAAGCACCCCCTGCCCCGCCACCGCCCACCCCTGTCCCGGTTCACTCACTGCGTCCCACCGCCCCGGCAGGTGGACCTTTGGGGATGGGGAGCAGGCCCTCCACCAGTTCCAGCCTCCGTACAACGAGTCCTTCCCGGTTCCAGACCCCTCGGTGGCCCAGGTGCTGGTGGAGCACAATGTCATGCACACCTACGCTGCCCCAGGTGAGGGATGAGGGGGTGAGGGGGCCACTGCCTTTCAGGCTCTGAGCACGGGGTCCCCCCAGCTCCCCAGTCAAGCTGCCCCCCTTCCTCCCCAACAGCCCTCACTGTGACCTCACCTGGGCTGATGGCTTAGGCCCCTACTGGGGTGAGGGAGGGGCCAGGCGTGGGGGGAGTGGACAGGGAAGCTGGGCCCCTGAACTGCGCCCCCCGCCCTCCCCGGGCCTGGCTCTTGCTGCTCTGCTGCCCCGAGTGCAGCTGCACTTGGAGGCGGTGCCGTCCTCGCCAGGCAGCCCTCAGTGCTGCTACACCTGTGCTCCGTCCCGCACGTGGCTTGGGAGCCTGGGACCCTTAAGGCTGGGCCGCAGGTGCAGCCGTTCACCCCGGGCTCCTCAGGCGGGGGGCTTCTGCCGAGCGGGTGGGGAGCAGGTGGGGGTGCCGCGGCTGCCCCACTCGGGCCTGTCCCCACAGGTGAGTACCTCCTGACCGTGCTGGCATCTAATGCCTTCGAGAACCTGACGCAGCAGGTGCCTGTGAGCGTGCGCGCCTCCCTGCCCTCCGTGGCTGTGGGTGTGAGTGACGGCGTCCTGGTGGCCGGCCGGCCCGTCACCTTCTACCCGCACCCGCTGCCCTCGCCTGGGGGTGTTCTTTACACGTGGGACTTCGGGGACGGCTCCCCTGTCCTGACCCAGAGCCAGCCGGCTGCCAACCACACCTATGCCTCGAGGGGCACCTACCACGTGCGCCTGGAGGTCAACAACACGGTGAGCGGTGCGGCGGCCCAGGCGGATGTGCGCGTCTTTGAGGAGCTCCGCGGACTCAGCGTGGACATGAGCCTGGCCGTGGAGCAGGGCGCCCCCGTGGTGGTCAGCGCCGCGGTGCAGACGGGCGACAACATCACGTGGACCTTCGACATGGGGGACGGCACCGTGCTGTCGGGCCCGGAGGCAACAGTGGAGCATGTGTACCTGCGGGCACAGAACTGCACAGTGACCGTGGGTGCGGCCAGCCCCGCCGGCCACCTGGCCCGGAGCCTGCACGTGCTGGTCTTCGTCCTGGAGGTGCTGCGCGTTGAACCCGCCGCCTGCATCCCCACGCAGCCTGACGCGCGGCTCACGGCCTACGTCACCGGGAACCCGGCCCACTACCTCTTCGACTGGACCTTCGGGGATGGCTCCTCCAACACGACCGTGCGGGGGTGCCCGACGGTGACACACAACTTCACGCGGAGCGGCACGTTCCCCCTGGCGCTGGTGCTGTCCAGCCGCGTGAACAGGGCGCATTACTTCACCAGCATCTGCGTGGAGCCAGAGGTGGGCAACGTCACCCTGCAGCCAGAGAGGCAGTTTGTGCAGCTCGGGGACGAGGCCTGGCTGGTGGCATGTGCCTGGCCCCCGTTCCCCTACCGCTACACCTGGGACTTTGGCACCGAGGAAGCCGCCCCCACCCGTGCCAGGGGCCCTGAGGTGACGTTCATCTACCGAGACCCAGGCTCCTATCTTGTGACAGTCACCGCGTCCAACAACATCTCTGCTGCCAATGACTCAGCCCTGGTGGAGGTGCAGGAGCCCGTGCTGGTCACCAGCATCAAGGTCAATGGCTCCCTTGGGCTGGAGCTGCAGCAGCCGTACCTGTTCTCTGCTGTGGGCCGTGGGCGCCCCGCCAGCTACCTGTGGGATCTGGGGGACGGTGGGTGGCTCGAGGGTCCGGAGGTCACCCACGCTTACAACAGCACAGGTGACTTCACCGTTAGGGTGGCCGGCTGGAATGAGGTGAGCCGCAGCGAGGCCTGGCTCAATGTGACGGTGAAGCGGCGCGTGCGGGGGCTCGTCGTCAATGCAAGCCGCACGGTGGTGCCCCTGAATGGGAGCGTGAGCTTCAGCACGTCGCTGGAGGCCGGCAGTGATGTGCGCTATTCCTGGGTGCTCTGTGACCGCTGCACGCCCATCCCTGGGGGTCCTACCATCTCTTACACCTTCCGCTCCGTGGGCACCTTCAATATCATCGTCACGGCTGAGAACGAGGTGGGCTCCGCCCAGGACAGCATCTTCGTCTATGTCCTGCAGCTCATAGAGGGGCTGCAGGTGGTGGGCGGTGGCCGCTACTTCCCCACCAACCACACGGTACAGCTGCAGGCCGTGGTTAGGGATGGCACCAACGTCTCCTACAGCTGGACTGCCTGGAGGGACAGGGGCCCGGCCCTGGCCGGCAGCGGCAAAGGCTTCTCGCTCACCGTGCTCGAGGCCGGCACCTACCATGTGCAGCTGCGGGCCACCAACATGCTGGGCAGCGCCTGGGCCGACTGCACCATGGACTTCGTGGAGCCTGTGGGGTGGCTGATGGTGGCCGCCTCCCCGAACCCAGCTGCCGTCAACACAAGCGTCACCCTCAGTGCCGAGCTGGCTGGTGGCAGTGGTGTCGTATACACTTGGTCCTTGGAGGAGGGGCTGAGCTGGGAGACCTCCGAGCCATTTACCACCCATAGCTTCCCCACACCCGGCCTGCACTTGGTCACCATGACGGCAGGGAACCCGCTGGGCTCAGCCAACGCCACCGTGGAAGTGGATGTGCAGGTGCCTGTGAGTGGCCTCAGCATCAGGGCCAGCGAGCCCGGAGGCAGCTTCGTGGCGGCCGGGTCCTCTGTGCCCTTTTGGGGGCAGCTGGCCACGGGCACCAATGTGAGCTGGTGCTGGGCTGTGCCCGGCGGCAGCAGCAAGCGTGGCCCTCATGTCACCATGGTCTTCCCGGATGCTGGCACCTTCTCCATCCGGCTCAATGCCTCCAACGCAGTCAGCTGGGTCTCAGCCACGTACAACCTCACGGCGGAGGAGCCCATCGTGGGCCTGGTGCTGTGGGCCAGCAGCAAGGTGGTGGCGCCCGGGCAGCTGGTCCATTTTCAGATCCTGCTGGCTGCCGGCTCAGCTGTCACCTTCCGCCTGCAGGTCGGCGGGGCCAACCCCGAGGTGCTCCCCGGGCCCCGTTTCTCCCACAGCTTCCCCCGCGTCGGAGACCACGTGGTGAGCGTGCGGGGCAAAAACCACGTGAGCTGGGCCCAGGCGCAGGTGCGCATCGTGGTGCTGGAGGCCGTGAGTGGGCTGCAGGTGCCCAACTGCTGCGAGCCTGGCATCGCCACGGGCACTGAGAGGAACTTCACAGCCCGCGTGCAGCGCGGCTCTCGGGTCGCCTACGCCTGGTACTTCTCGCTGCAGAAGGTCCAGGGCGACTCGCTGGTCATCCTGTCGGGCCGCGACGTCACCTACACGCCCGTGGCCGCGGGGCTGTTGGAGATCCAGGTGCGCGCCTTCAACGCCCTGGGCAGTGAGAACCGCACGCTGGTGCTGGAGGTTCAGGACGCCGTCCAGTATGTGGCCCTGCAGAGCGGCCCCTGCTTCACCAACCGCTCGGCGCAGTTTGAGGCCGCCACCAGCCCCAGCCCCCGGCGTGTGGCCTACCACTGGGACTTTGGGGATGGGTCGCCAGGGCAGGACACAGATGAGCCCAGGGCCGAGCACTCCTACCTGAGGCCTGGGGACTACCGCGTGCAGGTGAACGCCTCCAACCTGGTGAGCTTCTTCGTGGCGCAGGCCACGGTGACCGTCCAGGTGCTGGCCTGCCGGGAGCCGGAGGTGGACGTGGTCCTGCCCCTGCAGGTGCTGATGCGGCGATCACAGCGCAACTACTTGGAGGCCCACGTTGACCTGCGCGACTGCGTCACCTACCAGACTGAGTACCGCTGGGAGGTGTATCGCACCGCCAGCTGCCAGCGGCCGGGGCGCCCAGCGCGTGTGGCCCTGCCCGGCGTGGACGTGAGCCGGCCTCGGCTGGTGCTGCCGCGGCTGGCGCTGCCTGTGGGGCACTACTGCTTTGTGTTTGTCGTGTCATTTGGGGACACGCCACTGACACAGAGCATCCAGGCCAATGTGACGGTGGCCCCCGAGCGCCTGGTGCCCATCATTGAGGGTGGCTCATACCGCGTGTGGTCAGACACACGGGACCTGGTGCTGGATGGGAGCGAGTCCTACGACCCCAACCTGGAGGACGGCGACCAGACGCCGCTCAGTTTCCACTGGGCCTGTGTGGCTTCGACACAGGTCAGTGCGTGGCAGGGCCGTCCTCCATGCCCCTCACCCGTCCACACCCATGAGCCCAGAGAACACCCAGCTTGCCACCAGGGCTGGCCCGTCCTCAGTGCCTGGTGGGCCCCGTCCCAGCATGGGGAGGGGGTCTCCCGCGCTGTCTCCTGGGCCGGGCTCTGCTTTAAAACTGGATGGGGCTCTCAGGCCACGTCGCCCCTTGTTCTCGGCCTGCAGAGGGAGGCTGGCGGGTGTGCGCTGAACTTTGGGCCCCGCGGGAGCAGCACGGTCACCATTCCACGGGAGCGGCTGGCGGCTGGCGTGGAGTACACCTTCAGCCTGACCGTGTGGAAGGCCGGCCGCAAGGAGGAGGCCACCAACCAGACGGTGGGTGCCGCCCGCCCCTCGGCCACTTGCCTTGGACAGCCCAGCCTCCCTGGTCATCTACTGTTTTCCGTGTTTTAGTGCTGGTGGAGGCCGCACGCTCTCCCCTCTCTGTTTCTGATGCAAATTCTATGTAACACGACAGCCTGCTTCAGCTTTGCTTCCTTCCAAACCTGCCACAGTTCCACGTACAGTCTTCAAGCCACATATGCTCTAGTGGCAAAAGCTACACAGTCCCCTAGCAATACCAACAGTGAGGAAGAGCCCCTTCCCACCCCAGAGGTAGCCACTGTCCCCAGCCCATGTCCCTGTTGCTGGATGTGGTGGGCCGGTTCTCACCCTCACGCTCCCCTCTCTGGACCGGCCAGGAGGCTTGGTGACCCTGAGCCCGTGGTGGCTGCTCCTGCTGCTGTCAGGCGGGGCCTGCTGGTGCCCCAGAGTGGGCGTCTGTTCCCCAGTCCCTGCTTTCCTCAGCTGGCCTGATTGGGGGTCTTCCCAGAGGGGTCGTCTGAGGGGAGGGTGTGGGAGCAGGTTCCATCCCAGCTCAGCCTCCTGACCCAGGCCCTGGCTAAGGGCTGCAGGAGTCTGTGAGTCAGGCCTACGTGGCAGCTGCGGTCCTCACACCCACACATACGTCTCTTCTCACACGCATCCCCCCAGGGGCCCTCAGTGAGCATTGCCTGCCTCCTGCTAGGGTCCAGCTGGGTCCAGTACACCAGAACGCACACTCCAGTGTCCTCTGCCCTGTGTATGCCCTTCCGCCGTCCAAGTTGGAAGGTGGCAAACCGGATGAGTATCCTGGGAGGGAGTGAGCTCACCGGCAGTGGCCAGGCCCCTGGGAAACCTGGAGTTTGGGAGCAGCATCCTCCATGGGTCCCCCAGTCCTTCCAGCAGGCCAAATAGACCTGTGTTGGAGGTAACCCCACTCCCACGCCAGGTGCTGATCCGGAGTGGCCGGGTGCCCATTGTGTCCTTGGAGTGTGTGTCCTGCAAGGCACAGGCCGTGTACGAAGTGAGCCGCAGCTCCTACGTGTACTTGGAGGGCCGCTGCCTCAATTGCAGCAGCGGCTCCAAGCGAGGGGTGAGTGTTGAGCGGGGTGTGGGCGGGCTGGGGATGGGTCCCATGGCCGAGGGGACGGGGCCTGCAGGCAGAAGTGGGGCTGACAGGGCAGAGGGTTGCGCCCCCTCACCACCCCTTCTGCCTGCAGCGGTGGGCTGCACGTACGTTCAGCAACAAGACGCTGGTGCTGGATGAGACCACCACATCCACGGGCAGTGCAGGCATGCGACTGGTGCTGCGGCGGGGCGTGCTGCGGGACGGCGAGGGATACACCTTCACGCTCACGGTGCTGGGCCGCTCTGGCGAGGAGGAGGGCTGCGCCTCCATCCGCCTGTCCCCCAACCGCCCGCCGCTGGGGGGCTCTTGCCGCCTCTTCCCACTGGGCGCTGTGCACGCCCTCACCACCAAGGTGCACTTCGAATGCACGGGTGAGTGCAGGCCTGCGTGGGGGGAGCAGCGGGATCCCCCGACTCTGTGACGTCACGGAGCCCTCCCGTGATGCCGTGGGGACCGTCCCTCAGGCTGGCATGACGCGGAGGATGCTGGCGCCCCGCTGGTGTACGCCCTGCTGCTGCGGCGCTGTCGCCAGGGCCACTGCGAGGAGTTCTGTGTCTACAAGGGCAGCCTCTCCAGCTACGGAGCCGTGCTGCCCCCGGGTTTCAGGCCACACTTCGAGGTGGGCCTGGCCGTGGTGGTGCAGGACCAGCTGGGAGCCGCTGTGGTCGCCCTCAACAGGTGAGCCAGGCCGTGGGAGGGCGCCCCCGAGACTGCCACCTGCTCACCACCCCCCTCTGCTCGTAGGTCTTTGGCCATCACCCTCCCAGAGCCCAACGGCAGCGCAACGGGGCTCACAGTCTGGCTGCACGGGCTCACCGCTAGTGTGCTCCCAGGGCTGCTGCGGCAGGCCGATCCCCAGCACGTCATCGAGTACTCGTTGGCCCTGGTCACCGTGCTGAACGAGGTGAGTGCAGCCTGGGAGGGGACGTCACATCTGCTGCATGCGTGCTTGGGACCAAGACCTGTACCCCTGCCTGGAGCTTTGCAGAGGGCTCATCCCGGGCCCCAGAGATAAATCCCAGTGACCCTGAAGCAGCACCCCGACCTTCCGCTCCCAGCAGCCACACCCACCGGGCCCTCTCCGGCGTCTGCTTTCCACAATGCAGCCCCCGCCCAGGAGGGCCCATGTGCTTACCCTGTTTTGCCCATGAAGAAACAGCTCAGTGTTGTGGGTCAGTGCCCGCATCACACAGCGTCTAGCACGTAACTGCACCCCGGGAGTCGTGGGCATCTGCTGGCCTCCTGCCGGCCTCCTGCGCTGCTGACAGCTTGCTGTGCCCCCTGCCTGCCCCAGTACGAGCGGGCCCTGGACGTGGCGGCAGAGCCCAAGCACGAGCGGCAGCACCGAGCCCAGATACGCAAGAACATCACGGAGACTCTGGTGTCCCTGAGGGTCCACACTGTGGATGACATCCAGCAGATCGCTGCTGCGCTGGCCCAGTGCATGGTAGGATGGCCCCACCTGCTCACCCTGCCCCGCATGCCTGCCAGGGCACTGGGTTCAGCCCCCCAGGGCAGACGGGCAGCTTGGCCGAGGAGCTGAGCCTCCAGCCTGGGCTCCTTCCTGCCATGGCGTTCCTCGGTCTCTGACCTGCTTCAGTAGCCTCAGCCGTTCTGTCCTGTGTGAACGCAGGGTGCCTCTCGGGGGACCCAGGGTGTAAAGAGGGGCCCAGATGTGGGGAGGGACTAAGAAGATGCTGCTCTGTGCCCTCCACTCTCCCCTCCCCTCCCCTCCCCCTTCCCTCCCCTAGCCCCTCCCCTCCTCCCCTCCCCTAGCCCTTCCCCTCCTCCCCTCCCCTAGCCCTTTCCCTTCTTCCCCCCCAGCCCTTCCCCTCCTCCCCTCCCCTTTTTCTCCACTCCCCTCTCCTCTCTCCCCTCCTCCTCCGCTCTCATGTGAAGAGGTGCCTTGTGTGGTCGGTGGGCTGCATCACGTGGTCCCCAGGTGGAGGCCCTGGGTCATGCAGAGCCACAGAAAATGCTTAGTGAGGAGGCTGTGGGGGTCCAGTCAAGTGGGCTCTCCAGCTGCAGGGCTGGGGGTGGGAGCCAGGTGAGGACCCGTGTAGAGAGGAGGGCGTGTGCAAGGAGTGGGGCCAGGAGCGGGGCTGGACACTGCTGGCTCCACACAGGGGCCCAGCAGGGAGCTCGTATGCCGCTCGTGCCTGAAGCAGACGCTGCACAAGCTGGAGGCCATGATGCTCATCCTGCAGGCAGAGACCACCGCGGGCACCGTGACGCCCACCGCCATCGGAGACAGCATCCTCAACATCACAGGTGCCGCGGCCCGTGCCCCATGCCACCCGCCCGCCCCGTGCGGCCCTTTCCTCTGCCTCCCTCCTCCCCCCAACCGCGTCGCCTTTGCCCCATCCCATCTTCGTCCCCCTCCCCTCCCCCCAATTCCCATCCTCATCCCCCTCCCCCAATTCCCATTCTCCTCCCCCTCCCCCTTCCCTATTACCATCCCTTTTCTCCATCTCTCTCCCCTTTTCTCCATTTCCCCCCCCGTCCTCCCCGTCCTTTTGTCCATTCCCCTCATCTTCCTCATCCCCCTCATCCCCCTTCCCCTCCCTTATCCCCCTTCCCCTCCCTTTCCCCCTGCTCCTCTTCTTCTCCCTTCTCTTTTCTCTACCCTTTTCCTTCCTTTTTCCTCCCTCTCCCCATCATCCCCCTCATCTTCGTCCTCATCCCCATCACCTTCCCCCTCCCCCCTCCACCACTCTCTCTCCAGCTTCCCCCTTCCTTCTGCCTGCACCTCGCTCTCTGCCCCCTCAGGTTCCCCCTTTCTCCCAGCCCCCACCCTCCGGCTCCCCCTTTTTGCCTGCCCCCACCCTCCCTCTACCTCCCTGTCTCTGCACTGACCTCACGCATGTCTGCAGGAGACCTCATCCACCTGGCCAGCTCGGACGTGCGGGCACCACAGCCCTCAGAGCTGGGAGCCGAGTCACCATCTCGGATGGTGGCGTCCCAGGCCTACAACCTGACCTCTGCCCTCATGCGCATCCTCATGCGCTCCCGCGTGCTCAACGAGGAGCCCCTGACGCTGGCGGGCGAGGAGATCGTGGCCCAGGGCAAGCGCTCGGACCCGCGGAGCCTGCTGTGCTATGGCGGCGCCCCAGGGCCTGGCTGCCACTTCTCCATCCCCGAGGCTTTCAGCGGGGCCCTGGCCAACCTCAGTGACGTGGTGCAGCTCATCTTTCTGGTGGACTCCAATCCCTTTCCCTTTGGCTATATCAGCAACTACACCGTCTCCACCAAGGTGGCCTCGATGGCATTCCAGACACAGGCCGGCGCCCAGATCCCCATCGAGCGGCTGGCCTCAGAGCGCGCCATCACCGTGAAGGTGCCCAACAACTCGGACTGGGCTGCCCGGGGCCACCGCAGCTCCGCCAACTCCGCCAACTCCGTTGTGGTCCAGCCCCAGGCCTCCGTCGGTGCTGTGGTCACCCTGGACAGCAGCAACCCTGCGGCCGGGCTGCATCTGCAGCTCAACTATACGCTGCTGGACGGTGCGTGCAGCGGGTGGGGCACACGCGGCCCCCTGGCCTTGTTCTTGGGGGGAAGGCGTTTCTCGTAGGGCTTCCATGGGTGTCTCTGGTGAAATTTGCTTTCTGTTTCATGGGCTGCTGGGGGCCTGGCCAGAGAGGAGCTGGGGGCCACGGAGAAGCAGGTGCCAGCTCTGGTGCAGAGGCTCCTATGGCCTTTCAGGCCCGTGGCAGAGGGTGGGCTCAGGAGGGCCATCGTGGGTGTCCCCCGGGTGGTTGAGCTTCCCGGCAGGCGTGTGACCTGCGCGTTCTGCCCCAGGCCACTACCTGTCTGAGGAACCTGAGCCCTACCTGGCAGTCTACCTACACTCGGAGCCCCGGCCCAATGAGCACAACTGCTCGGCTAGCAGGAGGATCCGCCCAGAGTCACTCCAGGGTGCTGACCACCGGCCCTACACCTTCTTCATTTCCCCGGGGTGAGCTCTGCGGGCCAGCCTGGCAGGGCAGGGCAGGGCATCATGGGTCAGCATTGCCTGGGTTACTGGCCCCATGGGGACGGCAGGCAGCGAGGGGACTGGACCGGGTATGGGCTCTGAGACTGCGACATCCAACCTGGCGGAGCCTGGGCTCACGTCCGCTACCCCTTCCCTGCCCAGGAGCAGAGACCCAGCGGGGAGTTACCATCTGAACCTCTCCAGCCACTTCCGCTGGTCGGCGCTGCAGGTGTCCGTGGGCCTGTACACGTCCCTGTGCCAGTACTTCAGCGAGGAGGACATGGTGTGGCGGACAGAGGGGCTGCTGCCCCTGGAGGAGACCTCGCCCCGCCAGGCCGTCTGCCTCACCCGCCACCTCACCGCCTTCGGCGCCAGCCTCTTCGTGCCCCCAAGCCATGTCCGCTTTGTGTTTCCTGTGAGTGACCCTGTGCTCCTGGGAGCCTCTGCAGAGTCGAGGAGGGCCTGGGTGGGCTCGGCTCTATCCTGAGAAGGCACAGCTTGCACGTGACCTCCTGGGCCCGGCGGCTGTGTCCTCACAGGAGCCGACAGCGGATGTAAACTACATCGTCATGCTGACATGTGCTGTGTGCCTGGTGACCTACATGGTCATGGCCGCCATCCTGCACAAGCTGGACCAGTTGGATGCCAGCCGGGGCCGCGCCATCCCTTTCTGTGGGCAGCGGGGCCGCTTCAAGTACGAGATCCTCGTCAAGACAGGCTGGGGCCGGGGCTCAGGTGAGGGGCGCAGCGGGGTGGCAGGGCCTCCCCTGCTCTCACTGGCTGTGCTGGTTGCACCCTCTGGGAGTGAGTCTCGTCGCAGGCGTCAGAACAAGGCAGTTTTTGCAGTGCTGTGTGAAGGGCTCGTGTGTTCATCCTGGGAATGACCTCGTGAGCACTCACTGTCCCTGAGGACTAGGACAGCTCCTAGCTGGAAGTAGGTGCCAGTCAGTCAGGGTGGGCAGCCCACGTTCTGCACAGTAGCGTGGCCCCACAAGTGACGTGAGCATCGCTACCACTGTGGGAGACTGTGCATCCACCCGCGATCCTGACTGCATAGCTCGTCTCTCAGACGGAGGCGCCAGCACCCTCCCCGTGGCTGTTTCTTCAGTACCTCCATTTTCCTTTCATTGGAATTGCCCTTCTGGCATTCCCTTTTTGTTTTCGTTTTTCTTTTTTTAGAGACGGAGTCTCACTCTGTTGCCCAGGCTGGAGTGCAATGGCATGATCTTGGCTCACAGCAACTTCCAGCTCCCGGGTTTAAGCCATTCCCCTTAAGCGATTCTCCTGAGTAGCTGGGAGTACAGGTGCACACCACCACACCCAGTTAATTTTTCACCATGTCAGCCAGGCGAACTCCTGACCTCAGGTGATCCGCCTGCCTCGGCCTGCCAGAGTGCTGGGATGACAGGTGTGAGCCACCACACCTGGCTGTGTTCCCATTTTTTATCTCTGTGCTGCTTTCCTCTTCATTGCCCAGTTCTTTCTTTTGATTACCTACTTTTAAAAACTGTCGGCCGGGCGCGGTGGCTCACACCTGTAATCCGAGCACTTTGGGAGGCCAGGCAGGCAAATCACGGGGTCAGGAGATCGAGACCATCCTGGCTAACGGTGAAACCCTGTCTCTAATAAAAAGTACAAAAAAATTAGCCCGGCGTAGTGGCAGGCGCCTGTAGTCCCAGCTCCTTGGGAGACTGAGGCAGGAGAATGGCGTGAACCCGGGAGGCGGAGCTTGCAGTGAGCTGAGATTGCGCCACTGCACTCCAGCCTGGGTGACACAGCAAGACTCCATCTCAAAAAAAAAAGAAAAAAAATACTGTCACCTGGGTCTGTCACTGGGAGAGGAGGTGACACAGCTTCACGCTTTGCAGTCTGTGCATGAACTGAGGGACGGGTGTGTGGTGCGGGTCACCGGTTGTGGCATGACTGAGGCGTGGACAGGTGTGCAGTGCGGGTCACTGGTTGTGGTGTGGACTGAGGCGTGTGCAGCCATGTTTGCATGTCACAAGTTACAGTTCTTTCCATGTAACTTAATCATGTCCTTGAGGTCCTGCTGTTAATTGGACAAATTGCAGTAACCGCAGCTCCTTGTGTATGGCAGAGCCGTGCAAAGCCGGGACTGCCTGTGTGGCTCCTTGAGTGCGCACAGGCCAAAGCTGAGATGACTTGCCTGGGATGCCACACGTGTTGGGCAGCAGACCGAGCCTCCCACCCCTCCCTCTTGCCTCCCAGGTACCACGGCCCACGTGGGCATCATGCTGTATGGGGTGGACAGCCGGAGCGGCCACCGGCACCTGGACGGCGACAGAGCCTTCCACCGCAACAGCCTGGACATCTTCCGGATCGCCACCCCGCACAGCCTGGGTAGCGTGTGGAAGATCCGAGTGTGGCACGACAACAAAGGTTTGTGCGGACCCTGCCAAGCTCTGCCCCTCTGCCCCCGCATTGGGGCGCCCTGCGAGCCTGACCTCCCTCCTGCGCCTCTGCAGGGCTCAGCCCTGCCTGGTTCCTGCAGCACGTCATCGTCAGGGACCTGCAGACGGCACGCAGCGCCTTCTTCCTGGTCAATGACTGGCTTTCGGTGGAGACGGAGGCCAACGGGGGCCTGGTGGAGAAGGAGGTGCTGGCCGCGAGTAAGGCCTCGTTCCATGTTCCCACTCCGTGGGAGGTTGGGCAGGGTGGTCCTGCCCCGTGGCCTCCTGCAGTGCGGCCCTCCCTGCCTTCTAGGCGACGCAGCCCTTTTGCGCTTCCGGCGCCTGCTGGTGGCTGAGCTGCAGCGTGGCTTCTTTGACAAGCACATCTGGCTCTCCATATGGGACCGGCCGCCTCGTAGCCGTTTCACTCGCATCCAGAGGGCCACCTGCTGCGTTCTCCTCATCTGCCTCTTCCTGGGCGCCAACGCCGTGTGGTACGGGGCTGTTGGCGACTCTGCCTACAGGTGGGTGCCGTAGGGGTCGGGGCAGCCTCTTCCTGCCCAGCCCTTCCTGCCCCTCAGCCTCACCTGTGTGGCCTCCTCTCCTCCACACAGCACGGGGCATGTGTCCAGGCTGAGCCCGCTGAGCGTCGACACAGTCGCTGTTGGCCTGGTGTCCAGCGTGGTTGTCTATCCCGTCTACCTGGCCATCCTTTTTCTCTTCCGGATGTCCCGGAGCAAGGTGGGCTGGGGCTGGGGACCCGGGAGTACTGGGAATGGAGCCTGGGCCTCGGCACCATGCCTAGGGCCGCCACTTTCCAGTGCTGCAGCCAGAGGGAAAGGCGTCCACCAAAGGCTGCTCGGGAAGGGTCAACACACTTGAGCAGCCTTAGCTAGACTGACCAGGGAGAAAGAGAGAAGACTCAGAAGCCAGAATGGTGAAAGAACGAGGGCACTTTGCTAAGCAGACGCCACGGACGACTGCACAGCAGCACGCCAGATAACTCAGAAGAAGCAAGCACGCGGCTGTGCACGCTTCCGAAATGCACTCCAGAAGAAAATCTCAGTACATCTATAGGAAGTGAAGAGGCTGAGTTAGTCCCTTAGAAACGTCCCAGTGGCCGGGCCGGGTGTGGTGGCTCACGCCTGTAATCCCAACACTTCAGGTGGCCGAGGTGGGCGGATCTGAGTCCAGGAGTTTGAGACCAGCCTGGGCAACATAGCAAGACCCCATCTATATAAAACATTAAAAAGGGCCAGGCGCGGTGGCTCACGCCTGTAATCCCAGCACTTTGGGAGGCCGAGGCGGGCAGATCACTTGAGGTCAGGAGTTCGAGACCAGCCTGGCCAACACAATGAAACCCCGACTCTACTACAAATACAAAAACTTAGCTGGGCATGGTGGCGGGCGCCTGTAGTCCCAGCTACTCGAGAGGCTGAGGCAGGAGAATGGCATGAACCCAGGAGGCGGAGCTTGCAGTGAGCCGAGATTGCGCCACTGCACTCCATCCTGGGCAACGGAGCAAGACTCCATCTCCAAAAAAAAAAAAAAAAAATCCCACAAAGAAAAGCTCAGGCTCAGAGCCTTCACGATAGAATTTTTCTAAGCAGTTAAGGAAGAATTAACACCAATCCTTCACAGACTCTTTCCAAGAATACAGCAGGTGGGAACGCTTCCCATTCATACGGAAACGGGAGGCCGCACCCCTTAGGAATGCACACGTGGGGTCCTCAAGAGGTTACATGCAAACTAACCCCAGCAGCACACAGAGAAGGCGCATAAGCCGCGACCAGGAGGGGTTGCTCCCGAGTCCGTGGCAGGAACCAGAGGCCACATGTGGCTGCTCGTATTTAAGTTAATTAAAATGGAACGATGGCCGGGTGTGGTGGCTCACACCTGTAATCCCAGCACTTTGGGAGGCGGAGGCGGGCAGATCACTTGAGGTCAGGAGTTCCAAGACCAGCCTGGCCAACACAGTGAAACCCCGTCTCTACTAAAAATACAAAAAATTAGCTGGGCATGGTGGCAGGCACCTGTAATCCCAGCTACTCAGGAGGCTGAGCCAGGACAATCGCCTGAACGCGGGAGGTGGAGGTTGCAGTGAGCTGAGATTGCGCCATTGCACTCCAGCCTGGGTGACAGCGAGACTCCATCTAAAAAAGAAAATATGAAATTTAAAACTCTGTTCCTTAGCTGCACCAGTCTGCTGTCAAGTGTTCAGTGGCACACGTCGCGAGGGGCTGCCATCACGGACGGTGCAGATGTCCCATATATCCAGCATTCTAGGACATTCTGTCAGATGGCACCGGGCTCTGTCCTGTCTGCTGAGGAGGTGGCTTCTCATCCCTGTCCTGAGCAGGTCTGAGCTGCCGCCCGCTGACCACTGCCCTCGTCCTGCAGGTGGCTGGGAGCCCGAGCCCCACACCTGCCGGGCAGCAGGTGCTGGACATCGACAGCTGCCTGGACTCGTCCGTGCTGGACAGCTCCTTCCTCACGTTCTCAGGCCTCCACGCTGAGGTGAGGACTCTACTGGGGGTCCTGGGCTGGGCTGGGGGTCCTGCCGCCTTGGCGCAGCTTGGACTCAAGACACTGTGCACCTCTCAGCAGGCCTTTGTTGGACAGATGAAGAGTGACTTGTTTCTGGATGATTCTAAGAGGTGGGTTCCCTAGAGAAACCTCGAGCCCTGGTGCAGGTCACTGTGTCTGGGGTGCCGGGGGTGTGCGGGCTGCGTGTCCTTGCTGGGTGTCTGTGGCTCCATGTGGTCACACCACCCGGGAGCAGGTTTGCTCGGAAGCCCAGGGTGTCCGTGCGTGACTGGACGGGGGTGGGCTGTGTGTGTGACACATCCCCTGGTACCTTGCTGACCCGCGCCACCTGCAGTCTGGTGTGCTGGCCCTCCGGCGAGGGAACGCTCAGTTGGCCGGACCTGCTCAGTGACCCGTCCATTGTGGGTAGCAATCTGCGGCAGCTGGCACGGGGCCAGGCGGGCCATGGGCTGGGCCCAGAGGAGGACGGCTTCTCCCTGGCCAGCCCCTACTCGCCTGCCAAATCCTTCTCAGCATCAGGTGAGCTGGGGTGAGAGGAGGGGGCTCTGAAGCTCACCCTTGCAGCTGGGCCCACCCTATGCCTCCTGTACCTCTAGATGAAGACCTGATCCAGCAGGTCCTTGCCGAGGGGGTCAGCAGCCCAGCCCCTACCCAAGACACCCACATGGAAACGGACCTGCTCAGCAGCCTGTGAGTGTCCGGCTCTCGGGGGAGGGGGGATTGCCAGAGGAGGGGCCGGGACTCAGGCCAGGCAGCCGTGGTTCCCGCCTGGGGTAGGGTGGGGTGGGGTGCCAGGGCAGGGCTGTGGCTGCACCACTTCACTTCTCTGAACCTCTGTTGTCTGTGGAAAGAGCCTCATGGGATCCCCAGGGCCCCAGAACCTTCCCTCTAGGGAGGGAGCAGGCTCATGGGGCTTTGTAGGAGCAGAAAGGCTCCTGTGTGAGGCTGGCCGGGGCCACGTTTTTATCTTGGTCTCAGAGCAGTGAGAAATTATGGGCGGGTTTTTAAATACCCCATTTTTGGCCGGGCGCGGTGGCTCACACGTGTAATCCCAGCACTTTGGGAGGCCGAGGTGGGCAGATGACCTGAGGTCAGCAGTTCGAGACCAGCCTGGCCAACATGGCGAAACCCCGTCTCTACTAAAAATACAAAAAATTAGCCGGGCATGCTGGCAGGCGCCTGTAGTCCCAGTTACTCGGGAGACTGAGGTAGGAGAATCGATTGAACCTGGTAGGTGAAGGTTGTAGTGAGCCGAGATCGCGCCACTGCACTCCAGCCTGGGCAACAAGAGCGAAACTCCGTCTCAAAAACAAAAAAATTCCTCAATTTCTTGGTTGTTTTGTAACTTATCAACAAATGGTCATATAGAGGTTACCTTGTATGTAGTCACGCACATAGTCACGCACATGGCAGCCGGCGGCGGAGCGCACCCACGGCGTGTTCCCACGCGTGTGACCCCGGGCTCTGCCATGCCCTCCTATGCTCAGGTGTGCTGAGGTCCACACGGCCCTGCCGTTGCACTGCAGCTGCCTGCAGGATTCAGTGCAGTGGCATGCAGTGCAGGTGCGGTGCCCCGGAGCCACAGGCCACACCACAGGGCCTGCATGCACAGGGGCTGCGGTGTCTGGGTTTGGGTAACTACGCCCTGTGACATTTGCACAGCAACAGAATTACCTAATGACGCATTTCTCAGAACACATCCCTGGCACTAAGTGGTGCGTGACTGCTGCTTTTGCATCCACATCTAGTTTGATTTGTGTGTTATTCCTTTGAGTGCTTCTCATTGTTAAGCAACCAAGAACTAAAGAGGTATGAACTGCCCCTGGACTCAAACAAAAAGGAAAACTTCCTGATTTACAAAAGGCAGATAACCATCACATGAGGGCATCTTTATGAATAAATTGCTGGTTGGTTTTAAAAATACAGAGTATGGGGAAATCCAGGGGTAGTCACTACATGCTGACCAGCCCCAGGTATCTCCGGCCCAAAGCTCTGTGAAATCCAGATTCAGTGCTTCCGCGGGGATTTCTGACGGCAGCTCAGACTCCGCATCCACACAGAGCGCGTGGCCCTCACCCTCCCGGCTTCCTCAACCCTTGGCCGTCCCTTGCTCGGACAGTGCTTCGGGCTGACCAGGTCGGAGGCTTGGGTTTGTCCTGGACCCCTCTGCGTCCTTCCTCACTGCAGCCTCCAGCGCGTCCCGTGGCTCCTTTCCCAACGCAGAGCACGGCCTTCCCTGCGCCTGAGCCTGCACCCTCCGTCCTGGCGGCGCCTCTGCCCTGGCATTCCCTGCCACTCCATGCCTCCCTATTGGCCATTCTCCGTCTCTGCCAGCGAGAGCCTGCTCCCTGAGTCAGACCCTGAGTCATTTGTGTTGCTATAAAGGAATAGTTGAGGCTGGGTTATTTTTTATTTTTATTTATTTTTTTGAGATGGAGTCTCTGTTGCCCAGACTGGAGTGCAGTCGCATGATCTCGGCTCACTGCAAAGTCTGCCTCCCACGTTCAAGCAGTTATCTGCCTCAGCCTCCCAAGTAGCTAAGATTACAGGCGCCCGCCGCCACAGCCGGCTAATTTTTTGTGTGTGTGTTTTAGTAGAGAGGAGGTTTCACCATCTTAGCCAGGCTGGTCTTGAACTCCTGACCTCGTGATCCACCCATCTCAGCCTCCCAAAATGCTGAGATTACAGGCGTGAGCCACCACGCCTGACCAAGTTGAGGCTAGGTCATTTTTTAATTTTTTGTAAAGACAGGGTCTCACTGTCTCCAACTCCTGAGCTCAAGTGATCCTCCTGCCTCAGCCTCCTGAAGTGCTGGGATTACAGGCTTGAGACACTGCGCCCAGCCAAGAGTGTCTTTTATCCTCCGAGAGACAGCAAAACAGGAAGCATTCAGTGCAGTGTGACCCTGGGTCAGGCCGTTCTTTCGGTGATGGGCTGACGAGGGCGCAGGTACGGGAGAGCGTCCTGAGAGCCCGGGACTCGGCGTCTCGCAGTTGGTCTCGTCCTCCCCCTCAACGTGTCTTCGCTGCCTCTGTACCTCTTCTCTAGCAGCTCTGGGACCGGGCATATCAGCATGGTGGCCCGATGCAGTGGCACAGCCTCGGTGGTCACTGGCTCCTGGAGACACAAGCAGATCTCTGGCCTCAGGGAGCCCTACACACTGTTGGGATTTGAAAGGCATTCATATGTTTCCTTGTCCAGAAGTTAATTTTAGGCCATAAACCTGCATGGGACAGACACACTGGCGTCTCTAGATTGTAGAGATGCTTGTTGGATGGTTGAGACCCAATCATAGTTTGCAGGGTTGAAGGGGGGCTCATTGCACCCTGAGAGACTGTGCACTGCTGTAAGGGCAGCTGGTCAGGCTGTGGGCGATGGGTTTATCAGCAGCAAGCGGGCGGGAGAGGGACGCAGGCGGACGCCTGACTTCGGTGCCTGGAGTGGCTCTTGGTTCCCTGGCTCCCAGCACCACTCCCACTCTCGTTTGGGGTAGGGTCTTCCGGCTTTTTGTCGGGGGGACCCTGTGACCCAAGAGGCTCAAGAAACTGCCCGCCCAGGTTAACATGGGCTTGGCTGCAACTGCCTCCTGGAGGCCGGGATGAATTCACAGCCTACCATGTCCCTCAGGTCCAGCACTCCTGGGGAGAAGACAGAGACGCTGGCGCTGCAGAGGCTGGGGGAGCTGGGGCCACCCAGCCCAGGCCTGAACTGGGAACAGCCCCAGGCAGCGAGGCTGTCCAGGACAGGTGTGCTTGCGTAGCCCCGGGATGCCCCTAGCCCCTCCCTGTGAGCTGCCTCTCACAGGTCTGTCTCTGCTTCCCCAGGACTGGTGGAGGGTCTGCGGAAGCGCCTGCTGCCGGCCTGGTGTGCCTCCCTGGCCCACGGGCTCAGCCTGCTCCTGGTGGCTGTGGCTGTGGCTGTCTCAGGGTGGGTGGGTGCGAGCTTCCCCCCGGGCGTGAGTGTTGCGTGGCTCCTGTCCAGCAGCGCCAGCTTCCTGGCCTCATTCCTCGGCTGGGAGCCACTGAAGGTGAGGGGGCTGCCAGGGGTAGGCTACAGGCCTCCATCACGGGGGACCCCTCTGAAGCCACCCCCTCCCCAGGTCTTGCTGGAAGCCCTGTACTTCTCACTGGTGGCCAAGCGGCTGCACCCGGATGAAGATGACACCCTGGTAGAGAGCCCGGCTGTGACGCCTGTGAGCGCACGTGTGCCCCGCGTACGGCCACCCCACGGCTTTGCACTCTTCCTGGCCAAGGAAGAAGCCCGCAAGGTCAAGAGGCTACATGGCATGCTGCGGGTGAGCCTGGGTGCGGCCTGTGCCCCTGCCACCTCCGTCTCTTGTCTCCCACCTCCCACCCATGCACGCAGGACACTCCTGTCCCCCTTTCCTCACCTCAGAAGGCCCTTAGGGGTTCAATGCTCTGCAGCCTTTGCCCGGTCTCCCTCCTACCCCACGCCCCCCACTTGCTGCCCCAGTCCCTGCCAGGGCCCAGCTCCAATGCCCACTCCTGCCTGGCCCTGAAGGCCCCTAAGCACCACTGCAGTGGCCTGTGTGTCTGCCCCCAGGTGGGGTTCCGGGCAGGGTGTGTGCTGCCATTACCCTGGCCAGGTAGAGTCTTGGGGCGCCCCCTGCCAGCTCACCTTCCTGCAGCCACACCTGCCGCAGCCATGGCTCCAGCCGTTGCCAAAGCCCTGCTGTCACTGTGGGCTGGGGCCAGGCTGACCACAGGGCCCCCCCGTCCACCAGAGCCTCCTGGTGTACATGCTTTTTCTGCTGGTGACCCTGCTGGCCAGCTATGGGGATGCCTCATGCCATGGGCACGCCTACCGTCTGCAAAGCGCCATCAAGCAGGAGCTGCACAGCCGGGCCTTCCTGGCCATCACGCGGTACGGGCATCCGGTGCACTGGTCTGTCTTCTGGGCTTTAGTTTTGCCTTTAGTCCAGCCAGACCCTAGGGGACATGTGGACATGTGTAGATACCTTTGTGGCTGCTAGAACTGGAGGTAGGTGCTGCTGGCATCAGTAGGCAGAGGGGAGGGACACAGGTCCGTGTCTTGCAGTGCACAGGACGGGCCCATGACAGACAACTGTCTGCCCCAGAACATCCCCAGGATAAGGCTGAGAAGCCCAGGTCTAGCCGTGGCCAGCAGGGCAGTGGGAGCCATGTTCCCTGGGTCTCTGGTGGCCGCTCACTCGAGGCGGGCATGGGGCAGTAGGGGCTGGAGCGTGTGACTGATGCTGTGGCAGGTCTGAGGAGCTCTGGCCATGGATGGCCCACGTGCTGCTGCCCTACGTCCACGGGAACCAGTCCAGCCCAGAGCTGGGGCCCCCACGGCTGCGGCAGGTGCGGCTGCAGGAAGGTGAGCTGGCAGGGCGTGCCCCAAGACTTAAATCGTTCCTCTTGTTGAGAGAGCAGCCTTTAGCGGAGCTCTGGCATCAGCCCTGCTCCCTAGCTGTGTGACCTTTGCCCTCTTAACACCGCCGTTTCCTTCTCTGTATATGAGAGATGGTAACGTTGTCTAATTGATGGCTGCTGGGAGGGTTCCCTGGGGTGGCGCCGAACCAGAGCTCAGGCGAGCTGGCCAGCAGGAAACACTCCTGTTGGGTTTTGATGAGGCCCTGGCCCCGGCCTGGGGCTCTGTGTGTTTCAGCACTCTACCCAGACCCTCCCGGCCCCAGGGTCCACACGTGCTCGGCCGCAGGAGGCTTCAGCACCAGCGATTACGACGTTGGCTGGGAGAGTCCTCACAATGGCTCGGGGACGTGGGCCTATTCAGCGCCGGATCTGCTGGGGTGAGCAGAGCGAGGGCCCCGGGCGTCTACGCCAAGGACAAGGGAGTAGTTCTCCAGGAGTGCCGCGGCCTCCTGACCAGCCTGGCTCCGGGGTGCCGGAAGGGCTGGGGTGCGGCACCCACGCCACCCCTCTCCGGCAGGGCATGGTCCTGGGGCTCCTGTGCCGTGTATGACAGCGGGGGCTACGTGCAGGAGCTGGGCCTGAGCCTGGAGGAGAGCCGCGACCGGCTGCGCTTCCTGCAGCTGCACAACTGGCTGGACAACAGGTGGGAGCTCCCTCCCCTGCCCTCTCCGGGGTGGCCGCAGTCACCAGCCAGGAGCCCACCCTCACTCCTCCGGCCCCCGCTGGCCTAGGCGGCTTCCACAGCCCCTCAGCCACGCCTGCACTGCGCGGTCCCCGCAGCTCCCGCCCTGCCACCCGCTCCTACTGACCCGCACCCTCTGCGCAGGAGCCGCGCTGTGTTCCTGGAGCTCACGCGCTACAGCCCGGCCGTGGGGCTGCACGCCGCCGTCACGCTGCGCCTCGAGTTCCCGGCGGCCGGCCGCGCCCTGGCCGCCCTCAGCGTCCGCCCCTTTGCGCTGCGCCGCCTCAGCGCGGGCCTCTCGCTGCCTCTGCTCACCTCGGTACGCCCGTCCCCGGCCAGACCCCGCGCCTCCCACCGGCAGCGTCCCGCCCCCTCGCGGGGCCCCGCCCCGGCAGCGTCTCACCCCTCGCAGCGCCCCGCCCCCTCGCAGCGTCCCGCCCCCTCGCAGGGCCCCGCCCCGGCAGCGTCCCGCCCCCTCGTAGGGCCCCGCCCCGGCAGCGTCCCGCCCCCTCGCAGGGCCCCGCCCCGGCAGCGTCCCTCCCGCCCTCCTGACCGCGCCCCCCACAGGTGTGCCTGCTGCTGTTCGCCGTGCACTTCGCCGTGGCCGAGGCCCGTACTTGGCACAGGGAAGGGCGCTGGCGCGTGCTGCGGCTCGGAGCCTGGGCGCGGTGGCTGCTGGTGGCGCTGACGGCGGCCACGGCACTGGTACGCCTCGCCCAGCTGGGTGCCGCTGACCGCCAGTGGACCCGTTTCGTGCGCGGCCGCCCGCGCCGCTTCACTAGCTTCGACCAGGTGGCGCAGCTGAGCTCCGCAGCCCGTGGCCTGGCGGCCTCGCTGCTCTTCCTGCTTTTGGTCAAGGTGAGGGCTGGGCCGGTGGGCGCGGGGCTGGGCGCACACCCCAGGGCTGCAAGCAGACAGATTTCTCGTCCGCAGGCTGCCCAGCAGCTACGCTTCGTGCGCCAGTGGTCCGTCTTTGGCAAGACATTATGCCGAGCTCTGCCAGAGCTCCTGGGGGTCACCTTGGGCCTGGTGGTGCTCGGGGTAGCCTACGCCCAGCTGGCCATCCTGGTAGGTGACTGCGCGGCCGGGGAGGGCGTCTTAGCTCAGCTCAGCTCAGCTGTACGCCCTCACTGGTGTCGCCTTCCCCGCAGCTCGTGTCTTCCTGTGTGGACTCCCTCTGGAGCGTGGCCCAGGCCCTGTTGGTGCTGTGCCCTGGGACTGGGCTCTCTACCCTGTGTCCTGCCGAGTCCTGGCACCTGTCACCCCTGCTGTGTGTGGGGCTCTGGGCACTGCGGCTGTGGGGCGCCCTACGGCTGGGGGCTGTTATTCTCCGCTGGCGCTACCACGCCTTGCGTGGAGAGCTGTACCGGCCGGCCTGGGAGCCCCAGGACTACGAGATGGTGGAGTTGTTCCTGCGCAGGCTGCGCCTCTGGATGGGCCTCAGCAAGGTCAAGGAGGTGGGTACGGCCCAGTGGGGGGGAGAGGGACACGCCCTGGGCTCTGCCCAGGGTGCAGCCGGACTGACTGAGCCCCTGTGCCGCCCCCAGTTCCGCCACAAAGTCCGCTTTGAAGGGATGGAGCCGCTGCCCTCTCGCTCCTCCAGGGGCTCCAAGGTATCCCCGGATGTGCCCCCACCCAGCGCTGGCTCCGATGCCTCGCACCCCTCCACCTCCTCCAGCCAGCTGGATGGGCTGAGCGTGAGCCTGGGCCGGCTGGGGACAAGGTGTGAGCCTGAGCCCTCCCGCCTCCAAGCCGTGTTCGAGGCCCTGCTCACCCAGTTTGACCGACTCAACCAGGCCACAGAGGACGTCTACCAGCTGGAGCAGCAGCTGCACAGCCTGCAAGGCCGCAGGAGCAGCCGGGCGCCCGCCGGATCTTCCCGTGGCCCATCCCCGGGCCTGCGGCCAGCACTGCCCAGCCGCCTTGCCCGGGCCAGTCGGGGTGTGGACCTGGCCACTGGCCCCAGCAGGACACCCCTTCGGGCCAAGAACAAGGTCCACCCCAGCAGCACTTAGTCCTCCTTCCTGGCGGGGGTGGGCCGTGGAGTCGGAGTGGACACCGCTCAGTATTACTTTCTGCCGCTGTCAAGGCCGAGGGCCAGGCAGAATGGCTGCACGTAGGTTCCCCAGAGAGCAGGCAGGGGCATCTGTCTGTCTGTGGGCTTCAGCACTTTAAAGAGGCTGTGTGGCCAACCAGGACCCAGGGTCCCCTCCCCAGCTCCCTTGGGAAGGACACAGCAGTATTGGACGGTTTCTAGCCTCTGAGATGCTAATTTATTTCCCCGAGTCCTCAGGTACAGCGGGCTGTGCCCGGCCCCACCCCCTGGGCAGATGTCCCCCACTGCTAAGGCTGCTGGCTTCAGGGAGGGTTAGCCTGCACCGCCGCCACCCTGCCCCTAAGTTATTACCTCTCCAGTTCCTACCGTACTCCCTGCACCGTCTCACTGTGTGTCTCGTGTCAGTAATTTATATGGTGTTAAAATGTGTATATTTTTGTATGTCACTATTTTCACTAGGGCTGAGGGGCCTGCGCCCAGAGCTGGCCTCCCCCAACACCTGCTGCGCTTGGTAGGTGTGGTGGCGTTATGGCAGCCCGGCTGCTGCTTGGATGCGAGCTTGGCCTTGGGCCGGTGCTGGGGGCACAGCTGTCTGCCAGGCACTCTCATCACCCCAGAGGCCTTGTCATCCTCCCTTGCCCCAGGCCAGGTAGCAAGAGAGCAGCGCCCAGGCCTGCTGGCATCAGGTCTGGGCAAGTAGCAGGACTAGGCATGTCAGAGGACCCCAGGGTGGTTAGAGGAAAAGACTCCTCCTGGGGGCTGGCTCCCAGGGTGGAGGAAGGTGACTGTGTGTGTGTGTGTGTGCGCGCGCGCACGCGCGAGTGTGCTGTATGGCCCAGGCAGCCTCAAGGCCCTCGGAGCTGGCTGTGCCTGCTTCTGTGTACCACTTCTGTGGGCATGGCCGCTTCTAGAGCCTCGACACCCCCCCAACCCCCGCACCAAGCAGACAAAGTCAATAAAAGAGCTGTCTGACTGCAATCTGTGCCTCTATGTCTGTGCACTGGGGTCAGGACTTTATTTATTTCACTGACAGGCAATACCGTCCAAGGCCAGTGCAGGAGGGAGGGCCCCGGCCTCACACAAACTCGGTGAAGTCCTCCACCGAGGAGATGAGGCGCTTCCGCTGGCCCACCTCATAGCCAGGTGTGGGCTCGGCTGGAGTCTGTGCAGGGGCTTTGCTATGGGACGGAGGGTGCACCAGAGGTAGGCTGGGGTTGGAGTAGGCGGCTTCCTCGCAGATCTGAAGGCAGAGGCGGCTTGGGCAGTAAGTCTGGGAGGCGTGGCAACCGCTCTGCCCACACACCCGCCCCACAGCTTGGGCAGCCAGCACACCCCGCTGAGGGAGCCCCATATTCCCTACCCGCTGGCGGAGCCGCTTGATGTGGCGGAGCCGGGCAATCCACTTGGAGGGGTAGATATCGGTGGGGTTGGAGCGGCTATGATGCACCTGTGAGGCCATCTGGGGACGTAGGCAGGGGGTGAGCTCACTATCAGGTGGCACCTGGGCCTGTCCCACCAGCTCACGCCTGGACCCACCCCCACTCACATTTGCGTGCAGGGCCATCTGGCGGGCCACGAAGGGCAGGTTGCGGTCAGACACGATCTTGGCCACGCTGGTGTCCACAAGGCCCTCCATGTCTGGGGAGACTTGGTGGTCACGCCAGGCCCAGGGCTCTTGGCGCCACACTGCAGGGCCCCACCCGGCCCTACCTTTCCTGCACTGCAGGGCCCCACCCGGCCCTACCTTTCCTGCACTGCAGGGACACCAGGTTGCACTCGTAGTCCAGCGGGGTGACGATCACGTGGACAAAGTTGAACTGGCCCTGCCCGGACAAGAGAAAGGGTCATCCCCGCACACAGCGTGTGCTGAAGGCTGATCTCGGCTACTGCCTGGTTGCACTGCTAGACACCTGTCAGCTCCATGGGCAGCATCTGCCCCTGAACTTTCCCCTCTGGCAGCGGGGCTGTGTTTGTCTGGCCTCCCCCAGGCCAAGCCCCCTCCACATCTGGGCGCAGCACCCACATATGCTGCAGCCACAGGCAAGACACCTCTAATTGCTGGGGCACCTCCACTCACTGGGGCCCCCAGGGTGTCTGCAGCCACACGTCCGAATCCGTCTGCCCAGCCATGAAGTGAGCCGTGCACCCCATCTCGGCACCACCACACCCTCCTCAGCCGCCCAGGTGCCCCCCCCCCCCCAACTGGTTGTCTTGGCATCTAGCAGAGCCCACCTCCCTATGCTCCTGCCCCTCCTGGACTCTGACTACCAGCCCCGGGGTTTTGGTTCAGTGGCTGCCTCAGCATCCTGGGGCCCTTGGAGTGAGGCCTCCAGCCTATCTGCCCTGCCTGGGCCATGCCAGCTCTCCCCGCCATGCTGGGGCTCACCCGGACCGTGCTGTGACACTGGCCGACCCAGCCCACCTCCAGGAAGAGGGTGACGCTGGTTGCTGCCTAGTGGTGCGTGGCGATAACCAACTGAGCAGCCTGACAGCTGCCACTGGGGAGATGGTGGGGGCCCAAGGGCCGCGCCGGACAGACAGGAAGCACCAACTACACTGTGCCCACCCAGCACACCCAGTCTGCACTTGCCAGTTACTCCTGACAGACACTCAGCAGCAGGCGCCACAGGCTTCAGGGCACAGAGGACACAACGCAGGCTCGGGGTGAAGCTCGTGCCCACGGGGCCCTGAGCACTGCGGCCTCTCCTCCTGCTCCTCGTGACCGAAGCTCAGGGAGGAGGACCTGCCACCAACCCGGGACACAGCAGTGGGCACCTGCCTGGGGCCCAGCCTCACTGACGGCCCCTCACTCACCTTGATGGTGCCAAGCTTGAAGTCCTCACCGGAGTCATTGTAGACAATGGACACAAAGTCGTTGCCCAGGTGGCGCTTCTTGTCGCAGCGGTGCTTGTCCACGTCCTTGGTGGGCATCAGGGTGGCGATGTGGAAGACGGCTGAGGGTGAGCAGGGCCGGATGGGTTTGTGGGGCCAGTGCTGAGGCCCTCTGTGCCTTGCACTGGGGCACCTCCTGATTACTCCAGGGGCTCTGGGGGCCTGCGGGGACCACGTCCTCTGGTGCCTGGCCAGTGGTCCTCGGCTCTCCCCAGGGGCAGGGCTTTGGGACGCAAAGCCACCAGCCCCATCACTGCCTCCATGCCCACGCTGTTAGGCTCGGAACCTGAGGCGTGGGGAGCTGGAGCAGGTGGGGGTGCCAGGGCCATGCCCCAGGGCGTGGGGTAGCAGGACTGGATGGGAGCCGTGCCCTGAGGCCTGGGGCAGCAGGAGCGGGTAGGCGCCAGGCCGTACCTTGCATGATGTCATCGTGCCAGCAGTAGGTGAACTGGCCGTCCTCACCACACACGTCCAGGCCTCCCAGGTACACCTTGTCCGGCTGGCAGTCCTTCAGCTCGATGAGCCGGCCCAGGCCCGTCAGGAACTCCGTGTACCTGTAGGAGCCATGCTCATTGGACAGGATGGCGAGCTCGCTGTTGCTCTGTGGGGAGAGGGGAGAGGCAGGGTGGCATCACTCCCGGGCCGGGCCCTGCCCCGCAGAGGGTGGGGGTGCCCAGCAGGCTCTGCCGGGAGCCCCACTCTGATCCCTGAGGCAGACAAGACCATCCATTCCAGCAGCCACCCAGGCCAGACATCGGGTGTCATCCTTGACTCCCTCTCTTCCCTCAGCCCCGTGTGTGCCTGGCCGGCAAAATCAGGGAGCTCCACACTCAAAGCACACCCGGGGCCCTGGCCCCTCAGCAGCCTGCCCCCAGGGGCCTACCCCACTCCCACGGGAACCATCACCACCCACCTCCTCGAGCCACACAGCAGGAGGGACTCACTGAGACTGGGCGGAGTCAGGCCATGTGCCCTCTGCTCAGAAGCAGCCCAGGCCCTGCCCTTTCCCTTGGGATGAAGGTGCAGCCTATAGGGCGCTGAGGCTGCCCATCCTGTCGGCTCCCGTGCTCGCCCAGCACCAGTGCTCAAGCTGGGCAGGGTGCGCCCGGCCCCCGCTGCTGGTGTGTGGGATGCCCCCACCCCTTATGCAGGCTCCCCCTGCCCGCTCCCTCACCACTCAGCTGTCAGCTCACTGACCAACAGCGCCCTCCCCAGCCCTGCGACCGGTGCCACCCGCCCAGTCCTTCCCACTCCTTGGTGTGCCGGGTGCTCCCACGCTAACCTGTCACTCGCACCGGGGTCCCCAGCACTCAGAGCAGCACCTGGCACAGAGCTCAATGAGCACTTCATGCTGTAGGGGACCCGGCAGTGTTGAGCTCTGTGGGGCGTTGGGGGCCCAGACTCCCTACCCACTGCAGGCTGAGGCCCAGCTGGCCCTGTCCAGGCACCTAGGCCGGCCCCGCAGCCTCACCTGGCCTTCTCCAACATACAGGACGGCGATCTTGTGGGTGTCGTATGATGGGATCTGGTCGAGGAGCTGCACCGACCGCTCAAAGGACTGTGACTGTGGCACACAGAGCCCTGCCTGAGCCCCAGACGCCCGTCCACAGGAGGCCGCCCCACCCAGGCCGGTCACGGCAGGCTGCCACAGGGAGCTTAGGCCAGAGCCCTCTGCAAGCCTGAGCTCCCAGCAGCAGAGCTGGGCCCCCCACCATTCACCCGAGCCACACAGCTCCAGCGGATGCAGGAGAGGGAGGCCACGCCTACCTCATTGGGCAGCAGGATTGGCTTGTTTGACTCGTCGCCAAAGAAGGGGGAATGGTAGAGCTGCAGGAACACGAAACTGCACAGGGAGGGGATGGTGGGCACCCAGGTGAGGGCCTGGCCAGGGCAGCCACAGCCCACAGGGAGGAACACAGAGCCTGGCCATCTCCCACTCCACCGCCCTCCCAGGGGTTCCAGCCAGCCCTAGGGCACAGGCGAGGACCCCACCCCAGCCCGCTCGGCCTGGGGCAAGTGAGGCACCAGGTTCCCGCAGGAGAGGTGTCAGGAGCCCCGCCCGGAAGCAAGAGGCCCACCTGGGGTTGATGCCT
This sequence comes from Homo sapiens, assembly GCF_000001405.40. Taxonomy (NCBI): domain Eukaryota; kingdom Metazoa; phylum Chordata; class Mammalia; order Primates; family Hominidae; genus Homo; species Homo sapiens. The sequence goes on along the minus strand of NC_000016.10, from coordinate 2,084,700 downwards.
GGCACTTTCTCTGCATTGGAGGCTGTGGCTCTGCTCTTTAAGGCGTCCCTCTCTACTCTCTTGCCCCTGCGTGATGGGGCCGAGTCGGAGATGGTGTAACCTCGGGGCCGGAGGCCACTGGGCGAGCGGGGGGAGCTGGAAGGCAAGGGACCCTCGGGCTGGCCCCGACTGTCTTCGCCCGAGGCCGACCAGGCAGCACTTTCCCCGTCCAGGGTCCCTGACTGTGACCGGGCCTTAACCTCAGGGCTCAGCCGGCCCACGTCGGCCTTGTCCCCAGGGTCCCCGAGGATGTCCTGCAGAGTCTGCAGCTCGGGAGAGGAGCTGGACTTGCTCAGGGGCTGCGAGGGCTGGAAGGAGAGGTCCACAGAGGGCCGGCCACCCTCCGAGGAGACGACTCGCTCGATGGGGATGCCCCTGCCAACCAGCTCCTCCGCGTGGAGCGACTTCTCCTCCTGGCTGGAGACTGAGGACGACTAGAAAGGACCATCCCAAAGAGAACCCCTGTCAGCAGGCACCCTCGAGCCCACCTGGGGTTGACCTGGAGGTGGTGAGGCCCTATCTGTCCTCCATCCCAGGGCCACAGACCAGCCCGAGCACCAGGCTACGGCCCCCGCCCGTTGACGCAGCAGCACTGCCACCAGCTGTGCCCCACACTGCGTGAGCAGAGGTATCAGCATCCCCTGAGACCACAGGCTGCCCAGCAGCCAGGGCCGGCCCAGGTGGATGGCTGCAAAGTGCAGACCGTCTGTGCACGAGGGATGTGGAAGAACATCTCCCCCAAGTTCAGAGCCAGTTCCCAGGGTGCAGGCACACCCACGCAGAGCCCTGCCTCCCCTAAGGAGCCCCCCGAGGTCAGCAGGGTCCAGGCTCTGAGCCACACTCACCCTGCTGTAGGCATCCGTGCGCCTGTCCATGCCTAGCGCTGCCTCAACGTCCTCCAACCCTGGGGGCTCCACCAGCACAGGAACCTCGCCCGGACTTCCCTCCTCCATGACCACGGCGGAGTCTGGGAGGACACAGACGGGGCTGCTGGATGTGGGGCTGGGCCAGGCCCTGGCCCTGACGTGGCCTCCGAGAACCAGCCTTCTCCTGACCAGAGGGACAGCAGCCCTGCGAGCCTCCCCAGGGCTCTGCTTACTGCTGCCATCCACCGAGCGGGCAGGGAGGACGCTGGGAAGGCCTGCACGTGACCCCGACACAGGCCTCTCCTGCATGAGTGCCCGGGGGTTGGGCAGGCAATCGGCTCTGCCCACCCTAGTGTCCACCAGCAGCCACCCCTGTGCCTCCAGGTAGGCAGGGGCAAGACGCTCTCCGCCCGACGGGCCTCAGCTCTAAAAGAGCGGGAGCCTGAAACCAGCCCTCGTAACCGAGGAGAGCTGCGGAGACTCCGTGACGTGGGGGAAGTCCCTGTTTGCAAACAGACTGCTCCCAAGAGCAGAGGCTCACCCTCCAACTCCAAGCCAGACCCACAGCTGGGGACGCTAAGGAGAGAGGGTGGGAGGTCCCAAAGCAGCATTTCCTGTGCCAGCGTCAGGACAGGGGGAGAGGAAGTAGAAGCAGCAACAGAGGGGACCATCACAGCCCCCGGGCGCCCCACAGCCCTGCACACGCGCAGTCAGCCACCCCAGGGCCCGTCCCACGCAGCCCTTCCAAACCAGCTCGTCTGCACGTGGAGACCTGGCAGGGGAGCACCATGCAGGTCACAGCACTCCCCACCAGGGCTTGGGGGCAACAGGCAGAGGTCGGTCTGCAGGGCCCCTGGTCAACCTGGGACTTGAGGCAGCCCCATCTGTGGGTTCCAGAGGCCAGGGGAGCCACCAAAGGCCAGGGCAAGGCCCGCTCGGTGCAGGCCCAGGGGTGGGCTTCCCCCTAAACAGCTGCCACCCATCAGAGTCTGCAGCTCAGCTGATGTCACCATGGAGACTCAGGCCACCCCCACCCCTCAGGCCTGAAGCTGGGCCGGGAGTGCTCGCACAGCGTGGGAACAGGGCTCAGCCACAAAGGGACCAAGTCAAGGGGATCCCGCTGGCCAAGCCAAAGACATTCTGCACAGACGTCCTCATGCGAGTCGGGACCTGCTCCCCAGGGCAATGGAGGCAGACGGACCATGGGGGTGGGCGGATGAGGCGACGAGCACAGCACCTATGAGGCAGAGTGGCGCTCTGCAGCCAACCGCTTCCCTCTGAGAGGCGATACCTGCCCAGGAAACGCTCCTGTGCAGCTGTCCTTGGCAGCTGGACTGGTACAGGGAGGAGAAAGAGGCCACTGCAAGGGAAGGCCGTGTGCGGCCACGTCAGCAGGAGGAGGGGCTACACACAGGTCGAGCAGAGAGCACAGGCCCCGTGCCTGCAGAGGAGAGAGGGCAGGGCCAGCGGCCGGCAGGGGCGCGCACGGGGCCCAGTGCTAGCTACAAGCTGCTTGGGCAGACCTGAGGAGGGCAGTGCCTCCCTCCTCCCGTGAATAGACGTCCTAGGCCGCTAAGTGCCATCTGCAGCCACAGGGAAGAGCCAGAGGGCCTGGCGAGAAGCACGGTGCCGAGTGGGGTGGGGGCCCAGAGTGCGCAGGCGGGCTCAGGTGTCCAAACCTGGGCCCAGGCAGGGAGGGAGGCTGCCGCAGAGCCTCCTGGAGCCCGCAGTGCTGGACTCCCCACGGAGGATGCTGGGCAGAGGCTCCACAGGGCCCCTACTGCTTCTGAAGCTGCCAGCCCCAGCTTCCTGAGCAGGGCAGACACCTCCCACGGGTCAGCCTCCTCCCAAACACCGGAGAACAATGGTGCTGAGGCAGGCCAGGGACCACTCCCAGCCGTGTGGGCGCCCTCAGCAGAGAGGAGCCACATTGCCGTCACCGGGAGCACCAGGCCAGTGGGAGCAGAGCCCGTGCCAAGGCCCGCCATGCCACTCACCTGTGTTGGAGCGAGGCAGAGGAGGGGGTTTGGCCGTGCTGGCTGCCGGCACCGACAGTGACTTGTACAGGGCTGTGTCCCGGTGCTCCTTGAAGCGCTCAGCCGCCATGAGGGCGTTAGACAGCTCCTGCAGGGGCATGTTGTTGATGTCCGAGGAGAAAGGGCTGAGCGGGTTCTCCAGGCTCATCAGCCAGCTGGTGTTCCCTGCGGAGGCGGCAGCACCTTTGGCCTGAGGCCAGTACCTCCCCTTACCCATCTCTGGCCCCCCAGGGGCCTCCTGGCCTGGGCCCTGGTTTTGCCCTCATGCTCCCTCCCACAATCCTCAGGACCACGATGTCGGAGCCAGCGCTGCTCTGACGGCCACCCACCCTGCTGCCCCGCTCAGCCCCTGCCTCGAGGCCAGGCTCCGCCAGGCACCTCAGAGCAGCGGCCTCCAGCCCACAGCCTCACAGTCCGGACCCAAGGCCTCCACGAGGGCTGGAACCCCTACTCTTTGCACCCCTCAGCCACGGCACACCCAGGCGCCCCTGGGCTCTGGGCCTCTGCAAAGGCCTCCCTCTGTCCCTGGGCTCTGGGCCTCTGCGGGGGCTCCCTCTGCCCCTGGGAACAGGCTGAGCTGTGCCCCCATGTTGGTATGCTTTAGTCCCAACCCCAGGAACTCAGAACGGGACTGTCTCTGGAGACTGGGTTTCAGAAAGCTAATTACGGCTAGCAAGGGACCAGAGCGGACCCTAAGCCATGACCGGTTTCCTCCCAAGAGGAGATTAACACGCAGACATCCAGGAAAGAGCCTGTGAGGACACAGGGAAAAAACCAACTGCATGCCAAGGATTGAGGCCTCTGAGGAGCACCTCCTGCCGAGGAGCACCTTGGTCTCGGACTTGCAGCCTCCAGGCGGGGAGGGCAACTCTCTGCCATGGAAGTCACTTGGTTCGCCACAGGCCCCTGCCCCACCTCAGCCACCTGGATCGCCCCTCACAGCTCACCTCTGGAGACTTACAAGTTACCCCCAAATGGCTGGGCGCGGTGGCTCACGCCTGTAATCCCAGCACTTTGGGAGGCCAAGGCGGGCGGATCACGAGGTCAGGAGATTGAGACCATCCTGGCTAACACAGTGAAACCCCATCTCTACTAGAAATACAAAAAAATTGGCCAGGCGTGGTGGCGGGCGCCTGTGGTCCCAGCTACTCGGGAGGCTGAGGCAGGAGAATGGCGTGAACCCGGGAGGTGGAGCTTGCAGTGAGCCGAGATTGCGCCACTGCGTTCCAGCGTGGGCCACAGAGCAAGACTCTGTCTCAAAAAAAAAACAAAAGTTACCCCCAAATATCCCAAGAGGGCCAAGTCTGCAATCGCCCCTGAGTGTCCACAGCTCTGTGGGTGACTGGCAGAAAGATGGCGCTCAGGCCAGCCCCGCCCAGTACCTGTGGGCCTCCGGACCAGGATCTCCGCCCAGCCCTGGGTCAGCAGGGGCACATAGGCCGCCAGGTTCGTCTTCTCCTGCACAGGAACCCGGGTGCCAGCTGAGGCCTTCTCAGGTTTCGCGGCTGGTGCAGTCCGTGGTCCTGGAGAAGTGGCACTGCCCAGGAACTGGGAGGCCGGCACGTCCAGGGCGCCAACTCGAAGACCATGGCCCCCTGAAGAAGAGGGCAGAGGACTGGTGACCACCACTTACCTGATGCAAAACCACCAGCCTCAAGCTGAATGCTCCCCCCGAGCCTGGCAAGCTAGTGCCACAGGCAGCCAGAGACGGTGGCAGCTCTGCCCTTGGGGCACGGCCCACCACAGTGCTGGCCTCAGTGAACCCAGGGCCACAGGGAGGGACCCAGAACCTGTCCTGCAGTCAGACCACGGCTCGCTGGAGCAGAGAAGGGCTCCAGGACTGAGCCGAGCTGAAAACCCGCAGGAAACACCAGCACCCAGAGCAGGCCCCTCTGCAGCAAGCGGGCCACACTCCACCACTCCACGGCTCTGGGGTGAGCTGTGGAAGGCTCACCCCAGAGTCAGGACGTGGGCCGGGCCTGAAGCCAGCCACCCCGGCCCCTGGGCTCGGGGCCTTCCTGAACACTGGGACCAGCAGCAACTGAGGGAGCCCCGGTGCCTGTGTGGAGGTGGCTGGGGCCAAGGCTCACCCGACATGGAACGGACCCGATCCCGGGCCCCACGGGACACCTGCTGCCCAGCCTGGGACTCCAGCTTGGCCGGCGCCTCCTTGGTCTGTCTCACATGCACCCCGGGGCTGGAGCTGAGAAGAGAATCCCACGCACAGGGTGGACTTAGTCCCCAGGCTGGTACGAGGGTGCCACGTGGGCCTGGGCTCGGGACAGCCGGTGTCGAGGCTGGCAGGCGCGGAGGAAAGGAAGGTGCAGTCACCTCGACTCCGGGCCGGACTGCAGCTCCCCCGAGTCCAGGCCTAGTAACGACCGGGTCCCGGTTCCCACGCTTGTCGTCACAGTGACAAGCTTGTTCCCAACCAGCCAGGTTTTGGTCCTGCCACCCGCTAGGAGGAACTCGCCCACAGGAGACCTAGAAGACAGGGAGCGTGAAACCCAGCTTGCCCGTGGAGCTCCCGCAGGCCCGCCCAGCCCTGTAGTGCCGCCTGGACCTCTTCGGGACAGCCGTGAAGTTGGAGAAGACGTATCGAGCCATCATGTCCAGACAGGTTTCCGTGAGCTCCAGGTGGAGGTTTTTCAGGCTATCGTCAGCCTGGGCCACGGAGTTCTCATCTGCAGACCCCAAGCTGGCACTGGTGAGGGACGTCTGTATCCTGCTGGAGGGAGAGGCCGTGACCAGGGTCAGGGTGCCAGGTAGGGCGGGCCGAGCCACCTATCACCAAGGGCCAAAGCTCAACGCATGCACGGCTGAGGACCTCGCTCGGAAAGACCCCAACAGGGCGTGGGCGGCCCAGCGAGCCTCAGCTTGAGAATCACGTGGACCACATTGTCCCAGAGAACGGGGAGACGCTGGGTGGGGAAGACCAGGCCTACTGGTCGGAGCAGACTCAGGAGGCTAGAGACCGACATCCCCCTCACCGAAGCCCACGGGAGCACTAGGTTACGGCCTCCTGGCGAAACGGTGTAGTCATGCAGAGAGGCGGAGGCCACACAGACAGGCCCAGATTGCATTCTGCCCGCAGGCTGCCTCCGGCAAGCACACAGAGGTCTGGGATCCCCATGTGGCCTTCCACCGTCACCCTCAGGCAGGCGAGCGGCTGCCTGAGCTCCACACCCAGTGACAGGGAAGAGGCTTATGGGAGTTCATTCTGATACAAATTTCATAGCCCCTAGGCAATATTTTGCTCATGATACAGAATGTGCTAGAAAATGGCTTTAAGCCTCACCGAGCACCTCTACCACCCCAACCCCTGGCCAAGTCCCACCCAGCAGAGGCCGGCCTGAGGTGAGGAGGTGGATGGACTGAGGGCCATGGGACCCCTTGGCCTGCAACGGGCTTCCAGGAGGAGACAGGTATCCCCTCTGCCAGTGCCAGCAGCGATGACCCACAGGCAGGTGACAGCCGAGAGCCCGAGAGCCCACACCTGCACCCAGACACTGCGGGGAGAACTAAGACCATGGCCTGGGGCCCAGGCCCATGCCCATGCCCTGCAGGATCCTAGCCCCCACCCAGGCCCTCCCAGGCTGCCCCACCCCAGCACCCTCCACAAATGCCCCTTGTTCCCTTTCAGCTACAACAAAAAATAAACCTTGTTGAGAAGAAAGCCCGAAGAAAAACGTCCATTCTAGAGAATACGAAAAGGCCAAAACCAGGAGTGGTGTCTCCCCCAACCCACACTGCGGCCCTTGGGGACAGCCTGGGGAGGCTGCTGCCCGGCACGCCTGGCTCTCTCGGAGCGGCACCCCGAGGGGGCCTGGGGATGCGTGCAACCAGCCCGTGCTCATACGGGGCCTGGGGACAGAATGCAACCTTTCCACCCCTCGTCACCGGCTCCCCCTGGGCTGGCCAGGGAGGACACGGGCAGACGATGAGGTCATGCAAGCAGCCCCATGCACTGCCACCCAGGTGCTCACGGGGCCAAGCTCCAGGGTCCGTGCCCCCCACCCGACAGTCCCGCTACCTGCGGACCACATGTTCAGACACACTGATGCTGCGGCACCGGAAGGCCTCGGCTGCAGAGCTCTCCTTGAATTCTTTCACGGGTGGAGAGTTATTCAAGCCTTGTTTGGGGGGTCTGGCTATCCTCAGACTATCGGGTGAGGAAGGAGCCCCAACGCCCCAGAGAGCCCAGCTCCCGGGAAGGGGAGAACAAGCCAGTGGAGGGGTGAGGAGGAAAGGTCCCAGGCCACAGGGTCAGGATGGAGAGATCCCGCGGGTGAGATGAGCAAAAAGAGCCATGCCAAAGGGCAGTTAGCGGGGAAGAGACAGAAAACAAAAATGCATGATAATACGTCTGGTAAACATGACTGAGAACAAGTAAGGCTTCACGCATGACACCAAAACAAACAACGTCAGTGCAAATTAAACGTGTGTGGGTCACCCCCACGGCAGATTCCAGGCTGTGCTGGCCAGGCAATCCCACCCACCCGCGGAAGGCAGGCACCGCCCAGCTCTGACCGAGGCGGCACTGAGGCCTCAGTGGCCAGGCCCTGAAGGTCACTAGGAAAAGAGACCAAGACCCCAGAAAGTAGTCTCTGGCCGTAATGGCCGAGCTTGGCCCCCGGCCCCCAGGGGCTGGAGACAACAGCTTCCGAGTTGAGGTCACGCTGGAAAATGCCGTATTCCCATCTAGGGAAAGCCAAAATAGCTCGGGCAGGAAGGTGGGGGACAGGAGGAGAAAGCCGTTCAAATGAAATGCAAACAAGAACACAGAGGCTGGCTCAGCTCTTTGCGGTCCGGCAAGGCGGCGGTGATGAAGCAGAGTCCCCGGCTAGCAGCAGGCTGGGGGCTGCAGAGGAGGGGGCAGCCCCAGACAAGGCCGGCTCCTTCGAGGGGCTCAGGCGCCTAAAGCTTGCACCCCAACCCCCAATTCCACAAGTAGGTGCCCGTGGCACACGCAGCCCGGACCCAGGCCACCACGGCCAACCTGCTGAGGGGCTGAGGGGTGTTAGCGGCCCTTGCAGGTCCTGCCCTGCCTCACATACTCCAGGGCACACAGGACCCATTTCCACTCACTGACTTGGAGGCACCGTCAGGCAGGCCACAGCCCCATGTCCTTCCCCACCCCACACCGACTCCAGGCACACCCCCGCAGGCCGTACCTCTTGGGTCTCTCGTTGAGACTAGTACTCCGGGCCCTGAAGCTGTCCTTCTCGGGGGTGTCATCAAAAGACAAGAGGACATTGGACCGCAGGCCCTGGCAGAGTGAGCACACCCAGACAGTGAGGGGTGGCAATGGGGGCTGGAGGCCCTCACCAGGCCTGCCGGGTGCCCCCTGGCCAGGGACAAGCTGCAGGCTAGGGGCAAGGCGGCGGCACCCAGCTCCCACCCCTCAATGCCTGCCGCGCATCAAAGCCCTGCAGGCTGCCCAGCAGAGCCCCCAGCGCCACAGGCACAGCCCCAAACACCCTCCCACTGCCCTCCACCTGCCTGTCACTCTGCCCGACCATGGACAGCCAAGGGCAAAGCAAGCCCTGGCCTACCGAGAGACACAGCCTTCACCGGCCCTGAGCCCACCTTAGTGATGAAAGGGACAAAATCCTTCCGGAAGGGCAGGCGGCACCTGATGAACCACATGGCTATGACGTGATGGGCCAGACACACGATGTACTGATTAAACCTGAGATGAGAAGGGGGCTGGCACTCCATCCTGGCAGCAGGGAAACATCCCCAGGGCATGAAGTGCAAAAAACCGAGGCGCTCAGGCCTTGGGGACAAAGGCTGCCGGGGCTTTCTGCCGCAAGGCCTAGCGGGGGCCACGGCTGGGAGGCACAGGGCCTGGGGCGACCACTCACTTGGAGGGGTTGGTGTACGGCAGGGAGATGGCGAACACACTGGCATACTGCTCCGCGGCAAAGTTCCTGTAGAGGTGCGGCAGCCTGGCCAGAGCTGCGGTAATGGAGAGGGTGGTCAGGGGAGCCGGGGTCCCGTGCAGCGCCTCTGAAGGCCAACACGGCTGCTCTGCCCACGGCAGCGATGGGGTGCTGCAGAGGAGAGAAGGCCACGGCCACACGGACGTGGCTTTCCCGACCCTGGCCTCAACTCTCGGTCCCATGGCCAGCCAACCACAGCTTCTGGGCCAATTCGAGCTGTCGCCTACCATTTGTGTGATCCGTGAGGAAAGGCTTCCGCACCTCTTTTTTTTTTTTTTTTTTTTTTTTTGAGATGAGTCTGGCTCTGTCGCCCAGGCTGGAGTGCAGTGGCGCGATCCCGGCTCACTGCAAGCTCCACCCCCTGGGTTCACGCCATTCTCCTGCCTCAGCCTCCCAAGTAGCTGGGACTACAGGCGCCCGCCACCACGCCTGGCTAGTTTTTTTGTATTTTTATTAGAGACGGGGTTTCACCGTGTTCGCCAGATGGTCTCGATCTCCTGACCTCATGATCCGCCTGCCTCGGCCTCCGAAAGTGCTGGGATTACAGGCGTGAGCCACCGTGCCCGGCCTCACTTCTCTCTTTTTTTTTTTTGAGACGGTGTCTCGCTCTGTTGCCCAGGCTGGAGTGCGGTGGCGTGATCTCAGCTCACTAGAAGCTCCACCTCCTGGGTTCATGAGATTCTCCTGCCTCCTGCCTTAGCCTCCTGAGTAGCTGGGACTACAGGCACCCGCCACCACACCCGGCTAATTTTTGTATTCTTAGTAGAGACAGGGTTTCGCCAGGTTGGCCAGGCTGGTCTCGAACTCCTGACCTCAGGTGATCCACCCGCCTCGGCCTCCCACAGTGCTGGGATGACAGGCCTGAGCCACCGCGCCTGGCCAGGCTTCTACACTTCTAAAGGGTTATCAACAAAACAGAAAGACCGACAGGACCTGCATGTGGCCCACAAAGCACACACGATCTTCTCTCCAGCCTCTACACCAAGTGCGGGCCCAGCAGTGCCCTTCTGCCATCTCAACATTGAGGGCCTGCCCAGATGCGCACAGGCGGTGAGGGGAAGGGACAGGCACCTGAGCTCCTGAAGTCACAGTCTGGGGGAAGCGAACAAAGCCCCCCTGAAGCGGCGTGTGCTCTGTTGGACAGAGAGGAGGCCCAAAACCAGGGGAGGGCCACTGCTCGGGGGGGAAGAGGCTTCTTCAAGGAGGAGCGTTCACATGGACACTAGAGGGGTGAGAGGAGCCGCCCCTCAAAGCCAGGAAGGAGAGCACTCATGGCAGCCGGGCAGAGACGCCCAGGCCCTGAGGCAGCAGAAGGCGAGACACCCAGGTTCCCCAAGGAGTCCTGAGAGAGGGCACCAGAGAAGCCCGCACAGGTTACACAGCCCGAACCTCTCGGGTGCATGCGCAGGCAGGGCGGGGACTCACTGGACAGGAACTCCAGCAGTGGGACGGCCATGCTGGCTGTGGCTGAGATGTGCGTGAGCTTCACCACCAGAACAGGCAGCGCCTTGATGATGATGTCAGGCATCTCCACGCTGCAGATGGACAAGGCCACGACGCACTGGCTGGCACAGCGGTGGATGAGGCCCTGCTCCAGGCAGTAGACCATCTCGCGCTGCAGGAGACAGGACACCTCAGGCCCCACCCGCTTGCAGCAGAGGCAGCCTCGCCTACCCCTCGCCAACCTCGAGTGCTCCACCGGGAGAACAGCCGAGGCTTAGCAAGTCCCTGAATGCCTGTGGGGCAGAGCCAGCAGTGCTGAGCTACCCGAGCAGACTCTGCACAGCAGACTGCTCCGGTCAGTTGCATTCCGACACGATCCCACAGGCCAACAGAACCCAGACATGCTGGGCTCTCATCCCCTGGTTCTGGGCCCTTCACAGGCTGGCTCTGTTGCAAGGGGCAGTGCTGCCTGAAGTGGCCAAGCCACCAGATCCCACACCAACCCTGGGCAGTGTCTTCCATGAGGACAGCAGAAGATGAGCGGAGCTCAGGCAGAGCCCGGGGCCAGATGGCCTGCCAGGCAGTGTCCCGGGAACAGCTTCCATTTCCCAAAGCCGGCCTCACCCCTCGGATACACTGTGGGCCAGTAAGGCCTCAGAACCTGCAGCCCAGCAAGGCTGGCTATGCTTTGAGGCAAGACCCATGAGGACCCAGTGAGCCTCTCAGAGGGGCTGAAGGGGCCCAACAGGGTGGGGCTGAGCCTGAGGGATGGGAACCCAACAACAGCTCCCTACAGGGCCACCATCAGAAGCTGAGGCCCGGGGCACAGATGGGCCAAGCCTCAGAGTCAGCATCTCCTGGCGGGCATGGCCCTGAGCGGAGGCCAGAATCTCTAGGACACCAGCTCCTCGTCCCGGAGGGCCATGTCAAAGAGAGGTGTGGAAGAATGCGACTGGGACGGGGGCGAGGCAGATCGCAGGTGAAGGGACAGTTTCCGGCACCTGATGGGGCGTGGAGGGAGGCAGAAGCCAGACTCTCTGGCCTGCCCACCCTGCGCCTCAGAACCAGCCCAGCTCCACCAACCGGCATGGCCACCTCCCCCTTGGGACAGCAGGAACAAGCCAGGCAACGCTCTACAGAGAGCAGAGATGCTGTCCGGGGTGGACAGGGAACACTGGATGGCTCCCAGGCCCCAAAGAGAGCTAGAAGCACCAGGGAATCGGATGTCCCCACTCTGGGCATCTGGCAGCCACCCAGGGAAGCAGAGCCAACTCACTCATCCCTGGCCTGGCAGAAACTCGTTTATGAGAAAAATGTGGGGCCTACCTGGGCCAGGCCCTCGAATCCCAGGCCCCATCAAGCTCGCCTGTCCTGCTCTGACCTCCTACCTGTTTGGTTTTGTCCAGGTAGTTATGGTAAGAGATTAATGCTGTCAGCACTGGAACCACGGCCAGGTGCAAGTCAGTTCTGGAGAAGCCTTCTGGGGCGCCTCGGAGCCGCTCCAGTGTCTTTGGGCCTGAAAGCTGATGACCAAATCCAGGCATGAAACCTCTCCCCAGCGGCCAGGTCACGGGGTAGCCAGAGGGGCTGGGGAGGCCCTGGGAACGCAGGCCCAGGAAAGGGGGCAAAGGGGCTGGGGAGCCTTCTTGCCTCCCTCCCAGGAAGGGCCTCCCTTTCGGAGTGGTGGGAGTGCCTGCCAAGTAACACACCAGGAATGTGAGGTGAACGGCACGGGAGCCCCACTTAGGAAAAGCACAGATGGGAGACATCCACATTCAGTGACATGCCCTTGGCTGGGGACCTCTGACGTCAGTCCCAAAAGCTGCGAGCTGGGGCAGGGGTCCCTCCACCCTGCCCAAGGCACAATCTGCGCTCCAGAGTGCAGCTGAGTTTGAGGGAAATGGAGCCCGAGCCCGAAGGGTCTCACTCGCTCTGCCCAGAGGCTCGCAGTCTTTTGGGGAAAAACCCTACTGGGTCCCCCACCCCAACCCCAGGCCGGCCATGGTACCATGGAGCAGAGAGCAGAGCACAGCTGGTCCACACTGCAAGGGGAAGTAAAGATGAGCACTTTATAGCGCAGGGACTCAGGCAGCCTGCCCAGAACCAGCTTCAGCACCTTCCAGTCAGACTCCTGCGAGGAGAGGAGGCGTCAGGACAGGGCCTTCTGGACCCTAGAGACAGAGGCGGAAGCTAGCATCTGAGGCTCTGCTTTGTGGCTGCACAGCGTCAAGGGCTATGGAGCCCTGTTCTCAGCCGGGGGAGCCTGCCCAGCGCAGGCCTCTGTCCCTGCAGCTGCTCGGGGAAGGGGGAAGGCTCAGCTCTGAGGGAGGGCTGCCCTCCACAGGCCAGACAGGGAGGGAGGCCCAGCAGGCAGGTGGCAGCTCCCTGTCCTCCTGGCCCAACGTGGGACGGATGGTCCCTGCCCGGCCCCACTCACCTGCTTCAAGCACTGCAGCAGGACGCGGAAGAGCAGGGAGTAGGGCACGGACCCCAGCCGCACGGCGGGGCCTGCAGGCGCCGGGCCAGGAGGCCCTGTGGGAGGAGAAAGGGGGCCGCTGGTCTTCTTCTCAGAGCCTCTCTCTGGCTCCCTGCAGAAGCAAGAGAAGCAGCTGAGGCCAAGTCCCCGCAGCAGGAACGGAACAGACTTGGCTCTTCCCAACCCTGGGACATCCCTCAGACATGCAAACAGCGCCACCACAGCCCCAGCGCCTCTGACGCCCTGAGCCTCATGGGCCGTGGGCGAGGTCCCGCGTACATGTAGTCGCAGACGCAGTAGGGGCTGAACCGCACGACTCCATCCTTGTTGGGCAGGCCCAGGCGGTGCAGTGAGTCGGCCCGCAGCAGCAACAGGAAGTCAAAGGCCTGTCAGGAAGAGGATGGTGAAAGCCAGAGCCAAGCTCGTGCAGGCCCAGGACAGGCGGCGTCCCACCTGCTCAGACCCACGTCCAGCACCACAGGCACTCAGAAAAGGCCACCTGCTGATGTGCACACACCCACATCCCAACACAGACACAGGCTCTGTCCTGGTGACACCGGAGGCCCAGCACCCACAGCCTCCTCCCTCCCTTGCCTCGGAGCTCACAGAGCCTGGTGTCCCCACCACCACAGCTGGGCCCGCCTGGGATGGAAGGGATGGGCGCCTCGCTCCTCTGGCAGCACCACACGCCCCCAACTGCCAGAAAGCGGAGCTCAGCTCCCAGCCCTGCCACTTCTTCCATCGACAGGCTGAACAGGACTCTGAGGCCACAGGGGTGGCCCCAGAGAGCACCTGCTCTAGGAGGGAGGGCTCCCATCCCAGTCACCTCTGCTCAGCCTGGTGCCAACATCTATAGCGCAAACTCAGCGAAACTCCTCCAGCCCTGTTCTGCCCATCCCTGCCCTGCCCTCTCAGCTCTGCCCTCTCCAGCCCTGCCCTGCCGTCTCAGCTCTGCCCTCTCAGCTCTGCCCTGTGCCGCCCACCTGCCCAGCCCTCTGCTGCAGGTCCTTCACAGATTCTGCAGCACCAGGAGCGTCAGGGCCATGCACTGCCCCGGAAGTCGCCGTGCGTCCTTTTCTCTGCCCCAACCCATGTCACCGTGCGGCTTAGAGCGACAAGCCACAGATGTGTGGACTGCAGGCAGAGGGAAGGACACCAGGACTGGGGAGGCTGCGGCCACAGTGGGTGCAGAGGAGGGACGGTCAGCTGAGGCCCCATCCTGGGGCCGTCTCTGCAGCTTCCAGGAACCACACCTGCCGAGACGGGGATACCTGGCTGGGCCCCCAGGAACTGGCTGCGCAACCCCAGCCACCATACCTGCAGCCGGATGCTGCTCGCGATTGGCAGGGTGTAGCTGTGCTTGTAGTGGAGCTGAATGTGGCTGACCAGCATCTCATACACACGCGTGGCGTGGCTTGCAGGCAGGGTGTACAGCTTGGTCTGCAGAGAGAGGACGCAGCTCACCACGGCGCAGGAGGTGAAAACGCAGTCCTAAGACAGCACCCTTGTCCCGGAGCAGGGGCCGGGGCGGCTGCTCTAGAGTGCGTGCTTCAAAACACACGACCTTCAAACCCAGGACCACCAGGACTCTCTCTCCACAGCAGCAAAAAGTAAAACCCAACCTCGTGCCCATCTCATCATCAGGGCAGTCATCAACAGGTGAGGAAGAGTCCATTCAATGGAGAAGCTCCAGCTGCGTGGCAGACAGGGCAGAATGGGGCGGGGAGTGTGTGCTGCAGGGCGATCCCAGGTGTAGGCAGCCCCTCCCAAAAGGTCAAGGGCACCTCCCAGACACGTGTGGCAAGGTGTGAAGAGCATCTGTTGCCTCCAGCAACCCTGGGGCCGAGGCCAGCAGGAGCCAGGGGAAATCTGGCCTGAGGGACCCTTTGCAGCACTCTGGAGGTAAGTGGTTACACTGTTATTCTTTTAAAGAAATGATTAACACCTTTAAATGATTAAAAAATCATTGAAAGAAATGACTGAGGCCAGGTGTGGTGGCTCACGCCTGTAATCCCAGCACTTTGGGAGGCTGAAGTGGGTGGATCACGAAGTTAGGAGTTCAAGACCAGCCTGACCTACATGGAGAAAGCCCATCTCTACTAAAAATACAAAATTAGGCCGGGCACAGTGGCTCACGCCTGTAATCCCAGCACTTTGGGAAGCCGAGGCGGGTGGATCATGAGGTCAGGAGATCAAGACCATCCTGGCTAACATGGTGAAACCCTGTCTCTACTAAAAACACAAAAAAATTAGCCGGGCGTGGTGGTGGGCACCTGTAGTCCCAGCTACTTGGGAGGCTGAGGCAGGAGAATGGCGTGAACCCAGGAGGCAGAGCTTGCAGTGAGCCGAGATCGTGCCACTGCACTCCAGCCTGGGCGACAGAGCAAGACTGTCTCAAAAAAAAAAAAAAATTAGCCAGGTGTGGTGGTGCATGCCTGTAAATCCCAGCTACTCAGGAGACTGAGGCAGGAGAATCGCTTGAACCCAGGAGGCGGAGGTTGCAGTGAACCAAGATTGCGCCACTGCACTCCAGCTGGGGCGACAGAGCGAGACTCCATCTCAAAAAAAAAGATGATTAAATGATTAACAGTTTCTCCTCATCTCAAAATATTATGACATAAAAGCAACATCCCTTCCTCGGACAAAAAAGAGGTGGAGGTGGGGGTTCACACAGTGCCTGGCACCCCCCATTCTGGGAAGGCCACATGGAACCAACAGCAGCTGCCGCCCTGCCGGGCCCACTAGGCAGGCAGGAAAAGGGGAATCAAACTTGTCACCGTGTCCATTGTGCAAACTCTCTGACCCTCGAACAGCACGAGGCTGGCCTTCATGGGTCACTTACATGCCAATTTTCTTCCGCCTCTCCCACCCGAGAGAGCAAGACCATGTGTCTCCTCTCCTTCCTCCTCAGTCCCCTCAACATGAGGATGACAACAATGAAGACCTTGGTGATGAGCCACTTCCACTTAAGGAACAGGAAATGTATTTTCGCTTCCTTATGATTTTTTTTTTTTTTTTTTTTTGAGACGGAGTCTTTCTCTGTCGCCCAGGCTGGAGTGCTATGGCACGATCTCAGGTCACTGCAACCTCCACCTCCCAGGTTCAAGTGATTCTCCTACCTCAGCCTCCCGAGTAGCTGGGATTACAGGTGCGCACCACCGCATCCAGCTAATTTTTGTATTTTTAGTAGAGACGGGGTTTCACCATGTTGGTCAGGCTGGTCTCGAACTCCTGGCCTCATGATCTGCCCGCCTCGGCCTCCCAAACTGCCAGGATTACAGGCGTGAGTCACCATGCCTAGCATCTTAACAGCATTTGCTTTTCTCTAGCTTACTTCACTGTAAAAACACAGAATACATAAAACACACGAGCTGTACATTAATAGACTGTCTGCTATCAGCAAGGCTTCTAGTCAACAGAGGGCTGTTGGTAAAGTTTCTGGGGAGTTAAAAGTTAGATGGGGATTTTCACCTGCACAGGGGCTGGCACTCCCAGCCCCATACTGTTCAAGAGTCAACTGTGTTACTTTTCAATTATAACAAAAGAAATGAAAACAGGCCAGGCACGATGGCTCACGCCTGTAATCCCAACACTTTGGGGGTCTGGGGTGGGTGGATCACTTGAGGTCAGGAGATTGAGACCAGCCTGGCCAACATGGTGAAACCATGTCACTACTAAAAATACAAAAATTAGCCAGGTGTGGTGGTGCGCACCTGTCATCTCAGCTACTCAGGAGGCTGAGGCAAGAGAATTGCTTGAACCTGGGAGGCGGAGGTTGCAGTGAGGTGAGATCGTGCCGCTGCACTCCAGCCTGGGTGACATAGTGGTGAGACTCTATCTCAAAAAAATAAAGAAATGAAAGCAGCCAGAACCAGGACTCTGCCTCAACTAGGAAATATCTCAGTTCTGCAGCCCAGACCCTCAGGCCTCCAGGGCTGGAGTTCCAAGTAAGGGCAACAGAACCTCTTTCCTTCCCTCTGCAGAAGCAGAAAGGTTCTCAGTTCTCCCAGGCCATAGGCCCCCACAGCCCAGCACACCCCTTCCCAACCAGTCAGTAAAGAGCATGGTGCTCATGTGGATGAGACACCAAGGAGGTGATGCCTGTTTTTGCTTTGTTTTGTTTTTGAGACGTTGTTTCATTCTTGTTGCCTAGGCTGGAGTGCAATGGCGTGATCTGGGCTTACTGTACCCTCTGCCTCATGGGTTCAAGTGATTCTCCTGCCTCAGCCTCCCGAGTAGCTGGGACTACAGGCATGCGCCACCACGCCCGGCTAATTTTGTATTTTTAGTAGAGACGGGGTTTCTCCATGTTGGTCAGGCTGGTCTTGAACTCCCAACCTCAGGTGATCCACCCACCTCAGCCTCCCAAAGTGCTGGGATTACGGGCATGAGCCACCACACCCGGCTGATGCCTGGTTTTTAATCAAACACCACGGCCAGGTGTGGTGGCTCATGCCTGTAATCCCAGCACTTTGGGAGGCTATGGTGGGAGAACTGCTTGAGGCCAGGAGGTTGATGCCAGGCTGGGCAACATATAAAGACCCCATCTCTACAAAAAATGAAAAAATTAGCCAGGTGTGGTGACGTGTGCCTATGGTCCCAGCTACTTGGGAGGCCTCCGAGGCAGGACGATCACTTGGTCACAGGAGTTCAAGGCTGCACTGAGCTATGGTCACAGCACTGCACCCCAGCCTGGGCGACAGAGTGAGATCTTGTCTCAAAAAATTAATTAAAAAAAAAAATCATCACCACTTTCAACTTCCATGGCAAGAAATAAAAACCCATGACATATAAACATGACAGGAAATTGTTCTACCATCCAACATCTTAAGGATGAGCTTTTGAGCAAACTGATTCATACATTATATTTTACACGATACTGACACTGACAGTCACACGTAAGTGATGCTGTGAGGCTTTGAAAAGTAGAGGCAGGCCGGGCGTGGTGGCTCACACCTGTAATCCCAGCACTTTGGGAGGCCAAGGCGGGAGGATCACCTGAGGTCAGGAGTTCAAGACCAGCCTGGCCAACATGGTGAAACCCAGTTTCTACTAATAATACAAAAAATTAGCCGAGTATGTTGGCAGGTGCCTGTAATACGAGATGCTCAGGAGGCTGAGGTAGGAGAATCGCCTGAACCCAAGAGGCGAAGGTTGCAGTGAGCCAAGATCGCGCCACTGCACTCCACTCCAGCCTGGGCGACAGAGTGAGACTGTATCAAAAAAAAAAAAAAAAAAAAAAAAGATAAATCAGAACCCTTACATGCTGCTCGAGTGGATGGAAAATGGCACAGCACCAGTGGAAAACAGCCTGGTATCGCCTTGAAACACCAAATGCAGACTAAACCTAGGGCCCAACAATTCACTCCTAGGTGCAGACCCAAAAGTGAAAATGCAGGCCCGGCGGAGCCCTCGTAGGAGAAGGTTCACAGCAGCACCACTCACCGCAGCTGCAAGGCGGACACAGGCCAAATGTCCACCAATGGAGGAACGGACAGACAAAATGTGCTCCTTCCAGATGATGGAATACTACTCAGCCATGAAAAGGAGGGGAGCACCAACAGCTGCCACAGCCTGGACGGGCCTGGACACATGGCGCTGGGTGGAACAATCCAGTCAGCAGACAGGAAACTGTTCTACCATCCAACATCTTATGGATGAATTTTGTGTGATTCCACTTCCATGAAATGTTGAGAGTAGGTAAATCCACAGAGACAGGAAGCAGCTTGATGGTACCCGGGGGTACGGGAGCAACGGGGGATGGGAGCGTGTGCTACTGGTATGCTCAGGAGGTTCTCAAGCTGACTGTGGGGTTGGCTGCAGAGCTCTGTGAATTTACTGAAAACCACTGAACTGTTCACTGTGAATGGGTAAATTGCATGATATGTAAATTAAATCTCAACAAAACAGCTGCAAATATTAAACGGACTGCAGGGCAGGAATGGAGGGCCACCCTTACTTCCCAGGTGCTGTGCTGGGTGACGAGGGCAAGCGCCACGCTGAGGATGGTACATGGTTCCGGCCCTGACTCAGGAGCACAGAGACAAGCTCTGGTCAGGGCGTACAACGGGGCCTCTTGCATCCATCCCTCCACAAGAGCAGGAGGAAGGTTCTGCTGCCTGCTGAGACCACCGCACCCTCAGCAAATCCAGGGAGGGTGTGGGTCCCGCTGGGGAACAGACTCCAACACAACGCAGATGCAGCTGGTGGACGCTAGCCATGCGCGCCCCGGGAGCAGAGGCCTCGTGCAGAACACCCACCTGAAGGATGACCAGAAGCCCCAGGACGGCTGTCTTCACATCCTCCAAGGAGGCCGAGTATGCGGCCACATCCCTTTCTTCCAGCTCCGGGGGTGGGGAGAGGGAGCGGGCCATCACCTTTGAAGAGAAGGCCAGGACTTACACACAGGCTCATGGTTCTGAGTCAGCAGCCGTGAGAACACTTTCTACCACAAACACCTTTTTTTTTTTTTTTTTTTTTTTTGAGATCGAGTCTTGCTCTGTCGCCCAGGCTGGAGTGCGGTGGCACAATCTCAGCTCACTACAAGCTCCGCCTCCCAGGTTCACGCCATTCTCCTGCCTCAGCCTCCCCAGTAGCTAGGACTACAGGCGCCCGCCACCACGCCCAGCTAATTTTTTGTATTTTTAGTAGAGATGGGGTTTCACCGTGTTAGCCAGGATGGTCTTGATCTCCTGACCTCATGATCCGCCTGCCTTGGCCTCCCAAAGTGCTGGGATTACAGGCATGAGCCACCGTGCCCGGCCCTTTTTTTTTTTCTTTTTGAGACAGAGTCTTGCTCTGTCGTCCAGGCTGGAGTGCAGTGGCAGAATCTTGGCTCACTGCAACCTTCACCTCCTAGGTTCAAGCGATTCTCCTGCCTCAGCCTCCTGAGCAGCTGGGATTGCAGGTGCCCGCCACCACGTGCAGCTAATTTTTATATTTTTAGTAGAGACAGGATTTCACCATGTTGGCCAGGCTGGTCTTGAACTCCTGAACTCAAGCAATCCACCTGCCTCAGCCTCCCAAAATGCTGGGATTACAGGCGTGAGCCACTGTGCCCGGCCTTCATCTTTATTGCTCAAAAGCAAAGATGCCCTTTATACCCGAGTGACTGTGCAGAAACCAAAATGCATCTGAAAATCAAAGAGCAAAGCTGTTGGCTGGGCAGGGAGGACGGCAGGCCAAAGCCCCAGCCCCAGGTCTGGGCTCCAGCGTCGGTCCAGGAGGCCCAGCCCAGCTGTCCCAGAGTGTGACAGGACACCCATGTCCAGGACTTTCAGTCAGGACACAAATCCAGCAGTGGCAGGCCCTGCACAGGCCTCGGGACACCCACCCTGCAGGGAGGGGAGCCTCACCTACGGACACAGCCATCCGGTCACTCGAAGAGGAGGACAGAGGGCCCAGAGGCCATTGCTGCCCACGGAGCTCTGGCACGCTAGCACCCGGCCCCGGGTACAACGGCTCTCACCTTCTCGATGATGTCCAGCAGGCTGTTGAAGTGGTGTGTGTGGCAGCCCTCTGCCAGGTCCACCAGCAACTGGGTGGCCAGCTTTCGGACCTGGTGGTCTTTATCCTCGGGGATGTGGGAGAGCTGCGAGATGACCACTGAGTTAATCAGCTCCTCCTGCACAGGCACAAGGGAGGCCAATGAGCGCCAGCCCAACGAGGGCCACATCTCGTGACACTTCCAATTCCTCAGGAACCGACCCGCAAGCAGCGGACATGTCCCTCGGGACTTCAGCACAGCTGGGCAGAGAGCACAAGCACCCGCTGAGCGCGACTCAGAGACCCCGGGGCCCCTTCCAGGGATCCTGTCCAGCTCCTCGTTCAGAAGGCTGGTGAGCACCGCAGGGCGGCCGGGCACAGACACGGGGCCCACAACTCACAAGGAGCAGCCGAGGTGAGGCCCTGCCCTTCACTGTCACAGCCGAGAACCCCTCCCACATGGTGCTGTGCGTGTGTGCGTGAGGGTGTGTGTGGCTGTGTGCACGCGTGGGCATGTGCACGTGTGTGCCTGTGCATGCGTGAATATGCGTGTGTGTGCGTGCTGTGCTGAGGACAGCGTGAGTTTTCACAGAAGCAGGTAAAAAGTTCCACAGGAACAGAGACCAGGACAAGACCAGCCCTGATGGGAGAAGCCAGAGGACCCAGAGGAACTTCCAGGAGGCCCTTAGCTCCCTCAGACAGAATGCGGGATCGCAATGCCCAGCAAAGGGCAATTCAAGGACAGTGGACGCTGGGGAGAGGAGCAGAGTGGGCAGCTCTCAGGAGGGCAGGACTGCGAGGCTGCAGGGAGGAGTTCGGTGGGAAGGGACAGCCTCAGAGCCTAAGCTGCGCCTCCTGGGAAAGGGGTATGACTGGCAGGCACACAAATGTCTCTCAAGGAAGGTGGGCCTGGGGCCACAGAGCTCCCAGAGGAGGGAGTGGAGAGGGAGAGCCCGCAGAGGAGAGACCAGGCAGGGCTGGCGATCACGCAGGTGCACAGGGTGAACGTCAGGACTGAAACGGAAGACAATGTCCCCATGCAAGACTGGCTGAAACGAACTCACACAGAATTTTTAAGAGGCTCCTGTGTTGGGTGAAAACCGGCCGGAGCTCCCTGAGGGCAGGCACTGTGCCTTCCTTGCTACTTGGCCACGTGTCAAGGCCTGGCAGAGGCACCCAGGACGAGCAAGCCAGTGAATGAACAGGGGTAAACAGACCACGCTGGGGGCTGCAGAGGGTCCGGCAGGACCGAAGTCCCAGGCAGAGCCCGGCTCTGCGGGAGCACGTGCACAACAGAGACAGCCCGCCCACGGAGAAATAGCCCTGAGCCCCCAGCTGCGGCCGCCTGGACACGCACCTCATAGAACTGCCTGTTGATGAGCAGCACAAAGGACAGCACGTCCAGCACCTTGATGCGCACGGCGCCTCGGGACTCGCTCCTGCGGGACGGCAGCCTGCTGGGGCGGGTGGGGAGTGCCCGGCCACAGCCCCACACCAGCCCGTCTGCCTGGCGCAGGCCAGCCCGACTCTGGGTCCTCCCGCGGCCAGGCACACAGGGCACAGAGCTCTGCTTCCCAGGGAGCATCTCTCCAGACGACCCCCGAAAAGAGGGAGCCCAGTGGCGTCATGAGAGGACCTGTCCTGCTGGACTGGAAAGCAAGCTAGCACCTGCTCACCCAGAGCCAGGGCTCTCCAGAGGCAGAGGGGAGGGCCCTGCTCATCGGGCATCCTGAGACCCAGCCCGGGTGGGCCCCAGACAGAGACAGGGCCAGGCTCCAGGTGCCAGGCAAGGCTACAGAGGACCCCCTACCTGAAGAATCTCTCCATCAGCGCCTGCAGGTTCTGAATCCAGCCGTCCTTGGCCGGGTGGATGGACTGCGCTCTATAGGAGATCAGGTTCAGGAGGGAGGACTCCTGTCAAAAGAAGAGCCGGTGTTGCCCCTCTGCCCCTCCGGCGCTCTCCTTCTCCACACTGGGCTGCTGGTCGAGAGGCTGGTTTGCTGTCAGAGCCCAGCCGCCTCACAGCCTGCAGCCCACAGCCCAGACACAAAGGCACTCCTGGCAGCGGGGAAGACTTGTGTCCAAACCCATGGAAAAGCCTGGGCCCTAAGCTGAGTGTTCCTGGCAAAATGACTGCGGCCGCCTGGGAGCCACAGGACTCTACAGAGCCGGATGGAAGCTTGCTCCACACAGGTGGGAGGAAACTGATGGGTGGGCTAGCCCCGAGCTTGTTACCAAACACGTGCTGTGCCTGCCAGCCTTCCCTGCCGAGTGCAGAAACCTGGAAAGCAGGCGCCCACCTGGCCCTTGGCTTCTGAGGCTCAGAAAGCTGCACTTCACCCAGCACCCGGCCCCTCCCCACCAGCCAAAGCCCAAAGGCCCCACCCAGGAGGGGGTCTCACAGGCCTCTGGTCCGCACATCTCTCCACCAGTTCAAAGTATCTCTCCTGAGACCCGTGGAACTCGTTCTGGTCACACAGCTCCTCCACCGTGGTCAACAGGTCATGGACGATGGTCCTGAGCTCCGGGCTGTCCAAGGTCTGCAGTACCAGGCACGATGACACAGGCTGACTTCCACTCCCCACATGGACTTGGCACCAGAGGCCTCGCTACACACCCACCGCATGGAGACACCCTCAGCCCTCTCAGGCCGCTCTGGGCCGCATGGGGACAGACGCCCCCAGCCCTCTGAGGCCGCTCCGGGCCTCATGGGTTGAGACACCCCCAGATCCTCTCCAGGGGCCACCCTGACCCACGTGGCCCAGGACACCCCCCAGATCCTCTCAAGGGGCCACAGTGGCTGTGATGGCAGCTGCTGTTCCTGCCCGTACCCCACCCCCCAAGGAATCTTGGCTGTGCCCATGCAGCTGGGCCAAGAAGGAAGCTCGGGCAGGAGGGCCAAGAGTAGCCACAACTACAAGCCTTTCTTGCCTCTCCCAGGTCCAGCCTCTTTTAGAAGCCCCAGGCTATGACCTCTGCCACTGCCACCAGCGGTCGGGGGCAATGCTCTGGCCCAGCGACAGGCTCTGAGAGGACTTCAGTCCCTGCTAAGTCCCGGCGAAGTCCCGGCCTCCCTTCTGCTGCCTGGCCTCCTGTACATCACCCGCCCCAGGCTCCAGGAAAAGGCACAGCCCTGAGGCTGCTGGATACTAGCCTCGCCTCCCCAGGGCCCCTATGCTGATGAGCCCGTGTGGCCGTGGAGTCCTCCTTAAAGCTGTGGTTAACAGACTCGACTAATGCGGTCCTCCAAAGTCATGCGGAAGCCACACTGGCATCCCTCTGGGAACTGTGCCGGGGCCCACTCAGGCCACGAAGGCGGCCTGCAGGTCACTCTGCGGACTGTGGACAGCACTGGCCCAGCCCCGGCTCACCTACTGCATATTCCTGTCTGGGGCCTAAACGATGCACCACGTCTGGAAAAATCAGACCTGTCTCCGGTGGAAGGTGGATGAGCGCCACTGCGAATCACCAGAGAACACGGTTCTGGCAGTCTCTGCGGGACCCCCAGAGATGGGGCCCAAGGTACCATCTTCTGAGTGGGCCGAGCCTGCCTGTCTGGGTTCCCGGTGCTCCCCGGAGCTCCTGCCCCCACCCCACCTGGAGCTGCTGAAGGAGCCGTTCGATGATGTTCAGCAGAATGTCCCACGCCACCACCTGGAGCTCCTTCCTATACTTCTTGATGAGCCTGGTGATGGACAGGACGATCTCATAGGACACCACCTCGTTCGGACATGCCATGGCCTGGAACACGAGCCCGGCCAGCACACAGGGTCAGAGCTGCTTGCTTGCTGTGGGACGCCCTCCCAGTCACCCTTGGGACCGAGAGTAGCACGCCTGAGCGCGCAGTGCCCACCACACGTTTATCAGGGGCCGCAGAAACAGCAGGTGGGGCGCCCAGGAGGGGTTTCTACATGCTCCAGCACAGTCAGGACCCAGACGGGCCCCACCCCCATGCCTGCCTGCAAAGTCCCTGACTCGGACAGACCAGCAACTGAATCCTGGGCACCCGGTGGGCCAGCCCAGCAGCAACTGAAAGCTGCCCTGAGTTCGGCTGCAAGCTGTGCACAAAGACAACATCCCCCCACCGCCCCTACGGGGAGGGGGGTAGCAGGAAGAGCAGAGGATCAGGAGAGCCCTGTGACCCACACCGCAGCTCATCACTATAAAACCAGGACGACGTGATCGCCCCACCCTCCAGGGAGCTGTGAGCACAGAACGAGGACGGACACAAAAAGCGCTGTCATCACGGGGCACTGCGGAAACTGAAGCTGTACCACCAGCGTCTGTGCCACGGCGTCATTGCAGAGACAGGACAAGACCAGCACTTGACAAAACAGAGCCGCCAACAGCAAGAGAACGGCTACCCCCGAGGCAGCGTTCACCCCTCCACTGCCAACTCCAGAAGGTGAAACTCGCAAGATGTAAGGTTTGCTTGAGAATAAAGCCTTTGGGCTGCGCGCAGTGGCTCATGCCTATAATCTCAGCACTTTGGGAGACCAAGGCGGGTGGATCACCTGAGGTCAGGAGTTCAAGACCAGCCTGACCAACATGGTGAAACCCCATCTCTAATAAAAATACAAAACATTAGCCTTGGCCGGGCACGGTGACTCATACCTATAATTCCAGCACTTTGGGAGGCTGAGGCTGGCGGATCACCTGAGGTCGGGAGTTTGAGACCAGCCTGACCAATGTGGAGAAACCCAGTCTCTACTAAAAATAAAAAATTAGCTGTGTGTAGTGGCCCATGCCTATAATCCCAGCTACTCAGGAGGCTGAGGCAGGAGAATGGCTTGAACCTGGGAGGCGGAGGTTGCGCTGAGCCAAGATCGCGCCATTGCACTCCAGCCTGGGCAATAAGAGCGAAACTCTGTCCCATTAAAAAAAAAAAAAAAAAAAAAAAACCATTAGCCAGGCACTGTGGCAGGCACCTGTAATCCCAGCTACTCAGGAGGCTGAGGCAGAATGGCTTGAACTGGGGAGGCAGAGGTTGCAGTGAGCCGAGATCGCACCATTGCACTCCACCCTGGGCAACAAGAGTAAAACTCTGTCTCAAAAAAAAAAAAAAAAAAAAAGAGAGAGAGAAAAAAGCCTTTGGCCAGGCATGGTGGCTCACGCCTGTAATCCTAGCACTTTGGGAGTCTGAGATGGGTGGATCACTTCAGGTCAGGAATTCGAGACCAGCCTGGCCAACATGGCGAAACCCCGTCTCTACTAAAAACACAAAATTAGCCAGGCATGGTACCAGGCACCTGTAATCCCAGCTACTCAGGAGTCTGAGGCAATAGAATCACTTGAATCCGGGAGGCGGAGATTGCAGTCAGCCAAGCAGAAAGAGCAGAACTCCTTCTCAAAAAAAAAAAAAAGACTAAAGCCTACAAAGGGCCCCAAACCTCACCCCCAGCTGCAAAGCAACTGCCTGGAAAGGCCTAGAAATGCCACCGCAGCCCCCGCAGCAGGACCCCCAGTGGGATGGGTGGGCAGGCGTGAGGGGAGCTCTCCCGTTCCTGCCAGCTCACTGCACACAGAAACCGCCTTACCTGGTAAAATGATGGCAACACAGATGTCGGCGAGTTCCTGAGAGAATAGAGCCGGTGGGCTCCCCAGAGAGCCATGCCCACAAAAAACACGGCTCCTCTCAGCAGGGGCGCGTCCTCCATGTAGGCTCTAAAAGTGTTCCCCAGAGAGACGGAATGTGAGCAGGGCCCTGTCCCAGGGTCCGCCATGGATGTGTGAGGTTGCCGAGGCTCCTGCAGCAGCCCCAGAGGTCCCTGTGCTTGGGGGGGGCAGGAGCACCGCTGGGGAAGGGCAGGGAACAGAGGCCAGCAGTAACACTCTTGTTCACTCCTGCGCACAGGCGGCAGCCCATCACTGCTGACCACGCTGTGAGCTACAGGTCATGCCAGGGACAGGAAGCAGGCAAGAGGGATGGCCCACAGCCTCGCAGTCTGGGGGAGACAGGCGCCAGCCACATAATCTCCCAGGTAAACGCAAAATCTCTTCCTCCAATCACAGCCAAGAAGGAAAGCCACAGCAAAAACTACTCAGGGAGGTGGGGGAGTCAGTGACCACGCTAAGACCTCAGTAAACAGAGTAACTCGGCAAAGGTGGAAGAACCTGCTGGCAAGAGGAATCAGGGCATGCACAAGCCCTTGGTGGAGGGGAGAAGGCAAGATGGAGGAAAGGAGAGATGCAGGGGGTGGGGCAGGGCTGGGAGAGATGCAGGCTGAGGCAGGGCTGGCCCCCAGGGCCTGGTTCTACGGGAGGAGGGAGGGAGAGATGCAGGGGCTGAGGCAGGGCTAGGAGAGATGCAGGGCTGAGGCAGGGCTGGGCCCCAGGGCCTGGTTCCAAGGATGGAGGGAAGGAAAGATGCAGGGCCGAGGCAGGGCTGGGAGAGATGCAGGGGCCGAGGCAGGGCTGGGAGAGATGCAGGGGCCGAGGCAGGGCTGGGAGAGATGCAGGGGCCGAGGCAGGGCTGGGAGAGATGCAGGGGCCGAGGCAGGGCTGGGAGAGATGCAGGGGCCGAGGCAGGGCTGGGAGAGATGCAGGGGCCGAGGCAGGGCTGGGAGAGATGCAGGGGCCGAGGCAGGGCTGGGAGAGATGCAGGGGCCGAGGCAGGGCTGGGAGAGATGCAGGGCTGAGGCAGGGCTGGCCCCAGGGCCTGGTTCCATAGGAGAAGCCTACATCCCAAGGGCGCTGGGAACCACCTGGCTTCCAGCAAAGGGTGACACCGACATATCTGTGTCAGAAAAAGGCCACCCGGGTGCTGCATGGAGTGGGCTTCAGGAGGCGCGGATGGATACAGGAGAGCAGGAGGGGGAGCTGGCAGCATGGGTGGGAGGCCAGGGTGTGGGCAGAGCTGAGCCATCTCTAATGGCTAAAGCAACAAAAGTGGCCACAGCCTGGCTGTGGGGGTGAGGGCAAGGGCAACGTCAAGCCAAGACCCCGAGCCTCGCCTTGTAACAGGCTAAGTAGTTGGGGAGCACCGCTGGAGGACGTCCGAGCATGGGGCAGGCACTGAGCTGGGTGTGGATATTCTGTTGAACTGACAGAGGAAGGAGAGGACAGGGGCTGGATCCTAGAAGTCATGGGCCTCGCTCTAGTGGCAGCCTCTGGAACAGCTGCCCGAGAGGACAAGGACTCTCTAAGCCAGTGTGTGCTTGGCAAGGGACACTGGAGCTGCCCCGAGGGCTGTGCTGGCCTCCACTGCCCTGCGCCCCACCCACCACACTCACCTGTCCTCCATGAGGTGGCACATGTTGTAGATGGCGCTGTGGCCCAGGTGGGTGCCAAGGAGGTTCCGCATCAGCTGCGAGACACAATGCGTGTCAGGGGCTGGCAGGCATAAGCCCTGCCCCCAGCCCCAGTCCCGCTGCTGGCCCCGCCTGGCTGCTGCCCTATAGCCACCCAAGGTCCGGCCAGCTCGCCACCATCTCCTCCCAAAGACAGAGGCAGCAGGGTTCTCAAAATGCCACCAAAACCCTGACCTCAGCTCAACTGCCTGGGAAAATGACACTGGCCGTCCCTCAACAGGCCATTGTCTGGCCACCCCAAGAATCAGACAACCATTCATGGGAGACAGGATGGCCCTTGTCCCATCCATGTGCTCTCAGGAACCTTCCAGAGCAGTTTCAGAAACCCCACCTTCCAGCAAGGCTCGCAGAGCTCCTTGACGTTGATGGTGCGACAGAGGGTAACGATGAACAGCGGGAGGCTCTCAGCCGGCAGGCAGTTGTAGCAGACCACGGCGTCCAGCACCTGCAGGGAGACCTGGTGGAGAGGGAGACGGCTCACGCCCGTCCTACCCCAGCTCCTCCCCACAGGAGAGGACACCCAGGCTTCCTTCCCACCTCCTTCAGCCTGCGCTGCCACCTCTCCCCGCTGCCATGGCACCCTCTCTCCAAGCCACAGGGCAAGCGGGCATGTGGGAAGCACCTGACGTCCCTGTCACTGTGGGTCATTGATGCTGTCATCCACCCTGAGCTACATCTCCACATGGAGGCGCCCGGCTATCCTGACTTACATGGGGGACTCCTGAGGCTCAGAGAGACCGAGCAGCTTGCCCAGGGCTACACAGCCAGCAGGTGGCACACAGGGCTCAACCCCCAAGCCCCAGCCTCCCAGAAACCAGGGTGAAATGGGCCGGCCCTGGGGAGGGGAGGCACTGACCTCTATGTCCACAGAGGACGCGGTCCGGACGCACAGCAGACAGATCATCCTGCAGGGAGCACCGAGCTCAGTCCCGGCAGCACTGCCTGGATGGCCGAGCCACCACGGGCTGTGGTCTAGTCACTCTATGACGTCAATAACACGCATGGCTCATCCTCCCTGGGGGTCCCACCCACCCAACAAGCACTCAGGTGCCTGCTGTGCGCCAGCCACTGCTCTCGGTGCTGGGTGTTCAGCATGAGTGAGACAGAGCTCATGCAACATTCTAAACAAACAACAAAAAGATAACCAAGACATCAGATGAGAGCTAAACAGAAGATAGCTACGTACTTCTCTTTTTTTTTTTTTTTTTTTGAGATGGAGTTTTGCTCTTTCACCCAGGCTGGAGTGCAGTGGCACGATCTCCGCTCACTGCAACCTCTGCCTTCCGGTTTCAAGCAATTCTCCTGCCTCAGCCTCCTGAGTAGCTGGGATTACAGGCTCCCACCACCATGCCCGGCTAATTTTTGTATTTTTAGTAGAGACAGGGTTTCACCATGTTGGCCAGGCTGGTCTCGAACTCCTGACCTCGTGATCCGCCTGCCTCGGCCTCCCAAAGTGCTGAGATTACAGGCGTGAGCCATTGTGCCCAGCCCAACCTCTATTTTTTTGGTGGTTTCAACTTTATTCACTGCGGAGCTGAACTTAGGACCATTATCAGAACAGGATCTCAATTCTTTTCTTACTGAACCATCCTTGCGATGTACTCGTCGAGGTAACAGCTATTGAATTTGACCAAGTTCACCAGCACCAGAAGGAATTCCGAGGACAAGCCAACATCCATCCACTGCAGGACAAAGTCAGCTGGGGGAGAAGCGGCGGCAGTTTGCGAGGACGCCGAATCTACATCTCCCACTCACCTCCCCCTCCCGCCGCAGGACAGTGTGTCCAAACCCGTCACTGCCAGAAACCCCATCATCAGTCCCCCGGCAGCAACAGACAGACCACGCACTGGGCCCGAAGAGGCTCAGGGGAGCCCAGGGCAGGCCGGCTACGCACGGACACTAGGATCTACCGCCCCTGGGGCTGCACAGAGGGTCTGTGCCGAGGCGGCAGCAGAAGTGTGTATGCCGTACACTCAGGGCCCAACCCGAGGCTGGGAGACGCCGACATCACCAGACTCCTGGGCGTTCCCCACCCCCAGCAGAGAGTGGCTCGGAGGAGACGTGTGCACACTTGGCTGCCGGCCACGTCACCTCAGACAGGAAACCTGACGGTAGGCACCTGGCCGGCACCTGTCCTGCAGGCAGCCCAGCCACTGAGGCCCTTTTCTGGGCGACAGAACAGCAAAGCCAGAGTCAGACCGATCTCTTCCTCCTCTTTCTCTACTTCCCAGAATCATGACACAGAGACCCAAGACTAATGGAAACCTCCCACCACAGGATGGCAGGAGGAAGGTCCACAAAGTGGAGAAAGGAGGAGGAAGACGGGACCAGTACGCTCCGGTTGAGACCAAGTCAGCAGCACCACCTCCCAGTGACAGAACTCGCCCAGCTCCTGCCGTTGCAGAGGTGTTCGGAGGCCCCAAGCCCCAGAGACTCACAGTCAGCAGGTCTGGGGTGAAGGCCAGGACTCTGCATTTTTAACACGTGCCTCAGGGGCACTCCGGCCACGCAGGTGAGCCCAGGTGCATGAAGCAGGGTGGGCATACCCGCTGCAGGCCATCCCTGAGAACGGCAGCCCCTCCCCAGCCCCAGGTCCTTCCCATCCAGGTTACACTTGATCGTCAAGGCCAGAGAAACCTCCAACCCAAGGTGGCACCCACCCAGCTCTTCCTCCAAGTAGGTGATGTGTCTCCCATTGTCTGTGAGGGCCTTGAAAACCTCCAGCCTTTCGTGAAGGTCTTCGTTGGAAGGGTAATCCTTGATGACCTTAAAGAAGAGGGCTCTGAGGACCCCCAAACGCTCGCCCTAAAGACAAAAGCCACAGGATCAGCAGAGCCTGCCAGCGTCGCCCACACGGCTGCCAAGAAGTCCCTGAAGTGCAGGGGCACCCGGACTCCAGCCCTGGACCCCTCTCCTTCCCACAGAGGCGCCCTGCAAGAGACAGGTCTGCAGCATCAGCATTGTACAGGGCAGGGGGCCGGATGCACCGGCCGACCGCAGAGCGGCGTATGGGGAGCAACTGCTGTGTGTCGGGACCTGGCACAGCGGGTGGCGCAGAGCAGGGGATGACACAGCTCCTGCCCGACCCCTGCACTCGGTGCAGGGCAGACAGCCTTGTGCTCAGAGACTGAGGACAAGGCCTGAGTGGGGGAAACCCAGGAGAGCCTGTGAGAGTGGACGGCCCTTCTGAGCAGCTGGGACATGAAGGAGTAGAAGTGGCCGACCAGGGGAGGCAGGAACACCAAGAGGCCTGGGTGTTCAGGGTCAGCCAAGACCAGCACAGATGGAATGCAGTGAGCAGGGGAGTGGCCCCGAAAGGGTGCAAGGGCAAAACAACACCGTAGCCCCACACCAGCTGCCAGGTACGATCTCAGCACTCTGCGAGAACTGCCTCATATGATCCCCAGAACATCCCATAAGAGGAAGGTGCAGTGACCATCTGTTTACAGGCGAGGAGGCAGTGCCTACGGTCACACAGACCTCATGACACCAGGAGACCCCACAGGCCATCCAGCTCCAGAGCCCATCAGCCCCTAGACCCTGTGCCCAGCAACTCACCG
Organism: Homo sapiens; assembly: GCF_000001405.40. Taxonomy (NCBI): domain Eukaryota; kingdom Metazoa; phylum Chordata; class Mammalia; order Primates; family Hominidae; genus Homo; species Homo sapiens. The sequence goes on along the minus strand of NC_000016.10, from coordinate 2,053,540 downwards.
AGGCAGGAGTCCAAACACGGCCCAGCAGGGACAGGACAGTCAGTGGGCAGCCTGACGTCACCCATCCCAGCGTCGCCCTGGGCCTTACCTGCCCCTGCACGATGGCCTTCAGCAGAGCCAGCACCGCGTGCCGGGCCTCCAGCGGCCGCTCCGGCTGCAACAGATCCGCGACCGCCTTCCAGAGTGCTTCCACTGCGTGCTGTCACCAGCAGAGGGGACAGCGGTGAGGATGTGCTCTCCAAGAACCCTGGCCCCGGCAACTGGAGCAGTGCCGTGAGCGGAGGACAGGGAGGAACAACGGGGGCTTGTGACTGAGAGCCCCACCTCCAAAGCTCGTATCTCCTGTGTCTCCTGCAGCCTGAGATGACCACAGGCTTCGTACAGGGAACGGCTCAGAGCTTCCTCAAACCCCAGCAGGTCCCTTTAACTCCCACCAGGTGACAGACTGGGGGCTGAGAGGACAGCAGCAAGCCAGGGCAGCAATGGTGGCCTCACCTGGACCAGGAGGGAGTCCCACTAGAGCTGCCGGAATGCTGGCAGGAAGTCATGGGACAGTCTCAGAACCACAAGTGCACACTAAGCCCTAGGCCTGCACCTGACCCAGAATCCCTGCTTGTGGCTCTCCTCTAGTGAACACACCAGCATCGGGCCCTCGACCCCATGCCCCTGCCCGACCTCTGCTGCCTGCCTGACCTGCTGAGAAAGAGCGCTGCGTGGCCTTCTGAAATCTGCCTCCTCTAACTACCACCCAGCCTGTGAGGGGCTCATCCCTGCTCCCTAAAGCTGCCAGAATCAGTCTCACTCGGCAGGGGTTTGGGCTGGCTCTCACCACCTTCCCTTCTCCACATTAACCAACAGCCACGGCTTTCAGACCACAGGCTCATTCCTGGCCTTACTCCTCTAAGGAGGGGAACTAAAATGGCCGTGTTCTGGCCAAGTGCGGTGGCTCACACCTGTAATCTCAGCACTTCGGGTGGCAGAGGGGAGAGGGTCACGTCAGCCCAGGAGTTTCAGACTAGCCTGGGCAACACAGTGAGACCCTGTCACGACAAAAAATACAAAACTTAGCCAGGCGTGGTGCTGCATGCCTGTAGTCCCAGCTACTTGAGAGGCTAAAGTAGGAGGATCACGTGAGCCTGGCAGGTTGAGGCTGTAGTGAGCCATGATTGTGACACTGCACCCCGGCCTGGGTGACAGAGTGAGACCTTGTCTCTAACCAAATAATAACAAAATGGCCGTGTTCTTTTAGATGTCATCTGACCAACATCCCAACCAATTCAGACAACTGGCACTCTCACCTCCTTTGTCTCATTGACAATACTCTTACCGTTGCAACCTGAGCTGCAAAGATCCGTGGACACAGGGCCCGGGACCATCCCAGCCTCGGAGGCCTATTTATCCACTCACAGGCTGCCCCGTACCCACACAAACAACTTTCAGAACAGGATGCAGGACGCTTGTTCTTTTTTTTGTTTTCTGAGACAGTCTTGCTCTGTTGCCCAGGCTGCAGTGCAATGGCACAATCTCAGCTCACCACAACCTCTGCCTCCTGAGTTTAAGCGATTCTCCTCCCTCAGCCTCCCAAGTAGCTGGGATTACAGGTGCCCGACACCATGCCCAGCTAATTTTTGTATCTTTAGTAGAAACAGGGTTTTGCCACATTGGCCAGGCGGGTCTCGAACTCCTCACCTCAGGTGATCCATCCACCTTGGCCTCCCAAAGTGCTGGGATTACAGGCGTGAACCACTGCGCCCGGCTAAGGACACCTGTTCTTTACACCTATCTTTGGTAGCGTACGGCCAGCACGTTTCAGATGAGCTGCTGCAGAGGTAGCAATCACTCTCCTCTTAGCAGATCTGAGCATGAGAGGTCCAGGTCTCACTGCTCTCCCACACACAAATGCTGGGCAAGGCAAGGGCAGAGCCCTCAGGTGCTCTACCAGCAACCTGCACTCCCAAAATGACCACTTCCTGTCCTGTCCACAAGTCATCAGGAAAGTCTGGCAATGTTTGCCCAAAATAAATATTTCTATGTCCGTGAGGTCGCCCAATACCACCGACCAGTCACCCTCCCAAAATGGCACCAAGACCAGCGTGCCTAGGATTGTTCTCTGTGGAACAAACCCTTTCTTGATTTTTCTTGGCCTGAACTTGTAACAGGAGAGAGCGAGTGAGCATGCGTTTCTATCAGCCACTACAAACTCTTCCTTTTTTTTTTTTTTGAGACAGAGTCTTGCTCCGTCACCCAGACTGGAGTGCAGTGGGGCGATCTCGGCTCACTGCAACCTGTGCCTCCCGGGTTCAAGCGATTCTCCTGCCTCAGCCTCCCAAGTAGCTGGGATTACAGGCATGTGCCACCATGCCCGGCTCATCATCTTTTAGTACAGACGGGGTTTCGCCATGTTGGCCAGAGTGGTCTTGAACTCCTGACCTCGTGATCCACCCACCTCGGCCTCCCAAAGTCCTAGGATTACAGGCATAAGCCCCCGCACCCCCGCTCGGCATAGAAATCCTTTCTGGTGTTGCTAGAAAAGCCTAATCCCTTTGCTCCCCATTTCCACGCTTGATTGGTCCCTCAAGGTTGTATTCGGGGCATTTCCAGTAGCTTCCCCATCACTACGATGAAAGCTAAATTCCCCTAAAACAGTGCAAACTGGCTGGGCGCAGTGGCTCACGCCTGTAATCCCAGCACTTTGGGAGGCTGAGGCATATGGTTCACGAGGTCAGGAGTTCAAGACCAGCCTGGCCAACATGGCGAAACCCCGTCTCTACTAAAAATACAAAAAGCCGGGTGTGGTGGCGCGTGCCTGTAATCCCAGCTACTCAGGAGGCTGAGGCAGGAGAACTGCTTGAACCCAGGAGGCAGAGGCTGCAGTGAGCCAAGATTGTGCCAGCCTGGGCGACAGAGCAAGACTCCATCTCAAAAAAAAAAAAAAAAAAAAAGTGCAAACCAGATCATCGGCAGTCAGCTGTCAACCATGTTCCTAAAAAAAGCAAACTCAGGCTCTGAATAGTCTACGTGCCTCTCTCTAGTAGCTCAACTGGATAAACCTACCTCTTCAAATTTCTTGGTTTTTGCGACTTCACAAATCTGCCCTATCATCCGGATGCGATTGTTGAGGCCACATTCCATGCTCAGTTCCTGGAGAGAGATGAAAGAAGAAAAAGGGGCCAGTGCTCAGGCCACGGTCTCCTTAACTGCAAGTCACAAACCACCTAAAGACTCCCACTGCATTTTCCAGACTAGAGACTTAAAACAGATCTTTCTGGAATCAAGATTCACTTGACGAGCCGCGGTGGCTCAGGCCTGTAATCCCTGCACTTTGGGGGGCCAAGGCAGGTGGATCACCAGAGGTCAGGAGTTTGAGACCAGCCTGCCCAACATGATGAAACCCTGTCTCTACTAAAAATACAAAAAATTTGCTGGGCGTGGTGGTGGGCGTCTATAATCCCAGCTACTCGGGAGAGTGAGGCAGGAGAATCCCTTGAACCCAGGAGGCGGAGATTGCAGTGAGCCGAGATCGCGCCCCTGCGCTCCAGCCTGGGTGACAAGAGCGAAACTCGGTCTCAAAAAAAAAAAAAAAAAAAGATTTACTGAGGGGCTTTACTGCTCCATCCCGAGGAGTTGAGAATGTGCAATTTTTTTTCACAACTGCAAATGTTGTATTGAGATAAAACATAACATGAAATACAATTTCAAACTGCACAATTTTTTTTTAGACGGAGTTTTGCTCTTCTTCCCCAGGATGGAGTGCAGTGGCGCGATCACGGCTCACTGAAACCTCCGCCTCCCGGGTTCAAGCAATTCTCGTCTCAGCCCCCCGAGTAGCTGGAATTACAGGCGCCCACCACTATGACCGGCTAATTTTTGGTATTTTTAGTAGAGACGGGGTTTCGCCATGTTGGCCAGGCTGGTCTCAAACTCCTGACCTCAGGTGATCCACCCGCCTCGGCCTCCCAAAGTGCTGGGATGACAGGCGTGAGCCACCGCACCCAGCCAGGATGGACTATATTTTATTCATCAGTTGATGAACGTTTTAGTTGTTTCTAAGTAGAAAACTTTACAAGTGCAAAAATTCAGCATTTACTCATGGGCAAAACACAATGCCAGGCATGTGTGACAAAGACACAAACACACATAAAAGATAACGACCTAGCCCATGTGCGATGGCTCATGCCTGTAATCCCAGCACTTTGGGAGGCCAAAGCGGGCAGATCACCTGAGGTCAGCAGTTCAAGACCAGCCTGGCCAAGATAGTGAAACTCCATCTCTACTAAAAATACAAAAATTAAATGGGTGTGGTGGCACGTGTCTGTAGTCCCAGCTACTCAGGAGGCTGAGGCAGGAGAACCACTTGAAACTGGGAGGCAGAGGTAGCAGCGAGCAGAGATTGTGCCACTGCACTCCAGCCTAGGCAACAGAGCAAGACTCAGTCTCAAAAAAAAAATAAAATAAAGAACCTACTTCTCCCAGGAACTCACATCTTATCATGTAACACCTGGACATATCCTTACCTGTGAAGATGATGATACTCAGGCCTCATCTATAAGATGGGCTTTCTTTCATCAACATCTGAATAGTAACTCAAGTGTGCCTGAACCAGGTCACCAAGATCCTGACTTTCGAAGTCTCCTGAGGAAGGACATGTCGGCCTCCAAGTACTGGAGACAGCATTCCTGTGTAGACAGTTGCCAGCAACCCGTCTCCCACAGAACCTGGTGCAAGACCAAACCCAGCCTTCTCTGCATTTCCCTCTAGCCTAGCAAAGACACAGGTAGCTCACTCACTCTCAGTATTTCCGCGGTGATGATAAACTCCGTCTGTTTACCCTCTGCAGACCTGGGATTTGGCCTCGGTGTTCCCAGTCCCAACAGAATCTTAAACTTCTCCTTCAAGCCTGAATCTTTGCTTGTTGGTTTGGCCATGGTGGACCAGGACGCACCAGAAAACCCCTCTGTGCAAACGAAACAGGAATGGGGACATCTGAGCAACACCTCTGCCCACCTTCCCCACTGCGGACCTCCAGCCGTCAGGACCCTGGGTCTCTGGTGGGCATAACCTTTCCTCCCACACTCCCTGGGAGAACTCAACTACAGCCCAGCTGACCAGCTCGCAAACAGGCACCTAGGAAAGCCCGGGAGACACCAGGCCTGGTCTAGAGAGCTCTCTACTCAGACGCTGCCGCCCGCCCCGCCCGACTCAGTGCACGGGTTAGGACTGCCGCCGCGAAGTCCTGGGAGCCCCGACGTTTGCCGTCTCTCCTCTACCCATGTGAAGCAGGAGCTGTCACGGAGCCGCCTGCAGCAGAGACCCGTTCGCACCCGCCATGACTTAAAACTAAGGGATGCTCGGAGCTCCGGAGTCGGGTTGCAGTGGGCGCGGGTGAGGGCCCGGGACCCGGACACTGCGGGGTCCGCCTCTCTAGGCCGCTGCCCCGTGGGGACCGCCACTTGCCCCGTGGGGACCGCCACTTACCCCGCGCCGCGCCACCGCGCTCCGGGCCGCCCCGACGCGGAGAAAGGCGCACCCCCCTGGCCCCGGGACGCCGCCGGAAGCGCGACCCGCACTTCCGGTAGCGGCATTGCGCGGAGGGCCGCCTTGGGAGCTTGCTGGGAGTTGTAGTTCTGTGCCGCCCTCTGGCGGAAAGGCCGGCGATCCTTGCATCACGTGACGGGGCCGCATGGGCCGCCGGGATGTGTAGTCCGCAGGAGTCCGGCATGACCGCCTTGAGCGCGAGGATGCTGACCCGGAGCCGGAGCCTGGGACCCGGGGCTGGGCCGCGGGGGTGTAGGGAGGAGCCCGGGCCTCTCCGGAGAAGAGAGGCTGCAGCAGGTAGCGCCGCGCCGTGGCTGGAGCGTGGGAGGAGGCGGGATAGGGGCTGCAGGCTGGAGTCCCGGGCCGCCTCCTGCGGCTCCCAGCTGCGCGGGCAGGGGCTGCAAACCCGGCAGCCGCGAACGGTTCCCACGTGCGGCCCTGCGTTCCCACCTTGCGCCTTTTTCCCAAAGATTGCGGTCCGCAGGGGCTGGGTTTCGGGCGCTCCGCTCCGCTGCCCCCTTTCGCCCCAAGCAAGAAAACGCTTCCTTTCCCACCACTCTGTCCGGGACTCTCCACTCCAGGCTCTGTGGGTCCCATCCCCGCCCTCCTGCAGTGAACTTGCTGTCCTCGGAGAGGCTGGGTGCCAAGGACACACGCAGCCAGAAGCCTGCTCCCCCAGCTCGGGGGAGGGTGCCTCTGAGGGAAAACAGGAAAGGGCATGGCACTTATTATATTTATCCTGCAGCCGTTGAGGACCTGCTGGGGGCCAAGCACTGCAGTGAGCAGTGAGGGACACGGACAGGGCCTCTGCGCTAGTCCCGCTGGGACTTCTGCAGAATTGGCCAGAGCTGGATTCCCATAGGCACCCAGGGACCCCAGGGGTAGTCCAGACTATGTCAGGAGGAACTGGTGCAGCTGGGAGCAGGCAGGTGGTGATGCCAGCCAGGGTGGCAGGAGCTTTGATGCCAGGATAGAGTTTGGAGTTTATTATGACAGTAAACGGAAGTCAATTAGGAGGTTTTGTTGTTTGTTTTGAGATCGGGTCTTGCTCTGTCACCCAGGCTGTAGTGGAGTGTTGTGATCTCAGCTCACTGCAACCTCCGCCCCCCAGGTTCAAGCAGTTCTCCTGCCTCAGCCTCCCAAGTAGCTGAGACTATAGGCCCCTGCCACCACACCCGGCTAACTTTTGTATTTTTAGTAGAGATGGGGTTTTGCCATATTGGCCAGGCTGGTCTTGAACTCCTGACCTCAAGTGATCCACCCACCTCGGCCTCCCAAAGTGCTGGGATTACAGGCTTGATCCACCGCGCCCGGCCGGCCAGGATTTTTTAAAAGGGAGTGACACAACCTGATGTGGGTGTTAGCAGACTGTCTCTGGTGCAGTATAGAAGATGTATTGGGGGCACCTTGGTACAGGCTGTTGCTAGAGTCCTCATGAGCTAACATGGACCTTGTCAGGGTCGCTGGCATAAGGAGGGCCCACATACCCCAGACTGCAGAGGGCAGAGCACCCCAAGTGTATTAGATGATGGACAGTTGTGGCATGAACGAGTGAGGGGTGAGCTAGCAGGCGGGATGGCACCCCTACCCTACCTTCACCTGTGGCCCCACCAGAGGGACTGCGTGGTGCTTTTTGCAGAAGCGAGGAAAAGCCACAGCCCCGTGAAGCGTCCGCGGAAAGCACAGAGACTGCGTGTGGCCTATGAGGGCTCGGACAGTGAGAAAGGTGAGGGGGCTGAGCCCCTCAAGGTGCCAGTCTGGGAGCCCCAGGACTGGCAGCAACAGCTGGTCAACATCCGTGCCATGAGGAACAAAAAGGATGCACCTGTGGACCATCTGGGGACTGAGCACTGCTATGACTCCAGTGCCCCCCCAAAGGTAGGCAGGGGCCCCATCTGCCCAGATGACCCCCCATCTTAGCAAGGTCCTTGTTTTCTTTCTACCCGGTGGCTTTTGGCTGGCACCCTCCCCTGCAGACAGCACCTTGGGAGGATGGACACCCGGTGCCCCAGAGCATCGCCTGCATCACTGTAGCCACTCAGCAGGTCAGGACACCAGTGGTTTAGGGCCTCGTGCTCGAACTTCTGCCCAGTGCAGGCGTGACCTGGGCTTTGTGTGATATCAGGAAGGAAGAGTTCCTTTTGCTTCACGGTCCCAGGGCCTGAAACCCTTAGACCAAGCTGAGTTCTAATCCCTATTCTGCTACCAGGTGGCTTGGATACAGGCCTCTCTGAGCCTCAGTTTGCTTGTCTGTAAAATGGGTAGTATGGGCCAGGCATGGTGGTTCAGGCCTGTAATCCCAGCACTTCGGGAGGCCAAGGCGGGTGGATCACCTGAGGTCAGGAGTTCGAGACCAGCCTGGCCAATGTGGCGAAACCACGTCTCTACTAAAAATACAAAAATTAGCCAGGTGTGGTGGCAGGCACCTGTAACCCCAGCTACTTAGGAGGGCGAGGCAGGAAAATCGCTTGAACCCCGGAGGCGGAGGTTGCAGTGAGCCAAGATGGCACCACCACACTTCAGCCTGGGTGAAAGAGTGATACTGCATCTCAAAAAAAAAAATTTGTTTTAAAGGGTAGTGTGATGATTCACGAAGCAATCATAATAGTAGTGGCCAATGGCTGTTCAGTAGTGATGGGCCAGATACGATCGTGTTGGGTTTTTTTTTGAGACCAAGTCTTGCTCTTGTTGCCCAGGCTGGAGTGCAGTGGTGAAATCTTAGCTCACTGCAACCTTCGCCTCCGAGGTTCAAATTATTCTCCTGCCTCGGCCTCCCGAGTAGCTGGGATTACAGGCATGCACCACCGCACCCAGCTAATGTTTGTATTTTTAGTAGAGACGGGGTTTCACCACGTTGATCAGGCTGGTCTCAAACTCCTGACTTCAGGTGATCCGCCTGCCTTGGCCTCCCGAAGTGCTGGGATGACGGGTGCGAGCCACCACGCCCGGCCACATACGATTCTAAGCACTGAGATAATTCATTTAAGCTTCACATTACTCCAGTGAGTCAGGTACTATTATTGTCCTGGTGTTGTAGATGACCAAACATACCCAAACCAGACCTCCCCACCCCACAGGGGGAGGCTGATGCCTCAAGTGTGGCCCAGGGCAACAAACCAGGGTGTGTCGAGGGCGGGGGGCGGAGCCTGGCCAGGGAATCACCCAGGACCCGCCGCCACCCCGGTCCCTGTCACTGCACAAGCAGGTACGCAGGTACCAGGTGCTGCTGTCACTGATGCTCTCCAGCCAAACCAAAGACCAGGTGACGGCGGGCGCCATGCAGCGACTGCGGGCGCGGGGCCTGACGGTGGACAGCATCCTGCAGACAGATGATGCCACGCTGGGCAAGCTCATCTACCCCGTCGGTTTCTGGAGGGTGAGCCCTGCCTGTGGCAACGGGGGCCGGGTGGCAGTGGCCTGAGAGAGACCTCAGAAGGCTGAGGGGGGTGGCGACGGTGCAGGAAGTGAGGGTCAAGCATCTCAGGCTCGGGGGGTCCCCCTGAAGCCCCCCCCAGGCCGTGGGGCCCTGAGGCCTGACGCCCAGTCCCAGCAGCTCCTTGGCCTTCCTGTTCGCATCCTCCCTTCCTTCCTCTGCTTCCCCGCCTCGCCGCCTGCCCACCCTTCCTCACCGCCAAGGCTGCCTGCCCACCCGCCTTTCCCTTTGTTTACTGCTAGCCTCTCCCGGTGTGTCACCCCCTCCTGTCCAGAGCCCCTCACCCTCCAGGAGCCCTGGGGAGGCTGCTCCCCAACCCCGCCGAGCACTGGATGGTGGTGGGCGGATCTGTTGAAAGCAGCTTGGTGGGTGGGGCCGCTTCCCCTTGGCACCCGCGTGGGCCGCAGTTTCTCAGATGGGTTTTAAATAGCCCTCTCCACTCAGGCACAGGATGGGAACCACCCGGCAGGCCTGGCAGCTGGTGGGGAAGCCCCAGCTCCAGCCCTCCTTCCTGAAGGCGCAGGTGCAGCCAAGCCCCACTCCTGGGAGCGGCTGGCCTGCTTGGCCTGGCCTGGGTGCTGGCAGGGAATGACGGGCAGGGGAACCCCAGCCAGAGCCTACACGTGCATCATTGGCCCACACGGGTGGGAGGAGGGGGTCAGGCCTACCTTGGGCCTCCCTGCTGCCCTCCGCTTGTTCCCGCCTCCTGGGGGGCGGGGGCTGAGCTTGCACACGTCCTCAGCAGGTGCAGGTAGCTCTGGCCACCTGTGGGTCTCCTGGGGGCTGCATCCTCCCAGGTTGGGCTGTGCCCTTGCCTCCAAGGCTGAACCCACCCCTGTCTTTCAGAGCAAGGTGAAATACATCAAGCAGACCAGCGCCATCCTGCAGCAGCACTACGGTGGGGACATCCCAGCCTCTGTGGCCGAGCTGGTGGCGCTGCCGGGTGTTGGGCCCAAGATGGCACACCTGGCTATGGCTGTGGCCTGGGGCACTGTGTCAGGCATTGGTGAGTAGAGGAGGGCGGGGCTGGCTCCAGCCCACTGGCTGCTCTTGGGATTCCCCACATCCTTGTGACCTGTGACTCCACTTCCAGCATGCTGGTCCTCCACCCAGCCCATAGAGTCAGAAAGGTGCTCCCAGGGTGGAGCCAGGCCAGCCCCACTCAGAGACAGGTGCTGGGGCAGGAGGTCACATGGGCTGAGCACCTGCTCCGTGCAGGGCTCTGAGAGAGGCCCCGGAGCTGGACTCCATCTGCGTTGTATTCGGGAGAAATGTGGAGCGAGGAATTCCCCACTCGTGGAGTGGAAACCCTGATGGTTGTGCAGGGTGCTCTTGGGGCCTGGCTTGGGCCCAGGGCCTCTGGGAAGGCCCCCAAGGTCATCCTTCACCTGAGAGCTGCAGAGCAAGGTGGGGTGAGCCAGGCCAAGAGGAGGAAGTGTGTTCCCAGCAGAAGGAACAGCATCTGTAAAACCATGATGCGAGAGAGAGGGCCAGGAGCAGGAAGTTCTGGAATGAGATGAGGGCAGAGTGGGGAGGTAAGGACTGAGGAGGGAGGAGGAAGAGTATCCCCTCAGCAGGTGGGGTGGGGAGGGAGGTGCTGGGGGGAGAAAGGGGGAGGGTGGGGAGGGAGGCTCTGCGGGGACAGGAGGGGAATGGTAGGGAGGGAGGCGCTGGGGGAATGGGGGAGGAGGGTGGGGAGGGAGGCGCTGGGAGGATGGGGGGAGGGTGGAGAGGGAGGTGCTGCGGGGAGAAGAGGGGAGGGTTGAGAGGGAGAAGAGGGGAGGGTGGGGAGGGAGGCACTGGGGGGAGGGCCCTCCTTGAATCCTTTTCCCAGGTCCTGGTGTCTCTTCCTAGCACCGGAGGCTTCTTGGCAGTTGGGTGCAGACAGACCCCTGGGTTTGGGGTGGGGCTGCCTCCTCCTCGGCTTTGTCCAGAGGATTTGGGGCTCCTAAGGCCACACGCAGCCGGGCCCAGCCAGTCCAGAAACCAGGGCTTGGCCCTGCCCTCTGTGTGCCCCCATCCCAGGCCCCTTTGGGACTCCTGCAGGGGGCCTGTGCCGGAGGCGGGGGGCTTGCAGCACTTTCTGGTGGGCAAGAGGGCCACCAAGGGCCGGGGGCCTCTATTCTGAGCCGGGGCCACCTGGTGAGGCTGAACAGCCACAGCAGCCCCAAAGAGCCAGAGCCAGGCCAGGTGCGCCGGGGCAGGGCCTCCTCCCGACTGAGACTCCCAGCGTCACCACCTGCCAGCCTCTCAGTGGACACTTGAGCTTATCTGGGCGGCTGTCCTCAGCTGCCCGTGTCCCTGGGGTGCTGCATCGTGGTTGGGCAGGGCTGTGGGGGAAGGTCCCTGCCCGCAGCCAGGCAGGGAACGGGCTTTGGGAGCAGCGGGCACAAGAGACAGCCATGTGGAAATACCTCCCTCTCCAGGTGTCTGTGGGCCTGACCACCTGCAAGGAGACCCCAGGGCTGCCTCCTAGGGGTTCCCCGAAAGAGAAACGCTCTCAGTTAAAATGTCAGAGCTGGCTGGGTACAAGGGCTCAAGCCTGTAATCCCAGCACTTTGGAAGGCCGAGGTATGTGGATCACCTGAGGTCAGGAGTTCAAGATCAGCCTGGCCAACGTGGTGAAACCCGCTCTCTACTAAAAATACAAAAATTAGCCGGGTGTGGCCAGGCGTGGTGGCTCACGCCTGTAATCCCAGCACTTTGGGAGGCCGAGGCAGGCAGATCACGAGGTCAGGAGATCAAGACCATCCAGGCTAAGATGGTGAAACCCCGTCTCTACTAAAAAACACAAAAAATTAGCCAGGCATTGTGTCAGGCGCCTGTTGTCCCAGCTACTCGGGAGGCTGAGGCAGGAGAATAGTGTGAACCTGGGAGGTGGGGCTTGCAGTGAGCTGAGATCGCGCCAGTGTACTCCAGCCTGGGCGACAAAGCGTGACTCCGTCTCACCAAAAAAAAAAAAATTAGCCGGGCGTGGTGGCAGGAGCCTGTAATTCCAGCTCCTCGGGAGGCTGAGGCAGGAGAATCGCTTGAAACCCAGAGGCGAAAGTTGCAGTGAGTGGAGATCGCACCATTGTCTGTATCCAGCCTGGGTGACAGAGCAAGACTCCGTTTAAAAAAAAAAAAAAATGCCACAGCCATAGATTGCTGGCTCCGGTCCCAGCTCTGCACCTCCTGGCTGGGTGACTCTGGGCCAGGCCCTTGGCTTCTCTAAGCTCTGGCCACAAAGTGGGTGAGGCAGTCCTCGTCATTCACTGTCCAGGTGGGCAGGAGGCTCACACAACGTGACGTGGCCTGACTCAGCCTTGAAGCATGGCCACTTCCGTGTTACAGAGGAGGAAACTGAGGCTCAGAGCCCCAGGGGTGTGACCCCTCAGGCCTTGTGGTCTCCCCACACCCTCGGACACCTTTTTCTAGGCAGCAGCGAAGGAGCTGGTGCAGGCCTCGGCTTTCTCTTTGGGAAACACGGGAGGAGGAGGCAGGGCTGGGGCTGCAGCTGGCCGGGGCCACCGGGTGGGAGAAGGGAGCCCCAGTGAGCAGACGCCTGGGGTGGCCAGCTGAGGGGAGCAGGAGCCAGAACCCAGGTGGACAGCAGCTGCGGCCGGCCAGGGCATGCTCCCGCTGTGTCCCTGACCGCTGCAGTGGCAGGTGCTAGGTCTGCAGGCAGTGACCTCATGCCGGCCTGCCAGGCAGAGCTGTTGCCACCCAGCCTGGTGCCCAGAGCCAGTGCTTATGCCGAGAGGAGCCTCAGGCCACAGGAGACAGACAGAGGGAAGCCTGGATGGACCCTTCCGGGGACAGGGCCACGTTCCTGGGGAGGCTGAGGGCTGAGAGGTGCTTCGGAGTCGGGATCCTGCCGGGCCTCGGTTTCAGCATCCGTAGGACCTCATGAGGACTCACTGAGCTGGCCAATCTCTCTGGCAGGGTCTGGCCCCCAGCAAGCGTTTGTCCAAGCGAGCTGTCGCTGTTATTGTGGGGAATAGAGCTCCAAGCAGAGCCGAGTCATCACCCCCAGGCCCTGCCCAAAGCAGAGACCCCACCACCCACACATCCAACTAGCACCAGTGTTGGGAGTGGGCAGCCCAGAACAGAGCCCCCCAGGCTGGCTCAGGTGATGGGAGAGAGGCCTGCACCCCAACAGAGGGCTCAGCCCCTGCCCCAGCACCTCAGGGGCAGCCAAGATGGTCACATGTAGGCTTGCAGCCAGGGCTTTGCGGTTCCAATGTCTAACTGGAGGGCCACGGGGGTGGTGGCAGACTCGCCTCTGGGCGGGGAGGGGCACGGGCTAGGCTGGTGGAGTGTGCCCCTGTTCACCCCGCTTGGCCTCCCAGCAGCAGTGGACACGCATGTGCACAGAATCGCCAACAGGCTGAGGTGGACCAAGAAGGCAACCAAGTCCCCAGAGGAGACCCGCGCCGCCCTGGAGGAGTGGCTGCCTAGGTATGAGTATGTGGGGGGCTTCCTAGGGAGAAGAGCTCACCCCGCCCGCCCTCTGTCAGCACTGACCCAGCCCCCACCCCCACAGGGAGCTGTGGCACGAGATCAATGGACTCTTGGTGGGCTTCGGCCAGCAGACCTGTCTGCCTGTGCACCCTCGCTGCCACGCCTGCCTCAACCAAGCCCTCTGCCCGGCCGCCCAGGGTCTCTGATGGCCGCATGGCTCTGGCCGAGGTGCCGCTGTGGCCACCGTCTGTGAAGTGGCTTTACGCTTCAGGAAGCCACGCCTGTTGAATAAAGCTTTGGTGTGTTTGCAGATGGGATCTGGCTGATGTCTGTCCCTGAGGGGGCAGAGAGCCTGGGAATCGCATACAAGGATGTGTTCGTACACACCCGTGCTCGCGTGTCTGGAGCAGGGCTGCCTGGGAGGCCGGCTGGGGACGTGACAATCTTTGCTATGTACTCAGGGAGGGGGAGGGGGTGTGCATGAACCTGGGAGGGAGGAAGTGGGGAGAGCCAGCTGCAGCCAGCTGTTGGAAGTCCGCTGGGGAAGCAAGCAGCCCCCGGGCAGCTGGCTGGGGACCCTGGCCCCTCATGCTATCCACCGCCGGCCCCCCAGCTTCCCAGCCCGGACACCGCCAGCTCCTGAACTTTCATGCCCTCAAAGCCCAGCCTCTGCCAGGGTCCCACCCCTGTTTACAGAGCTACCCGGCCTTGAAAGGGACACTGGGGACCCAGGCAGGGCGCCACAGGGTACAAAGCTTGACCTGTGACTGCTAGAGGTCGCAGGGTGAATTGGGCAAAGGGTGGCCCGTGTGGGTGTTGTGTGGGGCCGGATGGCTTCACAGGGAAGGTGAAGGTGGGAGGCTGAGTCTGCCAAATAAGAGAGATGGGCATGGGCCCAGGATGTGCCACACAGCAGGGGGTCCCATGGGGGTCAGCGGGGGAGATGGAGCAGGGCTGGGAGCAGATGGATGCAGGGCACGGGCTCAGGAACGAGACCGTTTCCAGCTGCTGAGACTCGGGGAGGGGGCTCCCTGAAACAGCCTCATCCCTCCACCCCTCTCACCCCACGGGGAGGAGGCTCAGAAAAGACAGAGGCGTGTGGGTCCCAGGCAGGGCCTGTTTATCCTGAGAGCGCGCATGCGCTATGGCTTACGAGGCAACAGCGGTGCCGGTCGATCGGTGGTCGGTTCGGGGGTGCGGGGCCCGGGAGGGAAGTGCAAAGTCAACAGGGTGTCCACGGGGGAGCCCGCCAAGCAGGGCTGAGCCAGAGGCCAGGCGTCCTTCCCGGGTGCCGCTCTCACACACCTACGTTCCCCAGGCCTGGGAGCTGCCGCGCGGAATGAGGGGCCTGTCCAGAGGCCGCCCTCCTCGGGGACGTGGGGCCTCCATCCTCAGGCCCCTCGGAGAGCCCAGGCCCCCAGCAGGGCACAGGCGCACAGGGTAGCTGGGTGGGGAGCAGGGTGTGGCCTAGGGACCCCCACACCAGGGCAGGTGGGCAGGGGCAGCTCCTACGGCCACATCAGGCCTCCCTGGCCTTACCCAAGGTCCCCACGAAGAGGCTGGGCGCCCCAACTTGGCCACTGGGAAGTCCCAGGGACTCCCACTCAGGACGGCCGCTGCTGAGGGGAGGGGGCGGGGAGGAAATGGTTTGCAGAGAAAGGTTTGTTTTATTGCAATTATTTAGAGCGCGTCCCAAGGGGGAGGGGAAGGGGGAGGGGAAGGGGGGGGGTCTCTGGTATTAAGTGGAAACATGTGTGGAGCTGGAGATCTTTTTGGAAAAAAAGCAAAAACACAAATTCCTTTCAGTCAGCAGGCCCCGGCAGAGCAGCAAAGGCCCTCGCCCCGCGGCTGCCGCGCGCTCGCTCGCTCTCTCTCTGTCTCTCTCTGTGTCTCTCTCTCTCTCTCTCTGTCTCTGTCTCTGACTCTCTCTCACATCTCTGGGTCTCTCTCCCCCTATCTTGCTGCCACAGGCCCCCAGTACCTGGTGGGCAGGGGCAGGATGGGGGCTCACCGGGGCTGGGGCTGATTTCTGGGCAATGGCAGGACCACCCTCCAGTCCACTGAGGCTGGGGGAGCTCGGGGCAGGCTGAGGCCCAAGGTCCGTGCGGGAGGGGTCCCAGGGTCCCGAGACAGGCAGGAAGGGGCTCAGAAGTTGCTGAAGATTTCACGCTTCCTGTTCCAGTCCATCTGTGGCGCGCGCTTGTTGACTCGCATGGCTCGAGCCTTCTCCTTGGCCTCGGCCGCCGTGGGGCTCAGGTGGAGGCCGCTCTCCTGGAAGGGATCTTGCTTCCAGGCACTGCCATCCTGGGGTGAGCACGGTGGGTGGGGTGTCTGGAGTGAGCCCTAGTCCCACACCCCAGACGGTGGCCCCTCCTAGGGAGCAACCAACAGAGGCTGCCTGCTGGGGCTGGGGCTCACGAGGACTTCCTGAACAGAGACCCCACTGCCCGGGCTGACATCTCCACAGACGCCTACCCCAAGGCCTCTAGCAACCCCACGTGTGAGCTCAGGAGTGGAGAACATCCATACCTCAGTGTCCTTGTCGGAACCAGGCAGGTCACTTCGGGACGAGCACGCAGAGCCACCATTGAGCTGGGAAACCAAGGGCAGATTGTGGTTTCACAGACACACACAACACCTGCACACGCACACATGTGCACAGAGGCACACCCCCCCCCAGTGTGTGCTCCTCCACTCGGCAGGGGGCCTCGGGCCTCTGGTGGACTCCAGATGCGGCGGGGCAGGCACCGGGCGCCTGGCAGTGACAGGCAGGTGGCCTGGCCGGCTCATGGTGCAGAGGGGGTTCAGGTGCAGGAATGGCCGGCGTGAGCAACGCCTGGGGTGAGGCCACCGCCAGCTCCCTGAGGAGGCAGAGACTGGAGGGCAACTCCTTACCAGGTGGTGCCCAGGAGAGGACAGAAGGCAGTGGCCCCGACCCCAGGGGCCCCACGTGGCTTGTGTGTGGCACGACCCAGGATGAGACCCACAGGGGCATTAAAGGGAGGTGACAGGGCTAAAATCGGGTGTCACTAGCACACCTCGAGGACGGATCTCCAGGGAGAAGGGGGCCTCTGTCGGGCCTGGGTACCCCCAGAGGCACCCTGTGTCTCATGGGCACCCCACCCTCTTACCTGGGCAGGGCTGGTTCCATTGGTGACGGGTGACGGCAGAGGACCTGTGGGGACAGCGTGTCAGTGGCTGCTCAGCCACCACACCGCACCCACCCTGTGCCCTGGGCCGTGGCCCACCTTCCACGTGCTCCTCGGTGGGTGTGACCCGAAGCCGCTTGAAGTGTTCATCTGTCTCGGGGTCCACGACCAGCAGCCGGGCCTCGTCCTCCCGTGCCTTGATGCTGGCCACCACCTCAGCATGGCGCAGTCCCTCCACATTCTGCCCGTTCACCTGCCGCCACCAGCATGTATCAGCCCCGCCATGGGCCCAGACAGCCCCCAACGCCGCGTGGCCAGGTGTGGCATCAAATATTCATCACAGCCACCGCCCACCGAGGCAGCAGGAGGCGCACCAGCTCAGGTTCCCAGCGTCTCCCTCCTCCCTGCAAGGACCCAGGGCCCCAGTGTGGACAGGTGCGGGGCACTCGGCACCCCGCAGCCCTGGTGGGCCGGTACCTCAATGAGCCGGTCCTGGGCGCGGAGGCCAGAGCGGGCGGCAGGTGAGCCCGGGTCCACAGAGCGGATGTACTGGCCGGGCCGGGACTTGTCACTATGCAGGTTGAACCCATAGCCCTGAGGTCCCTTTCGCAGGTGGCAGAGCCGAGGGCGCAGCTCCCTCAGGGGCCCACTGACATCCTGCAGGCCCAACGGACAGGGTCAGTCTCTTGCTCCAGCCTCCCGCCTCCAGAGGCCACTCCCCGGTGGTGCCGCCACTGCCCAAACTCGGTACCGTGCCCCCCACGGGCAGGCCCAGGTCTCAGTGGCAAACACTCCGGGCACCCAGGCTGCCTGTGACAGAGCTTTAGCTGTGGGAACTTGGGCAAAGCCTGTTTTCAAACCCAGAAGCCTCCCCGACGGGCCCAGCCGCCTTCCCGGGTTGCTGGGAGAATTCCTTTGGCTCGAGGCCAGCGTGGCGCACAGGCAGGGTGGGAGGAAGCACCAGGTGGGATGAACTGTCGCCGTTGGCCTCCTGGGGCGGTTGTCCCTGAGGGCTCTGCCTGTGCGTCCCCCTGCCCCGGGCTCTCCTCCAGAGCGTGGGGCAGGCGCTCCTAGGCCAGCAGTTTTGTTTTCTCTCCAGAGGCCTCCGTGGGGCTGGCTGCGGTGGCGGCTCTGTTTGCTTTCACATTCCAGGAAAATGAGCCGCCCCACCCCCGTGGGCCCAGCAAGCAGGGGCTGGGGCAGGAGCTTAGTGTGGACAGGGCACAGAGGGCCTCCTGGTGCCCGGAAGGACCCCCCGCTACCATCCCAGGCCCTGCCCCATGTTACCTCTGGCATCCTGCGGTAGGGCTCTGGGCCAGGGGACCATGCAGGCAAGGCCAGGCCCAATGACCACCTCCCAGCCAGGGGGTGGGCCAGGGTGCGGCGGCGGTGGCCAGCGGCTGCCCGTGCTCAGTTAAACATGGCGGTGGCCGGAGCAGGCAGGAGGCAGCTCAGGTTTCCAGGGAGCGCCAAGCTTGAGGGCGTGCGCAGGGGAGACTGTGCAGGCGGGCTGGGGGCTGCCAGGGCCCTTCCCTCACCTCCTACCTCCCTGTGTGTCCCTGAGGGACCACAGGCCAGGCCAGGCCAGGGCTGGGGCGGCATGGCAAGGGGGCGCTCAGACCTCAGGAGGGCAGGTCTCCAGGCCTCAGACACCCCCAACCCCTCCAGCCACCCACCTTCAAGCTCGCTCCAAACCCCAATGGACCAGAAACGGCCATGTCAGCGGGGGGGACCGCCCCGCCAAGGGAGCAAGGGGGTCCTTCTCCACACAGCTAGTGCTCTGTCCCCTGGGCTCAGGACCTGCCCTTGGTCTGGAACACCCTTCTCCTGTCCAGCCTGCCAGATGCCTCATCTGAAGCCTCCTGCCCACCCTCTGAACCCTCTCTGCATGGCCACCACCCAGCCCGTCACACCAGAAACTCCAGGGACAAGCCTGTGGCTCCCTGGCCCCACAGGGGCTCAGCTGGGCCACATGGGCTGAATTAGAGGGTGCAAGACCCCCAAAATCTCCAGGGCCCCACCACATAGACTCACTCCTCCCCCAGACACACCTGGTGGCACAGGCGTGGGGCTTCAAGGCTGACCCTGACACCTGCCCACCAAAGTGCCCCTCAGGGATGCAGTCACAGCACGGCCCCCAGGCTGGCCTGGGACGCAGGGAAGGCGTGGGGACAGGAGTCCAGTTCGGGAGGGGAAGTGGAGCACAGCCCCCAGGCTGGCCTGGGACGGAGGGAAGGCGTGGGGACAGGAGCCCAGTTCGGGAGGGGAGGTGGAGCACGGCCCCCAGGCTGGCCTGGGACGGAGGGAAGGCGTGGGGACAGGAGTCCAGTTCGGGAGGGGAGGTGGAGCACGGCCCCCAGGCTGGCCTGGGACGGAGGGAAGGCGTGGGGACAGGAGCCCAGTTCGGGAGGGGAGGTGGAGCACGGCCCCCAGGCTGGCCTGGGACGGAGGGAAGGCGTGGGGACAGGAGTCCAGTTCGGGAGGGGAGGTGGAGCACGGCCCCCAGGCTGGCCTGGGACGGAGGGAAGGCGTGGGGACAGGAGTCCAGTTCGGGAGGGGAGGTGGAGCACGGCCCCCAGGCTGGCCTGGGACGGAGGGAAGGCGTGGGGACAGGAGTCCAGTTCGGGAGGGGAGGTGGAGCACGGCCCCCAGGCTGGCCTGGGACGCAGGGAAGGCGTGGGGACAGGAGCCCAATTCAGTGGAGGAGGTGGGAGCGTGATATGGGCCCAGTCCGCAAAGACACATCACACAGCCACAGACACAAGACGTCCACACACACCTGCAAACACGCACAGCAGCCCACACATGCGGCCAGCCCCACAGTGCTGGCCCGGCAGCCCTTCCCACGCCTGCACAGCGGCCTGCGGGGCAGGGTTTCTCAGGGCACCAGACAGGAAGCAGGATCTGGTGGGTGTCTGGGGCCCTGAGGCCAGGCCAAGGACCCCTCAGTGTTCTCAGGGTCATTCTGGCCACCCCTCTGCCTCTGTCCAGAAGCAGCCGTCTTTCACTCTACAAGGCAAGAAGTTCTGCCTATCAAACCTAAACCCCTTCATTGTCAGCAGGGTCCCAGTGGCGCCAGGCACAGCACTAAAACCTCAGGTGGAGGGGCTGCAATGGAGGGGCCAGGGTGGGCTGCTGGCAGCACATGGGCTCGTGGGGAAGGGGGGCCCAGAGAGCCGAGGAGCTCGGGCGGCGTTCATAGCTCACATTCCTCCTCCCTGCCCTGGCTCAGCACACACTTCCTGCCGCCTCCCGCCAGGCCCTCGGGCTCCCACGGGCTCCAGGCTCCCTCCCTGCCGGCGGCCAGCACAGAGCTGGACCATCCCTGGTCCCCCAGCCATGCCTGTGTCCGGACAAAGAGGCTGGCATGGGGGTACCCTGGGCACCCCCCCAGATGGTGACGCACCAGCCCTGGCAGAGAAAGGCCTTCATTGTTGCTCAGCGACCAGCCTGCTTACATCAAGGTCCCGGAGTCCCCTCCTTCCACCCCGGGAGGCTGAGCGGCTGCCGGTTCCTCCTAGCCCTCCCTTCCTCCCACCCCACCTGACCTGTACCAGCCTCTGGGGTGGGCTCCGTGGAGGGGCTCCCGGAGCCCGGGCAGGTGGCGTGGCACTCCCGGAGCGTGCCATGACAGCGGCACAGTGACAGCAAGTGGCAGGCGTCCGGCCGGGGTGGCCTGAACTCTCTGGCCGACCCAGGCTGCCACCCCACTTATCTACCTCCCTCTGCGGCCCTGGCTCCCCGGGGATGGGTGGGGACGTGGGGGCTGAGTCACTCTGGGGAGCAGGGTGATGACTGAGCCCGCTCCCCTGCGAAGGCTCCAGCCTGGCGCCCCCCACCCAGCTAGGCTTCCGTCCCAAGAAAGGAAGGAAGGAAGCTGCTGGAAGGCCCTGCCCTGCCCCAGGACCCAGGGCTGAGGGGACAGGGAGGAGTCCCGGCCCCAGAACACAGGACGGTCCTGTTGAGGCTCCAGAGGAGCAAGAGCCAGGGAAGCCCGGAAGCCCCCGCAGGCACCGCGCCCCAACCACACAGCCGCCTCCCGCAGAACTGTCACCCCTCACACCTGCTCTTAGCCCCCAAGGCCCTCCAGATGGGGGTGGAGACATGGGCTAGGGGCAGGGGGCAGAGGGCTCAGGGTCTGCCACCACCTCCAGGGCCTGGCACCGCTGGCCACCCCGTCTCTGTTTGGGGGCTGTCCCCTGTCGTCACTACTAGGATCAGCTGCACTGCAGCTGCGGCCACCCCCAGCCTGGTGTGGCCCAGGGCTGAGTCATCACTAACTAGGCCTTCACGGCCCCCAAAAGGAGGGGCCAACCACATCAGTGTCCTCCCCTGCCCACCTCCCCTATCCCCAGCCAGGACAGAGGACACTGAGAGCCACCCTTAGCTCCCAGGGGGCACCCAAAGTTGGGCCCTCTCCATCCTTCACCAAAGACAAACTACACACATCCCTTCCAGAGCTCTGCCTCTCTGCCACCAGTGCCCCCACTGGAGCCATCCCCGCAAGGTAAGCTTTGCCCTCCTGGGCTCCCTGACCATCTGAGGCATGCCCTGAACCCAGGCTGAGAAGGGCAGGATCTGAGCCTGCTCTGTGGAGGTCAGGTGAGGCCCACCTCTTCCTGCCCATGCTGGGAGCTCAGGTGAAGAAACCTCAGGTCCTGAGCCAGGCGCAGGGGCTCACACCTGTAATCCCAGCACTTTGGGAGGCTGAGGCAGGCGGATCACTTGAGCCCAAGAGTTTGAGACCAGCCTGGCCAACACGGTGAAACCCTGTCTCTACCAAAAACACAAAAATTAGCCAGGTGTGGTGGTACACGCCTGTAATCCCAGCTACTCAGCAGGCTGAGACATAAGAATTGCTTGAACCCAGGAGGCGGAGCTTGCAGTGAGCCGAGATCGCACCACAGCACTCCAGCCTGGGCGACAGAGTGAAACTCCGTCTCAAAAAAAAAAAAAAAGAAAGAAAGAAATGAAACCTCAGACCTCAGGGGCCGGGTACAGTGGCTCACACCTGTAATCCCAGAACTTTGGGAGGTCGAGGAGGGCAGATCACCTGAGATCAGGAGTTCGAGACCAGCTTGAGCAACATGGTGAAACCCCGTCTCTACTAAAAACACAAAAATTAGTCAGGTGTGGTGGTGCGCGCCTGTAATCCCAGCTACTGGGGAGGGTGAGGCAAGAGAATCGCTTGAACCCAGACAGCGGAGGTTGTAGTGAGCCAAGAAAGAAAAAGAAAAAGAAACCTCAGGTCTTGATGCCAGAAGAGAGAAGGGGAGACCCTGTTCCTTGGGTGCCCCCTGACCTCCTGGAGCCCCTGTCCCCAGCCAGACTCATGCACAAAGGGACCTGCCACTCAGGCCACCCTTTGTTCCTCTAAAAATACACCCAGAGGAAGCCCCTCCTAGGGCTTCCTGCAGCCCCCAGAGCCTGAAATAGCAGAGGGGGAAGGTCCCACCCAAGGCAAGGTGCCTGGGCCACTGCACCCTCCAGATAAAGTCCGAGGGCCGGATTTTTCCACAGGAAGGTGAACCATGCGTTTGTGTCCAAATCAATGGACAAACGCCTGAGGCAGAGGGGGAGCTTCCTCCTGGGGGAGGGAAGGTGGCTGGGAAAGAGGGAGGCCCCAACCCTCAGCCTGGAGACAGGGGCTTAGGACCAGCCAGCCCCCCTGCAAGGCCAGCCCCCCCACCAGCCCTGGGCTGGGCACCTTGGCCCTGAGCACCACTGTGGCCCGCCCTCAAGCCCCAGGAACAAAACGGGTCCCACAGGTCCCACGGGCAGGCCTGCGCCCAGGCTGGGCTCCCCACAGGGAATGCTGTCTCCCTGCCAAGCCGCTCCCCCCGGGCTCAGCTCCTAGGGGCAGCCAGCTTCAGCAGTGACGTCTGGGAAAGGGAGAAAGTGAATGTGTATATCCCCTGCACCCTCAGAACTCCAGATCCCACACCCCTGCCCCAAGCGCGGTTCTCACAGTGGGGTCTGGCCAACCCCTGGACTCATATCCCCTGAAGGGATTTCTTTCTTTTCCTTTTTTTGTTTTTTTTTGAGACAGTCTCACTCTGTCGCCTAGGCTGGAGTGCTATGGCGGGATCTCGGCTCACTGAAACCTCCGCCTGCCGGGTTCAAGCGACTCTCCTGCCTCAGCCTCCCAAGTAGCTGGGACTATAGGCGTGCCCCACCATGCCCAACTGATTTTTGTATTTTTAGTAGAGACGGGGGTTTCACCACATTAGTCAAGCTGGTCTCAAAATTCCTGACCTCAGGTGATCCACCCATCTCAGCCTCCCGAAGTGTTGGGATTACAGGCGTGAGCCACCGCACCCGGCCAGGGTTCTCTTTGAAAATGAAAAAAAAAAAAAAAAAAAGGTAGGAGAGAACATGGAGATAATGCCATCAGGGCCTCCAGGAAGATAAGACAGACAGCTTCAGGCTGTTCCTCCTGGTCCCCAAGGCCTGCCAGGCCGCCCCTCCCAGTCGGCCACCTAGCAGGAGGTGGAGCAGGCCGCCCCTGTACTTTTCTGGGTCTCCTGGCTGGGAGCAAGGGCAGGGGAAGGAGGAAGTACTACCCAGCAGGAGTCCAGGAGGAACAGCAGACAGGGTCCCAGGGCCCTCCCTTGTATCTAGGGGGAGGAGTGGGCTCACCCTGGAGCCTCCTGGACCCCCAACTCCACTCCCATGCTCCCAGCCCCACCTACGCCAGGCCTGGCAGAGTGGCCTCCTAGGCTTCCCCAACCACGGCGCTGCCTGTGGAGAAGGCCGGCCCTCTCCCAGGCCTTCCCAGCATGCAGGCGCCTTCAACAGAGACAAAGACAGAGCCACGGATGACACCCAGCACAGGCACAGAGCTGCGCACACGCAGACCTGGAATGCCTCTTCCCAGGGTTCCTCAGCCACGAGGCTGGGGGCTGGGGAGGCGGCAGCTTGTCAGAGTGACCCCTCGATAGGGCAAGTGGCTCTGGAGCATCCTGGAGAAGAGGAACAGGCCAGGCTGCCCTGACCCTACCCAGTTTAAAACACAGGCTGAGGGTAGAAACAGTGGCCCCCAGTGGCCAACAAGATGGTCCCTGGGGCAGAAAAGGAGCCCCAAAAGGCAGAAGAGACCAAGACTTCTGGAGGTGACCAAAGGCAAAGATCGTCGTCAAAAGCTGAGAGAGCCTCTGGGAGAGGCTAGGGTGGTCCCTGTGGGCCAAGCCCGCCATACCTTCTTGCCAGCTTCGGAGCTGTGGCTGCCGGTGTGTGCCCAGTCTGGCTTCGGCTCCCAGGGGTCGTGGGCGGGTGGGAGCCCTCGCTGGGCCATCTCCTCGGTACAGGTCAGCTGCCGCCGGCGGAGCTCCTCATCTGTCTCCTGGTCCACCACCAGCAGCCGAGTCTGCCCCTCCACAGCCTTGATCCTTTGCACCACCTGGGGCGAATGGGCGATAGGAGCGGGTCAGTGGCCCACATTCCGGGCAGCACATGGGCAGTGGCACCACTCTGGGCTGGCCCAGGCGTGCGGACAGGCGGCTGGTCTGCATGGGCGGGTGGCTGCACCAAGAGGCCTGCCGGCCCCGCCCCCCACCCCCGGACTCCAGCGGCTCCCTCCCTCTGCACTCAGGCTCCGGACACTGAGGCCCAGGCTGTGAGGGCTTCAGGGTGCTCCCAGAGCCTTGCCCTTAGCCCAGGGTCTTCTCCAGGCGGGGCTGGGAAGGGGCTGCAGGATAGGGCCGCTGGGTAAGTCCTGTCTGGAAGTGACAAAAATGGTGCACAGTGGACCTTCAGGTTTTCAGTCTGCCTGTCCCTGTGCGCGCATGCATCCATCTGTTTCAAAGTCTGTGTCTCCGTCCAGGTTTGAAGGAGAGGTGTGTCTCCCTGGGCCCCAGTTTGAGTGTGTCTGTGCCCATTCCCGTCATTCTCTGCCGTGCAGTGTGGGAGTCTAAACTCCTGACCCTAGGCCTTATATCTACCTCCAGGCCATGGCCATGGGCCCATTCCCTCTGGATCTGCAGAGAGGGGAAGGGCTGGGCTCCTGGCTCGGGCACCCACACACAGCCAGGGAAGCAGGATTCAGGTGCAGCCGGCGAGGGGGAGAGGCAGGTGCACCTGTGGACAGCTGTGGCTTGGTGGCCGTCGGTGTGTGCGTGCAGGTGCCTGTGAAGTGTCTGGACCACGCGGGGGGCCAGCGCACACCCGCGGAGAGAAAGCAGTGCCCACTGGGAAGTGGGCAGGAAGAGGGGCAGCCCTACTCCCACCTGCGGCCTGGGGGAGGGTGGACAAGGCTCCCCACCAGCTGCCGGGCTCAGCAGGGGTGGTGAACAGATAGGAGGGACTGAGCCAGGCCCATCTTCCCCCAGCCCTCCTCTCTCCCCATGACCCAGAGTGAGACAAGAGGAACCCAGTGCCCAGCTGCTTCTTGACTATGTGTCCCAGACAAGTTACCCTCAATCTCTGGCATCAGTTTCCTCAACTGTCAAATGGGGCAGTAACTGCCCCTCTTGCCCTCCTGGGGCAGTGGGGAGAGTCCACCATGGTCTGTGTGTCCAGTCCTCAGAGACCAGCCCCACAGGGCCTTGGAAAAGCAGGTGTTCCCAGGGCGAGGGTGGCAGTGACTATCCAACAGCAGCCTGGCCCCAGCCCTGGCAGCCCTACCCTCAATCCCTCAGGTCCAGGCCCCTGGCCTGATCCCCACATTCTTCAGCAAACAACCTTACACAGCAGACACTCTGGGTGGAAGGCATGGGGCCGGCCGACAGAGTGACAGACAAGGCACCAGGTAAACAGGAGACCAGCTCCAGGTCCAGCTGAACCAACCTGCTAATCTCTAGGTTCCAGGACCAGCCATGTAGACAGGTTATGGATTCATCGGTGCTGTGAGGGACAGGGGACCTGGAGGAAAAGGGGTGTGTGGACGCTGGACCCCAACCAGGGTCTGGAGGGAGTCCCTGGCCTGTGGGAGACAGACACACCTCAGGGGTCAGAACCCACAGAGAAAAGGCTCTGTTCTCCTTAGCCAGGAGGCAGGAGGCTTCGGCCAGTAACCCCAGCCAGGCTAGGCAGCCTCTGAGGAGGAGTAGTGCCTTTGTAGCTAAGGAATGTGGTTGCCAGCAATGACCAACTCAGCCCGGTCCCAGACACACCAGCTGGGACACACTAGAGTACAGACACAAAGACTCACCGGCCTGCAGACAGTGATGAGTACACTAGCCAGGCGTGCACACACACAGAGCCCAGCTCCCATACGCCCAGGAGTCCAGACCTGCACACACACAGGCACACGTGCAGACCTGTATACTCACACACACACTACAGCACACACAGGTGCAGACACACTGATGCCTTTACTGCGACCCCTCCTGGGTACGCACAGGCAGGCGCATGCACACATGGCTGACCCCAAAGGGACCTGCATACACACGCCCAGCTGTGTTCACACGCACACGTGTACACACACACCCAGGCAAAAGCACCCAGGTCTTCACCTTTCCGGAGGGGCTCCAGGCGGCCCAACACCCTCCTTCACGGCACACTGAGGCCAAAACGCGACCAAAGGGCGAGGCCAGCGGCCAGGAGCCGCAGTGCGGGCCCCTCCCTGCCAGGATGCCCCCCCCCACCCCCGTGCAGGACTGAGCTTCCTGCGCCGGGACTCCGAAGGCGCCGGGCCGCTGCCTCCCGACAACGTCCGCGTCCTCCCCGCGGGAGCCCCCTCGGGCCCCCGTGCGACCCCTGCTCGCCCCAGGGGGACGCGCTCGGGGAGGGGGCGGCGGGCCGGGGGCGAGCGCTGGCCCCCACCTGGTGGTGCGTCTCGCCCTCCACGTTGACGCCGTTGACCTCGACCAGGCGGTCCCCAGCGCGCAGCGCGGCGGCCTCGGCGGGGGAACCGGGTTCCACGCGCCGGATGAACTGCCCGCGGCGGCCCTTCTCGCCGTGCAGGTGGAAGCCGTAGCCCTGCTCTCCGCGCACCAAGCGGCACAGGCGCGGCCGCAGCGGCTCCGGCGCGGCCATGGCGCCCGCTGCCCACCGGCCGCCCGCGGGCAGGGGCGCGGGGGAGCTCGGGGGCGGCGGCGGCGCTGGGCACCCGGCGGTGGCTTCAGCGGCGGCTCCTGTTCGGCTCCCGTCGCCTCGGGATCCGGCTCGGGCTCCGGCTCGGGCTGCGGCACCGCCTCCGCGCCCGCCCCTTCCCCGCCCCCGCCGCCCGGCCGCCCCCGCCTCCAGTCCCAGCCGTCCCGGCCAGGCCCCTACCTCCGCGCCCGGCCAGCCCGAGGCGGGGCAGGGGGAGGCGGCAGGGCTAGGGGACCCCTTAACCACCGGGACCTCTCTGTCTCGCCCCTACTCTGGGCAGCCGCCTTGGTGCCAGCGCCTTTGCCTTCTATCCCAGGAACATTTATTGGATACCTACTGTATGCGCAGCATCGAGGCAGGTCTTGAGGTGGGCGACGGGTTGGACAAAGGGTCTCCAGGCCAAGGGACCCCGACAAAGGGGCCAAAGGGTAAGAACAAGGGCCACAGCCCTCCCCACCCTCCCCGGGAAGCCCTTCCGGACCCCCTTGCCTGTCTCCTCTCGGCTGTGTCTCACCTGGATCCCTCCCAGCCAGTGGCTGGGAGACTCCCTGGCCCAGGGCAGAGTCTCAGGAGGGCCCAGGAGGCAAAAAGGGCTTTAAAAGTGACACGCAGCAGCCCCTCCCTGCATCCTGGGGGCCAGTGGCTGGGAGACTCCCTGGCCTACCCACCGTGTTCGGCCTATCTGCACCGCGTCGGTTCCCACGCCCTGCTGCCATTCTTTCCCTTGGCCGGGCCGGCCCCCTCACTTGTGTCCCAGCCCACCCCAGGCCTGGACTGTGACTTTGCAGGGTGACAAAAGGATATGAGTCTCGAGGGTCCCTGCTACCCACCTCCTGACATGGGCTACACTCCACTGAATTATTTGGGCTCTAAGCTCTGGGTGTGCACAGGCGCTGCTCCACAGTGTCCACAGGCAGGCAGCAGGCCTCCCCTCCCCTGCCCACAGCCGTCCACGTCCCTCAGCCTCTACCTGAAGCACGAGTGTCCCTCCTTCCCCAACAGGACAGTCACCACCACAGTGAAATCATTTAGGCCTAAGTGCATTTTACCTGGAACAACCCTAGGGGACCGGCCACTTCACAGACCTGCAAACAGGCCTGGAGAGGGAAAAGACCCACGAAGCCTCCTCAGCTCCATTTGGGCCCAGGGATGTGAGATTCGGAGTCCATGCTATCTTCACCACCCAGCTCTTCCTCTGTCTCCAATATAGGAAGGTAGCTGAGTCCAGGCACAGCCCCAGTCTGCCCTCCTCCCCAGCCCAGCCAGGCCCCCTTGCACATACCTGGTTCCCAGGGGTCAGGCACAGCCAGCCCAGGCAATTCCCCATGTGAGCCGTAGAAGCAGGCTTGGCGCAGTCCTCCTCTCCCTCTCGTCTCTCCGGGGCCCTGGGCTGGGCTCCCCTGCCCCCACCCAAGCACAGGGCTCGCCTCTGGGCAGCCTCCTGGGCCATGGCCCCCTGGGTGCCCATATCCCGGCAGCTGCCCCTAAAAGCCACTTAGGCTGAGGCGCCGCGACTGCTCGCCACCCCAACCCCTGCAATTCCTGGGTAAGGCTGCTTCAGGCTCCCGCCCGGCCGGCCGCTTCCATCTCTCTGTCTGCATGTCCAGAGGCTGCCTGTCTGGCCTGTGGCTGGCCTCCCTGGACACAGCCTGGTGCTGCCACCCTTGGAGTCTGTGAAGATGGCTGTGGGCAGTGTGACCCACCACCACGCACCCCACATACCACACCTGTTTGGGCTTAGGGGGTCATCCCACACCAACCAGGTCCACCCAAAACCTGGCAGGCTGTAGCTTCCTGGCCACACTAGAGTCGAGGGAGGTGGCTGGATGGGAGACTCCAGCAGCCCCAGGTCCCCTGGGTAAGGGGGCTTGCAGACCTTACCCGCCCTGGGTGGGGCAGACGCCTGATCAGCCTTGGGCATACACCATCCTTCCCTGGCCCAGGACTCAGCTGATTCCTACTCCCAGTGACTGAAGATGGGCTGAGGGGCCGGAGCAGTGGCTCACGCCTGTAATCCCAACACTCTGGGAGGCCGAGGTGGGTGGATCACCTGAGGTCAGGAGTTCGAGACCAGCCTGGCCAATGTGGCGAAACCCCGTCTCTACTGAAAATACAAAAAAAATTAGCCAGGCGTGGTGGTGGGCATCTGTAATCCCAGCTACTGGGGAGGTTGAGGCAGGAGAATCGCTTGAACCCAGGAGGCGGAGGTTGCAGTGAGCTGAGATTGCGTCACTGCACTCCAGCCTGGGCAACAGAGCTAGACACCATCTCAAAAACAATAAATAAATAATTTAAAAACAAATAAAAAAAAAAAGATGGGATGGAGAACAGCATGGCAGAGGGAGGGGCCACAAGGGACATGAGGTCACAACCAGGGCCAGGAACCAAGGAAATATCACCGGACACACTGCTGCTACAGAGTTAACAAAAGAGTCCCCAAAGCCATGAAGGAGCTGAGGAGGGTAACAGAGTAGCAAAGGGCCGGGCAACAAAGGAAGTGGGCCTAGCAAAGCAGGGAGCAGGAGGAATGAGGCAGCCAGAGAGGAACCAGAGGTCACGATTTCAGAGGAGGTGCAGAGTCAGTGAGAGGGGACAGTGAGTCCAGGGGCCTGGAGGAACAGGCGAGGAAGGGTGACCTAGAAGCTCTCGGGGGCAAACCCTCCCAGGCCTCTTCTCCAGCCAGCCTCCGGAAGCTCTCAGCCCTGGTCCGAGGCTGACCTTGGCCCGTATGGGTGCTGCGCTGGAGGCAGAGAAAGGCGAAGGGAAGCACCTGGGCAAAGGTGTTCAGGGGCCGCAAAGTGCTTGGTGTCTCGAAGAAAGGGCTAGGGAGGTGGGCGGGAGGGAGTAGGGTCAGCATCGAGAGGAGGGTGGACTTTATTTTCCTGGTTCTGTGGGGTGCAGATGGGGTGTGGGTGACGTGGGCTCCCCGGGCCCCAGCAGGAGGGAAGAAAGTCAAGGCAGAGGCAATCAGAGGCTTGGGAGATCCCCCAACTCTCCACCCAACCCCCTTAACCCACGCCTGCCAGCATGCTACCCAGGCGTGGGTCCTATCCAGCAGAGGGAGAGCAGGTCTCAGCCGTTCCCCTGGGCTGTCGGTGGGGGGTCCACCGGGGTGGGGGCCGCCCGTGCACTCCTGTTTTGGCAGGACCTTTCCTTCGGGCCTTGAACCCGCATCCCTCCAGCAAGGTCCCAGCGATCTCAGGGAGCCCGAGCCTGGACCTGGACCGGGGCTCCGGGGTGTGGCCGTGGCCTGGGGCCCTGTCTGGGGGTGGGGCCACTATTCCGACTCCCGGTAATGGTCCAGAGCTGCTCAGGCAGGCGGGGCTTCCTAATGGACATTAATGGCCCTTCAAGCATAACCAGACCGCGCCTAGGGCCTCTTCCCTCAGGCTGCACCATGCCTCTCTTTACATTCTGAAACTGGAGCAGGCGGAGCCAGCGCGACAGAAGGAGGTGACCAACAGAGACCCACAGACCAGACAGAGAGAGAAGGCCGGGGGACTGCGACGACCCAAGAGTGGGGAGAGGCAGGAAACCGCTGCCGCCGACGGGGCGACCCCGCCCACCCGTCGTGGCCCCGCCCACTGCGGCTCTAGCCCCGCCCGTTGCTGGAGGCGCGAGTCGGACGCTACCGCCCGGAACAGTAGCCGCGCAGCGCCACCTGGCCGGAACTGGTGGCATTGCATCGTGCGAGGAGTTGCCCCAGGATCCTGCCCATCTGGCTTCCTTCCACTCGATCCAGTCCTGTGGGGTGGGGACTGGGGTGAGGCTGGCGCCCTAGGCCTGGTTGCGCTGCAGGGGAATAAGGGTGTGGAGTGGGGGAGGCAGAGAAGCCTCTCATGGGCTCTGTCTCCCCATCTTGGACCAGGCAAGCACCAGGGAACATCACTGAACGCCCCCCCGCCAGCCCCGCGAGAACAGAGCTTTGAGCACCTTGGCCTGCGCAAGGGGAGGCCAGAGCTGAAGCAGCCCCAGGAAGAACATTTAACCCAGCCTGGGGCCCTGGAGTCCTCCTTCGGCGGGGGAGGTCCCGGGCTGTCCTGGAATCTGCAGTCTGGAGCAGGCGGTGGGGAAGGGGGAGGAGGCAGTGGGAGGGGCGGTGAGAGCAGACAGAGCCAGCCCTGCCAGAGCACGGGTATCGTCCCATAGGCAGTGGGGAGCCCTTGAGGCGTGGTGTGGTGGTGACGAGGTCAGGACATCCATGTTCTTAGAGGTCAGGTTCAGTGAGGAACAGGGGCAGGAGTGGGAAGGAATGAGCTCGCAGGAGAATGAGTTGCCCTGTGAGGTGTGTGACCACCTCTTCACCCAGCACAGAGCCGGAGGGAGGGCTAGATGGAACCAAGGGCTCCATAAGAATTGGCTGTTGGCCGGGCGCGGTGGCTCACGCCTGTAATCCCAGTACTTTGGGAGGCCAAGGCGGGCGGATCACGAGGTCAGGAGATCGAGACCATCTTGGCCAACATGGTGAAACCCCGTCTCTACTAAAAATACAAAAATTAGCTGGGCGTGGTGGTGGGCGCCTGTAGTCCCAGCTACTCGGGAGGCTGAGGCAGGAGAATGGTGTGAACCCGGGAGGCGGAGCTTGCAGTGAGCGGAGATCATGCCACTGCACTCCAGCCTGGGCAACAGTGCAAGACTCTGTCTCAAAAAAAAAAAAAACAAAAATTAGCTGGGCGTGGTAGTGGGCACCTGTAATCCCAGCTACTGGGGAGGCTGAGGTGGGAGAATCATCTGAGCCGGGGAGGCAGAGAGGCGGAGGTTGCAGTGAGCCGAGATAGTGCCTCTTCAGCATGGGCTGGAGACTCCGTCTCAAAAAAAAAAAAAAAAAAAAGAAAAGAAAAAGAATTGAAGGGGTGGAGATAAAAAGCACCCACATTTGGGAGACAGACACACCTTGGAGATGGAAAGGACCTACCAGTGAGGGGAGGGGGGCTTCTAGAAGTGGGGGTGGGGAGCTGGTTCCACAGAGGCATCCTGGAGCCAGGCCCAGGACCACCTCTCCCCCAATGCTTGCTGGGTGGCCCCAAGGGGGGACCCTGCCACATGGCCACAGGAGGGCTCCAAGGGTGGGCTGCATCAGGGCATGTGACCTTGGTGGTTTGGGGTCCAGGACAGTCATTGGAGTCCCAGGGAAGATTAGAGAGGGTTGAAGAGGCAGCGGGAGGGAGGAGGGGCCCAGACCCTTGGGAAGGGAACTGGAGGGGGCCTGGTGGATGGAGGTCCTCGGTGTTCAAGATGGCAGGGCACATTTATGTGGGGGGGCTGGAGCCAGTGACCAGAAGTGCATGCAGAGGGGGATAAAAGGCAGAGAAGCAGGCCGGGTGCGGTGGCTCACACCTGTAATCCCAGCACTTTGGGAGGCTGAGGCGGGCGGATCACGAGGTCAGGTGATCGAGACCATCGTGGCTAACATGGTGAAACCCCGTCTCAACTAAAAATACAAAAAATTAGCTGGGCGAGGTGACGGGCGCCTGTAGTCCCAGCTACTCGGGAGGCTGAGGCAGGAGAATGGCGTGAAACCGGGAGGCGGAGCTTTCAGTGAGCCGAGATTGCGCCACTGCACTCCAGCCTGGGCGACATAGCCAGACTCCGTCTCAAAAAAAAAAAAAAAGGCAGAGGAGCAGCCAGGGGCAGTGGCTCATGCCTGTAATCCCAGCACTTTGGGAGGGAGGCTGAGGTGGGCGGATCACCTGAGGTCAGGAGTTCAAGACCAGCACGTCCAACATGGTGAAACCCTGTCTCTACAAAAATACAAAAATTAGCTGGGCATCATGGTGGGTGCCTGTAATCCCAGCTACTCAGGAGGCTGAGGCGGGAGAATCGCTTGAACCTGGGAAGTGGAGGTTGCAGTAACCCGAGATCGCGCCATTGCACTCCAGCCTGGACAACAAAGAGAGACTGCATCTCAAAAAAAAAAAAAAAAAAAAGCAAGAAGCAAGGTGGGGCTCAGGTGGAGGGGCCCCTCCTCCCGGGGCATGACCCAGAAGAAGGGGACCAGGGGTTCTTAATCAATCTGCGGAAGCCTTTGGCTAAGGGAGGGAGGGGGTGCCGGGAGATCCAGGTTTGAAATGAATGCTGAGTGCCCGGCGCTTCCCCTGGTCGGCGAGGGAGGGGCCCCTGACATTTGCCAGGGCGTGGGCGCGCCTGTCTGCGCCCTGAGCTAGACGGCAAAGTACACAAGCAGACGAAGGGGTCGCATGCGGGGGCGCAGGAGTCAGGCGGATTTTATTGACCGGACGGCAGGCGGGGTCTATGAGCGGCTCCTGGAAGCGCGCGGCCACTCCTCCTGGGTCAGGCGCGGAGGCGCCACGGGCGGGCGGGGGACGCTGTCAGAACGGTCCGGGGGCCAGGCAGGGCAGGCCAAGGCGGTTTGCTGCGGGGTCCACCGCTGGGCGGGAGACGTCTCTCCGAAGTCTCTAACGAGAACACAGCAAGGCCGTGGGGAGGAGGCTGTGGCCCTCCAACCACCGCCCCCGGGTGCCAGGGTCGAGCCTGCCCAGGGAAAGCTCTTCTGGGCGCGGAGCAGGGAATGGAAGGGCCCGAGGGTGCCCCCTGAACGCGCGGCTCCGTGCTCCGGCTCAGACCTCCCGAGACCCCCTTGCCCGCGGCGGTCCAGGCCTCTCCCCTCTCACGTACCTGGCCAGCTCCGCTGAAGTCCAGGGACTCCGGTTCCAGCGCAGGCTCTGGGGCGCGCGGGCTCCGGGGCGCACGGACGGGGATCCCTGCCTGGGAGCTCCTGCGTCGCGTCTCCCACAGCTCCTGAACCCACGAGGGCAGCAGGAGAGGAGCCTCGCGGGCTGCGGGTTCGGGGGAGAGGGTGTCCCTGGCCAGGGGCCCGGCGGCCGCGCGCAGCGCGCGGCGCCACAGATAGGGTGAGCGACGCAGCCCCATGAGCAGGCCAGCGGCGCGGCCCACCGTGTGGTAGCGGGGACTCGCCACGTGCTTGTACCACGCGCCGGAGGGCAGCGGCAGCAGGAGCAGAAGCAGCAGCAGTGCCAGCCGCGGCCGGCTCGCGGGAGCCCCCCGCTCCCCTGGGCGCCACGCCAGGGCGCTCGCGTCGACGGCCGCCCGGCGGGGCGGGCCACGAACCGGCTCGGCTGGGTTTGGGCGCGCAGTGGAGTTGGGACGCCCAGGTACCGGAGCGCAGGAGGCTGGAGGCGAGCCGTGGGTCCCCTGCAGGCCCAGCTATAACCGCTCGGTGGCCCCGCCTCGTTCCGCCCCCTCAGTACCGCTGGGCTCCCCAGATGGGGGGAGGGACGGAGGGAGGAGAGGGAACCCTGGCAGCTGGCGGGGGACGTGGGTACTTGAGCACCTCACTGAGTGGGCCGCTGGCTGGAACTGGGCTCGAGGCTCCTCTGAGGGGACACGTCCCATTCTCTGCCTGCTCAGCCTCCTCCCTCTAGGAGTGGAAGTGCCAGGGAGTGGGTACTGGGAACACTGATGAGGGAGTAGGGCTGAGGGATGCCCCTTTAGCCAGACTCCTGCCGGTGGGACGACAGCAGAGCGAAGGCCCAGGTGCAGGCAGAGCTACAGTGGCTATTGCAGGAGGGCTGTCGGGGGCCTTCAGCACCATTCAAGACCCCTCTGGGTGAGTCCCCCCAAGAGTTGTCCCTTGTCCTTGCCTAGCATAGCTCCCAAAGCTGTCCCCACACCCTGTCCTGTCCACTGCCACCCCCAGCTTCTCCCCACCAACCCATCTCCCCGCAGAAGCCTTAGAAGCCTCATGTTGGCAACACCAAGCCATCCGTGGGGTCTGCAGTTCTGTGAGGCTTCCAGGAGAAAAAGTCAGCCCCTCCTGGAACCTCTACCCCTGGAGGGGCAGGACAAGGCCTTGCAGACCTCCAGCGCCTCCTCTCTGGTGATGGTCCCCCAAGACCACTTTATCCAGCCAGTCTCAATTTTTGCCTAAACCAACAGCCTGTGGCTTTGCCTGCCTCTGTGCGTCTGTGCCTAACACCTACTCATCCTTCAAGACTCCACTTAAATGGCCCAGATCCTTGGCCGGGCGCGGTGGCTCACACCTGTAATCCCAGCACTTTGGGAGGCCGAGGCGGGCGGATCACCTAAGGTCATGAATTCAAGACCAGCCTGGCCAACGTGGTGAAACCCCATCTCTACGAAAAACACAAAAAATTAGCTGGGTATGGTGGCAGGCACCTGTAATCCCAGCTACTTGAGAAGCTAAGGCAGGAGAATCGCTTGAACCCGGGAGGCGGAGGTTGCAGCGAGCCAAGATTGCATCATTGCACTCCAGCCTGGGCAACAAGAGCGAAACTGCATCTTTTTTTTTTTTTTTGAGACGGATTCTGGCTCTGTTGCCCAGGCTGGAGTGCAGTGGCGCGATCTCGGCTCACTGCAAGCTCCGCCTCCTAGGTTCACGCCATTTTCCTGCCTCAGCCTCCCGAGTAGCTGAGACTACAGGTGCCCGCCACTACGCCCGGCTAATTTTTTGTATTTTTAGTAGAGACGGGGTTTCACCACGTTAGCCAGGATGGTCTTGATCTCCTGACCTTGTGACTTGTGATCCGCCCGCCTCGGCCTCCCAAAGTGCTGGGATTATAGGCGTGAGCCACTGTGCCCGGCCGAAACTGCATCTTAAAAAAAAAAAAAGGCGCAGGGCCAGACAGTCCCTCAGAATTTCCCTCTGTGGCCATCTGGGCTTAACAACCCCCTCCCAGAGGGCAGAGCCTGACACAGTCTTTCCTGACCTCCCAGCAAGGGTGAATCCAGCCCTCCCTCAGCAACCATGTCAGTCATGGGGCAGCCCCTGGGTCCCAGACACCAGGGATCTCGTTTTGGGTCATCATGAACTATCTCATCTTGACCTCCAGACAATGTCATGAGTGGAACTATTATTGACTCCACTCACCAACGAGTAAACTGAGGCCCAGGGAGAACTGACCTGCCCCAGATCATGTTGGGTAAATGGTGGAGGTGAGATACATCCTAGCACCTGAGCCCAAGAGCCTCAGCTTGGGGGAACAGGGTACTCCTGTCCAGAAGGGCACAGAAAGGCTGGGGGCAGGCTGGGCACAGTGGCTCATGCCTGTAATCCCAGCACTTCAGGAGGCTGAGGCAGGTGGATTACTTGAGGCCAGGAGTTCAAGACCAGCCTGGCCAACATGGCAAAACCCCATCTCTATTAAAAATACAAAACTTGCCAGGCACAGTGGCTCATGCCTGTAATCTCAGCACTTTGGGAGGTCGAGGCAGGCATGTCACGAGGTCAAGAATTTCAGACCAACCTGACCAACATAGTGAAATCCCATCTCTACTAAAAATACAAAAATTAGCCGGGTGTGGTGGCATGCGCCTGTAGTCCCAGCTACTCAGGAGGCTGAGGCGGGAGAATTGCTTGGTCCTCGGAGGCGGAGGTTGCAGTGAGCCAAGACTGTGCCATTGCACTCCAGCCTGGGTGACAGAGTGAGACTCCATCTCAAAAAAAAAAAAAAAAAAACTTAGCCGGGCATGGTGGCACACACCTGTAGTCCCAGCTGCTCGGGAGGCTGAGGGAGGAGAATCACTTGAACTCGGGAGGCAGAGGTTGCAGTGAGCCACGATGGGACCACTGTACTCCAGCCTGGGTGACAGAGCAAGACTCCATCTCAAAAAACAAACAAACAAACAAACAAAACAGAAGGTCTGGGGGCAGAGCCAGACTCCCACTCCTGAGGCGTGAGGGTCCCCGGTGAGTCTGGTGAGCCTGACGAGGGTTAGAAGCAGCAGCCCTCTCCAGGAAGGCCACACTGAAGTGGCGAGACGCCAGCCCTGCTTGATAGTCGCAGCTGAGGGGAAGAGGATAAGGACCTCGGCCTCTCCTGCCTCAGTTTCCTCATCTGTAAACTGGGGGTAAAAAAAGTGGCCACTTCATCATCTTGTTGGCACTGATAATCCAGTGGTGGGTCTGGGAGCTGAACCGTGCCTGGTACCCAGTAAGCACTCAATGAACGCTGTGGCTAGGACCTATCCTTGCTGCACCAGAGGCTGACCACCCCCAGCCTGTCAGGAAAACACTGTGACAGGGGCAGAATGGGGGATGCAGATGGAGCTGTCTGCGCCGCCTGGAGGACCACGGGGACCAGAGGCCCTGCAAGAAGCTATCCCCGCCACGCTCCCCCAGGGCCCCTTGTCCTTGACAGCTGCCTGGAGTGTGTGGTGGGCGGGTAGTGCAGCACGACATGGGCCAGAGCCAGGCCCCATCAGGGTCCCTTGGCGCTGCCACCCGCTCCTGGCTAAGAGGACGTGGGTGTCTCTGGACCCCTGGGGGGACTCCAGCCAGTCAGGGGAGGGTCCAGGACGCCCCCTGGAGGTGGCCCGGGGAGCTTCTGCAGGGGGAACTGTGGAAACTGATCAATGAAAGTCTATGCTGGGATGGAAGTCCCTGTGACAGCAAATAGAAGCAGTGGAGATTGCGCCACTGCACTCCAGCCTGGGCAACAGAGGAAGACTCCTTCTCTCTCAAGAAAAAAAAAAACAAAACAAACAAACAAAAAAAAAACAGCTGGACATGGTGGCTCATGCTTGTAATCCTAGCACTTTGGGAGGCCAAGGCAGGTAGATCATGAGGTCAGGAGTTTGAGACCAGCCTGGCCAACACAGTGAAACCTCGTCTCTACTAAAAATACAAAAATTAGCCAGGCGTGGTGATGGGTGCCTGTAGTCCCAGCTACTCGGGAGGCTGAGGCAGGAGAATCACTTGAACCCGCGAGGCAGAGGTTGCAGTGAACCAAAATCACACCACTGCACTCCAGCCTGGGCGACAGAGCAAGACTCTATCTCAAAAAAAACAAAACAAAACAGAACCACAACAACAAAAAAACCAGCAGTGGCTCCTCTACCTTGTTTATTGCTGTGGCCCAAGGGAGTGAGAGTCGCAGGACGCAGGGAAAGGTCACTGGGAACAGAGGCACGGGGAGGCGTCTGTTGGGTGGAGTGTCCGGAACACGTGGCAGGGGGAGACCAGGACTGGGTTAGAGGAGCAAAACACAGAACCTTAAGGGTGTCTGTGGGCTCCCTTTTCAGGCGGCAGGAGGAAGGCCTCTGTGTCCTGCCCAGCCTGGTGCCCAGGAACAGGACCTGGTGACAAAGGCTTCCTTCTCCCCACCTCCAGGGGTCTGGAGTCACAACTCTCCTTGGGGAGGAGGTGACGAGAGCCAGCCCTGCTTCTTGAGGCTCACATCTCAGTTCCTTGACACCAGTGTCCGGCCTAGAAACCCGTGAGACACTTGCTTAAGGCCAGGACCACGCCTGCCGCAGGCACAAAGCCTGGCCCCGAACAGGAACGCCCTGGTAAGGAGGAGATTAATGAGCAAATCTGTTTTGTCATCTTTAAAATTATTGGCCAGGGCGTGGCACAGTGGCTCACGCCTGCAATCCCAACACTTTGGGAGGCTGAGGCGGAGTTAGAGACCAGCCTGGGCCATATGGCGAAACCCCATCTCTACCAAAACAAACAATGACGAAATATATATATATATTAGCTGGGTGTGGTGGTGTGTGCCTGAAGTCCGAGGTAGAAAGTTCCCTTGAGGCCTGGAGTTCGCAAGGCTGCAGTGAGTCGCGATCTTGCCACTGCACTCCAGCCTGGGCGACAGACCCTGTCTCAAAAAGTAAATACATAGCTCGGGCTCAGTGGCTCATGCCTATAATCCCAACAGTTTGGGAGGCCGAGGTGGGCGGATCACTTAAGCTCAGGAGTTCAAGACCAGCCTGGCCAACACGGTGAAACTCCATCTTTACTAAAAATACAAAAAAATTAGCTGGGTGTTGTGGTGCACGCCTGTAATCCCAGCTACTCGGGAGGCTGAGGTATAAGAATTGCTTGAACCTAGAAGGCGGAGGTTTCAGTGAGCCGAGATTATGCCACTGCATTCCAGCATGGGCGTCAGAGCGAGACTCCATCTCACAAAAAATGAAAAAAAAAACCAAAACAGTAAATATATTAAATAATTGGCTAGGCTCAGTGGCTCACACCTGTAATCCCAGCACTTTGGGAGGCCGAGGTGGGCAGATCACAAGGTCAGGCGATCGAGACCATCCTGGCTAACACGGTGAAACCCCGTGTCTACTAAAAATACAAAAAATTGCCCGGGTGTGGTGGCTCACGCTTGTAATCCCAGCACTTTGGGAGGCCGAGGCGGGCGGATCATGAGGTCAGGAGTTTGAGACCAGCCTGGCCAACACAGTGAAACTTTGTCTCTACTAAAAATACAAAAATTAGCTGGGCGTGGTGGCAGGCACCTGTAATCCCAGCTACCTGGGAGGCTGAGGCAGGAGAATCACTTGAACCCGGGAGGCGGAGGTTGCAGTGAGCCAAGATCATGTCACTGCACTTCAGCCAGGGCGACAGAGCAAGAGACCACCTCAAAAAAAAAAAAATTAGAAAAAAAAGAAAGAAAGAAAAGAAAAAGAAAAAAAAGGAAAAAAAAAAATAATAATAATAATTAGGGCTGCGCCTGGTGGCTCACGCCTATAATCCCAGCACTTTGGGAGGCTGAGACAGGTGGATCACAAGGTTAAGAATTCGAGACCAGCCTGGCCAACATGGTGAAACCCCATCTCTACTAAGAATACAAAAATTAGCCAGCCATGGTGTTGCATGCCTGTAATCCCAACTATTCGGGAGGCTGAGGCAGAATTGCTTGAACCCGGGAGGCAGAGGTTGCAGTGGGCCGAGATGGTGCCACTACACTCCAGCCTGGGCAACAGAGCAAGACTCCGTCTCAAAAAAATAAAAAATAAATAAATAAATAAATAAAATAAAATAATTAATGTTGTCAAGGCAGTATACATTATAAATCAAAGGCTGCTTGCTATAAGGAAGAGAACAAAGCTATCCCTGCCCACCCTTCACACCCTGCTCCTACTCTCCAGAGACAGCTACTTCCAACTCTTTTAGCTGTTAGCTGTTTCTTCTAGTATTTATCTCCAAATGTTTGAATCATAAGCATAACTACTATTTTGTTTTGTTTTGTTTGTTTTGTTTTTGAGACAGAGTCTCACTCTGTCACCCAGGCTAGAGTGCAATGGTGCGATCTCTGCTCACTGCAACCTCCGCCTCCTGTGCTCAAGAGATTCTCCTGACTCAGCCTCCCAAGTAGCTGGGATTATAGGTGCCTGCCAAAACGCTCAGCTAATTTCTGTATTTTTAGTAGAGACAGGGTTTCGCCATGTTGGCCAGGCCGGTCCCGAACTCCTGACCTCAGGGGATCCGCCCGCCTCGGCCTCCCATAGTGCTGGGATTACAGGCATGCGCCCCTGCGCCCGGCCAGAAACAGAAAAACTCGTAGCTGCAGCACTACTGACCTTTGCCATCCTGTGCACTGAGAATCTTTAGTAGCATCCCTGGCCTTCACCCATGTGTGTACGCAGAACAGTAGCCCCCCAAAGATGTTCGCCCCCAATCCCTGCAACCTGTGAATATTTATGCCACATAGTAGGAGGGAATTAGGCTGTAGATAAAATGGTTGATTAGAGGCAGGGTCTCACTATGTTGCCCAGGCTGATGTCTAGTGGCTATTCACAGGCGTGATCCCACTACTGATCACAGGAGTTTTGACCTGCTCTCTTTCCAAACTGGCCCAGTTCACCCCTCCTGAGGCAACCTGGTGGTCCCCTGCTCCCAGGAGGTCACCAAGTCGATGCCAAACTTAGTGCAGACACCTGACTGACACAGCCCACTATATCCTCAGAACTCCTGGACTGACACAATCCTCCTGCCTCGGCCTCCCGAGTAGCTGAGACTACACGTGCGCACCACCACACCAGGGAATATAAAATTAAGGTTGCTAATTAGCTGGCTTTATTTTATTTTATTTGAAACAGAGTCTTGCTCTGTCACCCAGGCTGGAGTACAGTGGCATGATCTCCGCTCACTACAACCTCTGCCTCCCGGGTTCAAAGCGATTCTCCTGCCTTAGGTTCCCAAGTAGCTGGAATTATAGGCGCCCACCACCATGCCCGGCTAATTTTTGTATTTTTAGTAGAGATGGGGTTTCACCATGTTGGCCAGGCTGGCCTCGAACTCTTGACCTCCAGTGATCTGCCTGCCTCAGCCTCCCAAAGTGCTGAGATTACAGGCCTGAGCCACCACATCAGGCCAGCTGGCTTTAATAGGAGATTAGCGGCTGGGCGTGGTGGCTCACGCCTGTAATCCCAGCACTTTGGGAGGCCAATGCAGGCGGATCACCTGAGGTCAGAAGTTCAAGACCAGCCTGACCAACATGGAGAAACCCCGTCTCCACTAAAAATACAAAATTAGCCGGGCGTGGTGGCGCATGCCTGTAATCCCAGCTACTGAGGAGGCTGAGGCAGGAGAATTGCTCGAACCGGGAGGCGGAGTTTGCAGTGAGCCGAGATTGTGCCATTGCACTCCAGCCTGGACAACAAGAGCGAAACTCCACCTAAAAAAAAAAAAGCTGGGCGGGGTGGCTCACGCCTGTAATCCCAGCACTTTGGGAGGCCGAGGCGGGTGGATCATGAGGGCAGGAGATGGAGACCATCCTGGCTAACACGGTGAAACCCTGTCTCTACTAAAAATACAAAAAGAAATTAGCCGGGTGTTGTGGCGGGTGCCTGTAGTCCCAGCTACTCGGGAGGCTGAGGCAGGAGAATTGCTTGAACCTGGGAAGTGGAGGTTGCAGTGAGCCAAGACTGTGCCACTGCACTTCAGCCTGGGCGACAGAGACTCCATCTCAAAGAAAAAAAAAAGATTGGACCACTGGCCTCCCCCAGAGTCAACTCTGAAAGACAGAAAGCAGCCATGAGCCAAGGAGTTCGGGCAGCCTCTAACAGCTGGAAAAGGCAAGGAAGCAGATTCTCCCCTGGAGCCTCCAAATAGGAATGCAGTGATACTGACACCCTGATTTTAGCTCAGTGTGACCCACGTTAGAGTCTGGACTCCAGAACTAAAGATAATACATTTGTGTGTTTTAAGCCAAGTTTGTGGCCTTTTTTTTTTTTTTTTTTTTTGAGATGGAGTCTCACTCTGTTGCCCATGCTGGAATGCAGTGGCGCAATCTTGGCTCACTGCAAGCTCCACCTCCCGGGTTCACACCATTCTCCTACCTCAGCCTCCGGAGTAGGTGGGACTACAGGCGCCCGCCACCACACCAGGCTAATTTCTTTTTGTATTTTTAGTAGACATGGGGTTTCACCGCGTTAGTCATGATGGTCTTGATCTCCTGACCTCGTGATCCACCTGCCTCAGCCTCACAAAGTGCCAATTTCAAGCTGGGATTACAGGTGTGAGCCACCGCGCCCAGCCAAGATGTTGAACTTCTTACATCCTTACAATAACTTTTCCCAGTTTTCTTTTTTTTTTTTTGAGATGGAGTCTCACTCTGTGGCCCAGGTTGGAGTGCAGGGGCGCAATCTCTGCTCATTGAAACCTCTGCCTCCTGGGATCAAGCGTTTCTCGTGCCTCAGCCTCCCGAGAAGCTGTGACTACAGGCGCATGTCACCACGCCCCGTTAATTTTTGTGTGTTTTGGCCAGGCACAGTGGCTCATGCCTGTAATCCCAGCACTTTGGGAGGCCAAGGCAGGTGGATCAAGAGGTCAGGAGATCGAGACCATCCTGGCGAACATGGTGAAATCCTGTCTCTACTAAAAATAAAAAAAAAAAATTAGCAGGGCGTGGTGGCGGGTGCCTGTAGTCCCAGCTACTCAGGAGGCTGAGGCAGGAGAATGGCGTGAACCCGGGAGGCGGAGCTTGCAGTGAGCCGAGATCACGCCACTGCACTCTAGTCGTGTGTGTTTTTTTTTTTTTTTTTGAGATGGAGTCTCGCTCTGTTGCCAAGGCTGGAGTGCAGTGGCGTGATTGTCGTGATCTCGGCTCACTGCAACCTCTGCCTCACGGTTTCAAGAGATTCTACTGCCTCAGGCTGCCGAGTAGCTGGGACTACAGGCACATGTCACCACGCCCGGCTAATTTTTGTATTTTTAGTAGAGATGGGGTTTCACCATTTTGGTCAGGCTTGTCTCCAATTCCTGACCTCAGGTGATCCCAACCTCCCAAAGTGCTGGGATTACAGGCGTGAGCCACCACGCCCGGCCTAAAAATTTTTTTTGTGGAGATGGAGCCTGACTGTGTAGGCCAGGCTGGTCTCAAATTCCCAGGCTCCAGCAATCCGGGCCACCCAGCCTCCCAAACTGCTGGGATTACAGGCTTGAGCCACTGTGCCTGACAGCTTTTTTCAAGTGGCAAAATTGGGGTTTCAAGCCCATTTGTGTCTGTTTCTAAAGTCCAAGTTCACTGGGCATGGATCACTTGAGCCCAGGAGGTTGAGGCCTCAGTGTGCTGTGATCGTACCACTGTGTTACAGCAAGAGCAAGACCCGGTCTCAAATAAAGTAAGTAAAGTTCAGGCTCATTGATACAATTTACTGCCTCTTTTCCAGTAGGGTTTAGATCTGGACCTGCCTTCTGGATGGCAGAGGGAGGGAGGTCCTGAGTGTGCCTGGCCCTCAAGGGTAGGGAGGAGGCCCTGTTACTGCAGCATCCATCCAAACACGTCCTGTGCTGGGCCCAGCGTAAAGAGGACAGGTTCCGTTCGTGCCTTCCAGAGGCCCCTTCTGGGCAGGCCTGGCGAGACTGCCCTGGGCTGCGAGATGGACGTCACCACGTGCTGCCTTTCACGTTGTCTTTCATGTAGGGATTTAAACAGGGCATTAGGGAAGTGGAGGCGGGACCACGCTTGTGTGTGTTCCAAATACCAGAGACCGGTTTCCTAATAAGGTGGCCAGATTTAGCAAATACAAATACGGCAGGTCCACTTAAATGTCAATTTCAGATAAGGAGCAGCATTTTAGTATGAGCCTAGCCCATCAATATTTGGGCTATACTTACACTAAGACATGACCCCTTGTTCATCTGAGATGCAAACCAGTTGTGCCGTGTTTCATCTGACAACGCCAGTTCGTGGAGCCCGGCGAGTGTTGACGTGACACGCGTGGCCCAGAGGAGCCCGGGGCTGGCCGCGTGGCCGCGCGGACCTTCGAG
The DNA here is from genome assembly GCF_000001405.40 of Homo sapiens. Lineage (NCBI taxonomy): Eukaryota > Metazoa > Chordata > Mammalia > Primates > Hominidae > Homo > Homo sapiens. Next base: position 2,009,949 of record NC_000016.10, on the reverse strand, counting down.
CGGTCGGCTCATGGTAGAGCGGCCTCTATCAGGGCCACCGCTCTAGCCGGCGCCGCGCTGAGGCGGAAGTCGCGACGCGCACTTGCGCCGGGCGGGCCCGTTGCTGGGTGGGGCGGTGACGTTTGCCCGGAAGGGGCGGGCCCGCCGGGAGCCAGGCCGCTCGGCGCCACGACCGGCCGAGAGGGGGGCCGGATCCCGGACCATGGCGGCGGCCGGGGGGCGCCGAGGGGCGGCGCGCGGACATGGAGGCGGAGGCGGCGGCAGCTCCTGAGCGGGGAGGCGGGAGCTGCGTGCTGTGCTGCGGAGACCTGGAGGCCACGGCGCTGGGGCCGCTGCGACCACCCGGTGTGCTACCGCTGCTCTACCAAGATGCGGGTGCTCTGCGAGCAGCGCTACTGCGCCGTGTGCCGCGAGGAGCTGCGCCAGGTGCGGGGCGCCGGGGGCGCGGCCCGGGGGCAGCGGGGCTCCCGGCGACCGGATGGGGACTTTGCCTCACTGAGGTCCGGCCGTGGGCCCGGCGGCGCCGGCTTCCGAGAGAGGCCTGGTGGGGCCACCCAGGGCGGGGTCCCGGCCGTGCGGCTGACGGCGGGGCGTTGGGGCTTGGAGGCCGGAGGCGGCCGAGCGGGTTGCAGGAGGGGGCAAGCCCTGTGGGGACAGCCTGGGGACTTCCCCCGTGTCCCGGGGGTTCCTGCCGGGCCTCAGGAAGGGTCCTGATCAGATGGAGAACTCGGTGACCTGCTCGTCTTCAGGAGTTTATTTTCCAGGGTCCTCCATTCGAGGAAACAAGGCAAGGGGGACTCTGCGGAGGCCATCCGTCCTGGAAGCAGGGCGTCAAACTCTGGGCATTCTCAGCCCAGCTGTGTTTCTGGGCCCCCATTGGATGACCCTGAGCAAACTCCTTCCGAGACTGACGTTTTCCTCTGTGGAGTGGAGGTGACACTAGCCTCGGAAGGAGACCTGCCCGTCGGAGGGGAAGGCCCCCTCGCGCTTCTTGGCGGGAAGGGAGAAAAGTGTTAGGAAGTTGTCCTCCTCCTCGCCGCCGCCCCCCGCCTTTGGCGCTCATCTCCGCAGTGAATGGGAGACGTTTTTGACTGTACAGACTTGGAAGCCGTGGAGGGGTCAGAGGGTACCATGCAGCGTTCCTCCACCCTCACTGCACTGCCAGCTGCTGGCTGTGGGCACCTGGCTGGAGCCCGTTGGTTTGCTGAGCTTAGAGATTTGTTTGCTTCCAGCATTGTGAAATTCCCCCGGTTTGTTCATAGAAGGCTTCGGCTGGTGACATCTGCCAGGAATCTAACTTTCTTCTCCCCAGAAGTGATGCAGAGCAGTATTGAGGTGTAGGTTCTTTCTTTTTTTCCTTTTCTTTCTTTAAGTAGACGTTTACATCAAAGGAGTTGAAGAGATGCTGCAATTCTCTGAGCAATTTGTGGGCTTATAGTCTGTGCCCTTTTTGGAAAAAGACATTTGGAGATTCTATCAGTCTGTCATGTGACAGGAGGAGGCCGACCCAGACCCCGGGGAGATCTGGGGTGCAGGAACAGTCACAGAGGACCTTGGCCCGTGGCTTCCTCAGGGCGCTTCCTGGCTTTGCCAGGGCCTGCCTTGCCAGCCAGTCCTGCATAGCATGACCTCACTCTCCAACAGCTAGGTTTCCCAGCACACCTGTAGCTTCCTTCCGGAAAGAAGACGCTAAGGAGTTCTTGGCACGTGAGGTCCCGACCCAGGCTGCAGGTCTGATGCAAGACATGAGTGAACATCTGCGTATGCTTACTGTGGCAGCCTCTGCCCGCTCTCATTCCTTGTAGGCCCCACGCCCTCCAGGAGCTCTGTGGCTGGGGGCTGCGGACATGAGCTGTCAGCCGGGGTGTGGTTTGGCACTGGGTGCCCCCAGCCGGCTTCCTCTAGGGCCTACCCCGCCTTACTGGGCTGAAGGAGGGGCTCCTGGAAAGTTTGCTGTTTGCTGGTCTCCTCTCCTTTGCATTCGTTCTATTTTCTTCCCATCTTGAGCTTGCCGCCTCACTCTAGTCTCCTTTTTCCTTACTGAGTTCAGCACCATCCCCTGAATATATTCTGTGTCCCATGCGTGCTCAGGAATTCCCACTGCAACCCTCAACTCCTGAACCCTGGCGTTGCCTTGGCCTCCCTTATGGGACTAAGGTTTTGCGAAAATTGTGAGGAAAGTGTCCAGGATGCCGTGTGGAATCGGCTGGCTCCATGTGCTTGTTAGTTCCACACACCTGGACCCAGGCCTTCCCTGTGGAGGCTGCAGCTGCTGCTCAGGCCAGGAGCCAGATGGGCCTGACCCCTGGCAGGTGCTCAGGGTGGAAGCCGAGGCAGGCTCCCCTCCGTGGGAGGTGGGGGCGCTGGTCTTGGCCATGGCTGACAGAGGTCCTGGGGTGGTGGAGCCCCACGTTCTGGGCCTCTTTCCTGGCTGCGTCTTTCTCAAGGGCCGGTTCCTGCTGTTTGCATCTTGCTCTCCAGCTTGCTCTGGTCCCTGGTGTTACTGCAGGAGTCCTGATGAGGCTGCAAGCCCCCCAGGGCAGCCCACCTGCACCTTACAGGCAGGCAGTGGGAGGGGGCGCAGAGGGCCAGCCCACAGTTACCCAAGGTCCCAGGTCAGGAGGGTGACATGCTGGCTTGGGTCATGCTTTCCTACTCCTACTGCTCCCCCTCCGCCCTGCTCCCGTCCCCCGTGGCCCTGGCCCTATCTGTAAAATGCTCCCTGCTTCTGCTGTCCCCCCACCCCGCTCCCGTCCCCCATGGCCCTGGCCCTCTGTAAGATGCTCCCTGCTGCTGCTGTCCCCATCTGGGCTCCTTGGAGGTCTAGACTCTCTAGATGGCCCTGGGAGCCAACCCCAGGGTCCCCCTCCCCACGTGTGGGCAGGCCCTCACCGCTGTCCTTTTGTGTGCCCATGACATGCTGGGGAGTGTAGAGCAGCAAGGCCCCAGGCAGACACCACACCTGTCCCTGTGGGGGGTCTTGGGGGCCTCCTGTTCCTAAGCAGGCCTCACCCCATTTGCCTCTTGCTCTCCTTGGGGCCTAGCTTGGCCGTCTCCAGGGCTCACGTAGAGTGCCCTTCCCCTCATCATTTGCTGCATAGCCCATCCCCAAGCCTCTCCCCATGGGTTCTGTACTTCTGTCCTCAGACACGTGACCCTCTCCTGCTGGGGCGACCTAGACCTGTTGTCTCCCTCTGTAGCCCCAGCCATCTCCCCCCTGCCCCCACGTCCCAACCCAGCCATTTCCCTCCAGCCACCAAGTCCCACCCCAGGCATCTCCCCCAGGCCCCCAAGTCCCCTACCCATAGCCATCTTCCCCTGGCCTCCATGTCCCCTACGTCCCCTACTCCCAGCCTGGCTGTGCTGGAACCATCAGGCGGGGGAGGGTCTTGCTGTTTGGCTCCTTAGTGGACCGTGCCTGACTCCACCCTGGCCACTGTGCTGCGGGGCGCAGCCTTGTCCAGCCCCCTCCTCACCCTCAGGGAGGGCGATGCTGGCCATGCCAGGCTGCACTGCTGTCCCACTGCCCGCTCCTGAGGTCTGGGCAGCCAGTCCTGGTCTCCCTGCCTGTCTGAGGATGGGCAGCCTCAGGCCCCCACTATCAGGTGGTATTTCTCACTCCGGCCCCAAACCTGCACGCCCTCCTGCTCCAGTGATTGTGGCCTTGGGCCCACCTTGCTCACAGCCATTGTTCTTTCACAAGCCTCTTCCTGTTCCTGAGCCCACCCAGTGTCTCCTTTCCCCTGTCTCGTTGCTCCGCTTAGGTGCCCTGCCTAGGTGACCCCTCCCAGCTGTTCAGGAGGGACGAATACTCTGGGTCTTGCTACCCCTGGTGCTCGGAGTACCTGCCTTAGCTGCTGTGCAGATGGATGCCCATCTAGACTCCATATGGGGCATGTAGCCCTCCCGTGCTGGCCCACCCTGGGTCCTTCATCTGGGTGCTGTCAGTGCACCTGGGATCCGCCCGGCCTGGCCCTGCCTCTGCCCAGCTCCCCGCAGCTCCTCCACCCCCAGCTGCTCCCTGGCCTCAGAGAGGCTGCCTTGACCGAGTCCGCCAGCCCCACCAGTGCCGTCCCACATAGGTTTCTTGGGACTTGCGATGTGCTAGCATCGCATGGAGCATGGGTGCCCCCAGGCGGCAAGGACAGAGGAGTGTATGTGCTCCTCAGCGGGGCCTGGCCCTGTGCCCGCACACGGGTGGCACTCGGGGGACGCACCAGTGGAGGTTGGCTGCGTGTTAGGGGTGCCTGGGATGCCCCTGTGCCCGCAGTCTGAGTCGCCGCCACCCACGGTGGATGAGGGCGTGCGGCTGAAAGGAGGGGTGCCAAAGTGGGGAGGTGGGGCTGGGGACGCCCCTGGCACGGGTTTCCTCTGGGGAAGGAAGTCGTTTCTCCTCGGAGTCTGATGGGCTTGGATGCTTTTTGGCAGCCTTGGGGCCTCCCTCACAGGCTGCTCGCCTGGCCACCTCACAGGCAGACACTGGCTTCCTCGCCCGCCTGCCTGCTGCTTCGGGAGCTGTGGTGGGGAAGTGGCCCTGTCTGGTTCCCGGGAGTCCAGGTACTCAGCTCCCCGAGGAGGCTCGCGCTCTGCGTCCCAGCAGCACCCTGAGTGGCTCCGCTCAGCTCCCCGAGGAGGCTCGTGCTCTGGGTCCCAGCAGCACCCTGAGTGGCTGCACAGATTGCGCCTGTGAGGGTCGGGCTGGAGAGGCGCCCTTGGGAGTGAGTGGAAGGTAGGGCTGGGTGCCAGCTGCCGCGAGGGCAGCTGCTGTGAAAAGAGGCCGCACAAGGCCCAGGGCCTTTCCCTGTGTTTGGGGTGTGCAGAGAGGCTGCTCCAGGGGAGGGGAGCCAGGGGACAGGTCAGGGTGGTGTGGCCCGCAGTGACTGGCAGCCTTTGTAATGGGGCTCTGGGTGGGGCTGCGACTCCCATCTGAAGACGTCGCGCGTGGGAGGCAGCTGTGATGAAGTGCCCATCTGAGCCCAGCATGTGACGGGGACGCAGAGGCGGCCGAGTTCATCCTGCCCAGCCTTGCCTGATGTGACCAGGGGAGGAAAGGCCTGGGCTGCTGCTCCTGCAGCCCGTACCGCCCACCCCGCCCCTGGTGGAAGCGGCTCCTGTCGGTGGGGTGGGGGCTGAGCTCTCCTGGCGCTCCTGACCCTCCTGGGGAGTCAGATTTAACCACCTGCTCTGGGGGACAGAGACACCCCAGGACCCCCTGAGCACGTGTGGGACTGGCTCTTCCTGCCAAGCCTCAGGTTTCCCAGCTTCACGGCCGTTCCAGCCCGACATTCTCTTTGGCTAAGGGGCTAAGGTAAACTTAACATGACCTTGGCATGACCCTTGCCCGGGTGAGGACGTCCCCCTGCCCTGGATGTGCGCTTGAGGCCTTGAGCTGCTCTAAGGGCCCAGAGCCGAGGCGAGTGACCAGTGCCAGGCTTGGGACAGTGATGGAGCCAGAAGGGGGCTTGACCAACCCAAGGGGTGGGTGGCACCAATCTCTGCTGGCATGGGGGCAGCGAGGGTCCTCCCCAGCAGAGCTTCGTGGAGAGCAGGGGTGCTGAGCTGAGCAGGGATGCCGGGGCCGTCTGTGGAGGGCACAGGGCAGACGGGCAAGTCCTCTGGCAGCCAGCTTTGCAGGTGCCAGAGACCCCTGGGAAGGGGCCCACGCAGAGGCTCTGCAGCGCCTGCTGAGGATGCACGGAGCTGAGGTGGTCGGCTTGAGCCTCGTGCCGTGAAGGCGCCATGGAAACGTGGGGGCGGGGGCGCCGGACAGGGTAGCCGGGCCTTGTCACCTGATGCATCCCCGGCTGGCGGCCATTGGTATTCCCTTAGCAGCTGCTTGGAACACGTTTCTTCTCTGTCCTGGAAAGCTCCGCAGAGCGACAGCTGCTCTGTTCCCCGCAGGGTGGAGCCACCGGGTGAGGGCCCCGGCCGGTGGGGCGTGGCTGCTTAGGGACTGGCCTTGCCGCCCCCTGGTGGAGAGGCCTGGCGTTGTGTCTCTGTCCTCTGCCCCTGACCCTAGGCAAGCGGGTTGGGGTGAGGAGGGGAGGCCTAGGCCAGGGTGCCAGGGGCCGCTGCCTGCTGGGGCCTCCTAGGAGGACCCTTTATGCCTCACTCCTTCTTAGAGGGTCTGTGAGGGCTCCCTTGCCTCTGAGCCTCCGTTGCATCCCAGGTGGGGGTCCCATCCCAGTCCTGCTCACCACCCCTCTGGTTTTTGGCTCTAGGTGGTCTTTGGGAAGAAGCTTCCTGCCTTTGCCACCATCCCCATCCACCAGCTGCAGCATGAGAAGAAATATGATATCTACTTTGCAGATGGAAAGGTGTACGCATTGTACAGGTGAGCAGGGCCTCTCCCTGGGTCCTGGCCTCCCTGTGGTTGTGGCCCTTCACGTCCCACTCTCCTCACAACCGGAGGCACTTCGGGGGCCACCTGGTGCACCAATGCTGGGGCCAGGCACCTGGGTTTCCATCCTGTGACTGGGGAGGCTTACCAGGCCCTCCTGGGGGTAGAGCTGGTGGTTGTGCTGGGGAAAGGCATGCCCAGGTGGTGCAGCACCTGCCTCGGGGGCACCTTGAGGGGCACACGAGGTGTGTGAGCCAGGCCCGTGGCCTGAAAATCCTATAAAGGGTACAGCTGTCCCAGGGCTGGTCTCTCAGAGGAGGGGCAGCTCATGGGCTCAGGGCTAGAGCCAGGCTTCTGACCCAGGCCATGTGCACAGCCATGGCCTTGCATCTGTCCTGGGTCACGGGCCTGGGGCCTGGTGAGTGGCCCTGCTCCCGGCGGTGACACTGAATGTCCTGGGGCCGTGGGCGGCTCTCGGTGTCTTCCTAGGCAGCTGCTGCAGCACGAGTGCCCGCGGTGCCCCGAGCTGCCACCTTTCAGCCTCTTCGGGGACCTGGAGCAGCACATGCGGAGGCAGCATGAGCTCTTCTGCTGCCGTCTGTGCCTCCAGCACCTCCAGGTGTGCCCCCCCAGCGACCCCGGAGAGAGCCTAGGCGGTGGGTGGTGCAAGGGATGTGGCCACACGGCTGGGAGGGGCTTGTCCACCTGCTGCTTCTGGCCCCGGATGGCCCCCTGAGGGTCAGGCTGCACGTGGCAGGGAGGCCTCTGGCTGCTGGCGGGGCCCTCTCCCGCCCCTTGCTGCTCCGCCACTGGCCTGTGGGAAGAGGCAGGAGGCTTGGGGTCCCCCAGCCTGTGCCCAGCCTCCTGTGCCTTGTAGATCTTCACATATGAGCGCAAGTGGTACTCGCGCAAGGACCTGGCCCGGCATCGCATGCAGGGTGACCCCGATGACACGTCGCACCGTGGGCACCCGCTCTGCAAGTTCTGTGACGAGCGCTACCTGGACAATGATGAGCTGCTTAAGCACCTGCGCCGCGACCACTACTTCTGCCACTTCTGCGACTCGGACGGGGCCCAGGACTACTACAGGTGGGCCGGGCAGCAGACAGACAGATGACCCTCCCTCCCCGAGGGCGTGGGGCTAACCGGGCTGCAGCCCTCCTACCGACACCCCATCTCCTGCCAGCGACTATGCCTACCTGCGTGAGCACTTCCGGGAGAAGCACTTTCTGTGTGAGGAAGGCCGCTGCAGCACGGAGCAGTTCACCCACGCCTTCCGCACCGAGATCGACCTCAAGGCCCACAGGACGGCCTGCCACAGTCGCAGCCGCGCCGAGGCACGCCAGAACCGCCACATCGACCTGCAGTTCAGCTACGCGCCACGGCACTCGCGCCGGAACGAGGGTGAGCAGGCACCTGGCCTGGATGCCCCCAGGTGGGGCCGCATGACCATGCCCTGCTCTGGAGCCTGAGATGAGACCGAGCTGTGGGTGCAGGAGCTGACCTCCCACCCTCCGGCCAGGCTGGAGCGCCCGAGCACCCCTTGTGTGCCAGGAGCTCTTGCTCCCTCAGGGTCTCGGGTCTGCTGCCCTGGGTGCCCGGGGCCCTTCCCTGGACCAGGAGGCTTTTACTGAGCATCTGCTGTATGCAGATCCCACCTGGGGCTCGGGGACCCTCCTCCTCTCCCTTCCCACTGCTCCTGTGGCTTGGCACCCAGGTCGTAGAGGCCCGTGGCTGGCGTGGACCCTGCGAGGCTCCTGTGCCACTCCCGGGCTCATGTGCACTGTGGGTAGGAAAGCCTCTGCCATCCAGGCCTGAGCATTGGCCGGGTGTGGCCTTGACGGCAGGCCTGTTCCTCCTATTGTCGTCCCGGGGTCCCGGGAAGTGACGGGCTGTCTGCTGGCCGCAGGGGTCGTTGGTGGCGAAGACTACGAGGAGGTGGACAGGTACAGCCGCCAGGGCCGAGTGGCCCGGGCTGGCACTCGCGGAGCCCAGCAGAGCCGCCGAGGAAGCTGGAGGTACAAAAGGTGGGGGACCTTGCGTGCCGCTGACATTCTCCTGTGGTGACCGTGGCCAGTGGCCAAGCTGGGAGTGGGGATGGGGTCAGGGATTGTGGCCAGAGTTCCTGGGGTCCTGAGTGGCAGTAGGGTCTGTTGAGGGTCCTTGGTGGGCACAAGTTTCTCTCTCTTTTCTCCAGTTCTAGCCACAGCCACAGATCCCAGGGTTGGGGTGGGTGAAAGGGGCCTGTGTCAATTGGGCGGTCACCGCAGCTGTACGAGGAAGCACCGCCCCGGCAGCCCTGCAGGGCAGAGGCATCAGACCCCAGATGATCGCCCCACACACTGGGCCCAGGCACTGCCCGCCTGAGGCATTGGTCTCGGGCCATGCTCAGCCTGAAGGCTGGCCTCCTTGTCCCAGGGAAGAAGAGGACCGAGAAGTAGCAGCTGCTGTCCGGGCCTCCGTGGCCGCACAGCAGCAGGAGGAGGCTCGCAGGAGTGAGGATCAGGAGGAAGGCGGTAGGCCCAAGAAGGAGGAGGCAGCGGCGCGGGGACCTGAGGATCCCCGTGGCCCCCGGCGCTCACCCCGGACTCAGGGCGAAGGCCCAGGTGAGTAAGCCCTACCTGGTGGCAGCTCTGCCCGGGCTAGGAGGTCAGTGGCTAGCTCTTTTTTTTTGTTTGTTTGTTTGTTTGTTTGTTTTTTGTGAGACAGACAGAGTCTCACTCTGTTGCCCAGGCTGGTGCAGTGGCGGAATCTTGGCTCAGTGCAACTTCTGCCTCCCGGGTTCAAGTGATTCTCCTGCCTCAGCCTCCCGAGTAGCTGGGATGACAGGTGCCTGCCCCCACGCCTGGCTTGTTTTTCTATTTTTAGTAGAGATGGGGTTTCACCATGTTGGCCAGGCTGGTCTCAAACTCCTGACCTCAGGTGATCCGCCCACCTCAGCCTCCCAGAGTGCTGGGATTATAGGTGTAAGCCACGATGTCCAGCTTAGTGGCCAGCTCTTGATGGGCACGGTGCCTGGGACGCTCCAGGCCTTCACCTGGGAGGTTGAAGAGCACCCTGCACTGCCAGTCCCCAGAGGGCCTGTCCCCACACCCTGACCTGACCTGGGGGCCTTGTGTTCTTCATAGGCCCCAAGGAAACCTCGACAAATGGTCCTGTAAGCCAAGAAGCCTTCTCGGTGACAGGCCCAGCCGCCCCAGGGTGTGTGGGGGTGCCAGGGTGAGAGTATGGGCGCCCAGGGGTGAATGGTGCATGGTGGGCGGGTGCGGGCAGCCACAGGTGGGTGCCGGGAGGGCAGGTATGGAGCCACGGGGCCTGATAGCTGTTGACCAGCTGTGCTTCCCTGCACCCAGCGCCCTCCCACCACCCAGCCCGAAGCTCAAGGACGAAGACTTCCCCAGCCTCTCTGCCTCCACTTCCTCCTCCTGCTCCACTGCAGCAACCCCGGGCCCTGTGGGGTTGGCGCTGCCGTACGCCATCCCTGCCAGAGGCAGGAGTGCCTTCCAGGAGGAGGACTTCCCCGCCCTGGTGTCCTCGGTGCCCAAGCCTGGCACCGCCCCCACCAGCCTTGTCTCTGCCTGGAACAGCAGCAGTAGCAGCAAGAAGGTAGCACAGCCCCCACTCTCGGCGCAGGCTACCGGCAGCGGCCAGCCCACCAGGAAGGCTGGGAAGGGGAGCAGGGGCGGCAGGAAGGGCGGCCCGCCCTTCACACAGGAGGAGGAGGAGGACGGCGGCCCGGCCCTGCAGGAGCTTCTGAGCACACGCCCCACGGGCTCCGTCTCCTCCACACTGGGGCTGGCCTCCATCCAACCCTCTAAAGTTGGGAAGAAGAAGAAAGTGGGCTCGGAGAAGCCAGGCACCACATTGCCACAGCCCCCGCCCGCTACCTGTCCCCCAGGGGCTTTGCAGGCCCCGGAAGCTCCTGCCAGCAGAGCCGAGGGGCCAGTTGCCGTCGTCGTTAATGGACACATGGAGGGCCCGGCCCCTGCTCGGAGTGCCCCCAAGGAACCCCCTGGGCTCCCAAGGCCCCTGGGGTCCTTCCCCTGCCCCACGCCACAGGAGGACTTCCCAGCGCTCGGCGGCCCCTGCCCACCCCGGATGCCGCCGCCCCCAGGTACGCGTGCTGGCTCAGGCCTGCTCCCTGGGTGTCGGGAGGGGCCGGGGTCAGGCTGGAGCCGCAGGCACAGTCTGCATCTGGGTGGTGGGGACCCCTGTGTGATGCCATCGGCCACCCACATGACCTCCAGCCTCCCGTTAACCACCCTGTGTTCCTTGCCTCTGTGAGACCGGCCCTCATGGCGCCTCCCAGGTCTGAGGGTGCGTGAGCTTGTGTGGGCTGGGCCTGCCACACCAGCAGCAGTGGTGTGGGTGCTGGCCCTGCACCTGCCCTGCAGGGAAGGGGTGGCTGTAGACAGAAGCTGGCCCTGGAGGCCAGGCAGCCCGCAGTCAGCGAGGGTCCTCTCTGGGTCTTGTCCTGCCACCCCTCAGGCTTCAGCGCTGTGGTGCTCCTGAAGGGCACGCCTCCCCCACCCCCGCCGGGCCTGGTGCCCCCAATCAGCAAGCCGCCCCCTGGCTTCTCTGGCCTTCTGCCTAGCCCCCACCCGGCCTGTGTCCCCAGCCCCGCCACCACCACCACCACAAAAGCGTAAGTGTGGGTGAGCTGCCTGGTGTCCACCGGGGGTGGAGGAACGGTACCCTCCCCTTGGGCCACTGTGAAGGCTGAAGCCTCCACCTCCTCTTTACCTTCTGACCCCCAGACCCAGGCTGCTGCCTGCCCCACGGGCGTACCTAGTCCCCGAGAACTTCCGGGAGAGGAACCTTCAGCTCATCCAGTCCATCAGGGACTTCCTGCAGAGCGACGAGGCCCGCTTCAGCGAGTTCAAGAGCCACTCAGGGGAGTTCAGACAGGTCAGGCGGGCCCGGGGAGTCCAGATGGGTCAGGCGGGCCCGGGGCGGGGTGCCAGCCCGTCTTCATCCAGGGCCCGGGCCAGAGGGGATGACTGAGTCCGGCTCTCCGGTGGCAGGGCCTGATCTCCGCAGCCCAGTATTACAAGAGTTGCCGGGACCTGCTGGGGGAGAATTTCCAGAAGGTCTTTAATGAGCTGCTGGTCCTGCTGCCCGACACGGCCAAGCAGCAGGAGCTCCTGTCTGCACACACGGACTTCTGCAACCGCGAGAAGCCTCTGAGCACCAAGTCCAAGAAGAACAAGAAGAGCGCGTGGCAGGCCACCACCCAGCAGGCGGGCCTGGACTGCCGTGTGTGCCCCACCTGCCAGCAGGTGCTCGCGCATGGCGATGCCAGCAGCCACCAGGCGCTGCATGCTGCCCGGGACGACGACTTCCCCTCCCTGCAAGCCATCGCCAGGATCATCACGTAGCTCCCGCCAGCGTGGCCAGAGCTGTCGCACCGTGAGCGTCCTTCCTCCTTCCTCTCCGGGCTGCCAGGCAGCCAGGTAAGGCCTGGTGAGGCCACTTGGCCTCTTGGTTGGCCAGGCCCACCAGGAAGTCACCAGGACAGTCCACCCGCCCTGTTGGCACACTCAAGCGGGAGTCCACCCCTGCCTCAGTGGTGGGCCAGTCTCGGTTTGCATTCTTGTGCTTTTGGGAGGTGCCAGGGGAGGGAAGGGCTGGGATGCTGGGACCTGTTGTTGCTGGCAAAGCCAGAGGTCACAGTGGCCTGATCTGGGCCCTCCCAAAGCTGAGGGCTGCAGCCCGTGGGGCCTCAGAGCTGAAAGCTGCGGCGCCACTGGTGCCAGAGTCAGATGTCACAGATGTGTTGTGTAAACAGTTGGCTGTTTCATGCTTCAAGAATGTTCAGGATTAAAAGCAGACAAGAAATTGTGCTACTTGAAGTTGAATCTTTTTATGAGACAAGCTGAATCTGGGATCTCAAATTGCCTCTGACCTTTTATAAGACAGTTTATCTTCAAATAAATTTATTTTGCAATACCACGCATAGCTGGTGTTCTGAGCTTCTCTGTCTTCTGAGTATACCCTGAAGCCAAATTTAGAAACAGGGTGGAGGGGACATCTGAAATACTGCAGCGAAATAATTTGAGCGTAATTATCTGGATCTGGTGTTTTTGGAGGGAGACCAGACACATACGGTAATCACTTTCTGCTTCCAGCACATAGAAGTAGGAAAAATGCTCTAAACACAGCCACATTCAAATAAGGCCAAGAATATGTCCTCAGATCAGAGAAAGTGGGGAAATTTCTCTAAAGCAAGCAGAAAGGGGCTCCCATGGTGATGAAGAGCCAAGGTCAGTGGCTGCAGAGGGGCTGGGTCAGCCATGTGGCGGCATTGGCACTGCCCCCCTGTAGCTGAGGACTTGGACACTGGGACTCAACTGTGTCCCCTGGGTGATGGCCATGCTGGGGCTGGCTAGGAGATGAGAGGCTGGGTAGGGGCCACCTGCATTCCCCCCACACCAGAGGCGCCTCACAGCTGATGCCCACTTGGCAGGGGATGGTAGGTTCCTAAGCAAGACCAGCTCCACAGAAGAGTAGAGCAGTCTGAGAAATGGGCTGTTTCCTTAAGGTTATTGGAAAGAACTTCTCTTTCCGGGTCTGGCCCTGTCACCCAGGCTGGAGTGCAGTGGTGTGATCTCAGCTCAGTGCAGTCTTGACCTCCTGAGGCTCAGGTGACCCACCTCAGCCTCCTGAGTAGTTGGAACTACAAGTGTGCGCCACCATGCCCAGCTGATATTTTTTGTAGAGAAGGGGTCTTGCTATGTTGCCAAGGCTCGCCTTGACCTCCTGGGCTCCAACAATCCTCCTGCCTCGGCCTCTCAAAGTGCCAGGTTACAGGAATGAGCCACTGTGTTCGGCTAAAAATGACTTTTGTTTTGAGAGGGAGATTCGCTCTTCTTGCCCGGGCTGGAGTGCGAAAGCGTGATCTCGGCTCACCACAACGTCCGCCTCCCGGGTTCAAGCGATTCTGTCTCAGCCTCCCGAGTAGCTGGGACTACAGGCATACGCCACCATGCCTGGCTAATTTTTTGTACTTTTAGTAGAGATGGGGTTTCTCCATGTTGGTCAGGCTGGTCTGGAACTCCCAACCTCAGGTGATCCACCCACCTCGGCCTCCCAAAGTGTTGGGATTACAGGCATGAGCCACCGCCCCTGGCTAAAAAATGACTTCTTAAAGAAGGAGCAAGAGCTAGAGGAATATGGGGCAACACTTGAGTGGCAGTTGCTGTGACAAGCACTGCTGCAAGCTCCACACCCCTCACCACAGTAATTGTCACCCTCCCACGCCACAGGAACCACGATGGCCCTTTTACAGAAGGAGAACCTGAGGCACAGACAGGTTGAGAGACTTACCCAGGATGACTGAGCTAGAAAGGGGCAAAGCCAGCATTTTGGCTCCAGAGATGGTTCTTAGCTGTGCTTCATTCAACCAGGAAGTTATGAAAAAAAAAACAGTTAGAAATCCTAGGAATGAGGTTGGGTGCAGTCGCTCATGCCTGTAATCCTAGCACTTTGGGAGGCTGAGGCAGGTGGATAACCTGAGGTCAAGAGTTCGAGACCAGCCTGGCCAACATGGTGAAACCCCATCTCTACTAAAAATACAAAAAATGAGCCAGGTGTAGTGGTGCATGCCTGTAATCCCAGCTACTTGGGAGGCTGAGACACAAGAATTACTTGAGCCTGGCAGGTGGAGGTTGCAGTGAGCTGAGATCTCACCACTGCACTCCAGTCTGGGTGACAGAGTGAGACTCTGTCTCAAAAATCCTAGGAATGAAAAAGTAATTGAGATAAAAACCCCAATAGATGGGTTCAAAAGTAAACCCAAGCTGGGGGATGTAACTGCAAAAGGTAGCAGTGAGAAGTGGGGAAGGGTGTGGCCATGGAAGGCCATGGAATAGGGACCTGGTACTGGAGGCTTCACGGCAAATCTTACAGGAGTCCCAGGAATAGAAGGTGGCGAGAAGAGGACATGCGAAAAACCGTGACTGCTCACCCCAACACCAAGAGAGAAAACAAACCATCAAGGACCAAACAGGATCAACGATAAGAAATTCTTATCTAGACAAGGATTTACAGAAAAGAACCCTACAAATCATTACCAACAAGATCACTTACAAACAATGCAAATGGTACCATTAGCATCACTCTCATCAGCGTTATAGAATGCTAGAACATAAGAGTGAAATCATCAGGGTCGGACGCGGTGGCTTATGCCTGAAATCCCAGCATTTTAGGAGACCAAGGTGGGAGGATCACTTGAGCTCAGGAGTTCAAGACCAGCCCAAGCAATATAAGGAGACTCCATCTCTACAAAAAACTTTAAAATTAGCTGGGCATGGTGGCACATGCCTGTGGTCCCAGCTACTCAGGAGGCTGAGCAGGGAGGATCACATGAGCCCAGGAGGTGGATGTTGCAGCCAGCCAGAGGTTAAAGTAAGCCAAGATTTTGCCACTGCACTCTAGCCTAGGCATTTATTTATTTATTTATTTATTTATCCCTCAAAAAAACAAACAAAAAAAAAAACAGGTTCACTCTAGGCCCGTTGTGGTGGCTCACGCCTGTAATCCCAGCGCTTTGGGAGGCCGAGGTGGGTGGATCACCTGAGGTCGGGAGTTTGAGACCAGCCTGACCAACATGGAGAAACCTCATCTCTACTAAAAATACAAAATTATCCGGGCATGGTGGTGCATGCCTGTAATCCCAGCTACTTGGGAGGCTGAGGCAGGAGAATCACTTGAACCTGGGAGGCAGAGGTTGCGGTTAGCCGGGATCACGCCATTGCACTCCAGCCTGGGCAATAAGAGTGAAACTCCGTCTTAAAAAAAAAAACAAAAAAAAAACAGGCCGGGCGCTGTGGCTCATGCCTATAATCCCAGCACTTTGAGAGACACCAAGGTGGGTGGATCACTTGAGGTGAGGAGTTTGAGACCAGCCTGGCCACCATGGCAAAACCCTGTCTCTACTAAAAATACAAAAATTAGCCAGGCGTGGTGGCGGGCACCTGTAATCCCAGCTACTCTGGAGGCTGAGGCAGGAGAATTGCTTGAACCCGGGAGGCAGAGGTTGCAGTGAGCCGAGATTGCACGACTGCACTCCAGCTTGGGCGACAGAGTGAACCTCCATCTCAAAAACAAAAACAAAAACAAACAAACAAAAAAAACAAGGGGTCTCGCAGCATTTCAGAGAACCAGACTAGTGGGATACGTGGTGGTGGGGACCTATGGACCTGGAGCCCCCAGAGCCTGGGGGTCAGCCTGGCCTCTACCTCCCCGTCCCCTCCTGTGGGGCCCTGGTGCCTCTCAGATACCAATCCCTGGCACCAGAAGGGAAGGGGTAGAAATGATTCCAGGAGCGTCCAGGTCACAGTCAGCTCAGTTACAGTCTTTATTGTAAAGAAGGTGCAGTCGGAACATGGGACACTGAAAATACACAATCTCTGGTCTTTCAGGAGAGGGAGAGAGTGATATATACAAAAATTGTAAACATGTTCACTTAAATATCCACACAGAATTGGTCTAGGCTACAATGTAACAAGGTTGTCACTCAACTGCATCTCCAGAGGGAGGTGTCTGTCTGATGAAATGTGGCAACCACGTTTGGTGTTGACTTAATGTGAAAAGCCAGCTTTGAGCAATGCATGAGTAGTCAGCTATGCAGAGGGACTCCAACCTGGGACTGGGCCAGGAAGCAGGGTGCAGGTGGAGAGGCAGGGACTGGGCCAGGAAGCCAAGGTAAAGGGAACCACACAGGGGCCATCTTGTGGGGCACGGTGGCCAGCTGGAGCCTCTGGGCCTCTCTCCTGCTGAGGGGCTTGTCTTGCCTGGCACCCAGGCATCCTTCTCCTCTCCTGGCAAGGTCTTACTGAAGGGCTAGGACAGGGCTGGTGTCTTGGCCCACAGCTACCTTGTGCCTTCCTGGCCAGAACCACCCACACCTGGGCAGGGGCCGGGGCCACAGAGAGAGGAGCAGCTTGTGGAGTACTAGGAGGTGAAACCCGAAGACTGGACCATGATCACAACACTGACAGGGCTGGGCTGTTCTAGCAGCCTGTGAGAGAAAGTGGAGAGTGGCTCCGGACGGGACGCACCACCATGACAGAAACGAGACAGTCACTACCCACAGGGACATGGGATGGGAACAGTGGCCAGGATCCCCAGTCTTGGGGCGAGGGTGGTGTCTTTCCCCTGCCCCCGCTTTGTCCTGGGCAGCCCCTGCACCTGATCGTAGAGGGCAGCTGGACCCCCAACCCCAGAGTGAGCAGGTGTGGCCCAAGAGGGGAAAGCCTTCCCCAGGCCAGTCCATTCCAGGCTAGGGACACACGTCCTGGGCAGTGCTATCCCCTTCTCAGGACCTCAGTCCTGGGGCCAGGTGCTGAGGGACTGGGGGAACTTGGCAGGGGCAGCCCAGACACGCGGGTCCACCCCCTCTTGGCCCCGGATGGCGCAAAGCGGCCACCTACTCTGTCCGCGGCACTGAGCTGGAAGGACCCAAGGGAGGTCCCGGAGACCCTGGGGCCTGCGTTGGTGGGGTGGCCTTGGAGCCCTGGTCTGTGCCTGCCAGCCGCTAGTAGGCGGGCACCTGGTACCCTTTGGGGCTGGTGTCCAGGGTCTCGGTGAAGGGCGGGCTCTGGTAGGTCTCGGTGCCCTCCACGCCGCTGCCCACCGGATAGCCGGGGTAGGCCTGGCTCGCCCCGGTGCTCAGCTGTTCGGTGGCGAAGAGTGACATGTCGGTGCCCAGGCGGAACCGCTGCAGGGCCTTCACGGTGAGCGCCACCTGCGCGGGGCGGGGTCAGCGGGGTCAGCCGGGATCAGCCGAGCGCCCGCCCCTTCGCCCCGCCCTCCCGGGCCCCGCACTCACCCAGCTGAGGATGGAGAAGAAGCTGAAGGCGATGGCGGCCCGCGCCGCGTCCCCCGCCTGCGTCGTGGCCGGCCCTGGCGCCGTGCGCTGCCACTGATTGGTGAGGAAGCAGAAGCCCACGAACCACAGGAAGGACCAGAGTCCTGCGAACAGTGCGGCGCGTCAGGGCGACGCTCCACGCGGTGGCCCACGGCGGCCTCGCCCGGAGGAGGAAAGGTCGGTGGGCCCGAGGCTTGGGGCGCCTCGCCTGGGCTCGCCGCGTGGCGCGAGGTCCCGCCTCCCTCTCCTGCGCTGACCCCGCCCACCCGGGAGCGCCAGACCCGTTCCGCGCCCAGGCTCCGCCCAGACCCGGGCCCCGCCTACCTAGAAAGTCCCGCGGCGCTCCCCGTCCAGGCTCCGCCCCCTCCCCGCCCACCCGGGAGGCCCATTGACACTCCCTGCCTCAGTCCCCGCCCCTCGTCACGGCCACGCCCAGCTGGAAACTCCAGCGGTGTTCCCCGCCCAGGCCCCGCCCCCTCCCCGCCCACCCGGAAGGCTCTCCGCGCTCACCGCCCCGGCCCCGCCCACCTGAGAAGCCCAGGTCCAGCAACACCGCGCGCCGGCGGTCGCGGACGCTGCTGATTTGCTGGAAGCGCACATCGAGCAGCAGGAAGGCGGCGCAGGCGAGGAAGGCTCCGAGGCCCAGCGCGACGCCGAAGCGGCAGGCGCCCGCGTTCCCGTTGAACACGCAGCGCAGCTCGGGGCCGCTGTCGGTGTTCACGTAGCCCTCGTTGACGATGGGCCCGAAGACGGCGATGGAGAACACCTGCGTGCGGCGCGGCGCTCAGGGCCCTGCGGCGACCCGACCTCTGCGAGCCCGCCTCGAGCGCCCACGCCCCTGGGCCTGTCCCTGCGTTCCCAGGCCCGTATCTGGGTGGGGGGCGGTGTCACCTCTTTCTTTCCCGAACCCTCGCGTATTTAGTAATTATTGACAACACGGGCCGTTTAGTGAGCATCTACTATGCCCAGACATTGTGTTAAACAGCCACTTTACATGCGTCCCCTCACCAAATCCTCAGAAAGTCCCCGTGGGATCGCCATTGTTCTTATTCTCTTTATAAATGCGGGGGACATTGGGACCCCAACAGGTGAAGTGACTTGTCCGGGATCACATGGCTGACAAAAGCCGGGGTTGATTCAAGCCAGGTACTCTGCACCGCGTGGGCCCGTGGAGTCCCCTCAGAGCCCACTCAAGAGTGTGGGAACAGGAGCCTTCACCTGGGCCCGCGATTCCCAGGCTGGAGCCGGAACGGCGAAGGGGAGGTGAGAGTGCAGCAGGCAGAGCGGGGCGGGAGGGAGGGTATGGAGGCAGCGGAGCTGTTGCTTCCTGCGCGGTTGGGAACTGTCTGGCCTGTTTTCTAGCATGCAAATAGGGTGACGGGCACAGCTCATGCAGTGCTGGGACAGACATGTCCACCCAGCTTCCTGCACGTGGTGGGTACCCGAGGGATGACAGCCCCCACGTGACTGATTATTAATATCACCTGTAAGTGTTTGGGCTGAAAAGATGACACCGTTGACCTCTGAGGTTCCGTCAAACCTCAATGCCTCCTGCCCACCAGTTCCGGGAGACAGGCATGAGGGGGACCGCAGTCATTTTAACCAGCGCTGCACGGGGCAGCCCTGTGTTTCCAAGAAACGACCTCCAGCCTCAACCTCATCCCTTCGCTCCTTTCCCGCTCCAGCTCCGAGAGTGGAGCCAAGGGGGAAGCCGGGACATGCACTTGTCCCCAAGAGTGGGCCACAAGTCGGGACGTGCGCTCGGACCAAAACGCAGCGTCCTGCCTCCCGGTCTGGTCAGAGCCACTCCGCAGGGGAGGCCAAAGCCCCTGCCCCACCGTGGGCACCGCCCTCCTCCAAGACAGGCGCCGAGGTGCGGCTGGCCCAGAGGTTGCCACCTGGACAAAACCCAGAGCTCGGCACCCAACTGCCACCTCCCCTGCCGGAGGGAAGGAGCAGCAGGGCCCTCCCAGGGACGCCCCAGTGGGCTAGGCTGCTCCCAAACCTGCCTTCCACACCGCCGCCAGGAAGCCCTCCCAGCCCAGAGCCTCTCCTCCCTCAACTCACAGCTGGAACTGGGGGCCAGGGGACAGGCTCCCTGCCAAGGAGACCCGAGGGTGTGTGTGCGGGGGAAGGGGAGGCGCTTCTCGGTTCCCGTAGCCCCCTCCTGCCCCTCGGAGAATTCCGTCCCCACCCCGTCCCTGCTTCCAGGTCACGAGAACAGGAAAAACGGAGTAAGGGCTGCGGAAAGGGACTGAAATTAGACCCGGGGAGGAGGTAGGGGTAGAGGCGACCGGCGGTGACCTCTCAAGGTCCCTCTCCGGCGCCGCCGGCCCCTCCTCCGCCCGCAGGTGGGCGCGCCCTGCCCGGTGACGTCACCCCAACCTGAGGCCGGCGGGGGAGGGGCCGGCGAGGATGAGAGTGAGTGAGGTCGGGGGGCGAGAAGCAGGGGGCAGGGGGTAGGGGGCAGGGGGCTGGTAGGGGCCTGAAGGTCGCGAGGCAGGGGCGGGAGCGGGGGCCCGGGCAGGGACCACTCACCCAGGACGCGACCCGGAGCAGGGTCTGGGGCCGCCGCGCAAAGCTCACGGGGTCCAGGGCGGCCCCTGCGCGGCCCGCGCCGAAGGAGGCGCCCTCCATGGCCGGCCCGGGCGGGACGCGCGCCCCTGGCGCCTTCTGTCCGCCTGTCCGTCCGGCCGGCCCCGCCCGAGGCCGCTGCCGCTGCCGCTGATGCTGATGCTGATGCTACCAACGCTGCAGCCGCTGCCGCCTCCCGGGAGCGCGCGCCGGCCGCGGCGGGGACGCGCGGGACGGGGCGGGGCCGCGCCCGCGCCCCCCACTGGGTCCATGCGCGCGGGGCCGGGTCCCTCCTCTCCCTCCGCCGCGCCCACCTCCCATCCCCCACCCTCACCTGCCTGCCCCGGTCCCGAGATGGAGACCATCCTCAGGAACCCACCAGCCAGGTCCCCGGGGGCAGGGTGGGGCTCGGGTGCTGGGCGCAGACTTTGCTAGAGCCGGGAGGACAGACAGGAGGAGTCCGCTCCTCTGGGAAGGGCACTTGGGTGAGGGAGTAAAGGGGTAGGAGGTCCACGGGCTGCAGCATCTTCCCCCAACCCACGGGAGAGGGGACCGGCTCCCTGGCCCTGGTCCCAAGAAGACCAGATGGATAACTGGGGTCTTTCTCATGGCCCCCCACTGTGCTCTAGCTGCTATCACAGCTTCTAGCCTCTGGCGGGGAGGATCTGGTGGGAAGAAAGGCGTTGGCCCCAGGAGCACCTGTTGAGGGAGGGGACAGAGCCACCGTGGCCAGCGCCGCTGGGAGTGTTGGTTTCGGTGTCTCCGCTCCTTGCCCGTGGCCAGGTGGTGGTGCTCCCAATGCCCTCCCTACTCCTGGGTCTCCCCAGCGTACTTGCGGCGCCTAGTCTGGAATGGAGGGCAGGGAGCGGCATCAGAGACTAGGAGTCGGGTGGGGGTGGTGCCTGGCTGCCCTGTGTCCCGCTGAGTCCCCTCCACAGACCCCAGCCTTGGGTGCAACAAGGTCCCTCTCCTCATGTTCCTAGCAGGCTGGAAGTTCAGATGACTCCTAGGTTTCTGTCTAGAGCACTGAGATGTCTGCACTGACATTTACAGCGCCAAGCGCTTGACCTGTGTAGTGGCGGAGACTGTTACCACCCTGTACTTCAGATAATAAGCAACCCAGGTCCCTGCTACACGAGCCGGGTGCACAGATGGTGCTGCGTGGCCCAGCCCCCCTGGAGCTCATTCTTCAGCCTTGCTGGGCACAGGTGGGCAGAGCAGGTGTTGCCAGAGGCGCTACTCACTGTGTTCCAAGTCCATCACACTGTGCGTCCGATCACAACCCCTCTCACCTGTTGGCCACAGACCTCCCCTCTGTGTCATTCATTCTCTACTTCATCACTAACATCAGCACCCAGACATGCTGCACTTTCTCCTAAAAGCCAAACACTGTTGACCCCACCTCCCCTCCAGCTGCCTTACGTTACTGCTTCCTTTAGCAGCAAACTCTGCCTGCAACACCCTCCTCTCTCTCCCTCTGACCCGGCAGAATCAGCTCCCACCGCCACCTAAACTCAAGGTTGCCACTGACCTCTCCGTGCCAATCCCAAGGGCAAGTCTGATGCTGCTGTCGACTCATTTATTTCTTTAGTTATTTATTTATTTTTTGAGTTACAGTCGCACTCTGTTACCCAGGCTGGAGTGCAGTGGCGCAATCTTGGCTCACTGCAAGCTTTGCCTCAGGGGCTCAAGTGATTCTCCTACCTCAGCCACTGGAGTAGCTGGGATTCCAGGTGTGCCACCGCACCCAGCTAATTTTTTTTTTTTTTTTTTTTGTATTTTTAGTAGAGACGGGGTTTCGCCATGTTGACCAGGCTGGTCTCGAACTCCTGACTTCAAGTGATCTGCCCACCTTGGTTTCCCAAAGTGCTGGGATTACAGGCGTGAGCCACTATGCCCCTCCTGGAGGTCCTCCTCCCTCATGGGTCCTTCCTCTGTGACCTGTGAGCCTTAGGAGCCCAGGGCGCGATCCTGGGGAGGTCTCTCCCTCTGTGCTAACTCCTTTGGTCTGCGTGTCAACAGCTCTGGAACACCAGCTCAAGCCAGAACTTTTCCTTGCACTAGAGTTCCACTGGCCTGGATGCCTTCAAAAACAGACTCTGGCCTGGCGCAGTGGCTCACGCTTGTAATCTCAGCACCTTGGGAAGCTGAGGTGGGTGGTTCATGAGGTCAGGAGTTCAAGACCAGCCTGGCCAACACAGTGAAACCCTGTCTCTACTAAAAATACAAAAATTAGCAGGGGGTGGTGGTGGGCGCCTGTGATCCCAGCTGCTCGGGAGGCTGAGGCAGGAGAAATTGCTTGAACCCGGGAGATGGAGGTTGCAGTGAGCCGAGACTGCTCCACTGCACTCCAGCCTGGGCGACAGAGCTAGACTCTGTCTCAGAAAAACAAAACAACAACAAAAAGAAAAACAGATTCTAAGGCAAAGTGAAGTTTTATTCAGGAGTGAAACTTTAAGGAAGACAGGGAAAAAGGGAAGGCGGTGGGGGGGGCAGGGGGGCAGGGGAGGGACAGCAGATACAGGCGGTATGTTCCTAAGCTGAACACAGCCTTCCCAGAGGGCCCAGCTGCTTCCTGAGGCACTCACAGGCCTCGGGAAAGGCCAGAGAGAAGCGCGCTGTGTCTGGGCGAGGAAGGGACACCTCCTCTCCTGGCTGCCCCCCATCTCCCCTCTCTTATTTGTGCCACCTGGCCCCTCTGGGCAGCCTCTACAGAAGCCAGCAGCCGCACGGGGCCAATCTGGTGGGGACATAGCAGCTCCCTCCATGGAGGCCTGAGGCGGCCATGCCAAGGTGGGCCTGCGCCCAGGGAAAGGCTGAGACTCCTGGAGGATAGAGGTCCCTGGAGTTTTATGACCACAGGACACACTGTTGCTGGGCTGCTCTGGCTGGGGAGGCCCAAAGGCTGGGTCCCAGTCACCCCCCACCTTGCTGCACTCAGCCTTCTCCATCTCTGACCCACACGGCGGCTCCCAGCAGTCTCCTCGGACTCCATCCTCACCCCATGAGTTCTCTGGCTCTCCCTTTAACGTACCCCGCATCTGTCCCCGCCGTGGGGTGGGTCTTCCTCTTGGTGGTCACTCGGTGACTGCCCCGGCTTCCTCCCCACCCCTCCTGTTCCACCCTTACCTGCCTCATCCCAGCTCAGCAGCCAGAGGACCCTTCAAAGCCACATCACTCCATGCCATCCCCTGGCTCCAAACCCGCCAAGAACTTCCTGTCAGGGGAACTAGGGGTAGAAGCCATGGCTTTGCTGGGGCCTTGGAGACCTCGTGCCGTCTGGCCTCCCAGTACTCCTACATCAGCTACTCTGGCCCCCCTGCCCCAACCAATCAACGTCCTTGCTGTTCCTGGCTCACTCTCACCCTGTGGTCTCTCTCTCCTGAGGAACCAGGACCCCAGCAGGAAATGCAGCTGAGCACAGAGGGATGGAACAAGCCCTGTCTACTGCTTTATTAAGCCCCAGCAGAAAATATACTGAAGCCAGGTTCTCAGTCACTTCAGCGTTTCATTTGGGCTTCAAACTCTGATGAAGTGAGCCCCACGAATCCCCTGTGGACAGGCATGACACAACGCTGGCAGGCATGTGCCAGGCAGGGAGAGGGTAGGATGGCTGGTGGACCCTCAGAAAGACCCGACCTGAGCTTTCCCTGTAGGGACTGAGCAGAGTGGAGAATTGAGCCCCCTAAAGTGAGCAGCACAGAGCCATGGGGGGCAGGGGCATCCCTGGCTGCATAGTGGGAAGGCAATGGCCTGGCCGCCAGGGACAGGCACAGGGATGCCCAGCCAGGCCCGCTGTCTTCCCGTGTGAGGAGTGAGGCGCCAGGGTATGCGGTGGGCAGGAAGCTACATCCTGAATGTCAAGGGGCAGCCCAGGCTGCTCCTCCTTCCCTCCCCTGCAGTTCAGCTGCAGCTCCTTGGGGTCTCCACTGAGGAGGGGGCCAGTGGGTACCTGCTGTGGGCACCTCCACTTCTGCTCCAAACCTAAGAGGGGCAGGGCAGGTCCCCACAGGCAGTGTCCTGGGGACCACCCAACTGAGACACAACAGGCTCTGGCTGTGATGCACTTTAATGAGTGCCCTGCCCCTATCCAACCATGCCTGGCTAGCTGTCCCATGAGCTCTGGCTGACCACCCTCTAGTCACAGGAGCCATCCTTCCAGCCGTCGCGCCAGCGCTCATCCACTTTTGAGCAGTCGAAGTCAGGCTTGCCCAGCTTGCGGTTCACTTCATTGTGCAGGTGGCACAGCCACTGTGTGAAGCATGCCCGGGTGCGGGTGTCTGGGTGGTTCCTGCACAGCCTGTGTAGGGAGAGCAGGTAAAGAATGAGAGGACGCAGCGGCTCCACTGCCCCTGCCAGTTCCCTGTCTGCTGTCAAGGAAGGAGAGCTGGGGCACTGCTGTGAACTACACCTGGGAGTGCCCTTATGCTCCAAGGTACAGGCACTCCCAGAACAGGGCTGACCCTGCAGCTCCCCGGGTGTGATGAACTCCCAGGGCTGCGCAAACACCCACCTGGACAGCTTGGCAAACTCCAACGAGGCCTCAAGGCAACACATTACAGCACAGACCTGGCAATTTTATAAGCTCCTAACACCCAGGAAGCGGCATCCAGTGTCCCTGGCCTCAGGCAGAGTGTGGCCTGGGTGGGGCTGGGCACAGCCTTGTAACTGAAAACTGGACTTGTTTCTTAGCATCTGAGGGCAGGCCCTGGTGCGTCAGTTCAGCAAGAGACTTCATTCTAACTGACCAGCCTTATAGCAACAATGGCGGCTCTACCCTATACATCTGGCCTAGAAACACCTGCAAGGGCCAGTGCTGGCTCTTGGATCCCTCAGTGAGGAAGAGATGGCTCTTGGGAGCAAAAGCAGTGGATTTCCAAGATTTTAAAACCAGAAGTCCTACTCTAGAAGTCAGGCAAAGTGGAGTCTTCCCTAACTTGCGGGAAACCGCCTTCAGTGCCAGACAAGGCAGGGAATCCCTTCCTGGAAGCCCTGTGGCTGTGGCAGGAGCAGTACCCAGCAGCAGATCCCGACAGCTTGGCTTCTGAGACGAGAGGAGGAGGCTCAGATAGCCCCAGTCCTCACCTGTTGGAGGTCCCTGCTCCTCAGCAAACTTCTGCCACCTCTGCATCCGTTTCTCTACGTTCCCCGCTATAACGTCAGCCAGGAGCCCCAGGCCCAGGCTCCAGTGCAAAGCTCTGCTGCGTGCAAACACATCTTACCTTTTTCTTAGGTCTTCAGCACACTCCTCACAGGGGTAAAACTTAGAAAATAAATGTATGAACTGGGCCATGTCTTGCTGCTGTTCTGGGGTGGGCAGGTCGGGGTAGTAGGCGGCCAGGGTGTGGAGGACAGCCCAGCTGTGGCGGCCCAGTTCCTCGCGATCCGGCGGGCAGTCCTCCCTAAACTTGGTGTCCCGCTGCGGAAGCAGGCCGACCGAGAGTGAGTTCATTCTCCGAACAAAGGCGCCCAAAGCTCCCCACTGTACGGCCCAGCCGGTGGCCCACTGGACTCCGGCCAAAGTCCTGCAGACGATCCAACCCACGCGCGGATGAAGGCTGTAAGGCCGGGCCTACCCGGGGGGCAAGGTTCAGGGACAGGCAACCCTGGGAAGCTCTGCCGGGGTACCTGGGCGGGGGCGGGGACAGGGGCTGCGCGGGGCTGGGAGAAATCGGGCAGGGAACTGCACCTTCTGCTGCGTCCGCATCCACGTCTTGAAGTCGACGCAGGCCCGGCACGGCCGCCTCCGGGAGGCGTCCTCGGCGACAGGAGAATCGGAGGTCGGCGCCTGGGCTGGCGTCGAGGCCGAGGCGGCCGCGTCTCTCCGCCCCGCGCCCCGGCCCCGCGCGTCGGTCGCCAGGTCGTCCATCATCTCGGAGCGCGCGCCCCCCGGCAGGAAGAAGAGGTTCCCGCCGTGGAAGCGGCCCCGCTCGCCGGGCGCCGCCATGTTGCCCGCGCAAGGCCTGCCGGGTCAGCTCGGCCTCCAGATGAGCCTCCAGGTCAGCCTCCAGGCCAGCGCGCGGCCACAGGAGCCGGAGGCGCGCGCCGTGCTCGCGGGGGCCGGGCCCGAGCCGGGGCTGGGGGCAGAGTCGGGGGCGGTGCCTGCTTGCGGGCCCGTGTGGAGGCGGAGCCAGAGGCCGCGGCGCTGGCCGGGCCCGAGGACAGGGGCGGGGACGGAGCAGGAGGGTCGGACCCTGCTGGCGCCCTCAGGCGTCGATCCGCGGCGCACGCAGGGGTTGCGCCGTCCGTGGCGGCCGTCCCGCTTTCTCCAGTAAAAGAGCAGTGTGTGGCGCAAGGTGCGCCTCGGCCGCGCTGTGGACCCGAGCTGACACCCAGGCAAAGTCCGTGTTGCGGCCCGCGACGTCCCCATCGCTCCGTTCTGAGTGTCCTGCGTGCCTGCGGCCAGGCTTTGTGCCCTCCGCTGAGGGGCGCGTCCACCCGCTGGCTGCCAAGCGCTCTCTCAACGCGGGCCGGGCGTGACCGCACAGATTGCGGCGCGCGCTAGGGTCCTGGGCTCTTGTCCCCTCCCTGGCGCCATGGCAACGGGCGTCTGGCAACGCAGGGCGCGGCGCGGCCGCAGAGGGTTGGCGCGTGCCTTGGGCTCCCTGGCGCCCCTCGCCGGCTGTCGCGGATCCTAGAGCCTGGGATGAGGGGTCGGGCTCCCGGTTGGAGCGGCCTCTGGGATTCCTGTGCCTCCTTGCGTTCATTTATCCATTCCGCTATTATTTGCGCAGTGACCGCTCTGTTCCAAGCGCTGTTCCAAGTGCTGGGCAGAGCAGGGAACACAATTCTGTTCCCTGACCTTCTCTGTTCATAATCCAGTGGTCAAGACAGGAAAAAAAAACAAGGACTCACACTCATAAATGTTCACGTACAAACTGGTGGGTCCATGCAAGGGTGTAGTAAATCTGGAAGGCCTCCTTGAGGAGGTGACCCTTTCTGAAGGATGAGGAATCAGCTGAGGAGCGCCTTCGAGACCAAGCCCAAGGTGGCAGGGTCTTGGCATTTTGCAGGAACAAAAACGCCAGTGGGACGCTAGGGAGGGTTGTAAGGTGGGAGGGGAGATCCAGGGACGGACAGGGGCCCACCAAAGACTTGGTCGGCAGCTTCGGGGATTGGGAATTTATTATAACGGTAGGAGGGAAGATGCTAGACAGTTTTGGGCAAGGTTACCCAATCTGATCCCATTTCAGTTTGCTGCAGATTCCGCTGGCTATCATATGGGGAGTGGATTTCTTTTTTTTTTTTGAGACAGGGTCTTGTTCCGTTACCCAGGGTGGAGTGCAGTGGCGCGATCTTGTTCACTGCAGCCGCGACTGCTTAGGCTCAAGTGATCTCCCACCTCAGCCTCCCAAGTAGACTACAGGCACACGCCACCACGCCCAGCTAATTTTTGTATTTTTGGGGGGCACAGATGGAGGTCTCAACATGTTGCCCAGACTGGTCTCGAACTCCTGAGCTCAAGCAATCCCCCTGCCTCGGCCTCCCAAAGTACTTGGATTACAGGTGAGGCACTGTGTCTGTCCTTGGAGTGGATTTTGTAGGGGCAAGTGAGGAGCATACAGATGGAGGGTGGGGTGTACTATTCAGGCAAGAAAAGAGGGTAGGGGAGGAAAAAGTGGAAACCATGCAGGGCTGATGGGGTGTGGGGCAGGAGCTGTCAGCTGGGGTAGGCAGGTGGCCTCAGAATCCCTCTAGGCCTCTGCTTGTGAATAAATCCTCCCCAGCTTCTCCTGTCTTCCAGGGGAGCAAGGTCTCCCCTGGGTTCACACGCTGGACCCCACCAGGTCAGCTGGGCCCTCAGCTGAGACAGGGAGAAGGTGACAGCTGGCTGGGGGAACCCTGCAAATCAGCCCTATGTGAGCAGGTGTTCATTGCCCATGCCAAGACCAGGGACAGCTTGAGGGCATGAGAGAGAGTGCTGGTGGGACAGACACACAAAGGCCCTTTGTTGCAGCCAGGGCAGCTTCCTGGAGGGATGCCTTAGAGGCTGACTGCTCCCTGAAGGGGCTGGAGTAGGTGCATCCCAACACAGAACTGGTGGCCCCAGCACGAGGAAAAACCACTGTGTGCCAGGGTTGAATGTGGCTTCCGAAGCCCGAACTATAAGGAAGCAGCCAGAGAGGTGGGGCACCTGGGCGAGCCTCTGCCCAGGCCATGTTTGCAGTAAGTCATGGCAAATCGTGAATTGAGAGGTGGTTCTCAAAACAGCCCTAGTGACCACTTCCCTGACCACCACCCCCACCCACCAAATGCCAGTGACTGCACAGATGGGCCCTCTTTCTCCTACCCCAAGTCTCCTCACTGCAGGGGAACCCCTGGGGTGAGCCTGTGAGGTCTGCCCCTCCCCCAGCATGTATAGAACAGCTCACAATAATTACGCATTTAACACACATTTCCTCCTCTATGAGTTGGGGACATTAAGAGACCTTTCCTCCAGCATTAGGATTAAGTCAGACAAAGCACTTAAAGCTGTAAGCACTGAGTCCTTGGTTCTGCACAGAAATCCCCAGGCCAGTTCAAAGTTGTTGGGCGCACCCTGGCAGGGCAATTACCTCACAGGGTAGGGGAATCCAGAGAGGTGGGCAGGACAGGTGGCGCTTTGATTAGCCCTGCCTTCTCCTCCCTCCTCCTGTGGCCAGAGGCAGGCAGGAGGGCCCCAGGCAGCAGTCCCGCCTACCCTTCGCCCCTTCTTCAGTCTTGCACGCCTCCAGGGCTGGAAAGCTCATTCTTCTTCTTCCTCCCAGCAGCTCTGCCTGGAAGTCCCCCAATCCCTGTGCTCCTGCCCCCAGATCGTGGGCTTGGGGGACAGCAAGAAAGCTGCAAAGGACTCAGCTGGGGCGGCTCCACAAGGACCCCACAGGCTTGAGGTGTTGCCAGGATTCTATCCCAGGGGGTTTTCTGGGTCCCCCAGAGCCCTCTCAAGCACGGGGAGGCAGAAGGGTCCTCGCCCATTTCAGGAATCTGCAGCCTGGAAGCCACAGCCATGGCAGGCCCCCGATACCCAGTTTCAGTGCAAGGGGCAGCCCTGGTGCAGATCAAGAGGCTCCAAGTAAGACCTGGCTGGGTCCTTAGTGGCCCCAAGGGATAGGAAGGGGGTGCCTGGACCAGCACCTCCACGGCACTCCCAACTTTTTGTCCCCCAGACGTTTGCCTTCTCTGTGCGCTGGTCAGACGGCAGCGACACCTTCGTGCGCAGGAGTTGGGACGAATTCAGGCAGCTCAAGGTGAGTGACCCTGGGCCACCCTGATGCCGCGGTGGCGGCTTCCCCACGCGGCTGCCTCCCACTGGACTGCCTCCCATCAGTGACTCCCACTGGAGGCCCTTCGTCCCTGCTGAAGCTCCCAGCCCCTGCCATCCGGGTGAGGGACCCCGCCCTCTCAAGGGTGCACAGTGGGCTCTGGAAGACCAATGCCCTGGTTCCCGCCCTCAGAAGACCCTCAAGGAGACCTTCCCGGTGGAGGCGGGCCTGCTGCGGAGATCTGACCGCGTTCTCCCAAAGCTTCTCGGTCAGGCCAGCCTGGGTACGGGAGCGGGGAAGGCGGTGGCTTGCCTGGGGGCGCCAGGGACCAGTGAAGCCCAAAGCGGCGTATCACAGTACGTTTTTGTGGTGCCTTAAGATGCACCACTGTTGGGACGCGTGGGGCGCACGAGCCGCGGCCTGGCGCGCCTGCAGCTGTTGGAAACCTATTCTCGGAGGCTGCTGGCGACTGCAGAGCGCGTGGCACGGAGCCCGACGATCACTGGCTTCTTCGCACCGCAACCCCTGGACCTGGAGCCCGCGCTGCCACCCGGCAGGTGCCTGACTCGCCCCAAACTCCCAGCATGCAGCGGCGTTTGGAGCTGGGAGAGGTCCAGGGTGGGGGGGAACAGCCAGCGAATAGGGGCAGAGAGTGGGAGGCTGGCGGTCTTGCCGGGGTGGCGCCCCCAGTTTCACCCTCCCCATCCGCCTACCTCTCACTCGTACGGGCTGCCCTTCCCAGCCGGGTGATCCTGCCCACCCCAGAGGAGCAGCCTCTTTCTCGCGCTGCGGGCCGCCTCTCCATCCACAGTCTGGAGGCTCAGAGCCTGCGCTGCCTGCAGCCCTTCTGTACCCAGGACACGCGGGATAGGCCTTTTCAGGCGCAGGCCCAGGAGAGCCTGGACGTGCTGCTGCGGCACCCCTCAGGTAGGGCCCCCCAAGAACCCAGGGATTTGCTCCTCTGCTCCTGGACCCGAGGGAGCCTCGAGATTTGAGTCCCTGCCCGCTTCTTGCGCACAGGCTGGTGGCTGGTGGAGAACGAAGACCGGCAGACCGCCTGGTTTCCAGCGCCCTACCTGGAGGAGGCGGCCCCGGGCCAAGGCCGGGAGGGAGGCCCGTCCCTAGGGAGCAGCGGTATGCGCCTAACCCCACCCCTCACGCCACCACTGCGGCTTGACCGTGTGGCAAGACTGGGCCAGAAGCACCGCGGGCAGGGCGGGCCAGGAGCCCGTGCTTGGTCTCCGCACCTAGAGGAAGCCCCGAACCGGTCTTAGAGCGGCCCCGCCGTCAGCAGACTCAAGCAAGGAGAATGTGGAGAAGGGTGCGGGCGGGCCTCGTCCTCTGTGGCCCCGCGGTGACTCCAAACACCCACTCCCACCAGGTCCCCAGTTCTGTGCTTCCCGCGCCTACGAGAGCAGCCGCGCAGATGAGCTGTCCGTGCCCGCGGGGGCGCGCGTGCGCGTGTTGGAAACGTCAGACCGCGGCTGGTGGCTATGCAGGTACGCGGGAGCGGGCGTGGGCAGGGCAGGCTAGCCGAGGCGGGCGGGGCCCTAACCACACCCCGCCCCTCGCAGGTACGGCGACCGGGCGGGCCTACTCCCCGCGGTGCTGCTGCGGCCGGAAGGGCTGGGCGCTCTCCTGAGCGGGACGGGGTTCCGTGGAGGAGACGACCCGGCGGGTGAGGCCCGGGGCTTCCCTGAACCCTCCCAGGCCACCGCCCCTCCCCCCACCGTGCCCACCCGACCTTCGCCGGGCGCCATCCAGAGCCGCTGCTGCACCGTCACACGCAGGGCCCTGGAGCGGCGCCCACGGCGCCAGGGCCGCCCTCGAGGGTGCGTGGACTCTGTGCCGCACCCCACGACGGAGCAGTGAGCGCGAGGATCCCGATGAGGGGATGGACCGCGCCATCCCAGGGCTGGGGAGGAGCGGGGAGGGCGGATCTCCCTGGCCAGCAGGGATGGGAGGGGGCCATTTGCTGTTCCTCTGAGTAAAGCTTGTTCTGCATGACCCCCACCGTCTAAGCGTGCGGAGCCGCGGGCTGGATCTCTGCCAGGCCAGGGTGCGGGATGGGCGTGGCAGGGCCGAGACCATCAGCTCCAGTGCCCTTCTGGCTGGCTAGGTAGGGTGTTGGCCAGGGTGGGGGGCTGGACTGCAGTCCAGAGAGACAGAGCCGGCCAGGAGAGCGGCCTTTATGGGTTTTCCAGGGGTTCAGGATGGACTGGAGAGAGGCCGGACCGGCTAGGGCAGTGCGCCTTTATGGGTTTCCCAGGGGGTGGGGGCGGCGGCCGGCACAGGGAGCTTCATGTTGTGCCACAGGAAGTCCAAGAAAGCGGCGGCCTGGAGGGTCCTGCTGAGCCGCTGAAAGTGCCGCTCTGGGGTTGGACAGAGGGAGGTCAGGGGGGTGGTCCACACGCCCACCAGGATCCCCCAACCCCAGGCTGTGCCCACATACCAGTGTAGGGCAGCAGGGCCTCAAGCGCTGCCCGCACGCCTTCGTAGGCCAGCAGCTCCTCGGGGGCCTCTCGCCTCAAGAGCACACCCAGCACGGCCTGGGCCTCGTGGCAGTGCCGCGAGTTGGTGTTCCACGTGACGCAGAAGCGCAGCAGGGCCTCTGTGGGCAACAGGACCCTCATCGTCTTGCCCAGCCAATCTGCCATGACTGGCCCTTGCCCACCGGGCCACCCACCCTGACTGGCCGCCAACCTTTCTGGTCGCGCCGCAGTCGGAGCATGGTGGCTTCCAGCTTCTCGCAGGCCTCAGGGTCCCTCCGGATGGCTGTGGGAGAAGGGAAGGCTGAGCTGGGGAAAGCAGAGCCCAGTGGTCCGAAGACCCAGCCCCTCGCCCCCCGGGGTGGGCACTGACCCTGGATGACAGTCAGCACGGTGTGGGGCCGATCCAGGGAGATGGCCAGGCCCAGCGCCCGCAGGTACCGCTTCTCATGCAGCAGGTTGTCCAGCTCTTGCTGCCTGTGGGGAGGGGAGGAGAGGCCACTGAGGGCCGCTGGCTGGGGCTGCAGGCAGAGCCATCGGAGTCAGCAGGCAGGGAGCCTGGCACTCAGCCTCGTTTTCCCTACAGCACAGAGCAGGGCTGATGCGGGGAGGGGCGCCACTGCCCTGGCCTTACCTGACCACCTGCTCCTCTTGCCTGGCCTGCTCCTCTGCCTGCTCCGCCTCGGTCACATCCTGGGGTTAGACTAGGGTCAGATGGGGCCTCCACTCCACCCCGACTCTTCCCTGCCCTTGGGGCCCACAACCTTCCAGAGGATGACTCGGGAGTCACTGGCCCCAGTGAGGGCGTGGTCGTCCAGCCGGCTGCAGTGCAGCCCCCAGACCTTGTCCTCGTGGGCATCCAGCGTCCGCACACACTCGTTGTTCTTGATGGTCCAGAGCTTCACGAGGCCATCCGAACCGCTGGGTTTGGGGTGGGGAGAGGCTCAGCGTCAGGCAGGTCCCCCCGCCACCCCCCACTCCATCGCTGCCCCACCCCAGCCCACTCACCTGGACAGCAGCTGCGTGCCACGGCTCACAAAGGCCACCTTCAGCACAGAAGCATCGTGCCCCTCAAATGTCTGCAAGGTGGGGGGTAGGGCATGAGATGTCACCAGGGCGGGAAGTGGGGAGGGTCTGGAGCGCCACTTACCTTGAGACAGCTGAAGTCCTGGAGTGCCCAGAGCTTGATGGTGCCATCAGCTGAGGCCGTGGCCAGCACCTGGTCCATGGGAGAGAACTGGACGCACCAGAGGCCACGCCGGTGGCCTGAGAAGACACCCAGCAGCTGGCACTGTGGCAGGGCCCAGAGCTTGGCCGTGCGGTCCTGTGAGCCTGTGGCCAGCAGCTTGTCGTTGGGGGCAATAGCCACGCTGTTGATGTCCTGGCAATGGGAGAAGGTGGTGGCTCAGCAATCCCCCATCTTCCCCCAGCAAGGGCTTGGCCACACCCCCACCCCAGTGGCTATGGAGTCACCTTATCATGGCAGCGCTGAGTGGTCTGGGCCTGCAGGAGGATAGGGCCGTTGTCTGGGGCTGTGTTCTTGGACAGCAAGGCTTTGGGAAGAGGCCACAGCTTCACAGTGCAGTCCTGGCTGCCTGTCACCAGGAAGGACTCCTTCAGCCTGTGACCCAACAGGAGAGGAGGAGACACAGCTGAGCCCCAGCCAGCCCTGATGGCCAGCTCCCCACAGGGCCAGGCTGGGAGCCCACGGTCCAGACCACGGGGCCTGTCCCAGGATGCGGGTTGGCCTGGGTCACCCCCAGGCACCTGTAGGATCAAGCCCTGTCTACATTGTCCACCCGCAGCACCGGGTGGCTCAGCCCTAGCCACAGGACCCTGTGCCTACATGCAGGGGTCACCTCTCCACCTGGGCCTCGTGCAGGGTCATTCTCTCTGCCTAATGCCCTTCCCCCTTTAACCACTTCACCAGGGCTACTTCTGAGGACTGACCCCGAGGCACCTAGGGACTCTCCTGTCCTGTTCTGTTCCACATCTTTGGGCTGGAGCCTCAGAGCAAGCCAAAGCTGCCACTGCCTCCCCAGCTCCCTGAGCGGCAGCCCTGCTGGCAGGCCTGGGCCTCCACCTCCCTGACACCCCTGGGCCCAGCCCCGACTCACTACCTAGAGCAGCAGACGGTGCCCACACTGTGTGTGTGACCGGAACCCTGAGCCACGCACATCACCTGGCCAGCCTTGTTCATTCTCCAGATACGGACGCTCTGATCCTGGGGACAGGGAGTTGAGGAGAGAGGCTGGTCCATGGGCCTACTGCGTGGCCTCCCCGCCTGGTGCCCCTGCCCCTACCTCTCAGGGTGCCTCACCTTGGCACAGCTGGCAAAGAGCCACCCCTTCCGGAACACATCCAGGGCCAGGACGATATCTGAGATGTTGTGGGGAGGTATAGGTCACACAGCAAGACGGGGGAAGGGAAGCAAGCAAGGGACCGAGGCGGCTCCCAGGGTGTCAGGTGGGCTGGCCCCACTCACCCGTGTGGCCGTGGAGGATCTGGCAGGCTGACGTCTGCAGCTCAAACACTTTTAGGCAGGGGCTATTGGAGGCCACGACAACGTGGGAGTCCTCGGGCCCAAGAAACCGGACATCCAAAACCTCCTCACTGTAGCCAGCGAACTGCGGGGTGGCAGGGAGCAGGAGATGTGAGCCAGGACCTGTGTAAGAGGAGGGCTGGTGCCCGCAGCCTCCAGACTGAGCAAGGGCAGGTGTGCACCTGTTTCTGCAGCCGCAGGGAGCGAGCCTCGTAGAGCAACAGGTTGTGGTCGGCGGTGGCGGTGAGGACCACGCCGGCGGTGTGTGCCAGGGTGCAGTGGGTCAGCTCCTGCCCAGGGCCCGGCGGCTGGGCCTGCGTGTACACACACTGCCCAGAAGCTGCCTCCCACACGCGCAGAGTGCCTGTGTGGGTGGGGACAGGGCTGCTGAGACTCTCAGGTCCACAGGCCTTCCCCAGCCCCTACCGCCTGCCCATGTCCCGGCCCAACACACCTTGGTCGCCAGCTGTCAGAAAGTACAGCCCTGGGGACTTCACACCCAGCTGGGACACTGGCTCCTCTGGCAACAGCACAGCAGCCTCCACGCTCTGGAGACGAATTGGGTCACAGGCTGCTATCATGCC
This sequence comes from Homo sapiens, assembly GCF_000001405.40. Lineage (NCBI taxonomy): Eukaryota > Metazoa > Chordata > Mammalia > Primates > Hominidae > Homo > Homo sapiens. Next base: position 1,975,308 of record NC_000016.10, on the reverse strand, counting down.
CCCTCCCCACCCAACTCAACCAGCCCTGGCCTCCAGGCATCCCCACCTCAAACACAGGCACGGTCCTCGTGGCCTGGCAGCTCTGAAGGTCCCAGATGATACATATCTTGTCACGGCCGGAGCTGAAGGAGCAACGGCAACCTCAGGTCAAGTCTTAGCCTCAGCCCCCACTTTCCAAGCCTCCCCCTCCTACCAGGGCCCACTGCTGACCTGAGCATGGTGTGGCCGTCGGCGCTGAAGGCCAGTGAGGTGACGGCGCTGTAGTGGGCAGTCAGCACAGCCAGGCATGACCGGTCCTGCAGTGACCACACGCGGATGGCGGCATCCGTGGCCGAGGAGAAGAGCAGCAGGCGTGTAGGGTCCGGGTGGAAGGCCACTAGGCTGTGGGCGGACGGGACAGGATGGGTGAGCTGTGCAGCCTGGGTGGTGCCTCTGCCCTCCCCCTCCACCTTCCAACTCACTGCACGACACCGGGCGAGCCTCGGAAGTGGTGTGTCCCGTAGTGCCGCACGATGTCCCAGACGCGCACGGCCCCATCACAGCCACCTGCGGGGAAGCAAGGTGAGGGGGTGGAATGCCCAAAGCCCCTGCATCTGTGCCCACGACCCACCTGCACGGCAGGGCCCTACCTGTGGCTAGCAGAGTGGAGGTGGGGTCGAAGGCCATGGTGGCCACGGGGGCCGTGTGTATCGCCTTCCACAGGCGGGTAACGCTGCCCTCTTGCCAGGCCCACTGAGCCAGCAGCAATGCCCGACTGGCTGTCACCAGCACCTGGGGGAGGGTACAGGTCAGCAGAGGGGCAGCAATACCCTGCTCACATCTTCCTGGACTCAGTCTGGGAGGGAGGCGCTGGAGCGGGTCCCCTCCAGGCCCCGCCCCACATACCTCGTTGTCAGGGCTGAGGTCAAAGGCAGTGATGTCCTCCTGGTCCTCCTAGGAGAAAGAGTGGTGTGCCGAGCACGGTGTGAGTGGGCTGCCCTCTCCACTTGCCCCTCACCCACCCAGGCTGCCCTCACCTGCTCCAGACTCCGCAGCACGGCCCCCGAGGCCACTTCCAGAATGTTGACTCTGGTGCCACAGACGCAGAAGAGGTGCTGGCCAGTCTGGTCCAGCTGGGGACAGAGAGGTCTCAGCCAGGCAACATTCAGCACCCCCCGCGGCCTCTGGCTGCCCGCCCCACTGCCCTTCCCCAGGCTGGTACCTGTGCTTTTCCGCCCTTGTAGAAAGGCTCAATTTTGCGCTCCACAGCATAGCTGGAAGGAGAGCGGGAGGCGAATGAGCACCACCCACCCCCTCAGTCCCCAGGGCCCCGCCCTGTGCTAGGTGCTCCTCTCCAAGTGACCCCAATGGCCCCTGCCCTTGAGTTTCTGGGCAACAGCAGGGACAGGGCATGGGGTGGAACCAGCAGTACTGCAGGGGGCTGTAGCTACCGTCGTCACTGAGAAGTAGAGACCCGCAGCTGGCTGGTGATCCCTGAGGCAGTAGGGGGTGGGCCTGTGTCAGGTGGAGTCAGCCCAACAGCCCAGGGCTTCCAGGGATTCCCCAGTGAGAGCCAGGGGGCTCCTTGGGAACACCCCTGCCGGCGGTGGGTGGCCAGGCCTGGGTAGCCAGCCCAGAGCACATCCTCCCAGTGTCTTCATCCCTGAGGTCTGGCATACCTCTTCCCCTCCCTGACTCCTCTCTCCATCCCCAGGCTTGCCCAGAGCCCGGGTCCCACGAGCAGCTGTCATTTCTGTGACCTCACTCGTGCCCCTTCTCCTTCCTTCTCCACTGCCTCCACCTGGTCCAGCCCATCACAGTCTCTGGCCAGCCACTCTGGCCTCTTCACTGGACCCCCTACCTACCTCTTTTTACTTATTTATTTTTTGAGAAGGGGTCTCGATCTGAGAAGGGGTCTCCAGCCCAGGCTGGAGTGCAGTGGCACGATCTCAGCTCACTGCAAGCTCCACCTCCCGGGTTCACGCCATTCTCCTGCCTCAGCCTCTCCGAGTAGCTGGGACTACAGGTGCCCGCCACTGCGCCCAGCTAATTTTTTGTATTTTTAGTAGAGACGGGGTTTCACCGTGGTCTCAATCTCCTGACCTCGTGATCCGCCCGCTTCGGCCTCCAAAAGCGCTGGGATTACAGGCGTGAGCCACCGCGCCCGGCCTCCCCTACCTACCTCTTAACCCTGCTGCCAGGTACCTTTCAGAACATAACTGAAGATGTCACTGCCCTGCGTTAGCCCCTCCCTTCTGCCCACACACCTCCCAGACCTTGCCCAGAAGAGCCTCTGCCACCCTTGCCTCTGCTTTCTTTCCTTCTCATGGCCCACAGTGCACCCCACTGCTCCTGTCCCAGCCTCTGGGACGGGTTTCCTATCTTCCCCCTATTCCCTGTACGCGGCCTGGGCTTCTCTTCCCAGATGTCAAGGCCTGGCTCACTGCGCTTCTGGAAGCCTGACTGCCAAAACGAAAGCGGCCCCTCAGCCCCCGCACCCAGTTGACCCTCCCACGACGGTGCTGCCAGCCTGGGACTTTCCTTTACCAGTGCTTGGCACAACCAAAGCCCCACAGCCGCCAGTGGAAACGATAATCCCATGAGGCTGCGCTGCCAGGGCGGGGGCACCAGCACTGCTGTTCGGCAAAGGCTTGGGGAGTGACGGGGCACAGCACTCAGGGCCTCCTGGGCTTCTGCGGACCCGCCCCTCTCCTGCATTCTCCCTGCTCCCTGGAGAAGACGGATCGCGGATGAAAGGTCCCCAGGCCGACTGCTCAGAGGTGGTTCTTCGCCCCCGCCGCCTCCCGGGACCAGCCCCGACCTAGGCTCAGCCCTCTCCTCCCCTCATCGGGACTTCTGGTCCCCACTCCACCCCATAGCCGGCTTCTCGATGAGCCCACGCTGCTGCTCCCGGCGGCCGGGCTCCGATCGCCGTCCTCCCCGAGAGCAGCCGGGGCCGGCTCTCCCGCCTAGTATCACCGCAGCCTCCGCGACCCCGCGGGCCGGCGCACACACAGCCTCTCGCCTCCACGGACCCCAATGCGTGCCCACCCCACGCGCGCCTCCGCTATGCCGGCTGCAAACCCAGCTCCCTCCCCGCACGGCCCCAGAGCTCCGGGCTCACTTGGTCTTGAAGCGGCCCACTCCGGCCGCGGTCTCTGCCATGTTGCCGCCGCCGCCGCTCCAGCTGAAACCTGCTAGGGTCCCGGCAGCCACCGCCGCGTGAGGGAGGTTAGCACCGAACTCTTCACAGAACGCCACACTCCCGGCGCGCTGCGATGGCGTCACCGCGCGCGACCACTGTGACGTCCCCGCCGGCGCCGCGCACTTGGCGCCATCTTTGCTTCGGGCAGTGGCGGCTGCATCGGGAAGCGGAAGCGGGCGGAGACGTTTCCGGCCTGGAGGGAGGGCCGTGAGCTGTGAGGGTGCTTCGCGGGTCGGTGGGGGTAGACCGGCGGATGTGGCATCGCTGGTGGCCTGGCTCTTTGATACCAGTATAAAAAGGCATTTGTAGCCAGCGTTTACTCCTGCTTTTCGGCGTTCTGGGATGTGGGGGTACCAGCTGTCGGGTGCGGTCCGTGCGTAGAGCCGTCAACCTGACCCTGCCCCTGGGCTCGCAGTGTGGCTCTTGATAAATAACGTAGGTAAATGAATAAACCGGGTAATCTCAAAGGCATTCATGTATTGAGCACCTTCTGTGTGCAAAGCACTGTAATCGGCACTTGGCGGACACCAGAGAAGAAACAGAACGGGCGACGAGTGATAGTTGCTGAGCGCGATGGAAAAAGGAGGAGGGCCGGGCGCGTTGGCTCACGCCAGTAGTCCCAGCACTTTGGGAGGCCGAGGCGGGTGGATCACCTGAGGTCGGAAGTTCGAGACCAGCCTGACCAACGTGGAGAAACCCCGTCTCTACTAAAAACAGAAAAAAAAAATTAGCTGGGCGTGGTGGCACATGCCTGTAATCCCAGCTACTTGGGAGGCTGAGGCAGGAGAATCGCTTGAACCCCGGAGGCGGAGGCTGCAGTGAGCTGAGATTGCGCCACTGGACTCCAGCCTGGGTGACAGCGTGAGACTCCGTCTCAGAAAAAAAGAAAGAAAGAAAGAAAAAAAAACAGAAGGGAGGGAGCGGAAGGGAGGAAGGAGGAGGCTGTATTGAGAAGGTGACGCCTGAGCAGACACAAGTTCGCGAAGCAGGGAGCCCTGTGGAACGAATGGTGTTGAGAACAGCCAGGGCACAGGCCTAGGACTGGGGGTGCCAAGCATTGAGTAGCAACAAGCCGGGTGGCTGCAGGGAGTGGGTGCAGAGGGCAGAGGGCATGCAGTTGCCTGTGCGCCGTGGCGAGGAGTTAGCTTTTACTCTGAGTTCAAGGTTTTGAGCCATTTGTGCTACTGGCTCTGAAGCTGGTAGAAAGTAACAGCCAGGCCGGGCGCGATGGCTCACGCCTGTAATCCTAGCACTTTGGGTGGCCGAGGCCGGTGGATCACGAGGTCAGGAGTTCGAGACCAGCCTGGCCAGCATGGTGAAACCCAGTCTCTGCTAAAAATACAAAAATTAGCCTGGTGTGGTGGCGGGTGCCTGTAATCCCAGCTACTCGGGAGGCTGAGGTAGGAGAATCGCTTGAACCCGGAGGCGGAGGTTGCAGTGAGCCAAGATCGCAACGTCACTGCACTCCAGCCTGGGCGATAGAGCAAGACTGTCTCAGAGAAAAAAAAAAAAGTAACTGGGCCAGTCTGGGCATCATGGCGAGACCCTGTCTCCACATACACACACACACACACAGAAAATTTAGTAGGGGTGGTGGTGTGCCTGTAGTCCCAGCTACTCTGGAGGCTGAGGTGAGAGGGCTGCTTGAGCCTGGGAAGCTGAGTTTCTAGTGAGCTGTGATTGGGCCTCTGCACTCCAGCCTGGGCAACAGAGACCCTATCTCAAAAAATAGAAAAGAAAAAAATGAAAAAACGAAAGTAACTGAGAAGGAGAACTGAGAAGTATGATCAGGGAAAATCTCTGAGAGGAGAGATATTTGAGGGAAAGAAAGTAGGCCATCATGGTGGCTCACACCTGTGATCCCAACACTTTGGAGGCAGGAGGATCACTTGAGCCCAGAAGTTTGAGACCAGTCTGGATAACACAGTGAAACCCCATCTCTAAAATAAACACAAAAATTAGCCGGCAGTCGTGGTGCGTGCCTGTAGTCCCAGCTACTCAGGAGGCTGAGGTGGGAGGATTGCTTGAGCCCAGGGAGGTTGAGGCTGCAGTGAGCCGTAATCACGTGACTGCACTCCAGCCTGGGTGCCAGAGCAAGACCCAGTCTCAAAAAAGAAGAAAAAGGTATTCTGTCTATGGAGTAGCCATTCTTGTATTCCCCTTATTTATTTATTTTTATTTATTTATTTTTTGAGACAGTCTGGGTCTGTTGCCCAGGCTGGAATGCAGTGGCGTGATCTCGGCTCACTGCAAGCTCCGCCTCCCGGGTTCACACCATTCTCCTGCCTCAGCCTCCCGAGTAGCTGGGACTACAGGCGCCTGCCACCACGTCTGGCTAATTTTTTGTATTTTTTAGTAGAGACGGGGTTTCACTGTGTTATCCAGGATGGTCTCAATCTCCTGACCTCGTGATCGGCCCACCTCGGCCTCCCAAAGTGCTGGGATTACAGGCGTGAGCCCCCGCGCCCGGCCTCGTTTTTTGAGACGGAATCTTGCTCTGTCGCCCAGGCTGGAGTGCAGTGGCACGGTTTCCGCTCACTGGAAGCTCCGCCTCCCGGGTTCAGGCCATTCTCCTACCTCAGCCTCGCGAGTAGCTGGGGCTACAGGCGCCCGCCACCATGCCTGACTAATTTTTTGTATTTTTTAGTAAAGACGGGATTTCACTGTGTTAGCCAGGATGGTCTTGATCTCCTGACCTTGTGATCCGCCTGCCTCGGCCTCCCAAAGTGCTGGGATTATAGGCGTGAGCCACCGCGCCTGGCCTATTTATTGATTTATTTTTATGAGACGGAGTCTCACTCTTGTCGCCCAGGCTGGAGTGAAGTGGTGTGATCTTGGCTCACTGCAACCTCCACCTCCCGGGTTCACACCATTCTCCTGCCTCAGCCTCCCGAGTAGCTGGGACTACAGGCGCCTGCCACCACGCCCAGCTAATTTTTGTATTTTTAGTAGAGACGGGGTGTCGCCATGTTGGTCAGGTTGGTCTCGAACTCCTGACCTCAGGTGATCCACCCACCTCAGCCTCCCAAAGTGCTGGGATTACAGGCGTGAGCCACCCACGCCCGGCCTCCTTCCTTTGAAAAAGAAAAGATGAAAGAGAGCAGGCAAATGCCTGGAGAGGGCAGCAGGGATGCACCGGTGACAGTTGTGAGGGCCGCAGGCACAGAGGCAGGCAGGCCGGGGGTCTGCTTTTATTTACCTATTTACAAGGTATGTTGGCCCTGGGCTCCCCCACCACCTCAGCCCCAACGTTGCCTTCTGGGGCAGCCTCGGCCTCCTCCTGTGGGGCACCCTCCAGCAGAGCGGTGTCTTCCTCCAGGAAGTTGCTGAGCTCCGCCAGCTCTCTACGAACGACACTGGTGGCTTGGTCCAGCCAGCGCACACGCCGCAGGAGGGACAGCAGCAGGGGCCGACGGCGCTCCTGGCGCACGCTCCAGGCGTTGTGCAGCTCCCGGTAGCAGTTGTGGCGAGCACGCTCGGCCGGGTCCAGGGTGGCCCCGCAGCCCAGGGGGCAGCGCTGCTGGGACCCTTGCTGGCAATGCTGCCGGTGCTCTGCCAGGGTCCCACGCGGCACCTGCGAGGTGCAGCCCTCGTTGGGGCAGGCCGTTAGCTCAAAGGGGCATGAGTCCTGGTGCCCCTTGCGATGGGCCAGGGGGCATGTCACTATGCAGCCAGCGTCGGCGTTCTTGCACTGAGGGTGAAGGAGAACGTGTGAAGAAACCGGGCAGGACACCCACGGAATCCCCCACCCCTGGCTTTCCATTCGCCAGGAACCAGGGAACCGGGAGCCTCCCACGCTTTTCTGACTCTGGTGAGTTGGTGGAGAGAACACTGGGGCAAATGCCTAGACGTGGGAAGAAGCTAGAAGTTCCAGGGGAGAGGGTGAGGCCTGAGTCTTGGGGAACTGGAAGGTACACAGTTGGGTTGGTCTGGTGAGTGGTATGGATGCCAGGCTTTCCTTTTTAACCTCGGTTTACCCATCTGTAAAACTAGGGGACTAGAGAGTAGTGGCAGGCACACTGGGCACTTGATCCTCTAAAAATCCTCTGTAATCTCCATTTTAAAAGTCCTCTAAAATCTCCATTTTCTAACCCAGGGGCTTGGAAAAGTTAGGTGACTTGCCTAAAGTCACACAGCAACTAAGCAGTAGAGCCACGATCCAAACTCAGCTATGTCTGGTCGTCCCAAGGCTGCACTTGTTTCTCTCTGAAGATGGGATTCTCCTGCCTTCTCTCCTAGCCCTGCCCCACCCCTACAAGGGTGAGAAGGGTTGAGGGTCAGGGGAGTGGGTACTTTGAGCTACCTTGACTTCCAGGCGGCCAATGGTTTTCCGGAGTTTATTCATGTGGACAACCTTTTTCCTTTTCACCTCTTTCCTACAGCACGGACAGGTCTTTTGTCTGGAAGGAGGCATGAGTAGGGGTGAGTGTTGGGAGTGGGAAGGGAGCCCTGGTCAAGCCCTCACTCGGTGACCCAGGTGGTCCCTTCATTAGCTGGATGAGGCATTAGGGCATATTACAGGGCGCTCTCAGCTCTGAGGGTGGGGCCGGGGTCTGCAGACACTACTGAGTGAGGGTACACACATTTTAGTTTAGGGAGATTTGGTGGCTGAGTCTTTTGGCTGACTTTCCCCTCTGTTCTGGGCCACAGCAATGGCCCCCAGTCTCACTCCTGCCCTCCCAGCCCCTTGGGTACCCGCTGGCACCTGGCTAGCCACCGGAGGATGCACTTTTTGCAGAAGATGTGGCTGCATGGCAACCTTGCTGGCCTCTTGAGAACCCCATGGCAGACGGAGCACACGAAGTTGCTGTCAGGAGGGCTGGCGAAGAGGTTGAGATCATACCCGCCACCCTGCAAAGGCCAGGTGTCAGCACCTGGCTGGGACAGTGATCCAGTCCCTGGTCCACATACCGAGCAAGAGAGCCCAGCAAGCTTTTGGCAGGGAGGTGGGCCACAGAACTTCAAGTAAAGGGGTTGGCTCAGCGCCCACTTTGAGGGGGCAGCTGTGGGGGTTAGGGCCCCCCACCCCAGGACTACTAATCTCTGGCTGGAGACGGGGGCCTTAGCCTGGAATTAGACCTAGCCAGAGCCTTCCAGAAGGTTTCCTTGTACCATATGGGGGTCTGCAACCCATTGCCCACCCTTTCCGAGTGGAGTGGGGTCGATCCCTGGACAACTGGGCAGGTTTCTGGAGTTGGGCACACATCTCAGGGCTGGAAGCAAGAGGGCCCCAGGCTCACCATGATCTGCGTCTAGACAGCAGCTCCACAGGCCCCCAGAGCTCAGGAGCCTGCATTTCACAGTGGGTGTGGGCTGACATCACAATAGCATTGTCCAGCTCAAGCCAGTCACAACCCTGGTTCAGGACCCAGAGACCCCGTACAGCCCAGCCCTTGCCCCCTTCTCTGAAGGATCACAGGTAGCCAGGCGCGGTGGCTCACACCTGTAATCCCAGCAGTTTGGGAGGCCAAGGCAGGAGGATCACTTGAGCCCAGGAGACCAGCCTGGGCAACTCAGTGAGACCCCACCTCTTAAAAAAAAAAAAAGCCATACGGCTAGCTGCAGTGGCTCATGCCTGTAAGCCTAACACTTTGGGAGGCCGAGGCAGGCAGATCACTTAAGGTCAGGAGTTCGAACCAGCCTGGCCAACATGGTGAAACCCCATCGCTACTAAAAATACAAGAAAATTAGCCAAGTGTGGTGGCAGTTGCTTGTAGTCCCAGCTACTTGGGAGGCTGAGGCAGAATTGCTTGAACCCGGGAGGCGGAAGTTGTAGTAAGCTGAGATGGTGTCACTGCACTCCAGCCTGGGTGACAGCGAGACTCCGTCTCAAAAAAATAAATAAAATAAAATAAAAATAAAAGAGAGCAGCTCTTGACCTGAGATAGGTCTATGAAGCGCCTGGGGCTTGAGAGTGGCTGACAGCGTTTCCCCAGAAGCACTGGGTCAGAACCAAGCTTCATGGAGCTGTCTCCCCCAGGCCAGGGCTTCAGTGGGATCACAGGGATTGCCACCCTCTTCTCTCCAATACTGCGGCCCAGGTGGCTGGAGATCCTAAGGCTTAGGGGTTTTAGGCATTGACTCACTGGGGGTCTTCACTTAGGATCTGATACTCAGGTGCTAGCTCCACGGCAGTGACAACTAAACTCCCGGGTAACCTGCCGCCCCAGAGCAGGGGGCCCAGCCTCCCAAACCAGGTGTCTGATCCACTCCAGCCTAGCACCACGGGGGCGCTGAGTTCATCTAGGCCTAGTTGGTCAAATCCTTTAGAATCTCACCTGGTCTCACAAGGAAGCCACTGGAAGCCTCTGAGCTTCCCATCCTTGCTAGTGCTCTGCTGGCTCCACCTGGAGCCCTTTGGACCAAGGCATTTTACCTGCCAGTGTAGTTCACTTGAGATGCGCATGGCCACAAGACTGTTCGTAGTCTGGCTCCTCCACTTAAGAGGCGTCGGACCTTACACATCACCTGCCAACCTCCCATATCCTACCCTTGTGTCCAAAGCCAGGAAAGAAGAGGAGGCATCTCGCTAGGGTTCTCCCCGCCACAGCGTGAACATATGCACTTGCCGCCAGGCTGATAGGCGAGTCGGGGCCCCAAGAACACCCGCATGCAGTGAGTTAGACAAAACAGCTTTATTTGAAAGACGTGGGACAGCCAAGTTCCCCCAACCCCGCGGTCCTGGCGACGTCGGTGTCAGGCGTGGGAGGACCAGTGTCCTGCGGAGAAAGAACAAGGTTAGGGGTCTGCAGTCGGGGTCAGGAGTCAGGGGCCAGACCTCGCGAGCGACCGCACCCGGGGGGGAGGCGGCAGCGCCTGTCGGGGCCTGGGTTTCACCGCCGCACATGGGGCAGCGCGCGGTGAGCTGAGGCCCCCGGGGGCTCTGGGCGCCGAATCTCACCCGCGGCCACGGCCAAAGCCGGGGGCGATTTTCAACCAACGCCGGTCTCGAAGACCACCAGCGAGACGCCAGTGGTCAACGCGGCAGGACCTACCTAAGTGAAGAGGAGAGCGCAATGGAGGCGCGGACGTTTATAGCCACTCTTCGGGTGGATTCCCGAGCCGCGGCTGGGGACGGAGGCGCCGGCGTTTATAGTCGCTTTTCGGGTGACGTAGATTCCCGGGCCGCGGCTGGGGCCGGACGGGCAAGAGCACTCAGAGCCCGGTGAGGGCGGGGCACCGCGGAGCCAATCACAGGTTGTCTTATAGGAGCTCGGCCCGCTCCCGCTTGGGGCGGGGCTGCGGAGATCTCGCGGCGCTTGGCGTGCTATAAAAGCTGCTTCCCAGTAGGTCTCGTTCTTCTTTTCCGACAAAACACGTGAGTCCTGTTGGTCGCTGCAGCGGGCCTCTGCGTGGGCGGCGGGAATCCGCGGACATCGGGTCGGGTCTAGGCTCCCGAGTCCGCGCTCCTGGGCGGGAGCCCTTGTCTGGGTCTCGCGGGGGGCTGCCAGATGCGTAGGCCACACTGACTAGTTCCTTCTTGTCGCTTTTCCCAGCAAATGGCGGATGACGCCGGTGCAGCGGGGGGGCCCGGGGGCCCTGGTGGCCCTGGGATGGGGAACCGCGGTGGCTTCCGCGGAGGTTTCGGCAGTGGCATCCGGGGCCGGGGTCGCGGCCGTGGACGGGGCCGGGGCCGAGGCCGCGGAGCTCGCGGAGGCAAGGCCGAGGATAAGGAGGTAGGTATCAGCCACGCTCGGGGTCGGGCCCCTGGGCGGCGCCGGAGAGCGGTCCTGGTCACTGGCGCCTTTTCTCCCTTTAGTGGATGCCCGTCACCAAGTTGGGCCGCTTGGTCAAGGACATGAAGATCAAGTCCCTGGAGGAGATCTATCTCTTCTCCCTGCCTATTAAGGTACGCGTCGGTCGTTGGGGCGTTGAGCAAGTGCGACCCCGGAGTCATTTGGGCTGGGGTTGGAGGATTAGCATCTGCCATTGACTCGCATTAAAGGGCCCAGCGTCTCGCGTGAGAGGTTGAGGTTGTGTTGCGGGCTGGCTGAGGAGAGGATTCCACTTAGAGGTTGGATGGATACCTGAGCGAAGCCAGAGCCACAAAAGGCATTTCAGCGCATCTTCCCACATTCGCAGCGAATTCATTTCGAAAGAACTGAAAGAGAAGCAGCGCTTGGTTCATGCCATCCGAGAGGATGATGAAGTTCAGGTTGTGGGAGGACACTGTAAGGGTTAGCAAACTGTCATAGTCCGCGTGTACGGGACAGCTGTCATCTGCATCCAGCGGGTGCAGTGGGGAAAGGCTAATGGCATATTTGTCATGTGAGCGTTCGCCCTAGCAAGGTACGGTGGTCATGGCTAGGCCAAAGCTGGACAAAGCAAAAGGAAATCTGAGTGGAAAGCCACATCTCACCAAACAAGAGAAAAAGGGCAAATAGGAAGAAACGATTGAGATGCAGAAATAGGGTAACCTTACATACAAGCTTCCAAAAACGAAACGAAGGGGACAGATCGGGGGGAAGCCAGGTGAGGGGGTTCATGACTTCTTCGGTTTTTTTTGGGCGGGGTGGGCGGTTACACAGTTTCGCCCTATCGCCTAGGCTGGCGTGATCTCGGCTCACTGCAACCTCCACCTCCCAGGTTCAAGCGATTCTCCTGCCTCAGCCTCCTGAATAGCTGGGGTTACAGGCGCACTCCACCATGCCCGGCTAATTTTTTGTGTCTTTAATAGAGGTGGGGTTTCACCATGTGGCCAGGCTGGTATCGGACTCCTGACCTTGTGATCCGCCCACCTCAGTCTCCCAAAGTGCTGGGATTACAGGCTTGAGCCACCGCCCCCGGCCGTGACTTTGGTTCTTGAATATCATAATGGTATTAAGTTTTTTTTTAATGCTCTCCCTACAATTTTCTTGTTTGTTTCAGGAATCAGAGATCATTGATTTCTTCCTGGGGGCCTCTCTCAAGGATGAGGTTTTGAAGATTATGCCAGTGCAGAAGCAGACCCGTGCCGGCCAGCGCACCAGGTTCAAGGTACCCGGCTGTCCTGGAGGGGGCTGCGCTGGGCTTGCCGGGACTCTCTCGGCTCTGCATAGTTGCACTTGGCTTCACCCGTGTGACTTTCGTAACGGGGAGAGAGAGAAAAGATCTCCTCAGGACCTCGGATGGGCCTTACTGTGGCCTCTCTTTCCTTGAGGGGTGCAACAGGCCCTGGGCGGTGGGCAGTGATTGGGTGTAGGGCCACCAGCTGCCTCACACACATCTTTTCGCAGGCATTTGTTGCTATCGGGGACTACAATGGCCACGTCGGTCTGGGTGTTAAGTGCTCCAAGGAGGTGGCCACCGCCATCCGTGGGGCCATCATCCTGGCCAAGCTCTCCATCGTCCCCGTGCGCAGAGGCTACTGGGGGAACAAGATCGGCAAGCCCCACACTGTCCCTTGCAAGGTAGGCTGGTGGCAGGTGATGGGCCTGCCGTGGGGCAGGCTCCCTCGGGCCCCCGTCTCCTGACTCCTTCCCTCACCAGGTGACAGGCCGCTGCGGCTCTGTGCTGGTACGCCTCATCCCTGCACCCAGGGGCACTGGCATCGTCTCCGCACCTGTGCCTAAGAAGCTGCTCATGATGGCTGGTATCGATGACTGCTACACCTCAGCCCGGGGCTGCACTGCCACCCTGGGCAACTTCGGTAGGTGGTCCACACATGGGGCATAGCCATGGTCTCTCAGCTCCGCTTAACCACACGGGTCCAGTGTGTGCTTGGCGTGTTTTCAGGGAGGCAGAGAAAGGCTCTCCTAATGCACGACAGACCCGCCCAGAATGGCCTCTCTGTTCCTAGGAGTGCGACAATTTTTGGGTTGGGGGACTTGCCTCAAGCACACCACTGACCCTCCTGGGGTTCTTTTGTTTTGCAGCCAAGGCCACCTTTGATGCCATTTCTAAGACCTACAGCTACCTGACCCCCGACCTCTGGAAGGAGACTGTATTCACCAAGTCTCCCTATCAGGAGTTCACTGACCACCTCGTCAAGACCCACACCAGAGTCTCCGTGCAGCGGACTCAGGCTCCAGCTGTGGCTACAACATAGGGTTTTTATACAAGAAAAATAAAGTGAATTAAGCGTGTTACTGTTTTTTTCCCGTGTCCTGCATGGTTAGTGGTGGTTTGAATCTGGGGCGTGGGGCCAATAGATCACACCAGACACACAGGCAGGTTGCAGGGCTTTATATTTCAGCAACAGTCATACAGAGCCACACAGCAGGGGCACCCACAGCTGCCTCAGGAGGTGGCAGCGGCGGCCTCTTTTGCAGCTTTTCTCTCTTGCAGCATCCTCTGCCTCTGTTTGGCCAGGCACTTCCTGGCAGAACTGTAGGCCCCCAGGTCCTGATCTGGGGAAGCAATGGAAACAAGCTGGGAACCGAGGCCTCTGCTACATGCAAAGGGGGCAAAGTCAAGTGAGCACAAGGGAGGGGAGGGAAGATTTGCAATGGTTCTGGCCCCCAGGCCTCAGGAGGATGGTGGGGGGTTGGGGGTGGGTGGGGCACGCACAGCGGTCCTGGTAGGCCTTGGCCACCTGGGTGAACTGCTCCACTTCCTTGATACAGTTCTGCTGGTAGTTCTGTCCTTCCCTCTGCTGACAGGCTTTGAGCCGATCCTGCATAATGTTGATAATTTCTTGGTCGACTTTGCTGGTGGAGAAAAGGAGCAAGAGAGGCTAATCACAAGGAATCCTTTTCCTGTACCCTGTGAGAACAATTGAAAGCAAGAGCCCTGGGGTCTGGCTCCTCCCATGTCACCCCTAAAATCTGGGCATGCCACCCTGTGGCATCCCAGGGACTAGTGTCCCAGCAGCACACGGTGCAGATCTCCACACTCCCAGCATGGCTCACGTACTAGTCCCTCTTCCACTGCATTTCGGCTTCATACATGCACATGATGTCCTCCTCCTTGCACTCAGTGATGTCTGGCACGCGGCGGTACTGCCGGTGGTAGTAGTAATACCTGTTCTTTGCGTGCTGCCGCTCTATAAATTCTGCAAAGACAAAGCCACAGACTCAAATGCCTCATCGGTTTGGACAGGCTTTTAGCTTTCTTATTTCTCATAAGCCCTTTGGAGGGGAGAGAGGAGAACTTCCTGAGTGTTCCAGCGTTTAGAAAACAGCAATTCGTCTCTCTAAGGGATGTGGCCAGCCAGGCAGGCCTGTGAAGGCCTAGGCTACAGCTGATGGAGAGCTCCCGAGTACCAGGCATCATCCTCAGAGTTCCACATGCATTACCTTACTCTGTCCCCCACACAAGCCTACAGGCAGCTGCTTCTCACAGATGGCAAGGACTGGGACGCAGCTCTGCCAGTGCACCTCCCCCAGCTGCACAGGGACCCTGCTGGGTGCGCAAAGAGGCTCCAACAGGGAGCCTCCAGCAAGCAGAACTTACCACCTTACGGCCTCAGCTTCCTCACTGGGAAATGAACGAGCTAAAAGGAGAGCTCGAACATCCAGACACATAGGACAGACATGCTCTACAACTGCTACAAAAGAGAGGGAGCTGGGTCCGCTGTTGCACGGTTTCCAGATCTTTGGGGGTTTGATTTGGAGACTTCACCCTCTTACGGAAGAACCACCAGAGCATGCTATGCACCCCAAGTGTTCAAAAAGAACTGAACCAGGCTGGACACGGTGGCTCAGGCCTGTAATCCCAGCACCTGGGGGCCAAGGTGGGAGGATCACCTGAGGTCAGGAGTTCGAGACCAGCCTGGCCAACATGGTGAAACCCCGTGTCTACTAAAAATATAAAAATTAGCTGGGCGTGGTGGTGGTGCGCCTGTAATCCTAGTACTGGGGAGGCTGAGGCAGGAGAATCGCTTGAACCCGGGGTGGGGCAGAGGTTGCAGTGAGCCGAGATCGCGCCACTGCACTCCAGCCTGGGCAACAGAGTGAGACTGTCTCAGGAAAAAAAAAAACAACAAAAACTGAACTGGGCATTTTCCCGGTTCGTTCCAGAGATGCTGAATTTGGGCATCTCGGCCATCACCCCGACACTTGGTCATCCGGCAGAGAGACATTTGAGAGAGGCCTGAGGCCAGCGGTGCAGTGGAGGGGTGCCCGGGGCGGCGGGGGGCGGAGAGCAGTGCGGGGTCCTGGGGCAGTGGGCGCTGGGTGCGGCAGGGAGGGAAGAGTCCTGGGAAGAAGCGGGGCATCCCGGGGTGCAGGGGAGAGTAAGGGATCCTGGGAGGTGAGGTCCGGGGTGCAGTGGGAGGCCAAAGGAGGCGACGGAGCTCGGAGGTCTCCGGGGGTGGGGAGTTGTCCCCGGGGTGCAGCGGGGGGCGGTCTCAGGCAGACGGGACCCCGGAGGCATTGGAGGATCCAGGCAGGGTGTGGGATCCAGGGGTCCCCAGAGGCCGGCGAGGGAGCCCCGGGCTGGGGCTTCGTACCTCTCACGAGGGTCACGGGTCGGTCCACGATGAGGTCGAACGCTTTCATCATGTAGACGATGGGATTGGGCTGCACCGGCGTGCGGCGCGGGGGCTCAGGGTACACATCCTTGTCCCAGCTGTCCGGCATGGCGGCGGCGGGCGCGGACTCCGCTCCCGGACGCGCTGCCCTGGCCTCTACCTCCGTCCGGGTCCCGCGGCCTAGGTCGCCCGCTACAGAGGACGCCGAGGGCGGCTGCGTCTGCGCGCTGGCGCCGCGATGCACCATGGGACTTGTAGTTCCCCGGCTCCGCCGGGCGCGGCCGGGACCCGCCTCGCCGCAGGGCGCCCCCGCGTGGGGCCTCCGTTCTCGGTCTGTGCCGAGCGCCTACGCGGTGCTGGTCGCTGGTCTGGGCGCCTGGGAAGCAGCCGCGAACCGGACAGATTCCTGCTTACGATGAAAGAAACAGACAAAAGGCAACTGACATAAGGAATAGGAGGGGGTCATTCGGTTCCCACTGCGCGCCAGGCACTGTGCTGAGTGCAGCAGGGAATAAGATAAACTGTGATGGAGAACACAGGCCGTTAGAGCGCACACGACAAAGTGAACAAATAGCACGCGATTCCAAACACCCTACTCCTCCAGGAAGCTTTCCTGGATTGCCTAGTCCCTACAGACTTCTCTGGGCCCCGCTCTCTACAAGGGCCCCTCATGGACTGGCTGGTGCCAGTTAACTTGGGAGCCTGTCTGGGGGAGGGCAGGGAGCAGACCAGGAGGCAGGGCTTGCCCTTAGGCGGCTCATAGGGAGAAGGCACCTACCCTGGGCACAGGGCCCTCTGGCCGGCTTTGATGGTTCCATCCTGGCCCTGGGGCACTCTGGTGCTTCTAGGCAGCTCCACTGAGCAGGGTCCTGCTGGCCACATCTTCAGTCTCCACACCTGGCACGGCCCCTGGCTGCTATCCAGGGGGGACACTGGTCATGTCCTGTCCTGAGGTTGAGGCCAGCGACACAGAACCATCAACCCTACAGACAAACAGTGAGAGGTGACAGCGTGCTGGCAGTCCTCAGAGCCCTCGCTCGCTCTCGGCGCCTCCTCTGCCTGGGCTCCCACTTTGGCGGCACTTGAGGAGCCCCTTTCTGGGCTGGCCAAGGCCAGAGCGGGCTCCCTCAGCTTGCGGGGAGGTGTGGAGGGAGAGGCGCAGGCGGGAACCGGGGCTGCGCGCGGTGCTTTGCGGGCCAGCGCGAATTCCAGGTGGGTGTGGGCTCGGCGGGCCCCGCACTCGGAGAGCCTGGCCGGCCCTGCCGGCCCTGGGCAATGAGGGGCTTAGCACCCGGGCCAGCGGCTGCGGAGGGTGTGCTGGGTCCCCCAGCAGGCCGGCCCACCGGCGCTGCGCTCGATTTCTCTCGCCAGGCCTTAGCTGCCTCCCCGCGGGGCAGGGCTCGGGACCTACAGCCCGCCATGCCTGAGCCTCCCCCACTCCGTGGGCTCCTGTGCGGCCCGAACCTCCCCGACGAGCGCCGCCCCCTGCTCCAGGGCGCCCAATCCCATCAACCACCCAAGGGCTGAGGAGTGCGGGCGTACGGCGCGGGACTGGCAGGCAGCTCCACCTGCAGCCCCCGTGCGGGATCCACCGGGTGAAGCCAGCTGGGCTCCTGAGTCTGGTGGAGACGTGGAGAACCTTTATGTCTAGCTCAGGGATTGTAAATACACCAATCGGCACTCTGTATCTAGCACAAGGTTTGTAAACACACCAATCAGCACTCTGTGTCTAGCTCAGGGTTTGTGAATGCACCAATCGACACTTTGTATCTAGCTACTCTGGTGGGGACTTGGAGAACCTTTGTGTGGACACTCTGTATCTAGCTAATCTGGTGAGGATGTGGAGAAGCTTTGTGTCTAGCTCAGGGATTGTAAACGCACCAATCAGCGCCCTGTCAAAACAGACCACTGGACTCTACCAATCAGCAGGATGTGGGTGGGGCCAGATAAGAGAATAAAAGCAGGCTGCGGGAGCCAGCAGTGGTAACTCACTCAGGTCCCCTTCCACAGTGTGGAAGCTTTGTTCTTTCTCTCTTTCCAGTAAGTCTTGCTGCTGCTCACTCTTTGGGGTCACAGTGCCTTTATGAGCTGTAACACTCAACCGCGAAGATTTGCAGCTTCACTCCTGAAGCCAGTGAGATTACGAGCCCACTGGCAGGATGAACAACTCCAGACGCGCGGCGCCTTAAGAGCTGTAACACCGCGAAGGTCTGTAGCTTCATTCCTGAGCTAGCGAGAGCGCGAACCTACCAGAAGGAAGAAACTCCGAACACATCGGAACATCAGAACGAGCAAACTCCGGACACCCCGCCTTTAGGAACTGCAACACTCACCGCGAGGGTCCGTGGCTTCATTCTTGAAGTCAGTGAGACCAAGAACTCACCAATTCCGGACACAACAGGATCTACGGTCACAGAAACGTTCGGTCTTCACATTATGAACTTTTTTTTCTTTTTTTGTTTTTGTTTTTGTTTTTTTTTTTTTGAGACAGTTCTCTCGCTCTGTTGCCCAGGCTGGAGTGCAGCGCGTAATCTCGGCTCACTGCAACCTCCTCCTCCTCCCAGTTTCAAGTGATTCTCCTGTCTCAGCCTCCTGAGTAGCTGAGACTACAGGTGTCTGCCACTACGCCCGGCTAATTTTTTGTATTTTTAGTAGAGACAGGGTTTCACCATGTTTCTGGTCTCAAACTCCTGACCTTACGTGATCTGCCCACCTCGGCCTCCCAAAGTTCTGAGATTACAGACATGAGCCACTGTGCCTGGCCAAAGTCTTGGAAAGAAATATGAACCATGAGACCCAAACAATCTTGACATTTTAGTAGCCTAGAATCTTAGTATCTATTGATGTAAGAACCACGTATCTTAGAGATGTCATAGGCCTGAAAAACTCTAGAATTCCACTGCTATAGAACTTTACAACTGGCTGGGCGGGGTGGCTCACACCTGTAATCCCAGCACTTTGGGAGGCCGAGGCGGGTGGATCACCTGAGGTCAGGAGTTTAAGACCAGCCTGGCCAACATGGCAAAACCCCATCTCTACTAAAAATACAAAAATCAGCTGGGCATGGTGGCACACACCTGTAATCCCAGTTACTAGTGGGGCTGAGGCAGGAGGATAGCTTGAACCCAGGAAGCAGAGGTTACAGTGAGCCGAGATTGTGCCACTGAACTCCAGCCTGGGCAACAGAATGAGACTCCATCTCAAAACAAAAACAAAAAAAACAAAACTTTACAACCATAGAATCTTTGAATTGAAAAAGATTTTGAGGGGCGCAGTGGCTCACATCTGTAATCCTAGCACTCTAGGAGGCCAAGGCAGGCAGATTGCTTGAGCTCAGGAGTTCGAGACCAGCCTGGGCAACATAATGAGATCCCCATCTCTATAAACAATACAAAAATTAGTGAGGCATGGTGGTAAGTGCCTGTGGTCTCAGCTACTCAGGGGGATGAAGGCAGGAGGATTGCTTGAACCCAGGAGACTGAGGCTGCAGTGAGCTATTACTGTGCCACTACATTTTAGCCTGGGCACCAGAGAGAAACCCTGTCTCAAAAAAAAAAAAAAAAAAAGAAAAAAAAATAAGATTTCAACCCCCTCTTCATTCAAAACTTAAATTCAAAATTTAAATTTGGCCAGGTGCTGTGGCTTATACCTGTAATCTCAGCACTTTGAGAGGCTGAGGCAGGAGAATCACTTGAGGCCAGGAGTTTCAGACCAGCCTAGGCAACATGGTGAGACGCCCGCCTCTACAACAAGACACATTTAAAAATTAGGTCCTGCTGAGGCAGAAGGACCACTTAAGCCCAAAAGGTTGAGGCTGCAAGTGAGGTATGATCACACCGCTGCATTCCAGCCTGAGCCATGGAATGAGACATTGTCTCTTTAAATAAGGCCAGGCGCGGTGGCTCATGCCTGTAATCCCAGCACTTTGGGAGGCTGAGGTAGGCAGATCACAAGGTCAGGAGATCGAGAACATCCTGGCTAACACAGTGAAACCTCGTCTCTACCAAAAATACAAAAAGGTAGCCGGGTGTGGTGGCAGGCGCCTGTAGTCCCAGCTACTTGGGAGGCTGAGGCAGGAGAATGGTGTGAACCCGGGAGGGGGAGCTTGCAGTGAGCCGAGATCACGCCTCTGCACTCCAGCCTGGGCAACAGAGCGACTCCATCTCAAAAAAATAAAAAAGATAAATTCATAAAAGTATTTCAATGATTGTGAATGACAGGAGTCAGATCTTGATTTTTTTTTTTTTTTTGAGACGGAGTCTTACCCTATTGCCCAGGCTGGAGTGCAGCGGCGCGATCTCGCCTCACTGCAACCTGCAACCTCTGCCTCCCAGGTTCAAGTGATTCTCCTGCCTCAGCCTCCCAAGTAGCTGGAATTAACAGGCCCACACCACCACGCCCGGCTAATTTTTATATTTTTAGTAGAGATGGGGTTTCACCATGTTGGCCAGGCTGGCTTTTTTTTTGTTTTTAAGACAGTGTCTCGCTCAGTCACGCAGGCTGGAGTGCAGTCAAGGTTCACTGCGGCCTGACATCCTGGGCTCAAGTGATCCTCCTGCCTCAGCCTCCCAAAGTGCTGGGATTACAGGCATGAGCCACTGCACTCAGCCAGGGATCTCAATCTGGAAGCACAGCTCTGGTGATCCTCAAGGTGCAGTCAGCCCTCCCCCTCGTCTGCCCTGTCCCCAGCCCTGCTCCCCGCTGTTTATCCAGCTGTCTCCCAGCCCTCAGGACAGGAACCCCCTCTGCCTCCAAGTCGGCAAACTGCTCCAGACCCCTCCTCTTGGCCGCTGCCTGGGAGAAGGCCCCCACCGGCTACCTTGGCCCCCACCTTGCCTGGCCAGTCCTGTCCTGGGAGGGTCATGACCCAGCCCCAGGGCCATCGAGGAAAGGAGTGCCAGCCCTGGCTCCGGGTGCCCCACTCAGGCTGTCTATCTGATGCCCCCAACACTGCCCCGCCCCTGCCTGCTCCTGGCACCGGAGACCCTGCTGACTGTGCCAGGGGCTAATCTGGGAACTGGCAGCTGTGAGTCCTGGCCCTGCCACTCGACCTCTGGCGGCTAGCGGCGAGGCCCCTTCCTGACCTTCAGGGATCGGCCACCATGGTTGGTGGGACCAGGGTGAGGGTGGGCTGGGGTTGGAGCTGGAACTCTGGGGGGGTGGGACAGCTGGGCTTCTGGATGCTCCCTCAGAGGGACAGTCTCCCAGCCTGTGAGGGGATGGGAGGCTGGAGGGGGAAACAAGGGGACGAGGGCTGGGCTCCTGGGCCTGGGAGGGCCCTGGAGATGAACAGATGGCAGCGGCCACCTGCCCCAGGAGCCCTTGGCTGCAGTATGGGTGCGACCCTCCTGGGCCCCAGGCTGAGCCCACAGAGGCAGGAAGCCTGTGGCTATGGAGACCCCATCCCAAAGACGCTGCCCCTTGGTGAACCTTCCTCTCCCCTCCTGTAGGCAGACAGGGGAGGTGCTGAGCACAGGCCTCAGTCTGAAGCCTGTAGTCCATTTCTCCAGGTATGGGTTCTGGGACCATCCAGCTCTACCACCAGGGACACCCCAGGTCTGACCTCCTTCCTTCCTGCCCCCCAGTCCCACCGGAAGTTTTCCGCCCCTCGGCACGGACACCTGGGCTTCCTGCCCCATAAGAGGAGCCACCGGCACCGGGGCAAGGTGAAGACGTGGCCGCGGGATGACCCCAGCCAGCCCGTGCACCTCACGGCCTTCCTGGGCTACAAGGCGGGCATGACCCACACCCTGCGGGAGGTGCACCGGCCGGGGCTCAGTGAGTCACAGTTGGGACCCTTGGGGGAGGGGGAGGGCTGAACCTTCCAGATGCTCGGAGCCAGAACTCACGCTTTTGGTCCAGACAGGGCCACAGTCCCAGGGAGCACCAGGCCTCGCCCCCGGGAATTGGGGTGGACGCTGAGCACAGGCAGGGCTTCCGGGCGGGTTCTGTCATGGCCCCAGCTCGCAGATGAGGACATTGAGGCACAAAGCAGTGAGGAACCTGGTCCAGTCACCGGGGCGGTAAGCGCAGGAGCTAGGATTCAAAGGCCAGCGCCCCAAGCCCTCGGTTCAAACCACCTGCCAGGACATCTGCACTTTTTGGCCATTTCGGGTCTATTTCATGTACCATTATTTCATATGTACGCCTATGTATATAGTTAGTTTTTGTTGTTTTAATCGTAGATTCACAAGTAGTTGTAAGAAATAATGCAGGCCGGGCATGGTGGCTCACGCCTGTAATCCCAGCACTTTGGGAGGCCGAGGCAGGAGGATCATTTGAGGCCAGGAGTTGCAGACCAACCTGGACGGCATCGTGAAACCCTATCTCTACAAAAAATACAAAAATTAGCTGGGCGTTGTGGCGAGTGCCTGTAGTCGCAGCTACTTGGGAGGCTGAGGTGGGAGGATCACTTGAGCTTGGGAAGTCAAGGCTGCAGTGAGCTATGATTGCACCACTGCATTGCAGCCTGGGTGACAGAGTGAGACCCTGTCTCAAAAACAGAAAAAGAAATCCATTGTAATCATTAGAATAACAAATGCTCATTTGGGCTCAGCCCCACCCTCTGGGGAATGCTGTCCTGGCTGGCCCCACACTCTCCTGTCCTGCCCCTATGTGGGCGGCTCTCCACTCCCTCCCCCACAGGCCTCAGGAGGTCCCCCTTCATGCCCCATCCCTGTGTCTCATCCAGAAATTTCCAAACGGGAGGAGGTGGAGGCGGTGACAATTGTAGAAACGCCGCCCCTAGTGGTGGTGGGCGTGGTGGGCTACGTGGCCACCCCTCGAGGTCTCCGGAGCTTCAAGACCATCTTTGCAGAACACCTCAGTGATGAGTGCCGGCGCCGATTCTACAAGGACTGGTGAGCACCGCCCTTGGCTGGGCCGTCCAAGGGCTGCTGGGACCACAGAAGTTGGGTGCCTGAGGCTCTAGCTCTTGCTGAAATGATAGGTGTGGGTGAGTAGGAAGCGAAGTCTCAACCGTCTGTGGGAGGTAGGAGTGTCTGTGTGTGTGTGTGTGTGTGTTGTGTGGTTGCCTTCATTTCAATAAAAGATGAGTAGGCTGGGCGTGCTGGCTCACGCCTGTAATCCCAGCACTTTGGGAGGCCGAGGCGGGTGGATCACTTGAGGTCAGGAGTTTGAGACCAGCTTGGCCAACATGGTGAAACCCCATCTCTACCAAAAAATACAAAAATTAGCTGGCTGGGGTGGTGCGCACCTGTAGTCCAGCTACTCAGGAGGCTGAGGTGGGAGAATCACTTGAACTGGGAGGTGAAGGTTGCAGTGAGCTGAGATCGTGCCACTGCACTGCAGCCTGGGTGGCAGAGTGAAACCCTGTCTCAATCTCAAGAAAAACACAAAAAACAAAAAACATGAGTACTAGAAGGCTGGAGATGAAATCAGGATGGAGGAAAAAGAGGAAACAAATATTCTAATCCTCAGGGTTAATTAAAAGGCTAATTTGGGCGGCTTGTGGTGGCTCACGACTGTAGTAGTCCCAGCACTTTGGGAGGCCAAGGCGGGTGGCTCATTTGAGGTCAGGAGTTCGAGACCAGCCTGGCCAACATGGTGAAAACCCGTCTCTACTAAAAATACAAAAAAAAAAATAAAAATAAAAAAATAAGCTGGGCGTGGTGGCAGACACCTGTAATCCCAGCTACTTGGGAGGCTGAGGCAGGAGAATCGCTTGAGCCTGGGAGGTGGAGATTGTAGTGAGCTGAGATTGTGCCGCTGCACTCCAGTGTGAGCGACAGAGTGAGACCCTGTCAAAAAACAAACAAACAAAAAACCAAAAGGCTAATTTGATGGAATGTTAGCATTGGCTCTGAGTTTCCTAGCAGCCATTGTGAAAAGTGAAATAGCCAGCTGAGAAGCTCTTACACATAGAAAGGTATTCTCGGGCCTCAAATCTTCCCTGGCAGTAAGTCCTGAAAGAAACCTTGGTTTCTTCACCTATAGAATGGGAATAATAATAATAATAATAATAATAATAATAATAATAATAATAATGTCCACCTCCCAGAACTCTGCTGAGGGTTAGAAACTATGGCTTCTGGCTGGGCACAATGGTTCATTCCTATAATTCCAGCACTTTGGGAGGCTAAGGCAGGCAGACCGTTTGAGCTCAGGGCTTCGAGACCAGCCTGGGCAACATGACGAAACCCGTCTCTACAAAAAAATACAAAAAATTAGCCGGGCACGGTGGCGCATGCCTGTGGTCTCAGCTACATGGGGGGTGAGGTGGGAGGATTGCTTGAGTCTGGGAGCTCCAGGCTGCAGTGAGCTGTGTTTGTGCCACTGCACTCCAGCCTGGGAGAGAAAGTGAGACCCTATCTCCAAAAACAAAAAAGAAAGGATGGCTCCCAAGCCCGAGGTGCCTGGCCATGGCACCCACTGCACCCTTGAGAAGTGGGACCAGCAGTCTGAGCCATGTGGCAGGTGGGGTGGTCTCTAGGTGCCTGGACTGCAGGGCTGGCCAGCCGCCTTCTCTGAGCTTCTGCACCTCTGCCACTCACTCTCAGGCCCCGGGAAACAGGGAGGGTACCTACTTTACAGAGGAGGAAACCGGGGCCTAGAGGGGGAGAGACAGTCTATGTTCAAAGATGGTGGCTGGAACCAGCTCAGAGGCCTCCGGGTGGGGGGCGGTCCCAGAGGTAGGACCCCTGCTTGGTGGGCTGGGGGTGAGGTGGGGGCAGGATAGGCCTGGGGAGCTGCCCCGGTTGGGGGCTTCTGAGCACCCTCCTGTGCATGGCTCAGGCACAAGAGCAAGAAGAAAGCCTTCACCAAGGCCTGCAAGAGGTGGCGGGACACAGACGGGAAAAAGCAGCTACAGAAGGACTTCGCCGCCATGAAGAAGTACTGCAAGGTCATTCGGGTCATTGTCCACACTCAGGTCAGCCCCCGGCCCTCCGCTGTCGGTCAGTCCCTAGGACCACGCTCCCTCACCCCAGCTTCCAGGAGCTGTGGCAAATGTCAGCCTAAAAATACCCGAGCCTCGGCACAGACCCAGAGGAGCGGCTGACCAGCCTCGCTGGCCACGTGCAGCCCCAGGCATGGCTGCTGAAAGGCATCGGTGCCTTCTGGGGTGCCAGGGGCATCAGCCACGCCGGCTAGTCAACTAAGACCCTGGCACGCCCTGAAGAGCCGGGTCCCCAGCCAAGTGTGCTGTGTGGAGGGCTGGTCACCTCTCTTCGGTTTCCAGCGTAAGTGTGCACAGGAATCCGTGTTTGTACATGGGTCTGGCTTGCTGTAGGCTGACAGGCAGGCGGCACCCTCCAGCTTATTCTGGAACACTCTTTGGCATCTTTGTCCTCAGGGAAGGCTTCCCGAGGCCCTAGAGCAGTGCCCCCGACCCTGAGCTTCCCACAGCCCCCACACTGCCCCCAGCTGCTCGCACACTTGTACACCATGCCTGGGCCAGTCACTGGTGTGTGTTCATCTCCCTGGACAGACTCCAGGCAGGCAGAGGCCCTGGGCGGGGCCACAGCTGCCACCAAGAGCCTGGTATGCAGGAGGTGCTCTGTAAATACCTGCCCCATACATACCCGCCCCATACATACCCACCCCATACATACCCACCCCATACATACCTGCCCTGTCCATACCTGCCCCCTACATACCTGCCCCGTCCATACCTGCCCCCTACATACCTGCCCCGTCCATACCTGCCCCCTACATACCTGCTCTGTCTATACCTGCCCCGTCCATACCTGCTCCCTACATACCTGCCCCCTACATACCTGCCCTGTCCATACCTGCCCCGTCCATACCTGCCCCTTACATACCTGCCCCTTACATACCTGCCCCTTACATACCTGCCCCCTACATACCTGCCCCCTACATACCTGCCCCCTACATACCTGCCCCCTACATACCTACCCCGTCCATACCTACCCCGTCCATACCTGCCCCGTCCATACCTGCCCCGTCCATACCTGCCCCGTCCATACCTGCCCCCTACATACCTGCCCCCTACATACCTGCCCCGTACATACCTGCCCCGTACATACTGCCCCGTCCATACCTGCCCCGTACATACCTGCCTCATACATACCTGCCCCATACATACCTATGGGTCACTATGTGTTCCCCGCTGGCCTCTCTGTCTCCACCTCTACATTGCACAGCCTGTGCTTCACACAGCACCAGCCAGAGACCTTACCAAAAAAAAAAAAAAAAAATCAAGCCAGACATGGTGGATCACGCCTGTAACCCCAGCACTTTGGGAGGCCAAGGCAGGCGGATCACCTGAGGTCAGGAGTTCGAGACCAGCCTGGCCAACATGGCAAAACCCCATCTCTAGTAAAAATACAAACAAATTAGCTGGGCATGGTGGGCGCCTGCAATCCCAGCTACTTGGGAGACTGAGGCAGGAGAATCACTTGAAACTGGGAGGTGGAGGTTGCAGTGAGCCAAGATCGCACCATGGCACTCCAGCCCGGGCGATAGAGTCTCAAAAAAAAAAAAAAAAAAAAAAGAAAAAAAAAAAAAACAAAAATCAGGCCCAGTGGCTTACACCAGTGATCCTAGCACTGTGGGAGGACAAGGTGGCAGCCCGGGCAACTTAACGAGACCTCATCTCTACAAAAAAATTAAAAATTGGCTGGGCATGGTGGTGCATGCCTGTAGTTCCAGCTACTTGGAGAGGGGTGCTGAGGCAGGAGGACTTCGAGACCAGTCTTGGCAACATAGGGAGATCCCCATCTCTACAAAAAAAAAAAAAAAAAGCCAGGCGCGGTGGCTCACGTCTGTAATTCCAGCACTTTGGGAGGCCGAGGCAGGCAGATCAGGTCAGGAGATTGAGACCATCCTAGCTAACGCGGTGAAACCCCGTCTCTACTAAAAATACAAAAAATTAGCCAGGCGTAGTGGCACAACCTGTAGTCCCAGCTACTCGGGAGGCTGAGGTAGGAGAATGGCGTGAACCCAGGAGGCAGAGCTTGCAGTGAGCCGAGATTGCGCCACTGCACTCCAGCCTGGGCGACAGAGCAAAACTCCGTCTCAAAAAACAAACAAACAAACAAACAAAAAAAAAACAACTGGGCATGGTGGTGAGTGCCTGTCATCCCAGCTACTCAGGAGGCTAAGGTGGGAGGATTGCTTCGGCCCGGGAGGCTGAGGCTGCAGTGAGCCTTGATCATGCCACTGCACTCCAGCCTGGGTGACAGAGCGAGACCCTGTCTCAAAATAAAAATATAAAAAAATAAAAATCAGGCCAGGTGCAGTGGCTCATGCCTGAACCCTAGCACTTTGGGAGGTCAAGGTGGGTGGATCGCTTGAAGTCAGGAGTTTGAAACCAGCCTGGCCAACATGGGAAACCCCAACTGTACTAAAAATACAAAAAAATTAGCCGGGCATGGTGGCACACACCTGTAATCCCAGTTACTCAAGAAGCTGAGGCAGGAGAATCACTTGATTCAGGGAGGCAGAGGTTGCAGTGAGCCGAGATCGCCCCACTGTACTCCAGTCTGGGCAACAGAGCGAGACTCCATTAAAAAAAGGCCGGGCGTGGTGGCTCACGCCTGTAATCCCAGCACTTTGGGAGGCTGAGGCGGGCGGATCATGAGGTCAGGAGATGCAGACCATCCGGGCCAACACAGTGAAACCCTGTCTCAACTAAAAATACAAAAAATTAGCTGGTCGAGGTGGCGGGCACCTGTAGTCCCAGCTACTCAGGAGGCTGAGGCAGGGGAATGGCGTGAACCCGGGAGGCAGAGCTTGCAGTGAGCCGAGATCATGCCATTGCACTCCAGCCTGGGCGATAGAGCGAGACTCAAAAAAAAAAAAAAAAAAAAAAATCCAATCAGATCACATCGCAGCCTGCACTTGGAAGAAAGTCCGAGCTCCCCACTCCCAGGTGCTGGCCCACGCCCCTTGCTCCCCACCGTCTGCCCACACTGGTCTCCTCTCTGTCCCACCAACTTTCCAAGGCCTCCTCTGCCACCAGGCCTGTGCAAATGCGGGGTCCTGCTGCCCAGAGCCTCTCCAATGTTTGCCTCGTGGCTCCTACTTGTTAGCAGCGGCACCTTCTCAGAGAAGCCCTCTCTGCCCTGACCACTGTATCTGAAACACCAGCCCCCATAGCCCATCAGAGCACTCTGTCCTCTCCAAGAGTTACTTGGTTTCCTTCTGTCCCCCAGTGAGATGGTGGCTCCCGAGGTGTGGGACTCTGTCTGCCTCATTCTGCACCGGATCCGCAGTGCCTAGCACAACACATGGGTTGCAACCTGATCCTGGGAACACCTGTGAATGAATGCATGCGTGGAAGGCGGCAGGGGTCACTGCTGGCCATGCCATGTTTCAGGTGGGGGTGTGATCCCGTGGGCCGTGGCGTGACCTCCGGCCATGTCCTGCAGATGAAACTGCTGCCCTTCCGGCAGAAGAAGGCCCACATCATGGAGATCCAGCTGAACGGTGGCACGGTGGCCGAGAAGGTGGCCTGGGCCCAGGCCCGGCTGGAGAAGCAGGTGCCCGTGCACAGCGTGTTCAGCCAGAGTGAGGTCATTGATGTCATTGCTGTCACCAAGGGTCGAGGCGTCAAAGGTAGGGCTCAGTGAGGATGGCAGCTCCAGGGCAGGCTGCCTGGAGGCAGTGGGGACCAGCCTGGCCTCTCAGCCACCAGCCCCTCTCACTCACAGGGGTCACAAGCCGCTGGCATACCAAGAAGCTGCCGCGGAAGACCCATAAGGGCCTGCGCAAGGTGGCCTGCATTGGCGCCTGGCACCCCGCCCGCGTGGGCTGCTCCATTGCTCGGGCCGGGCAGAAGGGCTATCACCACCGCACGGAGCTCAACAAGAAGGTGCGTCCTCAGCCGGGGTACGGGGACACTGTGTGGTCGGACCCCAGCCCTCAGTACTGGCCTCAGTGGGTGGGGTGCATGACCCAGACACTGCCGGGGACACAAGATGCCCCCACCAGCACTGAGTCTGAGCATGTGGGCGGATGGGCCTGGATGGGCTGCTGGCCTCAGAGGCCACTTCCTGCCCCTGGCATGTGCCCCCTTCTGGCAGATCTTCCGCATCGGCAGGGGCCCGCACATGGAGGACGGGAAGCTGGTGAAGAACAATGCATCCACCAGCTACGACGTGACTGCCAAGTCCATCACACCGCTGGTGAGGCTGGGAGGGGGCGACTGCCAGGCCCATCACACCGCTGATGATGGCTGGAGTGGGGTCAGGCTGGCCGGGGGGCCTGGTATACATGTAGGGGGCATGCCCCAGCCTCAGCTGGACGCTCCCTGCCCCAAGGGCTCAAGATTTTTGCCCCACAGCTGGACGCTGCCCCGCCAGGCACACTGGACAGAAGACCTTGACAGCTGGGCAGTGATGTGGGACCCTTGCCTTGGCTGTCCAAAACATTTGGATATAGTCACAAGCAAGAAATCTCTGCTGCGTCCCACATCCTCCGAGCCTCCTCTGGAGGCAGCTTCCACTCCAGCTGCTGTCATGTGGGTGTGGAGTGCGGCAGCTCCTACTGTGGCCTGGGAGTCAGGCCACCTGGGCTCAAACCGCATCTCCAGGACTTAGCAGCTGTAGAGGCTGGAGCAAGTGACTCCACTCCTCTGATCCTCAGTCTCCCCCAACAAAAATGCAGACTGTCAAGTGAGATAATGCATGAAAAGGACTTAGCTTGTGACTCAGATGCTGCCCTCAGTAGGGGCGGCGTGATAGTCACCCCTACATCTGGGGGCTGGGCACGGGGCTCCTGCCTATCACTGCCCCCTCTGGGGGTTCTGCTAGGGCCCCCAGCCACCCACTAACTCAGAAGCCCTTTCCGGGCCTGGCCTCTGACCTGTGTCCTCTGCAGGGTGGCTTCCCCCACTACGGGGAAGTGAACAACGACTTCGTCATGCTGAAGGGTTGTATTGCTGGTACCAAGAAGCGGGTCATTACGCTGAGAAAGGTTGGCAGTGCTGGGTGGGCTGGGGAGTGGGTGCCCGAGGGCTGCCAGCCTGTCCTGCCCTGCGGCCTGCTACGAGCGGGATGGAGTGGTGGGAGCAGAAGGGGAGGGCTCTGGTAGGAACTAGGTGAGCAAGACCTTCCTGGTGGGGCTTGGAGGTTCACAGCAGGGTGTGGGGGATCCCCACACTTGATGTTTACTTTACCATGGATTCCCCAGTCCCTCCTGGTGCATCACAGTCGCCAAGCCGTGGAGAATATTGAGCTCAAGTTCATTGACACCACCTCCAAGTTCGGCCATGGCCGCTTCCAGACAGCCCAAGAGAAGAGGGCCTTCATGGTGAGCTCACCGCCCCCATCCTTGTTCTTCTCTGGGGCTCCAGCTCCACATCCAGCCTGCCCGAGTAGGGAGCTGGAGCTGGCAGGGACTCCCCTGAGCTCAACTGCAGGAGAGACTCTTTTTTTTTTATTTATTTTATTTTTTGAGATGGAGTCTCGCTCTGTCACCCAGGCTGGAGTGCTGTGCCGTGATCTTGGCTCACTGCCACCTCCACCTCCTGGGTTCAAGCAATTCTCCAGATTCAGCCTACCCAGTCGTTGGTACTACAGGCACGTGCCACCACGCCAGGCTAATTTTCTGTATTTTTAGTAGGGATGGGGTTTCATCGTATTAGCCAGGATGGTCTCTATCTCCTGACCTCATGATCCGACCGCCTCGGCCTCCCAAAGTGCTGGGATTACAGACATGAGCCACCGTGCCCGGCCTGCAGGAGAGACTCTTAAGGGTCTATCCCTGGGCACTGATTCTTTAGAAGAGAAGGTGGGGGAGGAAGCAGCCTTAGGGGGGCAGTAGGGCCGGCCCTGAGTGATCTAGAGCCTGGCTGGGGGAGGGCGTGTTTCTGGCCAGAGTGACTAAGGCTCCTCCTGCACCACCCTCTCAACCAGGGCCCCCAAAAGAAGCATCTGGAGAAGGAAACGCCGGAGACCTCGGGAGACTTGTAGGCTGTGTGGGGTGGATGAACCCTGAAGCGCACCGCACTGTCTGCCCCAATGTCTAACAAAGGCCGGAGGCGACTCTTCCTGCGAGGTCTCAGAGCGCTGTGTAAC
This sequence comes from Homo sapiens, assembly GCF_000001405.40. Classification (NCBI taxonomy): domain Eukaryota; kingdom Metazoa; phylum Chordata; class Mammalia; order Primates; family Hominidae; genus Homo; species Homo sapiens. Next base: position 1,944,731 of record NC_000016.10, on the reverse strand, counting down.
CGCCCAAGGGGTTCACCTTGCCTGCTGCCTAGACAAAGCCGATTCATTAAGACAGGGGAATTGCAATAGAGAAAGAGTAATTCACACAGAGCTGGCTGTGCGGGAGACCGGAGTTTTATGTTTTATTATTACTCAAATCGATCTCTTTGAGCATTTGCGGAGCAGAGGTTTTTTTTTTTTTTTTTTTTGAGAGAGTCTTGATCTTGTCGCCCAGGCTGCTGGAGTGCCGGGGAGCAGAGTTTTTAAGGATAACTTGGCGGGTGGGGAGAGCCAGTGAGCCAGGAGAGCCGATTGGTCAGGGAGGAAATCACAGGGAGTCAGCTGTCTTCTTGCGCTGAGTCAGCTCCTGGGTGGTGGCCACAAGATCAGATGAGCCAGTTTATCAATCTGGTTGGTGCCAGCAGATCCATCAAGTTGCAGGGTCGGCAAAATATCTCAAGCACTGATCTTAGGGGCAGCTTAGGGAGGGTCAGAATCTTGTAGCCTCCAGATGCACGACTCCTAAACCATAATTCCCAATATTGTGGCTAATGTTAGTCCTAAAAATGCAATCTAGTCCCCAGGCAAGGAGGTGGTCTGCTTTGGGAAAGGGCTGTTACTGTCTTTGTTTTAAACTATAAACTGGCTGGGCGCGGTGGCTCACGCCTGTAATCCCAGCACTTTGGGAGGCCAAGATGGGCGGATCACCTGAGGTCGGGAGTTCAAGACCAGCCTGGCCAACATCGAGAAACCTCGTCTCTATTAAAAATACAAAATTAGCTGGGCGTGGTGGCGCATGATTGTAATCCCATCTACTCGGGAGGCTGAGGCAGGAGAATTGCTTGAACCAGCGAGTTGGAGGTTGCAGTGAGCTGAGATCGCGCTACTGCACTCCAGCCTGGAAACAGAGTAAGACTCCGTCTCAAAAGAAAGAAAGAAAGAAAGAAAAAAACAAAAAACTATAAACTGAGTTTCTCCCAAAGTTATTTCAACCTACCAGCAGGGATGAATAAGGACAGCTTGGAGGTTAGAAGCAAGATAGAGTCGGCTGAGTTAGATCTCTTTCACTGTTTCAGTCATCATTTTGCAAAGGCGGTTTCACCTGGGCGCGGAAAGGCTGCATGACCTCCGGCAGCTCCGGGCTTAGTACCAGGGACTGGACTGGGGGGACACGACCCTACGGATTCGCGCCGTCGCCCACCTGGCCAGGCCCCATGTGCGCCCCTAGCCACCAGGGCGCGAGGGGCGGCAGGGGCGGGGCCTTGGGGAAGCGGCCTAGGGGTGGTCCCTGGGAGTTTCCATGGGCGGGGCCTGCTGGGGAGATGCGATTGGACTGGCACCGGGGGGCGGGGCCTTGGGGAAGTGGCCCAGGAGTGGTCCCAAGGAGTCAACGTGGGCGGGGCCAGCTGGGAAGATCGTATTGGACCAGCCCTGAGGAGGGGCGGGGCCTCCCGGAGGCGGAAGCCGGGATTCGCCCTCCGGGGAGCGATTGGTCCTCGGGAGGGGCGGGGAGGTGGACGCGGGTACCGGCGGTCGTCGGGTCGGCAGCCTTTGGTCAGTTGGCAGCGGCAAGCGCGCTGCGGTTCCGGTGGCGCCATGTCGTTCTGCAGCTTCTTCGGGGGCGAGGTTTTCCAGAATCACTTTGAACCTGGTTGGTCCTGCGGCCTCTCGCTGGGAGGGCAGCGCGGCGGGGGGCGCGCATTAGCGGGGGCGCCGCCGTCGTCCGGGGGTGATGTCTCTCCCAAGCCGGGAATGGGGGCGAATGTGGCTGCCGGGGAGAAGCGAACAGGGGTCAAAAGGACTGCGGAGGAGTGGGGAGCCTGGGGGCGAGGAGAGTGGGGTACCCGAGGAGAGGGGGCCTTGGGGCTCACCGTCCTGGAGGGGGCAGGCCTCGAGTGTGAACGTGCCGTTTCGGGGGTGGGTCTAAGGGATCGGGATACGTGGGGGTGGTACCCCTTCCCTACCCCCTACACTCCAAAGTGATGGCGCTGGGGGAATTCGGGTTAGGGTCGGGGCTTCGGAGAGGCCAGGTTCTTGTCCAGGGCCAGCTCCTGTGGCCGGGGCGCCCCTTCGCGGGTCATCCCGCAGGTGTTACCCTGGCCCTTCCCATTCCCCCGAGTCCGGGATCTCTGGGAGGAGTCTGGCAAGCATAGAATGTCCCCTTCAGATCCTAATGTGCCGGCCCAGGTGCCTCCCCACCTGCCCAGGGACTCCAAATTGGGGAACCAGGAGTGCCACCAGGCACCTGCCAACAGCCCGTGAAGTTTGACCAGGCAGGCAGGATGGGGTGGTTTGGGGCATGGCCAGCCCTCCACACTGGCCCTGATGAATCCCTTCTGGGCTGGGCTCGCCTGGTAGTGGACTAATTTGGTAAAAACACATCCACAGGCAAGTCTGAGTGCACTGGTCTCCTTGGGCGGATCTGCTGGGTGGCACCCCTGTAGCGGGTTGGGCTGTGACACAGGACCATCCCGGCAAAGCCTCCCCCAGCAAGACTCTCTGGCTTTAGATCCCAGTTGTCCTCAGGCTGCTCTGCCAAGCCAGAAACTCCACTTCCACAGCAGCTGCTGGCTTCTCTTTGCTTTTTTCTCCAGTTCCTGGAAAAGGCTGGGTAGTTTACAGTCTCCAGGGGAGGCTGTCCCCAGGTGATGGGTGAGAGGTGACTCAGCACCCCTGGAGGTTCCTGTTTTCAGTCCTTAAAACAGTTCTGCAAGTCAGTTTTGCAACTTTCCCACCCCCTCCACTCCAAAGGGATCCTTTGTGGGTAGGCTGAAATCTGTTGTCCCCAGCCCTCTTTCTTCCTGGGCTCCTGTGTGGCCTGGAGGCCTTTTCTCTGGGACTGTTCTCTTCCTGCCTGGAGAGCAGAGCAGTGCCTGGGTATCCAGCTTAGGGCCTCGTTGGGCAGCAGGGAGGACCACTTGAGAAAGGAGAGGGACCAGGTGGTTGGGCCACATCAGGGCCCCTGCCCTCTATGTTCCTGGGGGAACTAGGGGGGCGAGGGGGAGCTCCGTGTCCTCATTGGACTACCCAGGTTCCTTCACGCTGCACACACTTGTAGCTGAGTGTCTGCATCACCAAGCAAAGATGGAAATGTTAGGATATGCCCCGTCACGGGGCTATGAGAAGAATCAAGGAGATAATTGTGAAAGGTGACTCCCCTGGTCTCTGGCACATCTACTAAACGTGAGCTCAGCACAGCGCCTCCCGTGGCGGGTGCCTGGGGAAGGAGCACAGCCTACCCTCGGAACGGGGGCAGCGCTGTCTTTGCCTGGGTTGGTGGATTTGGGAGCTTGACCCCGGAAAGGCGGGAGCTGATGACTCCACATTTGCCTCTCCTTCCACCACAGGCGTTTACGTGTGTGCCAAGTGTGGCTATGAGCTGTTCTCCAGCCGCTCGAAGTATGCACACTCGTCTCCATGGCCGGCGTTCACCGAGACCATTCACGCCGACAGCGTGGCCAAGCGTCCGGAGCACAATAGATCTGAAGCCTTGAAGGTGAGAGGCCACAGGGGTGGGGGAGGGACGGGGGCGGCCAGGGAGAGCAGAGAGCCAGTCCCACCTTCCTCCCTCTGCTTGCCCCACAGCTCCAGGGGCTTAGAGGCGTCTATTCCAGGCCTGTTGCCTCTGCCAGGGAGCTGCCACCCCAGGCTATCGGGAGAGCCTGGCCTTCTGGTGCAAATGTGGGAAACAGGACAGGTTTCCTGTACGGGCTCCAGGACAAAGGTCAACCTCTTATGTCGGCGGTCAGCTTGGGAAATAGGCGTGTGGGAAGAAACACCATCTGCCAGCCCCAGTAAGGGCCTTCACTGTGGCTGTATCATGGCCAGAAGCTCACCCAGCTGCCTTGTGATCTTTCCAGGTGTCCTGTGGCAAGTGTGGCAATGGGTTGGGCCACGAGTTCCTGAACGACGGCCCCAAGCCGGGGCAGTCCCGATTCTGAATATTCAGCAGCTCGCTGAAGTTTGTCCCTAAAGGTGAGCTTGCTTTGCACAGCTGGGGCCAGGCCTGTTGGCCTTTGAGCCCAGGCTGGGGGGCCCAGTGTTTGTGCTTGTCCACTTACCATGACAAGGTATGGGGCCACCAAGTCACGCTGCCTGGGAACTGTCCAGGATCCCCCAGAAAGGTGGCTGCAGCGCAGGGGCAAAGGAGCTGGTGTTCCGCTTCCTCGCTTGGTTGATCATGACTGTCCCAAAAAGGGGCTTCAGCGTGAGAATGTGGCAAATGGTTTTCCTCAGAGGCCTGGCCTTTCCCAGAGGCTAGAGTCAGGGGCGGGGCAGGCAGAGCCTGAGGCCCCAGTCTGTGCGGCTGTGTCTCCCACTGGCTAGGACTGTGGCCTTGCTTCTTAGCCGCTCAGAGCCTGCCTCCTCCTCTGCAGAGTGGCGGTGGTAGCAGGGCTGTGAGGACAGCTGCGTGTCACGTGCACCTGGGCCTGGCACACAATAATAGCTTGATGAATCCTCATCCTTTTTTTTTTTTTTTCTGAGATGGAGTCTTGCTCTGTCGTGCAGGCTGGTGTGCAGTGGCGCGATCTCAGCTCACTGCAACCTCTGCCTCCTGGTTCAAGCAATTCTCCTGTCTTGGCCTCCCAAGTAGCTGGGATTGCAGGCACGCATCACCACGCCCAGCTAATTTTTGTATTTTTAGTAGATACGGGGTTTCACCATGGTGGCCAGGCTGGTCTTAAACTCCTGACCTCAGGTGATCTGCCCACCTTGGCCTCTCAAAGTGCTCGAATTATAGGCATGAGCCACCACGCCCAGCCCACACCTGGTTAATTTTTAATTTTTTTTTTTTTTTTGGTGACAGAGTCTTGTTCTGTCACCCAGGCTGGAGTGCAATGGCCAATCTCAGCTCAATGTAGCCTCTGCTTCCCAGGTTCAAGTGATTCTTCTGCCTCAGCCTCCCGAGTAGCTGGGATTACAGGCTCCCACTACCGCGCCTGGCTAATTTTTGATTTTTTAGTAGAGACGGGGTTTCACCATGTTAGCCAGGCTGGTCTGGAACTCCTGACCTGAGGTGATCTGCCTGTCTCAACCTCCCAAAGTGCCGGGATTATAGGCGTGAGCTACCGCACCCAGCCAATTTTTAAAATTTTTATAGAGATGGGGGTCTCACTATGTGGCCCAGGCTGGTCTTGAACTCCTCTGGGCCTTGGCCTCCCAAGGTGCTGGGATTACAGGCTTGAGCCACTGCCTCGCCTGAAATGGGGCTGTTAACAGCACACGCTTGTGGCCATCACCGTGCTGTGGGGTTGAGCGAGCAGCCTGTCAGGATCTGGTGCGTGGTAAACCTGCGATGTTTTCGTCCTTTTGTTGTTATTTGTCCTCCGTGTGAGTGGAGGGAGAAGAGATTCTGGGTTCTCCTGTGGATGTCAGAACAAAATGGGGTACACAGACTCCCCTGAGTCGGGCATCTGGTCTTTTCAGCTCCCCTGTGGCCTGCAGGCCAGGGCAGAGTGTGAAAGCGCAGGGAACGGCACCTGAAGCTCTGCCTTGCAGTGACTTGCTTTCTGCCCCTACCCTGGCTTTCCACCGCCCCCGCGCCCGGCTTTCCGCCCCTGCTTGCTTTCTGTCCCCGCATACTTTCCGCCCCCTCTCCTCTCTTTCAGGCAAAGAAACTTCTGCCTCCCAGGGTCACTAGGCGGGCAGCCCACACCCACCCCAGACGGCCACCACACTGAGGCCACACGTTGGCCATTCCACCTTGGAGTTGGAACCCTGGGCGTCGAGACAGGAAGGCAGGGCGCAGTGGTTGAAACATCAGGACACTCCCAAGGCCCCGGCTCTGAACAAGACCTTTTCGTTTCTTGGAAAAGAGACTCATTTGCTGATGGTTCATGCCTTCTGCTGGGACAGGCCTGGGCTGTGCAGCCACACTGTCGGCTGACTTAGCCCCCTGCTCACTCTAGGTGCCTCCAGGAGGTGAGCCCTGGGTGCAGCTGGTCTCTGAATGACGTTACACCCTCACCTTCTTTTCCTGGCCCTGTCTCTGGACTCTCCCCTGTGAGGCCCAATTCCAAGACAGACTCTCGTCCTCACCGAAGCTTAGGCCCACATCTCCCAGGCTGCTTAGGAGACAGAATGGAAACGGAGGCCGCCCCTGCCAGCCGCCCTGGCCCTGGTCACTGCATGATCCGCTCTGGTCAAACCCTTCCAGGCCAGCCAGAGTGGGGATGGTCTGTGACCTGCTGGGAAGGCAGGCTGATGGGGCACACCCTTGGCCTCTCGTCCACGAGGGGAGAAACCTAAACCCTGTTTCACAATCTGTGCGGAAGTAGCTTGCCTCACTTCTGCTTAGGAAAGCGGCTGTTGCTCCATAACTCTAACCAGCACAGGGCTGAGGCCTGCAGTGCACACCTGCAGGGAGGCCCTTCCCAAGGTGTGGTGACTGTGCCTTACTGTACATGCTCGGAGGCCTGGCCATATAGGAGGGTGGGTGATGCTGAAATCACCCCCCATCTTAAGTAATTACTTTCTGGAGTAATCAGGTGGAAATCCATAGACAAATGAAACATTCAGATGTACTGTCTTTTTTTTTGTTTTGAGATGGGGTGGGGTCTTGCTCTGACATCCAGGCTGGAGTACAGTGGTGCAGCGTGGCTCACTGCAGCACTGACCTCGCAGGTTCAAGTGATTCTCCCACCTCAGCCTCCCAAGTAGCTGGGACCACAGGTGGGCACCACCATGCTGGATAATTTTTACATTTTTCTGTAGAGATGGGGTCTCACTATGTTGCCGAGGCTGGTCTTGAACTCCTGGACTCAAATGATCCTCTCACCTTGGCCTCCCAAAATGCTAGGATTACACATGTAAGCCACCTTGCCCCGGCCCTGCTGTCTTTATTAACAACATCAGAGATGCCAGGACATGAGTGTCAGGCCTTTATATAGTTAAAAAAGGCAGGCATGGTGGCTCACGCCTGTAATCCTAGCACTTCGGGAGGCCGAGGCAGGAGGATCACCTGAGGTCAGGGGTTCAAAACCAGCCTGGCCAACATGAGGAAACCCCGTCTCTACTTAAAAAATATGAAAATTAGCCAGGCGTGGTGGCACACACCTGTAATCCTGGCTACTCGGGAGGCTGAGGTGGGAGAATGGCTTGAACCCAGGAGGCAGAGGTTGCAGTGACATGAGATCCTGCCACTGCATTCCAGCCTGGGCAACAGAGACTGTGCCTCCAAAAAAAACCCCCCAAAAACCTTTTTTTGCAAATATTTACTGAGTATCCTTTCAGTAAATATTTGCAAAAAAAAATATGGCTGGGGGTGCAGCTGTGAACGAGATAGGTGAGACCCCGCGCTCAAGGTCTCACAGCATAGCTGGGGAGACCTGGTAGTGAGGTAGTGTCAGAAGATGATAGGGCTGGGAGCAACTGCAGCAGAGTAATGATGCTAGGATGTGTGGAGGAAGCTCCAGGGGTCAGGGAGGGGGACTCAGGAGGGCTTAGCTCAGCAGTGATGGGCACAGCATGTGCACAGGCTCAGCACACATGGGGCCTGCCCCAGGCCCTGGAGGGCACGGAACAAGGCTCCACAAGAAATGCACCATTTTCCCAATTTATACCCACAGAAATCCGGGGAGCATGTGGGAGTGGATTTTAAGGGTGGATGTTTCACCCTGCAGAACCCACAGCTGGCATCGCCCCAAAAGCGGTGGCCAGGAGTGCCCCAAAGGGCACAGGATGGCCCCAAAGCATTGCAAGATGGGGCCAGTTGGGATCTGAACTAAGGAACGCTAAACGCCAGGGTGAGCACTCCAGAGCATTTATTAGGGGGACTTACAGAAGGCCGCAGCGTATCCTTGCAACAAAAGCGAGAGAGAAGAGGTGCCCTCCCTTGATATCTCTGCAGCAAGGGGACACGGTGTGGAGTGGATATGGAAGTTTAAGGGATTTGGCTCAGGGCTGGGCCAGTTTCTTTCAGTGTTTTAGCCCACAACCTAGATTTTTTTTTTTTTTTTTTTTTTTGGAGACAGAGTCTTGGTCTGTCATTTAGGCTGGAGTGCAGTGGTGAGATCTCGGCTCACTGCAGCCTCCGTCTCACGCCTGGGTTCAAGCAATTCTTGTGCCTCAGCCTCTTGAGTAGCTGGGATTACAGGCGCTCGCCAGTATGCCTGGCTAATTTTTGTATTTTTAGTAGAGATAGGGTTTCGCCATGTTGGCGAGGCTGATCTCGAACACTGCACCCAGCCTAGAATTTTTTAATTTAATTTTTAAAAAATTAGAGATAGGGCCTTACCATCTCACCCAGGCTGGTCTTGAATTCCTAGGCTCAAACAATCCTCCTGCCTCAGTCCCCCAAAGTGCTGGGATTACAGGCGTGAGCCACATGCCTGGCTGCACTTTGTGATTCTTGGTCAGGACACAGAAAGAAAGCAGGGGAGGCCAGGTGTGGTGGCTCATGCCCGTCATCCCAGCACTTTGGGAGGCTGAGATGGGTGGATCACCTGAGGTCGGGAGTTCAAGACCAGCCTGGCCAACACGGTGAAACCCTATCTCTACTAAAAATACAAAAATTAGCTGGGTGTGGTGGCGCATGCCTGTAATCCCAGCTACTTGGGAGGCTGAGGGATGAGAATCACTTGAATCTGGGAGGTGGAGGTTGCAGTGAGCTGAGATTACACCACTGCACTCCAGCCTGGGCGACAGAGCGAGACTCTGTCTCAAAAAAAAAAAAAAAAGAAAAGAAAAGAAAAAAAAAGCAGGGGGAACCAGGAGACCCTACAGTAGGGATAATGGGGAAAGGAACAAAAAATTGGGTCAGGTTGCGTTTATTGATACGGGCCCACTAAGCAGAGGTTCTGGACCTCGTGCTACCACTGCTGGGGTTTGACTGGTTGGTTGGTGAGCTACAACACAGACCAAAAAGTGACCTACACAAAGTGAGGCTGAAATGCCAGGCCTGCCTCTCTGCGTGGCAGAGGATGGGACTCAAAGGCTTGGGGAGGTTGGAGTGTCAGAGTGGATTTATCTTTTGAGACCTACTCACCCACCCCTGGAGAGGAGAGAGGACACACCTCTTACCACCCCCACGAGAAATAAATTTGTGAGGGGAACACTCCTCCTTCATGAGCTCTGTGATGGCCTTTCTCCAGCAGATCTGGAATTACAGTGGCAACTGCAGTCCCTGGGTTGGGAAACCTACGTGCAGGGGAATAAGTGGATCCCCTGGGGGGCAGGGGCCAGGTGGCAGGGCTCAAAGGCTCAAAACAAGGTGGGCGTGGCCGCTGCAGTGCACAGCAGAGGTGAACCAGCGATCACAATAGTCTGACTCACAGAGACCCACAGCGTTGACTTGTGGATCATGGTGTTCCCAGAAGTGAAATAGACAGAAGCCGACTGAACTCTTTTTTTTTTTTTTTTTTTTTCCTGGAGACAGATTCTCACTCTGTCGCCCTGGCTGGAGTGTAGGGGCGCGATCTTCGCTCACTGCAACCTCTGCCTCCCGGGTTCAAGCAATTCTCCTGCCTCAGCCTCCGGAGTAGCTGGGACTACAGGAATGCGCCACCACTCCCGGCTAATTCTTGTATTTTTAGTAGAGACGCGGTTTCACCAAGTTGGCCAGGCTGGTCTCGAACTCCTGACCTCAGGTGATCCTCCTGCCTCGGCCTCCCAAAGTGCAGGGATTACATGAGCCACCGCACCAGGCTGACTGAATCTTACTTAATCTGTGTAAGCAGAAGAGTTCTAGGTCAAGTGAACAAAAGTCTAAGACAAATAAAAAACCCAGAGTTAGGCTGGGCATGGTGGCTCACGCCTGTAATCTCAGCACTTTGGGAGGCCGGGGAAGGAGGATCACTTGAGCCCAGGAGCTTGAGACCGGCCTAGGCAACATACTGAGACCCCCACCCCTGCCATCTCTACAAAAAATACAAAAATTAACTAGGCACGGTGGCACACACCTGTAGTCCCAGCTACTCAGGAGGCTGAGGCAGGAGAATTGCTTGAGCCCAGGAGGCTGAGGCTGCAGTGAGCCTTGATCATGCCACTGCAGTCCAGCCTGGGTGACAGAGTGAGACCCTGTCTCAAAAAAAAACAACCCTCCAGCCGGACGTGGTGGCTCACCCCTGTAATCCCAGCACTTTGGGAGGCCAAGGTGGGAGGATCACCTGAAGTTAGGAGTTCTAGACCAGCCTGGCCAAAATGGTGAAACCCAGTCTCTACTAAAAATACAAAAATTAGCCGGGCGTGGTGGCGGGTGCCTGTAATCCCAGCTACTCGGGAGGCTGAGGCAAGAGAATTGCTTGAAGCTGGGAGGTGGAGGTTGCAGTGAGCTGAGGTTGCGCCATTGCACTCCAGCCTGGGGAACAAGAGCGAGACTCCGTCAAAAACAAAAACAAAAACAACAACAACAACAACAAAACATCCAGGCGCGGTGGCTCACGCCTGTAATCCCAGCACTTTGGGAGGCTGAAGCAGGTGGATCACGAGGTCAGGAGATCGAGACCATCCTGGCTAACACGGTGAAACCCCATCTGTACTAAAAATACAAAAAAATTAGCCGGGCGTGGTGGCGGGCGCCTGTAGTCCCAGCTACTCCGGAGGCTGAGGCAGGAGGATGGCGTGAACCCGGGAGGCGGAGCTTGCAGTGAGCGGAGATCGCGCCACCGCACTCCAGCCTGGGCAACAGAGCGGGACTCCGTCTCAAAAAAAAAAAAAAAAAAAAAAAACCCCAACCAATCAAACAAACAAAAAACCCATCTCCCGAGAAAAACCAGAACCACGGCCCTCAGTGAATTCCCAGACTGGAGCCAGGTCACAGACCTAAAACCTCCATTCAGACCCACACCGCTGTATGGAGGGGACCAGGGTGCCTTGAGGAAGGACCCCCCAAATTTATCCTGTTCGTCTTTTCCCAGCCTTCTCCAAAGGGATCTCTATGGCAGTGCACTGGGGAAAAGGAGATCATGAGACCTTCTGGGGACTCCTGGATGCTGGCTCTGAACCGATGCTAACTCTGGAGTCAGACGTCACTGGGTCAGAGTAGGGGCTTATGAAGGCCCAGTGACTGAGGGAGCGTTGGCTCGGGTCCGATCCCAGTGGACCTGTCCCGTGGTCATCCCCGGTTCCGGGTGTACAATTGGAAGAGGCACCCTCAATGGAAGGCAGCGTCCCCCCACAGGAGGGGCAGTGCCTGCAGTACAGGCCACAGTGGAGACCGGGGAGAGGCCAGCCGTGCTGCCAGCCCCTTCAGCCTGCTCACCCCTCACGGAGCTGACTCTGTCACCTGCCAGCCCCTCCGCAGCCCGGTCTAGCAGTCCCTGCTCTGACGTGGAGTCAGTGCCGTGGCAGAGGCCGCTGTCTCCCTTGCTGGCCTCGGACTGCTTGCGTGACCCTGATCTTGGGCGGGACATTCGACTTTCCTCTCTTTGTGCCTCCCTTAGTGGCACCCAGCCTGTCTTCCGGTTGGATGAGGGCACAGGAGAGCCACCCGGGGCGGGCAGGGGATGCTACAGTTGAATGGGTGCTGTGTGCACTGCCCTGTGGGTCAGAGGCCTGACTCCTGGCGCTGCTGGCCAGTGGGCTCTCCGTCTAGAGGTAGGGGCGCGTGGGGCGGGTGCTGGGAAGAGTCAGTGTTGATGAAAGCACCAAGGGCCCTTCGGGGAGGACCGTACCCAGAAGGGGCTTCCTGCTGCTTGCCCCTCCCCCAGCATGTGCTGTGGCAGCCTCCTGTTCTAGCAAATGTCTCCATCTCTGCCCTGCTGGGGGCCAGAACTGAGGCTAGCTGCCAGAATCTCCCTGGAGCTGCGGAGAGCAGGGGGGTGTCTCTCAACCCCTGATTCCAGCTCCCACCCATGCCCTGATTTTTTTACACCTGGACCCCAGTGTGTCCGACGCTGGCCACCAGCTAAAGTGGAGCCCGCTCTGGGGCTGCCCTGGCCACCCAGTGTCTTCGTTGGCTCTCGGGCACTGTCCTAGCCCAGCCTGTGGCCTGCCCACCCCCTAGTCCAGCAGGTGAGAGCAGGCCCGCTGCAGCGACTGACCCCAGTGCAGCAGGTACTCTCCTTAGCCTCATTCTTCTGGGGAGACAAGGGGGACTCAGAGAACGCGATTAGTCTGAGGCCACACAGCTGGGAGAAGCCCTGTGTCCTCTGCCGCCAGGGACCTGAGCCACTCCAGGCCACATGTGGCCGGCTGCCAGTGGCCTCTGATCAGGGTCCTTGTCCTGCCATGCTGAGTCATTTGGTGATGGCGGGTCTGGCAGGGGGTGCACAGGGCTCCCAATACTGTTCTAGGCAGCCAGTTCAGGTCCTCTATGCCCACACCTGTCCCTTTCTGCTTCTCCCTGCAGGAGGAGCAGTGGCTCTGGGAAGGGCTCTGTGGGCAGGTCCTGTGGAAGGCGGCTCTGCTGCGGCAGGGAGGGAGCTGCTGAATGGGCAGCAGGCTTCCCAGGCACAGGGCCAGGCAGGGGCCTGGGCTGTGCTGCCTTCTCCCAGCACTCCCAGCTCTGCACCTGGGGCCAGTGTTTCCCCGAGAGTGGACTCAGGCCCAAGAGCAGACTGGCCTTCGCCTGCAAACTGGGCCCCTGTGTGCAGGGTTTTGTCCCCAGGGCTGTCTACCAGGCTCAGGCCGGTAGCTGGGTGGCTGGAGGCCTGCTGGCGCCTGGGGATCTCAGCCACAGCAGTGCAGGGGTGGTGATCCTGGTGGGGGCTGGGGAGTAGTGCCTCCTGCCTGCATCCCAGGGCCCCAGGCTCATCCAAACATCCATGTTAAGGTGGTGGGCCGGACACAGTGGCTCACGCCTGTAATCCCAGCACTTTGGGAGGCCGAGGCAGGTGGATCACCTGAGGTTATGAGTTCTAGACCAGCCTGACCAACATGGAGAAACCCCATCTCTACTAAAATACAGAATTACCCGGATTACCCGGGCGTGGTGACCCATGCCTGTAATCCCAGCTGAAGGGGAGGACTGCCCCTCCACACCTGTGGGTATTTCCAGTCGGGTGGGACGAGAGACTGAGAAAAGAAATAAGACACAGAGACAAAGTATAGAGAAACAACAGTGGGCCCAGGGGACCGGCGCTCAGCATACTAAGGACCTGCACTGGCACCGGTCTCTGAGTTCCCTCAGTTTTTATTGATTATTATTTTCGTTATTTCAGTAAAAAGGAATGTAGTAGGAGAGCAGGATGATCATAAGGAGAAGGTCAGCAAAAAACATGTGAACAAAAGAATCTATATCATAATTAAGTTCAAGGGAAGGTACTATGCCTGGATGTGCACGTAGGCCAGATTTATGTTTCTCTCCACCCAAACATCTCAGCAGAGTAAAGAATAACAAGGCAGCATTACTGCAAACATGTCTCACCTCCCACCATAGGGTGGTTTTTCTCCTATCTCAGAACTGAACAAATGTACAATTGGGTTTTATACCGAGACATTCAGTTCCCAGGGGCAGGCAGGAGACAGTGGCCTTCCTCTATCTCAACTACAAGAGGCTTTCCTCTTTGACTAATCCACCTCAGCACAGACCCTTTACAGGTGTCGGGCTCGGGGACGGTCAGGTCTTTCTCATACCACGAGGCCATATTTCAGACTATCACATGGGGAGAAACCTTGGACAATACCCTGCTTTCAAGGGCAGAGGTCCCTGCAGCTTTCCACAGTGCATTGTGCCCCTGGTTTATTGAGACTGGAGAATGGCAATGACTTTTACCAAGTATACTGCTTGTAAGCATTTTGTTAACAAGGCACGTCCTGCACAGCCCTACATCCCTTAAACCTTGATTTCATACAGCACATGTTTTTGTGAGCTCCAGATTGGATCAAAGTGGTTGGGTCAAAGTGGCTGGGGCAAAGCTACAAATTAACAACATCTCAGCAAAGCAATTATTTAAAGTACAGGTCTTTTTCAAATGGAGTCTCTTATGTCTTCCCTTTCTACATAGACACAGTAACAGTCTGATCTCTCTTTCTTTTCCCTACACCAGCTACTCGGGAGGCTGAGGCAGGAGAATCGCTTGAACCTGGGAGGCTCAGGCTCAGCCTGGGAGGCTGAGGCTCAGGGAGGTTGTGGTGAGCCGAGATGACACCATTGTACTCCAGCCTGGGCAACAAGAGCAAATCTCCGTCTCAGGAAAAAAAAAAAAAAAAAGATGTGGTAGGGAGGTGGGGGTGGGAGGGGGCAAGTGGGCTCAGGAGGTGGGGGGGGTGCCGGCAAGCAGACTGCTTGAGTGGGGAGACGGGTGAACCGCAGGACCCCAAGGCCCCCTCACATTGAGAGTCCAGGGAGGGATGGCTGTGGGCAAGGTCTGTATGCCAGGTCACCGGAGGAGGGGGTGGTGTTTCCAGCAATGGAGCGTCTGGTGTGGAATCAGTCACCTTACCCTCCCGCTCCTGCTGGGTGATACCCCATCCTTGCGGCTGCCCCCGCGTCTTCCTTGAGGAACAGCAGACTCTGAGGGGGCAGCCCCTTCCTCCCCAGGGCACGGCCTTGCCCCTCAAGGGTTGGGTTCAGGGGCAGCGGGCAGGCCTGGGCACGGCTGGGCCGTCACCTCGGGCGAGGGATGGGGAATAAAAAGGAACTCTGTCTGAGACACCGTGATCCCTCGCCGGGGCCCAGGCCTGGCTCAGAGCAGCCACCAGGAAGCGTCTGCGGCCCGTATGGGGGAACAGACCATACTTCAGACCCTTGCTCAACCACCGCTTTCCGCTCTCTCAGTGGCAGGTGCCGCGCAGAGCCTGGCCCTGGTGGGGCTGTGGCCCCTGGTGGGGGTGGGGGCCGTGGGCAGCTCCCGGGAGGCTCCTACCCGCGGACGGGTCGGCAGGTGGGAGGAGGGGGCGTCCGGTAGGGTCGGCGAAGGCGCCGAGGCCACGTGCAAGCCCCGGCCCTCGAGGCGGCCTCCCGGGCCCGGGCGCGGGACCGTGCGCAGGACTGACCAGCAGGGGGCACGCTCGCTCGGTGCTGCCAGGCCGGGTGGTCTGCGTGCGCAGGCGCGGCGGGGGGCCTGACGGCGCTGCAGTTCCCCGGGTGGCCGCGGGGGTTGCGGCGGAGGCAGCGAGCGTCCGCGCAGAGAAACCGCCTCGGCCACGCCCGCCCTTGGGCCGGTGCTGGGGACCCAGGCCGAGGCCTCTGGTCGTCTGAGGGTGCCAGGGGCAGCTGCAGGGGGTTTGCCGGGCTTCACGAAGTGACCGCTACAGGGAGTGCAGTCGCAGCCACGGGTGCCCCTTCCAGGGTCACCGGAGGACAGAGCCAGGGGCGGGGGCGGGGGTGGCGCGGCCGGTGGGAACGGCAGGCGTGGTTGGGGGCGCGGGTGGAGGCAGGACGCCCCCAGCCCCTTCTTCAGGGCAGCTGCGTGGGACCCAGGCTGCCCGGACCTGGCCCGCCCTCAGGGCTAGATCCTAGGGTTCCACATCCCAGGCCTCTTTCCTCCGCCCACCTCTCCCCGCTACAACCCAGGCAGCTCCTGGCTGCCTTCCCCCAACCAGAGTCCTCTCTGCAAAATAATAACCAGACCAGGTCCCTCCCTCAGAGGTTCCCACAGTCCTTGCCTGCTCTGACCTAGGCTGACCCCACCTCTCCAGCTTGATTTCCTACTCCATAAATGAGATCGGTGTTGTTTATCATAATTACAGTTTGGGGTTGTTTCTTTTTTTTTTTTTTTTTGAGACGGAGTCTGGCACTGCCGCCCAGGCTGGAGTGCAGTGGCGCGATCTCGGCTCACTGCAAGCTCCGCCTCCCGGGTTCACGCCATTCTCGTGCCTCAGCCTCCCGAGTAGCTGGGACTACAGGCGCCCACCACTGCGCCCGGCTAATTTTTTTGTATTTTTGGTAGAGCCGGGGTTTCACTGTGTTAGCCAGGATGGTCTCGATCTCCTGACCTCATGATCCGCCCAGCAGGGCCTCCCAAAGTGCTGGGATTACAGGCATGAGCTACCGCGCCGGGCCTGGTTGTTTCTTCTTGAGAAGGGGGTTTCTCTGTTGCCTGGGCTGGAGTGCAGTGGCATGACCATGGATCACTGCAGCCTTGAATTCCTGGACTCAAGCGATCCTCCCAGGTCAACCTCCCGAATAGCTAGGACTACAGGTGTGCTACTACGCCCCGCTAATTTTTGTATTTTTAGTAGAGACAGGGTTTTGCCATGTTGTCCAGGCTAGTCTGGAACGCCTGGGCTCAAGTGACACTCCCGCTTTGGTCTCCCAAAGTGCTGGGATTACAGGCATGAGCCACTGTGCCTGGCTAATTTTTTAAAAAAACTTTTTGTAGAGACGTGCTCTGGCTTTGTTGCCCAGGCTGATCTTGAATTCCTGGGCTCAAGGGATCCCCCACCTCGGCTTCCCAGAATGCTGGGATTATAGGTGTGAGCTCCTCAGCCCAGTCAATTATGTTGTTGTTACTGCCCGCATCACCTGAACCCAAACCCTTTCACCTGCACCTCCAGGCAAACCAGACCCCACTCTAGAAACACATCCTTGCATTCCTAGAGTTTGTTTTTCCTTCTTCTGTTTTGTCCTTCCACACGCATCACAACCCTTCTAGAAGCTTTTCTTGGGGGCTCTGCCCCAGTGGTCCTCTCCTTCCCCCACAGCAGGGGCCTGGGTGGGCCTCCTCTGTGCATGCAGACTGGGCCCCTGTTACCCTCTTGCAGGCCTCACCCATCCTAGGTCAAGGAGCTCCTCAAAGCCATCAACCACAGCACCTTCATCTCATTCTCTCTCTCTCTTTTTTTTTTTGAGATGGAGTCTTGCTCTGTCGCCCAGGCTGGAGTGCAGTGGCACAATCTCGGCTCACTGCAACCTCCGCCTCCCAGATTCAAGCGATTCTCCTGCCTCAGCCTCCTGAGTAGCTGGGATTACAGGCGCGCGCCATCACGCCGGCTAATTTTTGTATTTTTAGTAGAGAGGGGGTTTCACCATGTTCGCCAGGATGGTCTTGGTCTCTTGACCTCGTGATCTGCCTGCCTTGGCCTCCCAAAGTGCTGGGATTACAGGCGTGAGCCACCATGCCCAGTCTTTTTTTTTTTTTTTTTTTTTTGAGATGGAGTCTTGCTCTTTTGCCCAGGCTGGAGTACAGTGGCACAATCTCGGCTCACTGCAACCTGTGCCTCCCCCGGGTTCAAGTGATTCTTCTGCCTCAGCATCTCGAGTAGCTGGGACTACAGGCATGCACCACTACATCCAGCTAATTTTTTTTTTTTTGTATTTTTATCAGAGATGGGGTTCGCCATGTTGACCAGGCTGGTCTTGAACTCCTGACCTTAGGTGATCCGCCTGCCTCAGCCTCCCAAAGTACTGGGATTACAGGCATGAGCCTCCACACTCAGCCCCAAATATATTTTAAGTGTCTCCTTTTCTCTATCACCAATGCCACCTCCCCAGCCCAAGGCTCAGTCATTCCTCACCTTCAGTACTGTGATAACCTGGTTTAGAACCTAGTTGATTCGGGCCAGGCGCAGTAGTTCGGTCTCCCAAAGTGCTGGGATTACAGGCGTGAGCCACCATGTCTGGCCCTCATTCTGTTTCTTAAATGCTGAGCCCTCGGGGTGCTGCGTACGGCAGCAGCAGATGAAGAAATGTTCACCCACTCACACCACCTGCTCCGTACTCCCCTTCAGGGTTGCACAATCTTGGGAGGGGTGCCAGATGTGTACCCCACATCTACATGGATGTGTTGGCGGTCTGGGGAATGCAGGGTCCTCAAGCCACCTATCACCCTCTCCAGGGCCTGGGCACTAAGGCTGTGGTTAACAGAGCTTGGGGTAAGAAGCCCTGGGAAGAAGGTTGGTGGGGCTTCAGTGACAGAGGGCCAGGAGGCGGCTGGGGAGGGGCTCAGGGTTACCTGTGGATAAGCTTTCTCCACTTCCAACCCCTCACGGCCCTCCACTCCCTGTCTCCTTGTAAAACCTTGGAGGTTATTCATGGTTCAGCCCCTGACTTCCTGTCTTACCGAGTTTCATCTCCAGGACATTTATAAGCTACTCTTGGCTTCGAAGGGTTTGGTGGCTGCAATGCAGGAGAGGGGAGGAGAGGGTGGCCAGAACCAGGTGGGCTGGGTGCCAGGACCCCTGGGGTCTGCTTCCAGCCATGGACTAGGCCTGCTGGCCCTGGGCTTCCCCTTCCACCTCAACTCCATGGCCTTTTTGGTCTCGAAGTCTCTCTCGGAGTATGATTCTTTGCTGGGCCCCAGAACTCCAAGCCGGGGAGCCCCTGGTGTGTATCCAGGTCTAAGGCGAGGGAGGGCAACTGGAGTCAGAGAGAGGACAGCAGTGACCAGCCTGGGAGATGAGGGATGGAGTCCTGGCTCTCGGCCAGAGGGGTGGGGGGAGGGGGAGGGGTTGACTTTGAAGGCTGTGAAGCCTAAGAGGGGCGAGGCAGGGGTGGGGGTTGGGAAGAGGAATTTAGAGCTCTCGGCCTGACTGCAGGTTCTGAGTCCTCCTGAGCGTTGAACCGAGTAAGACAGGCCACATGCCTGTCTGGTCCACTGCGGGGGTGAGGTGCTGCCCCCGGAAGTAGGGCAAATGGAGGTGCCCTTGCTGGGGATCCTGTCTGCTGGCCAGGGGGGACTAACTCTTCAAAAGGGGCTTACAGGCAGGCGCGCACGGTGGCTCGTGCCTGTAATCCCAGCACTTTGGGAGGCCGAGGCAGACGGATCACCTGAGGTCATGAGATCGAGACCATCCTGGCCAACATGGTGAAACCCCATCTCTACTAAAAATACAAAAAATTAGCTGGACATGGTGGCACATGCCTGTAATCCCAGCTACTCGGGAGGCTGAGGCAGGAGATTCACTTGAACCTGGAAGGCGGAGGTTGCAGTGAGCCGAGATCGCGCCATTGCACTCAAGCCTGGGCAACAGAGCGAGACTCCCTCTCAAAAACAAACAAACAAACAAAAAACAGAAGGGGGCTTACAGGCTCCAAAAGTGGTGTGGGGTGTCACTTGGGGCTTTCCACACTGTGTGAAGGTGCCTGGGGCCTGGCTGCAGGCCTCTGAACCCCCCTCCACCTGTGCCCACGTGCACACTCACAGAAGATGTGTACACTCACCAGGGTCCACAGACAGGCACACAGAGTCCCATCTCCTGTGCAGCGCATGGGACTCCTGGGCCTGTGTCCAGTCCCCTTGCTCCTGACGAACATGCTCCTGGTGGCCTTCCAGTCCATGGAGACCATCGACAGGGCTGGACAGACCTGGCCACAGAGGACTCTCTTGGGGTTGATTGAACGCTGCTCTGCCCTCCCCACAGGGCTGGGAGACTTCCATGCCCAAAGGCCTGGCTTAGGGCTATGAAACTGGAGGAGGTGGGGCTGGGGGAGGGCAAGGAGAGCCCTGTTTCTGTGGGACCCTCCTCTTGTCCTGTTCAGATCCACCCTGGAGATAGAGGCACAAATGGGACTACCAGCCTGGAAGAAGGATTGCTACATTGTTTTTTGTTTTGTTTTTTTGGAGACAGTGTCTAGCTCTGTCACCCAGGCTGGAGTGCAATGGTGCAATCTTGGCTTATTGCAACCTCTGCCTCCCAGGTTCAAGCGATTCTCCTGCCTCAGCCTCCCAAGGGGCTGGGATTACATGCACGAGCCACTGTGCCCAGCTAATTTTTGTATTTTTAGTAGAGACGGGGTTTCGCCATGTTGGCCAGGTTGGTCTTGAACTCTCGACCTCAGATGATCACCCGCCTCAGCCTCCCAAAGTACTGGGATTACAGGTGTGAGCCACTGTGCCCGGCCTGATTGCTACATTTTTATAAATTGAACTGGCCAGGCTGGTGGGCAAGAGGCAGTTTGCAGGGCCCAGTTATTCATGGAGGTTGGGGGAGGGAACAGGAAAGAGTAGCAAATCGCCTTCTCTCTGTGCTGATTCCTCCAGGAAGACCCAAGGGAGAGGATTGAGGGTGGCTGGAAGCAGGCTGGGGCCACCCCTCTGCAGGAGAGGATTCTGGCTCCTCTGGCAAACCCTGCAACCCCAGGCAGGCTCCCAGCAGGCAGGGGACTGAAGACAGTGGGGAAGCGTCCTTCCCGATGCTGGGAATCTGGTCTGCCTTGGCAAATCCTGGGAAGCCCCACAACCCTTCTCTGTCACAGTGTCCCTGGGTCACCAGGAACAAGATCCAGGGTTCGGCAAGCCAGGCTTGCTTGCCACCGTGAGGCCAGTGATGCCTTTGTGCTCCAGCCTTGTCTGCAGGGAAGACGGAATTATGAGATAGGTCCTCAGTTTCCCCAGCGCGGGAGCAGCCTCCGAGCACCCCTTCTGTGGCCCCTGCCGCACGTTCTCTGGGTCCTTGTCGTAAAGAACATTCACCAAGCACTTAGGAGCTGGGTACAAAGGGAGGTGGGGGTGAGTGTCAACTTTGTTTAATACAGTAGGGAAGTGAGGATCACAGGCCTGGACTCCTGCTAAGGTCACCCGCTAGGAGGGGGCAGAGCTGGCTGGTTTTTTTTGAGATTGGGTCTTGCTCTGTGGCCCAAGCTGGAGTGCAGTGGTGCAATTATAGTTCACTGCAGCCTTGACCTCCTGGGCTCAAGAGTTCCTCCCACCTCAGCCTCCTGAGTAGCTGGGACCGCGGGTGTGCACCACCATGCCTGGCCAATTAAAATAGTTTTTTTTCTTTAGAGATGAGATCTCCCTATGTTGCCCAAGCAGGTGTCAAACTCCTGGGCTCAAGTAATCCTTCTACCTCAGCTTCCCAAAGTGCTGGAATTACAAGCGTGAGCCACCACGCCCGGCCACAGTGCTGGCCTTGAATCAGCCTTGAAGGTCCCTACAGCCTTTGCTGTTACCGTTGCCCCATCCTAGCAAGGGGCTCCTGCCCCGCCTCGGTCCCCACCAGGGTGAACTGGGAACAGCGGGCCCTCGGGGAGGGTAGGATGGGGGACTGGCCTCTCTGAGGGGCCCCTCCCTGGGAGGGAACCACATCCTTTATGAGCTCGGGCAAATCAGGCATCTGAAGTGGAAAAACCCCACACAAATCAAGGACAGCTGGGCCCGCCCTCTGGCGGCAGCCCCCTCCGCTTGCTCCCCTCGCAGGAATCCTGGCAGGAGGCACGGAGCGGGGCAGAGCCAGTCTCAGGGATGAAGGGTGTGGTTCTCAGGGAGGGAGTTCCTGGAGCTCCTCCTGGCTGTGTGAAATCTACCCTAGCTGTCTTCGGCGGAGGGCGGGGCCGCTAATCACTTTCCAGAGTGGGGCCGCGGTCCTGCCCTCGCTTGTGAGGGCCCAGGCTGGGGCTGCCCACCCCGGGGAGGGGACAGACTGGGAAAGAGGTGGAGAGGGGTGTCAGGGAGGGACACACACAGACACACACACACAGTCACTTAGTTGCTCAACAAACATGAGCTGTCATCCTGGTCAGGCGTGGAGCCACAAAAGGGATCAAGACTGACCCCGTCTCTGCCCTTGTAGAGATCATGGGTAGGTGGAGACAGGGATCAAAATCACCCACAAAGAAATAGTTACAGACTGTGAAGGGGGCACAAATGTAGCCAGGACGCTGGTTGAGGATCTGACGCCGGGCAGGGCATTCCTCCTAGCACGGCCTTGCTCCCCAGGACTCCCCACCTCTTCCCCTCTCCATCCCCTCCTGCCCTGGCCCTCCTTGTCACCTCTCCAAGGGACAACGTTTACTGGGCCCAGCAGCTGGGGCAGCACAGCCCATCTCCCCTCCCAGATCCTCTCCTCCCAGCCACTACATCAGGCCGACCATCCACATGTTCGTCAGCTGGAGGGTGGACAGACCATCTGCCTGGCTGTCTGGCTTATACAGGGGTCAAGATGAGCTCGGGCAGTGTGGACCCTCAAAACCCCTGGGGCCTTGGGAGATCCGGCTAGGCAGAAGGAACTTGTTGATGTCTGTTTCTTGGCGGAGGAGGACATTCAGACAGAGAGCAGGAGGCGAGGGACCCTCTCAGGGTGCAGGGACAGCCCACACCCTTTGTCCCTACAGTCTGGTTGCTCAGGTGTCCTGGGGCAGAGGGAAGGAAGTTTGTGTGTGAGGAGCATGGAGAAGAAGTTCCTGAAATTATCAGATTTAACCTTCATAAGGCACTCAACACAGAGTTACCATATGATTGAGCAATTTCACTCCTAGGTATATTCCCTAGAGACATGAAACGTATGTCCACTCAAAACCGTATACCTGAATGTTCATGGCAGCGTTATTCATAAGAACCCCGCAGTGGAAACAACCTAGATGTCCATCAACGAATGAGGGAATCAACAAAAGGTGGTCCATCCATACGATGGAGTATTACTCAGTCAGGAAGAGGAAGGAGGTACTGGCACATGCCACAGTGTTGATGAACCTGGAGAACATGCTGAGTAAGAGACCCAGACACAAAAGGACGAACATTGTATGATTCTCTTTTTTTTTTTTCATTTTAGAGATGGTGTCTCACTCTGTCTCCCAGGCTGGAGTGGAATGGTGCAATTTCAGCTTCACTGCAACCTCTGCCTCCCGGGTTCAAGGGTTTCTTGTGCCTCAGCCTCCCGAGTAGCTGGGACTACAGGCGTGCACCACCACACCTGGCTAATTTATTATTATTATTATTTGAGATGGAGTTTTGCTGTTGTTGCCCAGGCTGGAGTGCAATCGCGCGATCTCGGCTCACCACAACCTCTGCCTCCCGGGTTCAAGCCATTCTCCTTCCTCAGCCTCCCAAGTAGCTGAGATTACAGGCATGCACCACCACACCCAGCTAATTTTTTGTATTTTTAGTAGAGACAGGGTTTCTTCATGTTGGTCAGGCTGGTCTCGAACTCTCAACCTCAGGTGATCTGCCCACCTCGGCCTCCCAAAGTGCTGGGATTACAAGTGTAAGCCATGGCGCCTGGCCCACACCTGGCTAATTTATGTATTTTTGGTAGAGACAGGGTTTCACCATGTTGGCCAGGCTGGTCTCGAACTCCTGACCTCAAGTGATCCACCTGCCTTGGCCTCCCAAAATGCTGGGATTACAGGCATGAGCCACTGTGACTGGCCATATTTCTTTCTTTCTTTCTTTCTGTTTTAGAGATGGGCTCTCACTCTGTCGCCCAGGCTGGAATGCAGTGGTATGATCATGGCTCACTGCAGCCTCGTACTCCTGGGCTCAAGCGATCCTCCCACCTCAGCCTCCTGAGTAAGCTAGGACTATAGGTGCATACCATCACGCTTGGCAAATTTTGAAATTTTTTGTAGAGACTGGTACTCCCTATGTTGCCCAGGCTGGTTTTGAATTCCCCGCCTCAAGTGAACCTCCTGCCTCAGACTTCCAAAGTGCTGGGACTACTGGTGTGCGCCACTGTGCCTGGCTAAATTTAAAATATTTTGTACAGACGGGGTTCTCGCTTTGTTGCCCAGGTTGGTCTTGAACTCCTGGCTTCAAGCAATGATTCTCTTTTTGTGAAATGTCCAGAATAGGCAAACCCATAGAGACAGAAAGTAGATTCGTGGTTGCCAGGGGCTGTGGGAAGGGGAGAAGAGGGCGTCATTGCTAATGGACACAGGATTTCTTTTTGGGGTGATAGAAATGTTCTAAAATTGATTGTGATTGCACGACTATGAATATACTGAAAACCATTGATTTGCATGCGACAAATGGCTGGATTGAGTGGTGTGTGAATTACATCACAATAAAGCTGTTACTCTTCAGAGACTCATGCGAGTCATGACTGAGGTCTTCATTTTACAAAGGAGGGTCTGGTGGCTCAGAGTTGGTGGGAGCCTGAGGAGGAGGCGGGGCTGGACCAGCCTCAGGCCAGACTCTAAGCCCCGCCCCTGTTCCCGCAGGGCCTTAAGCTCCACCCCATCCTCTACTGCCCGGGCTCTCTGCTGCTGAGCCTTCACCCACACGGTTCCTTGGCCTGGAATGCTGTTCTCCTCGTCTTCACCTGGCCGTCACCTCCAGAAAGCCTTCCCGACCTCTCCTCCCACGTATACCCTTCCACTGAGCGACATTAATGGAATGTCCACTGCGTGCCAGGCTCTGTTAGGTGCTGGGGATCCACTGGTGAATGAACAGCCCCAGTGCTGCCATCCTGGGCGCCCCGAGGTGTGTAGCCACCGTCAGCCGAGTGCCTGATGGAGGGAGGGGTCAGCTTCCAGGAGAACCCTCCGAGCCGACTCCTGGTCCCTGCATCTCTCTCTCCCTGTCCCCAGTCCATTCCACATCCTGCTGTTCTGCGTTCTGGTCAATTCCTCCTGGAAAGTCCTTCTGCCCTCAGCGGGGACTAAGGATAAAGCATCCAGCAGAGAGACGGCAGCGGAAAGGCCAGGAGATGGAAATGACCATGCTGGGCTGGGCAGGGGGCTGGAGGAGCCATCACGGAACCAGTGCTGGAATTTCAAGTCCTGAGTAGGGACTGCTGAGACCGTGGGGATGGCTGAGACTGTGGGGACGGCTGAGACCGTGGGGATGGCTGAGACCGTGGGGACTGCTGAACCTGTGGGGACTCCTGAGACCGTGGGAACAGCTGAGACCGTGGGGACTCAGACCGTGGGGACGGCTGAGACCGTGGGGACTCCTGAGACCGTGGGGATGGCTGAGACCGTGGGGGCTCCTGAGACCGTGGGGACTGCTGAGACCGTGGGGACTCCTGAGACCGTGGGGATGGCTGAGACCGTGGGGGCTCCTGAGACCGTGGGGACTGCTGAGACCGTGGGGACGGCTGAGACCGTGGGGACTCCTGAGACCCTGGGGACGGCTGAGACCATGGGGACGGCTGAGACCGTGGGGACTCCTGAGACCCTGGGGACAGCTGAGACCATGGGGATGCTGAGACCGTGGGGACTCCTGAGACCGTGAGGACTCCTGAGACCGTGGGGACTGCTGAGACTGTGGGGTGGATGCTGCAGGGTGGGACCCCAGCCCCCACCCCGAGCCAGCCCGTTGGGAACAATACCGTTTCAAGCTAGACCAGAAGAAGAATTTCCTGTGACCCAGCATAAGCCAGCATGCTCTCCTCGCATTGTGCCCGCTGCCTGCCCACGGGGCTCCTGCAGAGGCTTGCCCAGATGAGCAGGTGCAGCCCGCATGTCTGGAGCCGGGGCTGGGGGACTGGTCAGTGGTCTTCACCCCGTCAGCCCCGTGTGGCCCCCTCTGGCCAGGGCTGCTGCTGGGTAGGAGCTCCGGAATGTCTGTGGGTCGTGGAGGCCTTCGGCCCCTTGAGGCAGCCCGGCTGCTGGGACTTGTCCAGATGCCATCAGGGCTGGAACGGCTCATTAACGCAGCAGAGCCCAGGACAGGGGCCGCAAGCCCTTGGCTGGGAAGAGGCTGGGCCTCTGCCGGGAGCCTGTGCCGTGCCTGCCTGGCGCCAGCCCTGTGGCCAGGAAGGCTGGGGCAGAGGTGGAGAGAGGACCCGGGTCTCATACCACCTTTGCCTTCGGATGGGGCAAGTTGCTCGCCCTCTCTGAGCCCGGCTCGCCTCCCCTGCCTTCCCTGCAGGCTGCTGCTGGGCGTTGGGGATGTGAAGTTCCCGCAGTGTCTAGCGGCCCCCGCAGGTCCCACCCGAGAGGCCCCTGAATCTCACGCCCCTCAGAGGCAGCCCCTGGGGGAGGTCCTGGGCTCCTTCTCTTCCCCAGCACAGGGGTCCCTGAGTCCTTTGTACTCCAGTGGGGTCCACTTTGCCAGCTTCCGAAATGCATCACTGATGTCTCTGGGCAGTGCCAGGTGGACCAAGGCTGGGCAGATGGGGTGACTTAGTAGACAGAGTATGTCTCAGGCCTGAATTCAGTTCACCACTGGGCCCCTGGGAGGGAAACCTATTTTCTCTGAGCCTGTCCCCTCCATTCTAAAACAGTAACCAGAGGTGACTTGACCTCTCAGCGGCCAGGCTGTGACCCGATGTGTGACTGTCAGCTGGGAGTGCAGGACGCACGCCATTCCCGGCCGCAGACTCCCCCCACACGTTCTGGGATCCCTCTCTGCACACTAGGGTGCTGTCCCGGCCTCTTTCTCCCTTGGCAGGCCGAGTGCCCGGATCGACGCTTTTCCTGGGTCCCCTTGGCCTGGCGATGAGGCTCCCGCTCCTGCAGGCCAAGGCTTGGCCTATGCACCTGCCGCGCACGTCCCGGAGTGGGGTGGGGGGGGAAGGGGATCGGTCTTCAAACAGAGGGTCCCGAGGCCCGCGCGCCGCCCTGTCCCTGCCCTGCGTCCCGAACGGCCACCGCCGCCGCATCCTCCCCGCGCAGAGGTGAAGATGCCGGAGTCAAGCGAGCCAGGGCCTGGGATCTCGGAGCAGGAGCGTCCTGGTGGTCCCGGCAGCTCGAGTCGCGCCCGGGTGGTGGCGGCTGCCGGCGGGTCCAGCCCAGGCAGTGGCCTCGGAGGCGGAGTGGGCGGGGGAGGGGGAGGGGGGAGGGCGTCCAGACCCCGCCCCCGGTCCCGCCCCGCGCCCGCTCCCAGGCTGCGGGACCGCCGGGCGCAGAGCACAAGCCGGGCACCCACGGACTGAGCGGCGCGCGGGCCGAGATGCGCGCCCGCCTGCTGCCCCCGCTCCCGGGCCTGGAGCGGCGCGACCCCATGGCAGGTAGCGGCGGCCTGGGCGGCGGGGCCGGGGGCGGCCAGGGCGCAGGGGCCGGGCAAGGGGCCGCTCTGCGGGCGTCCCGCGCGCCGATGCTGCTCGTGGCCCTGGTGCTCGGCGCCTACTGCCTCTGCGCCCTCCCCGGCCGCTGCCCGCCGGCCGCCCGCGCCCCCGCGCCGGCCCCCGCGCCCTCCGAGCCGTCCAGCTCCGTCCACCGCCCGGGAGCACCCGGCCTGCCTTTGGCCAGCGGTCCCGGCCGCCGGCGCTTCCCGCAAGCGCTCATCGTTGGCGTGAAGAAGGGCGGCACGCGCGCCCTGCTGGAGTTTCTGCGGCTGCACCCCGACGTCCGCGCGCTGGGCTCTGAGCCCCACTTCTTCGACAGGTGCTACGAGCGCGGCCTCGCCTGGTACCGGTGAGCACCCTGGCCCGTCCGCCCTGACCGGCGCCTTCCTGGGGAGGGTATCGTGCGCCCCAGGGAGCAGCGGCACGATATCCTGCCTCCCAGGGAGCAGGGGTGCGCTCCGGGCAGTGGGGTTGGGACCGCCCTGTGGGGGCCCCAGGCTTGACCTGGGGTCCCGGCTCCGGAAGAAGGAATGATACTTGGCTAGGATTCCCTGAAACTTTGAAAACTGTGGGGAAAGCCCCGGTTCCGTTCTCTCTGCTGAGGGACCCAGCAGGACTGGGGGAGGCGGTGGCTTCCCAGCCCAGAGGTCGTTTCCAGCCCGTGGGATTACCTGGCAGCGTCAGAAATGCCTCTGCCGCCCGCTCACTCTGGGCACTCAGGTGTGACCGACCGCTGGCCAGGTACTGTAGAAAGGGGCCTCCAGGTTCCAGGCAGCCACCTAGAAAGCGTCCTTCCTCCCCAAGACCCCCGAGTCTGCGCACAGGAACCCTTGTTGGTGGTCCTGGGAGTCCGGAGAAAGTCTGGGCTTTGGAAAGGAGGAGACTGCCTTTAGGTGAGTGCCCAGGGTGAGTCCAGCCCCGTGCATGGGGCTCTGTGGCTGTCCTGCCTCTACCCAGGATGGACGTGGGGGTGCGGCAGCCTCAGCTGAAGCAGCCCGCGCTGGTGGCTGCTCATCCCCAAGCTTGGACCCAGCGCCTGCAGAGAGGACCCTGCCCAAGGCCAGTTGGGGAGTCAGTGGGGGTGGCAGGACCCAGACGCTTCTCCAGGTGCTCCAGTTTCTCCGTTCCCGATCCTCTGATCCTCTTCCTTCCCTGACGCCTACCCCTATTTGTTAACTTTGCCTTTTGTACTAAAACTACTCTTGGGTTTGGAGGGCAGGCAGGAAGGGGCTCCGTGAGAATAGGGTGGCTCGCTTCTGAGATCTGAAGGGCTGGTGCCAGTGTGGGGTGCTGGGGAAGTCAGGTGGTGGCTAGGGGACATGGAGTCCATCCCGGGGCTCACCTGGCTGAATTGGGCATCCTCAGCTCAGGCTCCAGGGAGAGACCTCACTCCCCTGACGGCAGGCAGGGGTCAGAATGCATCCCTAATCCCTGCTGCAGGGAGGAGGGTAGGAGGGGCTACCAAGCTAGAAGCTGGGGAGGAGGGGAGTGGCGAGACGGGGGAGGAGGGGAGAGGCGGGAGGGGGAAGGGGAGAAAGGGCTTTGGGTTAAGGATGCACAGTTAACTGGAGTAAACACTTCAGAGCCACCCCTGAGCCCCATGAGCTTTGACAGCAAGAGACTGGGGGTGGGATCTGAGCTGGGCCGTGAGGAGCCACAGGGGAAGCTAGGGTTGGGTTTAGCCCTAAAGGGTTCTGGAAGAGCCCAGGCTCCTGAGGCCAGTCCAGGCCCGCCCTGGGCATGTGTCCAGCGCTGGGGGATCAGTTTGGGGAGGATGAGAGGCAGCCAAGGCCAGGCCCAACTTGGGAGTCAGCTCCTTAGCCTGGGGGTGGGGTTCCGGGGACACTGACGTGCCCAGGGTTGGAGGGGGGTACAGGAGAGTGACTGCTCTGGTAGATTCTTGACGTCCTCATTTTTTAGAAGGGGGAGGGGTGGGTGTGGAGAATTCCAAGGGGTCAGTCCCGTGGCTTCTGCCTCATTAATCTGGTATTGTCCCTTGGACCAACTGTGCTGACCCCTCACTGGGCGGTGCAGAGCCAGTAGAGCTGGGCCTGCTGAGCTTCCGCATTGCAAGTGTCCTCATGCTCTCCGAGGGGCCGTGGCCACGTGGGGCTGGTGTGCTCCTAGGTGCCTGTGCCTCCGTCCTTTCAGCCTGCTAGGAGCCTGCAATGAGCCTCTGAAAGTTCTCACCCTGTCTCAGTTTCCCCAACTGCAAGGCAGCATTGTCTGCTCTTGAGACCCTGGACTGGGCCCCCAGTGCCTGCAAGCTCTGTTCTGGGTGCCGACGCGGGGAGGCGAGCAGAGTAACCAGGGCCCCCAGTTGAGTCTCCGGGCCACGGCTCCCACTGGGCTGTGACCGACCTAGTTCCAGGCGGTGACCCGGCCTTCCTGTGGCCTCGGCAGTTGGGTCCTGGATTGACTTTGGCCATAGGCCCTCCTTCCCTCCTCTCCACCGTCAGTCAGCTCATCCAGGCTCTTGAGGGGCCTCCCACTTGGGGACTGTAGCCCACTAGTGCCCCCGAGCTCAGCACATGCTCAGCCGTTCCCCCACTAGTGAAGCACCTGTGTCTGCCAGGTGTGGGGGTCACGCAGACTCCCCAAGGTCTCGATCTGGGAAGGGTGCCCTGTCTGGGGGCAAATGGGGGCTGTACTTTGACCATCATCTTTTAGAAAAGCAAGAGGAGGGTGGGGCACAGTGGCTCACGCCTGTAATCCCAGCCCTTTGGGAGGCTGAGGTGGGCAGATTACCTGAGGTCAGGAGTTTGAGACCAGCCTGACTAACATGGTGAAACCCCATCTCTACTAAAAATACAAAAATTAGCCAGGCGTGGTGATGGGTGCCTGTATTCCCAGCTACTTGGGAGGCTGAGGCAGGAGAATCGCTTGAACCCGGGAGGCAGAGGTTGTAGTGAGCTGAGATTGTGCCACTGCACTCCAGCCTGGGCGACAAGAGTCAGCTGGAGTGCAGCTCTGTCTCAAAAACAAACAAAACAAAAGAAAAGCAAGAGGAGGCAAGGAGCGGGGTGGGTAGGGGAACCCCTTAGTTCCTGGTTTGCAAGAGCAGTGGGTGCAGGGAGTGGGGTCTGAGTATGTAGTGGGGAAGAACCCGGTCTCCTGTGGGGGATGCAGTCCCCCTGCACTTTCTGGCTTTGGCATCTGCCAGGCCCTTTTGGCATCTGCGAGTCCCAGGCCTGAGGTGTGGGGCAGGAGGAGGGAGGCTGAGATGGAGGAGGGAGGGTCGCCCAGGGCTGGATGAAAGCCGCAGGGAAATGCACACCAGATGAGGTGGGCTCCACAAGGAGGGGGGCAGTCCTCAGAGCAACTTGTCAGATGTTTGTCACACGGGGGTCCAGTCCTGCTCCTCTCCCTCCTCCCCCGTCTCTCCCACCCTCATCCACACCTGGGCTAGGATAGGCTTCGGATGCCTGGGGAGGGAAAGTAATTGATCCCAAAGATCTCCGATCTCTGAGCTGGTTTGTGCAAGAGGGGGCCTCGAAAGCCCTTGCCGCCTGTCTGTGTTCCCACTCCCCTTCCACGGCAGGGGGTCCGGGAACCCCATCCCCCTACGGAGCTCCCTCTGACTCTTTGGAGAGAAGGCCTGGCAGGGTGAACTTTCCTGTTTTGGTGCTGGTCCCTCCAGCAGGCAGGAAGAGGAGGATATTCAGAGTCACTGGTGTGCCATCTGGGAAAGGAAAGGGGTGGGCTCCTGGTCTCGCTTGGTGCCTGGGGTCAGTATGCCCGAGACGGGAGGGAAGGGCCTGGGGCTTCCTTCCTGGCCGAGGGGAAAAGCAGGCAGTGACTTCTCATGAGGCCTGGGGTCTTTCCCCTCCCAGCACTGGCCTGGTTTCTCTCTATGGGCATCGTCAGCGAGGTCCCGTGGTGGGGGGTGGTGCCTCCCCTTCTTGACCTCTCTCAGGGACGGGGGTGCCCCTGAGCTGCCAGGCCTCAGACCTTGGTACCGCCACCACCCAAGGCCTCTGTGTTTGTCCCTGGGACGCTGGGTGCGGCTCCCACGCGGGTTCCAGCTGCAGGAGGTGGGGCGGGGAGTGCAGGGGCTCTGGGACTGACACCACCCTTCCAGGTGGGCTGGAAGGAGGCAGCCCTCCAGGGTGGGAAGAGGGAGGGCTGAGCCCCACGCTCATCCCCAGCACCCCTGCCCCTCCCAGTCTCCCTGTGGCTGCTTCTGAAGTGGCAGTGGGTGGGTGGAGGGAGTCCCAGCTCCCTCTGTCACCAAGACGGAGGAGGACTTGTCCGGTATCGTCTGTAGGCCAGCTCTGCCCAGGGCCTGGTTCTGCGGGGTGGGAAGGCTCCCGTGCCGCCCACCCCTACTCTGCACCGCTCATGGTGGGTGTTGTGGGGGAAGCCTGGATTCTCTCCCGCTGCCTCACACATCCTCCCTCCCACCTCCAGCGCTCTCCACCGAGCACCCCACTGCAGGGGTCTGTGCAGCTGCCTCTGGCCCAGCCTGCGTTTCCCTGGGGGTCTGAGCAGGAAAAGGGGACTCAGAACCTGCCTCCCAAGGGCTCAAGTCTGGGGCGGTCACTCCTGGCAGGTCAGCCTCCTGGCAGGGGCCGGTCCTGGGGCTGTCAGCAGGGGTGGGGGAAGCCCCCTCAGAGGGCAGGAGTCAGGGCTGGGCGTGACTGGCAAGGCATCCCCTCCCTAACACAGTCCCTGTGTTTCTATCGACCTAGTTCCCAGCCCTCCCCAGCTCTCCCTCCGAGCTGTTTGCTCAGCTGACCTACCACGCCCTGCCCTGCCCAACCTCACCCTGCACTACCTGGCTGGCAGGTGCTGCCCGGGGCACTGCTGGGGGTGCCTGGGCCTGCCCGGGCTGGGCACCCAGAATGGGCTCTCTGCCCAGGTGGGACAGTCCTGGGCTGTGGTCGGCTGATTCCCCCGGGACCTTGGGACTGGGTCAGTGCCCTCCTCTCCTGTGTCAGAATGAGGAGAATCTCAGAAAGGCCCCCTCCCTGGCCTGGCACCCTGGCAACCTGCAAGATCTAGGGGGCCACAGCGGCCCAGGGTCTTGGGAAGGATCCTCCGGCCGGCGCCGCCACGTCTCCGACTTTCCTCACATGTGCTGGGCTCTGCTGGTAACTTTTTGGCCTGCTGAGTCCAGGCCCAGGCTGATGAGAATTCACAGGGCTACAGTTAAAGACGGGGAGAGAGGCCAGCCGCAGTGGCTCACGTCTGTAATCCCAGCACTTTGGGAGGCTGAGGCAGGCGGATCACCTGAGGTCAGGAGTTCGAGACCAGCCTGGCCAACATGGCGAAACCCCGTCTCTACTAAAAATACAAAAATTAGCTGGGTGTGGTGGCGGGCACCTGTAATCCCAGCTACTCCGGGGGCTGAGGCAGGAAAATCGCTTGAACCCGGGAGGCAGAGGTTGCAGTGAGCCGAGATTGCACCACTACACTCCAGCCTGGGTGACAGAGCAAGACTCCGTCTCAAAAAATAAATAAAGATGGGAAGAGATGTAATTACATCAGGGGAGGGAGGGAGCAGGGAGGACTACTTTTGGTTGAGGACACACTGTCAATAATTGGTGAAGGGCTGATTTAGGGGATGCTGTCAGCCACTGAGTGAACGGGTGACCTCAAGTGATCTAGGCGGGCGGGCCTCGGGGTACTTGGTCTGGGATGAGAAAGGAGCTGGGGGCAGCCTAGTTCCAGGAAAGTGTGGGTCCGGTGGGAGGGAGCTGGCTCTGGAAGCGAGGACGGCAGGGATTGCACAGGGAAGATATGTGGGTGGTGAGGAGCATTTGGGCCTCCCGACCAGCGACCGTCACCCTAATCCTCAGTGCAGCAGCAGGCGGGGCAGGCCGGCGGAACAGGCCGGGCTGCAGGCAGGTGCCGGGCTGGGCACCCTCACAGTCCATGTTCCAGGCTGCCCAGCCGCGCACGCTAGCAGGGGTGGGCCCGAGCAGGGAGGAAGACTTGCTCGCCCTGGAGGCCTGGGCTTCCCGGGCATAAGGGGGCCTTGGTCCCGGGCCCCTGGGGGCCGGTCTAGGGCTGGGGAGGCTCAGGCCCCCTCTCCTTGCACCCGTCCCGCAGGAGTCTGATGCCCCGAACCCTGGATGGGCAGATCACCATGGAGAAGACCCCCAGCTACTTCGTGACGCGAGAGGCCCCCCGCCGCATCCACGCCATGTCCCCGGACACGAAGCTGATCGTGGTGGTGCGGAACCCCGTGACCCGGGCCATCTCCGACTACGCCCAGACGCTCTCCAAGACCCCGGGCCTGCCCAGCTTCCGCGCCCTGGCCTTCCGCCACGGCCTGGGCCCCGTGGACACAGCCTGGAGCGCCGTCCGCATCGGCCTGTACGCCCAGCACCTGGACCACTGGCTGCGCTACTTCCCCCTGTCCCACTTCCTGTTCGTCAGCGGGGAGCGTCTGGTCAGCGACCCGGCCGGAGAGGTCGGCCGCGTGCAGGACTTCCTGGGCCTGAAACGGGTCGTCACGGACAAGCACTTCTACTTCAACGCCACCAAGGGCTTCCCCTGCCTCAAGAAGGCCCAGGGCGGCAGCCGTCCCCGCTGCCTGGGCAAGTCCAAGGGCCGGCCACACCCACGCGTGCCCCAGGCCCTGGTCCGGCGCCTGCAGGAGTTCTACCGGCCCTTCAACCGCAGGTTCTACCAGATGACGGGCCAGGACTTCGGCTGGGGCTGAGCGGCACCCTGGGGATGCTCAGCACCTTGATTGACACCCGCTCGCCTGGCCAGAGCGGGCTGCGTGCACATGCTGGGCAGAGAGGAATATTTAAGAAATAAAGCTTGGACCCAGATTTTTCCACAAACCTCGAGGTTGGAGGGTGGAGGCGCTGTCCCCAGGGATGTGGTAACCATATCAGCGAACTCCACTGGGCACTGACTGTGTGCCTCGTGTCGCACTTTTTTTTTTTTTTTTTTTTTGAGATCGAGTCTCGCTCTGTCGCCCAGGCTGGAGTGCAGTGGCGTGATCTCGACTCACTGCAAGCTCCACCTCCCGGGTTCACGCCATTCTCCTGCCTCAGCCTCCCGAGTAGCTGGGACTACAGGCGCCCACCACCACGCCCAGCTAATTTCTTTTTGTATTTTTAGTAGAGACGGGGTTTCACCGTGTTAGCCAGGATGGCTACGATCTCCTGACCTCGTGATCTACCCGCCTCAGCCTCCCAAAGTGCTGGGATTACAGGCGTGAGCCACCGCACCCAGCTATTTTTTTTTTTTTTTTTTTTTTGAGATGGAGTCTTGCTCTGTCACCATGCTGGAGTGCAGTGGTGTGATCTCAGCTCATTGCAACCTCCGCCTCCCAGGTTCAAGCAATTCTCCTGTCTCAGCCTCCCAAGTAGCTGGGATTACAGGCGTGTGCCACCACACCTGGGTAATTTTGTGTTTTTTTTTTTTTTTTTTTTTTTTTTAGTACAGACAGGGTTTCACCATGTTAGCCAGGATGGTCTGTATCTCCTGACCTGGTGATCCACTCGCCTTGGCCTCCCAAAGTGCTGGGATTACAGGCGTGAACCACCACACCCAGCCAATTTTAATTTTTTCTTAGGACAGAGTCACCCTCTGTGGCCCAGGCTGGAGTGCAGTGGTGTGATCTCAGCTCACTGCAGCCTCCACCTCCTGGGTTCCAGCGATTTTCCTACCTCAGCCTCCCAGGTAGCTGGGATTACAGGCATGCGCCAACATGCCCAGCTAATTTTTTTTGGTATTTTTAGTAGAGATGGGGTTTCACCATGTTGGCCAGGCTGGTCTCGAACTCCTGACCTCAAGTGATCCGCCCATCTTGGCTTCCCAAAGTGCTGGGATTACAGGCAGGAGCCACCACACCTGGCCCAAAACTCATTCTTTATACACCCTCAGAGGTGGGCAGTGCGCCTGGTCAGGTCTAGCCTGTGAGCTCGGAGAGGCGTAGGGCCCGCCCAGCGACATGCAGCTTAGCCCTAGTGATGCTGGGGGCCATGCTCAGGCTCTCTTCTCAGCCCTGGGAGGCTGGGCAGGGCTGTCCTCATGTTCAGGATGAGGAAAGTGAGGCTGCAGGCCTCGCTGTGGAGTGGTGGGGCAGGATTAAAGTCGGGTCCGCACCCACCACCTTGGCTCATCCGGAATCCAGGTGCGCAGTGGACGCTTCCTTCTGGAGCCTTGTGGAATTGCCTGAGTGTTGGTGAGGTCAGCGAGTGTTGGGTGTGTGCACAGGGAGACGGATTAATAGCCTCTTAGCCTTCCCTGTAGAGGCCCACCCATTCAGGCACCACCCACTCTCTGGCCCCACCCACTCCCCCAGGCCCCTGCTGCCCCAGTTCCGTGGTATTTGTTCTGTGCCCTCCCCTGGGGATAGGGCTGGGATCAGTGGCCATCTGCAGTCCAGCTGCCCGCTCATAACTGAGGCCAGACTCAGGCAGGCTGGGGTGCCCTGTCCGCCCCTGTGTCCTGGGAGTAGGAGGGACTCCTCAGTAATGACCCTCACCTGCTTGTGGCCACGTGCTGTCTGCCAGGTGCCCACCAGCTGCCCTGACGATGACCTCCGGGGCTGCTTGGGCTTAGCCCCAGGTCTGTCGCAAGGCCTAGCTGTGGTCTCCACAGCCCCGCTGAGTCCCACAGGCCCTGATATGGTCTTTCTGCCTCTCAGCTACTTGGAGCCACTCCCTGTTTTGGGAATGCAGGCAGTGAGGAAGGATTTGCAGGAGGGGCTGCGTCTGGACACCCACCCCGCCTCCTGCTAGTTTCTGGGCCCAGTGGACACTCTGCTCTGCAGCTGCCCTGAGGGGCAGGCACTTCCCACAGGCCTCTCCATCCCAGGCCAGGACAGAGGCAGGGCTGGAGGCCGGTTCTGAGCTCCCCTCCGAGCACCCACCCAGAGACTGCAGTGGCAACATGGTGGGCAGATGTGGGCCCAGATGTGGACAAGTCACAGGCACAGCCTCCGTCCTACCTCGAAGCTCTGATGTGGGTGGAGGGGAAAGGGCCCCCCCGACTGACAGCAGCTTTGGGAAGAGGGAACAGACTCCACCTCGGATCCCTGCCAGGAGGGGATCACTGGGCTGGGCTGCTCTGTCCCCACCCCCTGCACGGGTGCCCTCTGTGAAGACCGGGCCAACTGCCTGCCCCAGGCCTGGGGGTGGGAAGGAATACAGGACAGCCCCTGGCCCCTGGTGACCCAGTTCCCAGCCCGGTGCATGTGGATTTCTTCTTCCTGGACACACCCTTCTCATGCCTGGGCCGTTTCAGGGGCTGCTCACCATCATCCCACCACCTCTTTTGTTCTACAGTGAGCTCTCCGCATGGCAGCTGGAGGGCCGTCGCGGAATAAACCAGATCCTATTGTTTTAAAACTCTCTGATCCCCACCTTTTCCCCTTATTGCTTCTAGGATGAAAACCAAACTCCAGATCACAGCTGTTACAGCCCTCTACGGCTTGCCCCTCCGTCCTACATGCGCTCCTTATTCCAGCACGCCCACCACACTGGCACCTGCCAGCTCCTTCCACCTGCCGTGGCCTGTCCAACCTCATGGGCTTTGCATGTGCTATTCCCTCTGTCTGGAATGCCTTTCCCTGCAGAAGGTGCTGACGGGATGGAGGGGCAGCTGCTCTCACTGAGGCTCTGCTACTTTCCTCCCTCCGTTTAGAGTTCCTTTTCTGAGTCCACCAAATGACCCCATTGTTTCCGTCCCGACACAGAGCTGTGAGGGGTGGGGCACTGGTTTGGCTGGCTTTGGGGCCTGAACCCAGGGCCTGGGGGGGCAGACTCTGGAAGCAGCGAGGGGTGGGCTGGCGTATTCTGCACCCGCTGAGCAGGAACTCCGCCTAACCACCAGCACTCAATGCGGGTGAGGTGCCCAGCTGGGCCTCCGAACACACGGAGGGCAGATGTCGGTGGGGACCTACGGGCTGCGTGCAGGGAGGCGCTCCCTGGGAGAGTCATCAGCCTTTAATTAAAGTCCCTAAATTGCTTCCCCAGCCGCTCCGTGGGTTTTCCATGTTGGAATGTTCCAGATGGGGCGAGAAGCGCTGATTCAATTACCCTCTTCCTGTTCCGCCCGGTGGAGGGGAAGGGGCCTGGGAGCCCATCTCCAGCCCTCCTACCCCAGCCAGACCAGGATGGCGTGGGCCACGGGTTGGGGTCCTCACAGCCCTGGGAGTCCAGGAAGGGGCTCGGAGAAGCCTGGGGAGGAGGCTGCTTCCGCCTCGAGGGTTCTCACAAAGCCCCTGCCCTCCTGGCCTGCTGGGATGGGTGGGTGGGACCAGGTGGCCGTGCTCTCCGCCCTAAGCCTTGCACACACGGGCATGGAAGCCCTGAGCATGCCCTGGTCCCAGCAGCCCAGCCCCAAAGGGGACACAGGGAAGGGTCAGCCCCTGCACCCACCCTCTCCACAGGCCTGAAAATATTTATGAAGCCCCGTCGTAGAGGAAGAGAGGAGACTAGAGAGGGCCAGCAGCTTGCCCGCCTCTCACTGCACCAGCGCTTCCTGCGAGGCCCAACCCTGGGGAGCTCTGAGATCCCCCGTGTGCAGGGAGTCGGCACGTGGGGGCAACCTGGCTCCCTCCCTCCCCTGGGGCAGGGGTCCTCACTGGGTTGATCGCCTGACTGGGGGGTCCTCAGAGCTCAGTTGGGGCTGCTGACCCCTGCCCTCTGTGGGGGGACAGGCCTGGGGCCCCTGGTTCTGGACGGCCTCTCTGCCTGGGGCATGCCTCTCTGCCCGGGGCATGGGGCTGGAGGGTCAGGGTGAGGCGGGCTCTGGCTTCCTCCCTCCCGGGCTCCTCAGTGTGGCCGTGCAGGGCAGAGCCAGGGAAGGGAAGGGGAAGCCGGCCTCCGGGGTGAAGCCTGGATTATGGGGTGCCATGTGGGCAGCGCCTGTGAGTCCCCTTTGTCCAGGAGGAGGGGTGCTTTGGGGAAAGGCGTGTTTCCCCTGGGCCATGTGGCCAGATCTAGAGGCCCCTCACAAGCCTGAGATGGTCTAGATCCCAGGCTCCAGGAGGGGGCCGGGCCACAGGTGAGAGGGGCTTGAGTGACTTAAAATGAATTGAGTCCCCTTGGAGCTCCTGTCCTCACTCCTTTCCTGGCTCCCCAGGCCTGAGCCCCTTCTCCTATCTGCCAGACTGTCCCGGGCGCCTTGTTCCCCTAAGGAGCTGCGGGGTTGTGATTTCCACATGGGTCCCTCTGCAGGGGCTCGGCCATGGCCCAGGAGAGGCCAGGGACCCCATGAAGGCCTGAGATGCTTTCTCCAGGGCGGCCACAGCAGCCCGCTGCTACACTAGTCTCTGTCCCTGCAGAAGCTATGCAGGGAGGGGCTGCAAATTTGCTGACCTCAGGAATGTGGTGTTTCATTTCTGCGAGATGCTCCCTTTCTAGAAGGTTCCTCTCAAACTGGCAAGGGCTGACTTCTGAGGTCTCTGTCATTGGGACCAACACTTATGCTGGAGGGTGAGGTGGAAGGCAGGGGTGCAGGAGCAGCCTCGGGTTCCTGGATGAATCCGTTTTATTCTGCTTTATCCATTGTAGCCCTGGGGGCAGCTCTGGGCAGCCGGGAGCCATCAGTGCCCCTGGGCAGGGCCAGCGCCAGCGCCCCTGCAGGAAGTCCCCACTCCTGAGGCCCAGACTCCTTTCGTGTCCTCAGGGGCTCTCGGGTTCTGAGCTTGCCCTTCCTGTGTCCTGCATGCCTGCCTTATTCCCTTGGCTGGCACGTGAGCCCCTCCTCCGTCTGTGCTCCCGGGTGCAGCGCTGAGGCTCTAGGAGTCGGGGTGGAGCCCGACTGAGGGTCTGGAGAAAGAGGAGGAGGCTCAGGGACAGTGGCTGAGAGAGCCCCACAGTGGACTTCCTTCCACCAACAGGCACCCAGGGCTAGAGTGTGTGCTTCTGAGAACTCACAGGGCAAGCTGGGGGGACCACACGGAGGCCCAGCATTGGCGAGACGAGCGAACCGCCCAGCTGCCAAGAAAGCAAAGCATGAACTGCAGAGGGACACGGCACAGGGCTGGGGCGGGGAGCTGAAGCTGGGAAGAGCCCCGGCAGGAGAGCCTGGTGCAGAGATGACGTTTACCTGCACCCTGGAGTGGGACCAGCCATGACGGTCAGGCAGACTGCCAGTGCATCAAGGTGCCGGGGAGACGGACAAATGGGGTGGGGTGATGGAGGCTGGCTAAGAAACATTCTGGGCCGGGCGCGGTGGCTCACGCCTGTCATCTCAGCACCTTGGGAGGTTGAGGCGGGCGGATCACTTGAGGTCAGGGGTTCGAGACCAGCCTGGCCAACATGGCGAAACTCCCTCTCTACTAAAAATACAAACATTAGCCGGGCATGGTGGCCTGTGCCGGTAATCCCAGCTACTTGGGAGCCTGAGGCAGAATCGCTTGAACCCAGGAGGCAGAGGTTGCAGTGAGCCGAGATCGCACCACTGCACTTTAGCCTGGGCAACAGAGTCAGACTCCATCTCAGAAAAAAAAAAAGCAAAGTGGGGACGGAAGGGCTGGCCCAGGTGGCATAAGGGACCCACTTTTCCAGCACGCTGGATAGGGCACATCTGAGCCCCACTGCGCTGCTGGGGCACTTAGTATTTCTGAAGGCAAGAGTTTTGTTTCCTGACTTAGAATTCTCTGCAGATACTGCCTCAAGATGGTTCTTTCTCAGGACTATCCATCTGACAGTGAAGATCCTGGGCCCAAAATGAGGGAATGAGGGCCAGAGACCTAGGTTAAAAACCAGGATCTCAAAATGCACCCTCCAGATTTTAATTTATGTAGCCAAGGTGTGTAGTAGGCTATGCCATATAGGATTTTTGGTTTTTCTTTTTCTTTTTCTTTTTCTGAGGAGTTTCGTTCTTGTTGCCCAGGCTGTGAGTGCAGTGGCGTGATCTTGGCTCACTGCAACCTCTGCCTCCCAGGTTCAAGCGATTTTCTTGCCTCAGCCTCCCGAGTAGCTGGGATTACAGGCGCCCACCACCATGCCCAGCTAATTTTTGTATTTTTAGTAGAGACAGGGTTTGGCCATGTTGGTCATGCTGGTCTAGAACTCAAGACCTCAGGTGATCCACCCGCCTTGGCCTCCCAAAATGTTGTGATTACAGGGTGAGCCACTGCGTCTGGCCTTTTCTTTTTTCTCTGTAGAGACAGGGTCTTGCTCTGCCGCCCAGGCTGGAGTGCAGTGGTGCTATCGCAGCTCAGTGCAGCCTTGAAGTCCTGGGTTCAAGCAATCTTCCTGCCTCAGCTTTCTGAGAGTTGGGGCTACAGGCACGTGCTACCACGCCTGGCTAATTTTTTCTATTTGTTTCTTTTTGTAGAAATGGGGTCTCGCTCTGTTGCTCAGGCTGGTCTCAAACTCCTGGGCTCAAGTGATTCTCCTGCCTGAAGTCTCCCAAAGCGCTGGGATTGCAGGCGTGAGCCGCTGTGCCTGGCCATCTAAATTCATGCCAGTGAACTCTGTGATGTTTTCATGACACAAAGTCACCTCATGATGCATTTTTCAGACCATAACCTGTCGTTAAGTGAGGCACTTAATTGGAGGAGGGTGTGTGAGGCACTTAATTGGAGGAGGGTGTGTGAGGTGTGAGGCACTTAATTGGAGGAGGGTGCATGCTGGGCTGGGCTGCCCGGGGCCAGTGCAGGGAGCTCCAGGGCTGGTCAGGAGCAGACACGAGCCAGGCAAGCCAAGGTCAGAGCCTTTCCAGGGGTTTCCAGGGGAAAGGCAGGGCAGGGCGGGGAAATAGCTTGGGCCTGGTCAGTCTGAGTAATTCCGGTGGGCTCTGGGACCTCGGCTCTCCCTACTTGTTTGGTGCTTGGCCCTTGGTGACTGAGGGCAGGGGACATGAGCTTGTGGTGTGAGAGTTAGATAAGGAGGTGGTTCAGAGGCAGGTTCTGGAGGGCAGGGAAGATAGAAACAATGTAGCTGTTAGTTCGGCCCTGTGATTAATGGATGCCAAATGGACAAATGCCGCATCTGAGAAAACACACAACACCAGGCTTGTGTCCAAGGCTCTGTACCGGAAGCCATTCCCTCTGTAGCCCCGGCCCCTTGCCAAACCATGGACCGCAGCCCCCGTCCCGGGGACGCGTCTCAGATGTGAACTGTGCTCAGGTTCATTCTGGTCCCAGGGCTGGGCCCATGTTGGTAGGGGGCGGCCCCTCCCTGAGCAGGGCTGGTCCTGCCATACCCCATCCCACTGGTGGTCTCCCAGGGCGGGGGCAGGGAGTCCAGGGAAGACCGTGGGTGAGTTGGGGGCATGGCTTGTGCCGAGCACGCTGGCCTGGGTAAAAGAGGTTTGGTCAAAACCCTGGGTGGGTGAGGATGGATATGCCAGGCAGGGCCCACGGTGGTCCCTGGAGGCTGCCTGTCTGCTGGGGTTCACAGGCAGGGCTCCACCCTCTGGACCAGGGTGCCAAGCCCTGCATCTCCACCTGGGCTGGGGGTAGGTCTTGGCTCTCAGAGGACTCCGGCATGGCGGCCACTGGGGAAACAGGACAAAGAGCAGACCACCGAGGCCACGGAGACCCTCAGGTGCATGTGCCACCTGCAGACGATACCCTGCTCTGGAGCCCTGGGGCCTGGACGTTCAGCCCCACCTCTTTTTTTTTTTGAGACAGGGTCTCACTCTGTCGCCCAAGCTGGAGTGCAGTGGCGCGATCTCGGCTCACTGCAACCTCTGCTTCCTGGGTTCAAACGATTCTCCTGCCTCAGCCTCCCGAGTAGCTGAGATTACAGGCGCCCGCCACCATGTCTGGATAATTTTTGTATTTTCAGTAGAGACGGTGTTTCACCATGTTGTCCAGGCTGGTCTCGACCTCCTGACCTCAAGTGATCCGCCCACCTCGGCCTCCCAAAGTGTTGTGATTACAGGCGTGAGCGGGCCAGCCCCACCTCTTGAGGAACGATGAGACTCTTCTGATGCAGTCGCCAACAACGAGCGCTGCTGAGGCTTCCAGGGACATACAGGACAAGATCCTCCCTCTCAAAGCCAGGCTCTGGCTCGGAGGCAGAGGAATTCCTTTCATGCTGCCTAATCTCAGCCACATTGTGTATGGTTTTCACTGGAGAAGCCCCCGAAAACAGTCGGTCAACCAAAACAGTTAACACAAAACTATTGCCAGAAGGATGCCATACTCAAGTGTTCTGATGACGGGAGGCAAGCTCCACCGTGGGGCCGCAGAGAACAATTGTGGATCTTGTTCTCCTGGTCTCTGCTCCCAGCACTCCGTGAGCGGGCCCCGCGTGCAGGGGGATTGCTGGCCAGACCTGACAGCCTCACACGGTCAGATACTATCATCTTTTCTGTCTCCCACAAGGGAGGACGACGGCCTATCTGATGGAAAGCCAGTCTCCTGCTGAGGATGGATGCGCAGCTGTGCAGCAGGGGAGGGGACTCCTGTCAAGCATGCGGAGTTTTTGGGGAGAAGCATCTGGAGACTGGCCCCTGGTTTCACAGTCTGGACTCTGGTTGGGAAGGGGGGCAGCCCCCTTTTGTGGGAGTGATCAGAGGTTCTAGGGCGTCCATCACTGGCTGGCCCTGTTGGGGTGCACAGTTGGGGGACGCATGCAGGCCTGGGGAGAGCACGGCAAAGGGCCCAGAATTGCTGGCAAGCCTTGGACGAGCCAAAGGACGCATATTCAGGACTCCCCTGGTCTCGGGGAGGTCACTGCCTGACTCTCGGTGAGCTCAGAAAGAGCCCAGAATGGCCAGGTGTGGTGACTCACACCCGTAATCCCAGCACTTTGGGAGGCCAAGGTGGGTGGATCACTTGAGGTCAGGAGCTCGAGACCAGCCTGGCCAACATGGTGAAACTAAAAATACAAAATTTAGTTGGGCGTGGTGGTATGCACCAGTAATCCCAGCTACGTAGGAGGCTGAGGCACAAGAATCACCTGAATCTGGGAGACGGAGGTTGCAGCGAGCTGAGATTGTGCCACTGCACTCCAGTCTGGGCAACAGAGTGAGACTCTGTCTCAAAAAAAAAAAAAAAAAAACAGAAAAGAAAAAAAATTACTGGAAGCCCCAAAGAGCTTTTGTGTGTGAATTATATCCAAGGCTGGCTACATAAATAATCTTCAGGGCCTAGCACAAAATGAAAGAAAAAAAACTGCTGTGAAAGGTGCTAACAGAAAGCTTTGCCCTTTTTCCATGATCCCTTTTTCCTTCTCTCCTTCCTCTCTCAGCTTGTCATGGTGGTTCTGTTTGCTACTTAATGTCATTCTAAGTAAAGAAAAATAAACATTTAAAATATTAACAAACACTTTACAATTCATTTTTTTTTTGAGGCGGAGTCTTGCTCTGTCACCCACGCTGGAGTACAGTGGCGCGATCTTGGCTCACTGCAGACTCTGCCTCCCGGGTTCAAGCGATTCTCCTGCCTCAGCCTCCCAAGTAGATGGGATTACAGGCGCCTGCCACCACGCCAGGCTAATTTTTGTATTTTTTAGTAGAGACAGGGTTTCACCATCTTGGCCAGGCTGGTCTCGAATTCCTGACCTCATGATCCACCCTCCTCGGCCTCCCAAAGTGCTGGGATTACAGGCATGGGCTACCATGCCCAGCCTTTTTTTTTTTTTTTTTTTTTTGAGATGGAGTCTTGCTCTGTTGCCCAGGCTGGAGTGCAGTGGCGTGATGTTGGCTTACTGGCTCACTGCAGCCTCCACCTTCCGGGTTCACGCCATTCTCCTGCCTCGGCCTCCTGAGTGGCTGGGACTACAGGTGCGCACCACCGCATCCAGCTAATTTTTTGTATTTTTAGTAAAGATGGGGTTTCACCGTGTTAGCCAGGATGGTCTCGATCTGCTGACCTCAGGTGATCCACCCGCCTTGGCCTCCCAAAGTGCTGGGATTACAGGCGTGAGCCACCTCGCCTGGCCCATCCTTTTTTTGTTTTGTTTTTTTGAGACAGGGTTTCACTCTGTCACCTGGGCTGGAGTGCAGTGGCGCAAACTCAGCTCACTATGGCATTGGCCTCCTGGGCTCAAGCGATCCTCCTACGTCAGCCTCCTGAGTAGCTGGGACTACAGGCGCACGTCACCACGCCCAGCACCCTTTTTTTTTTTTTTTTTTTTGAGACGGACTCTCACTCTGTCGCCTAGGCTAGAGTGCAATGGCGTGATCTCAGCTCACTGCAACCTCTGCCTCCCCGGTTCAAGCGATTCTCTCGCCTCAGCCTCCCAGGTAGCTGGGATTATGGGAACCTGCCATCACGCCTGGCTAATTTTTGTATTTTTGTAGAGATGGGGTTTCACCATGTTGTTGGGCAGGCTGGTCTTGAACTCCTGACCTCAGGTGATCTGCCCACCTCAGCTTCCCAAAGTGCCAGGATTACAGGTGTGAGCCACTGCACCCCAGCCTGGCTACTTTTTAATTTTAATTTTTATAGAGATGGGGTCTCACTATGTTGCCCAGGCTGGTCTGGAACCCCTTGGTTTAAGTGATCCTCCTGCCTTGCCCTTCCAAAGGGCTGGATTTACAGGCGTGAGCCACTGTGCCTGGCCATTGGGTCTGAATTAACCCCGGGCTCCACGCCACAAGGCCACGGGTGACCTTGGCCTGTCTGTGGCTGGTTTGTGGGGTGAACAGGGGCTGGCTGCTGGGTCTGTGTGTGAACACAGGCTGTGGCTGCTCCCTGCAAAAGCTCAGGGTGTGGGGCTCCATGAGGCTCATCCTCTCCTCCCCAGCCACCCGCATGCTACATTTGACTTCCTTTTCTAAAGTGTTCACCTGTGCAAATATTTGTGGTCAGCCCAGCCTGCTGCTGCCATGTCCCTTCGGCCGCCTGGGGTTGCCGCCGGGGCTGCGTTCTGGAGAAGAGCATGTCTCTCAAACTCCGAGGTTTAATTCTTTTGCTCTCCGCAGGGACAGGCACCATCTATGTTCACCTGCACAGCACGCACACACAGGTTCTATTTACAAAGCGACTAAGAACAACACAGTGCAATCAGGAACACATCACAACTGTCAGGAATGGTTCACAGTCAGTCATGAGAGTGTGCGTTTGCCAGCCAGGAGCTTTCAGT
Source organism: Homo sapiens (assembly GCF_000001405.40). Lineage (NCBI taxonomy): Eukaryota > Metazoa > Chordata > Mammalia > Primates > Hominidae > Homo > Homo sapiens. The sequence goes on along the minus strand of NC_000016.10, from coordinate 1,900,293 downwards.
GCACACGTGGGTTGCAGCCTCACCTGGTGCTTCCAGCCAGCAGCACAGCCGGCTGCTGCCCCGCCCGGTGTTCTGGTGCTCACTGGCCTCCAGGGCTCAGGCCCCCCCAAAATGGCAAAACAACCCTCCTGTGATTCCCTGAGATCCTCTTTGGACCAAAGGTGCTTTACCCTTTCTTTCCTTCGTTTTCTTTTTTTTGAAACAGGGTCTCACTCTATTGCCCAGGCTGGAGTGCAGTGGTGCGATCTCGGTTTACTTCAGCCTCTGCCTCCCAGGTTCAAGCAATCCTCCCACCTCAGCCTCCTGGGTAGCTGGGACCACAGGCTTGCGACACCATGCCTGACTAATTTTTACATTTTTGGTAGAGATAGGGTCTCACTGTGTTGCCCAGGCTAGCCTCAAACTCCTGGGCTCAAGCAGTTCACCTGCCTCAGGCTCCCAAACTGCTGGGATTACAGACATGAGCTACTGTGCCTGGCCTCTTTTTTTTTTTTCTTTTTTTGAGATGGAGTCTTGGTCTGTTGCTAGGCTGGAGTGCAGTGGCGCAATCTCAGCTGACTGCAACTTCCGCCCCCTGGATTCAAGCAATTCTCTGCCTCAGCCTCCCAAGTAGCTGGGATTACAGGCGCCTGCCACCACGCCGGATAATTTTTTTTTGTATTTTTAGTAGAGACAGGGTTTCATCATGTTGGCCAGGCTGGTCTTGAACTCCTGACCTCAAGTGATCCACCTGCCTCGGTCTCATAAAGTGCTGGGATTACAGGAATGAGCCACCATGCACGGCCTTTTTTTTTTTTTTTTTTGAGATTGAGTCCCACGCTATTGCCCAGGCTGGAGTGCAGTGGTGCAATCTTGGCTCACTGCAACCTTCACCTCCCAGGTTCAAGAGATTTTCCTGCCTCAGACTTCCGAGTAGCTGGGATTATAGGCGTGCGCCACCACGCCGGCTAATTTTTGTATTTTTAGTGGAGACGGGGTTTCACCATGTTGGTTGGACAGGCTGGTCTTGAACTCCTGACCTCAAGTGATCCGCCCGCCTCAGCCTCGTAAAGTGCTGGGATTACAGGCGTGAGCCACCACGCCTGGCCTTGCCTGGCCTCTTTCTTGGAAGTTACACTGCACCGGAATGCGATTCACTGGGGAGAGAACGTTTCATCCACCCTGGCTGGGACCAGTGCTGGGAGGGGTTCTGGGTTCTGGGGCTGGTCCCTCCAGTTCTGATCCTGGCCACCGACCGGCAACTGGTCAGTTTGTGCCCTGGACGGGTGGGCAGAAAAATCAATGGTTTTGCTCTGCTGATGAAAGTGGTCCGGACAACTCCTGTGCCGGAGACCAATAAAGCCCCATGGACACAATTATTTACTATAAAGACGTAGTATCGATTGAGCAGTTATGAGGATGAAGTGCAGGAAGGCACTGACATCAGGTGGCCTGCTTTCTCCAGAAGGTGATGGGAAAGCCTAGCTGTTTTTCTTTCTCTTTTGTAAACATTTTAAAACCTTTTTCTGGCCAGGCGCAGAGGCTCATGCCTGTAATCCCAGCACTTTGGGAAGCCAAGGCAGGCGGATCACCCGAGGTCGGAACTTCAAGACCAGCCTGACCAACATGGGAAACCCATCTCTACTAAAAATGCAAAAATTAGCCGGGCGTGGTGGCTCGCGCCTGTAATCCCAGCTACTCAGGAGGCTGAGGCAGGAGAATCGCTTGAACCTGGGAGGCGGAGGTTGCAGTGAGCTGAGATCGCGCCACTGCACTCCAGCCTGCGCAACAGAGTGAGACTGCGTCTCAAAACAAAATCAAAAAACCTTTTTCTTATGCAGTGCAGTTGACCTGTGACCAACACAGGTTTGAAGTGCCTGGGTCCACTTAGACATAGCGTTGTTTCTTTTCTTTCTTTCTTTTTTTTTTTTTTTTGAGACAGAGTCTCGCTCTGTCACGTAGGCTGGAGTGTAGTAGCACAATCTCGGCTCACTGCAACCTCCAACTCCCAGATTCAAGTGATTCTCCCCGTTCAGCCTCCCGAGTAGCTGAGATTACAGGCACCCACCACCATGCCCAGCTAATTTTTGTATTTTTAGTAGAGATGGGTTTCGCCATGTTGGCCGGGCTGGTCTCGAACTCCTGACCTCGGATGATCTGCCTGCTGTGGCCTCCAAAGTGCTGGGATTACAGGCGTGAGTCACTGTGCCCAGTCACACTTTTTCTTTTCTTTTCTTCTTCTTCTTTTTTTTTTTTTTTGAGACAAGCTCTCCTTGTGCCCCAGGCTAGAGTGCAGTGGTGCAATCTCAGCTCACTGCAGCCTCGACTTCCCTGGGCTCAGGCAATCCTCCCACCTCAGCCTCCCAAGTAGCTGGGACTATAGGCACCTGCCACTACACCCAGCTCACTTTTGTATTTTTTGTGGTGACAGGGTCTTGCTACATTGTCCAGGCTGGTCCTGAACTCCTGGCTTCAAGCAATCTTCCTGCCTTGGCTTCCCAAAGTGTTGGGATTATAGGCATGAGCAACTGTGCCCAGCCTCAAAGAAGATCAATGTCTTTTTTGTTTGTTTTTGTTTTGAGACACAGTCTTGCTGTGTCACCCAGGCTGGAGTGCAGTGGCGCAGTCTCGGCTCACTGCAACTTCCGCCTCCCGGGTTCAAGGAATTCTCCTGCCTCAGCCTCCTGAGTAGCTGAAATTACAGGCATGCGCCACCACGCCCAGCTAATTTTTGTATTTTTAGTAGAGACAGGGTTTTGCCTTGTTGGCCAAGCTGGTCTCGAACTCCTGGCCTCAGGTGATCCGCCCACCTCAGCCTCCCAAAGTGCTGGGATTACAGGTGTGAGCCACCGCCCCCGGCCAGATCACTGTTTCTGTTTTGATACTTTGGTATCAGGTGCACATCGTGTTTCTCCTTGAACTTGAGCCCACGATCTTAGCATTCATTGGTGGATTGAGTGGTTGAATTCTGGAAGTTCTCGGAATGGCCTTGTTTTCCTCGTCTGCAGAATGAAACTCCAGCTGCCAGAGGGCTTCAGGCAGAGTCATCCTATGGAACATCATGGTTTAAGGGACCCAGGAAAACTGTCACTATGTGGCTACCTCAAGGTGGTACAATTAAGCGAGCGGCTCCAATAAGTCACCCATCCAGACATTCCTGGAGGAGAAGTGACCTTTGGGCTCCTCTCTGTCTTAGGTTCGGGTCACAAATGTGACTTTAGGCTTAGATCGAAAGGCACCCTCGTCTTCAAGCCCACAACGCTGCCATCGGCATGTCACTTTCGTCAAGAGGAATATGTGCAATTAATAAAGGAGACAGGGCTGGCGGGAGCCAATTATAACAAACACATCAGATGCCAATAGCGCTGCACAAACACGCTTTCCCATTGATTCCTGACAATCATTGTTGGCATCTGTGCCTCTCGGGGCCTGTTTTCTGCCCCTTCAGAGACCTTGGTAAAATGTCAGTTCCTGCGCCTTTCCCGAGCGTGCACACTTTCACTGTGTTTGCTCTGCGATACACCTGGGTCGTGTGTACAGAGAAGCAAGGGGGTGCTTTCTGCCGCTAATTTTGCTTTGTTTGACTCTTCTCTGGTGCACAATGTAAGATTTAAAAGCCGTGTAGGCCAGGTGCAGCGGCGCACGCCTGTCATCCCAGCCGCTCAGGAGGCTGAGGCCGGAGAATCGCTTGAACCTGCGAGGAGGAGGGTGCAGTGAACCGAGATCGTGCCACTGCACTCACAGCCTGGGGGACAGAGCGGGACTGCCACCGCCACGCACCCAGCCTGGGGGACAGAGCGGGACTGCCACCGCCACGCACCCAGCCTGGGGGACAGAGCGGGACTGCCACTAGCACACCCTCAGTGATGGTTCCCTCACTCCAGAACTTTCCAAGGGGGCCCATTGATCCCATGACGGAACAGACTGAGTGAACCCAGCTTCTGAACGTGCCTCCGACAACCCGGGCTCTGCCCACCAGGCACAGGCAGCACCAGTTTGTTCTCTGCCCCACGGCAGCGACCCCCTGTCTGTGTGTTTCCTCCCTGGATCCCCTTGCGGGGCCTGACCCAAGCTTGTGCTCAGTGCAGCTTTGTTGAGTCACAGCAGGTGCTTGGGGAGAGCTCCTGGCACAGAAACACGGGTGAGCCCCAAGCCCTGCCAGCTTCTGGAACCTCTGGAATGTTCTCCAACAGAACAAACAGCTCTGCACCTGATGTTGAGTCTGATATCACTCAGCTGTGTTCCAGGTCAGTTGCACATCTGGGTCCACAATGCCTTCCGGGTCGGGGGCATTACCTGTGGGGCCAGGACAGGCCAGACACAGGCCCCACGGGAGGGAAACCATTGAGAGCAGGTCGGGCTGAACATGTGGGTGTGGATTCTTCCCTTGCAAATGTCAAAGGGAACTCTTAACAGCGGTTATTCCAGGGACTAGGACACTTGCATGTGTCTTAATCTAATTAGAGCAAATGGCAGATGTTCTTCCAGGCGGCTTTCAGGGGAGGGGCCAGAACATTTTTCTTTTCTTTCTTTCTTTTTTTCTTTTTTTTTGAGATGGAGTTTTTGCTCTGTCGCACAGGCTGGAGTGCAGTGGTGCGATCTCGGCTCACTGCAACCTCCACCTCCTGGGTTCAAGCGATTCTCCTGCCTCAGCCTCCTGAGTAGCTGGGATCATAGATGCCACCACCACACCCAGCTAATTTTTGTATTTTTAGTAGAGATGGGGTTTCACCATGTTGGCCAGGCTGGTCTCGAACTCTTGACCTCAGGTGAGCCACCCACCTCAGCCTCCCAAAGTGCTGGGCTTACAGGTGTGAGCCACTGCGGATTGTCCAGAACATTTTTCGAATTAGTTGATGGAATGAGTTGATGTTCCTGGGACGGGTGTGGAGGGAGAGCTGTGCCCCTCCCTTCCGTGGACTGGAGAGGCTCACGGTAGAGCAGGCCTAGAACCCAGCTAGGCCACTGTGGTAGCAGGCCACCACCAGAGTCTACTCACTGCATTGGGAGTTCCCTTTCGCCAGGCTGGGCCCAGTCGTCTGCACCTGAACCAAAGCATGTTGCTGGCCAGAGCTCCTGGGCTAATTTCAGGACCATCAGAGTAAAGGGGCACTTCTGTCTTCAGCTCCCCTTGGACCTTGGCTCTTCTGCCTCCTTCCTACTGATAAAGGCCTACCTTTATGGCCTTTATAAAGATAGGAAATTACTTTTTTTTTTTTTTTTTTAAGATTGGCTCTTTCTGGCTGGGCACAGTGGCTCACGCCTGTAATCCCAGCGCTTTGGGAGGCCGAGGCAGGCGGACCACGAGGTCAGGAGATCGAGACCATCCTGGCTAACACAGTAAAACCCTGTCTCTACCAAAAATCCAAAAACAATTAGCTGGGCGTGGTGGGGGGTGCCTGTAGTCCCAGCTACTCAGGAGGCTGAGGCAGGAGAATGGCTTGAACCTGGGAGGCGGAGTTTGCAGTGAGCCAAGATTGTGCCACTGCACTCCAGCCTGGGTGACGGAGTGAGACTCCGTCTCAAAAAAAAAAAGACTGGCTCTTTCTCTGTTGCCCAGGCTGGAGTGCAGTGGAGCAAACACAGCTCACTGCAGCCACCACCTCCTGGGATCAAACAATCCTCCTGCCTCTGCCTCCCATGTAGCTGGGATCACAGCATGCACCATTGCACCCAGTTAATTTTTAAATTTTTTGTAGAGGTGAGGTCTCCCTACGTTGCCCAGGCTGGCCTTGAAACCCTGAGCTTAAGTGATCCTCCCACCCCGGCTTCCCAAAGTGCTGGGATTACAGGTGTGACCCACTGTGCCCAGCCCTAATTCCTTCCTTAAACAATTCCTTGTTTCAAGATCAACTGAGGGGTATGTAAGCAACAGAAATGCCTTTCTCACGCTCTGGAGGCCAGACACCCACACTCCAGGACAGGCAGGTCCGTGTCTGGTGAGGGCCCCCTCCTCGATGGCCATCTTTTCACTGTCCTCGCATGGCAGAAGGGGCAGATGAGGGCCTTGGGGCCTTTTTTTTTTTTTTTGAGACGGAGTCTTGCCTGTCACCCAAGCTTGAGTGCAGTGGCATGATCTCGACTCACTGCAACCTCCACCTCCCGGGTTCGAGCGATTCTCCTGCCTCAGCCTCCCGTGTAACTGGGACTACAGGCACGAGCCACCACACCTGGCTAATGGTTTGTATTTTTAGTAGAGATGGGGTTTCACCATATTAGACAGGATGGTCTCGATTTCCTGACCTCCTGATCCGCCTGCCTTGGCCTCCCAAAGTGCTGGGACTACAGGCATAAGCCACCACGCCCAGCCGCCTGCCTAATTTTTTATATTTTTGGTAGAGACAGAGTTTTGCCATGTTGGCCAGGCTGGTCTCAAACTCCTGACCTCAAGTGATCTGCCTGCCTTAGCCTCCCAAAGTGCTGGAATTACAGGTGTAAGCCACCACACTTGGCCTTTTTTTAAAAAAATTAAATTTTATTTTATTTTCTGAGACAGGGTCTTGCTCTGTCACCCAGTCTGGAGTGCAGTGGTGCAGTCTCGGCTCATTGCAGCCTCCACCTCCCAAGCTCAAGCAATTCTCCCACCTCAGCTTCCTGAGTAGCTGGGACAATAGGCGTGCACCACCACGCCTGGCTAATTTCTGTGTTTTTTGTAGAGATGGGAGTCTCACCATGTTGCCCAGGCTGGTCTTGAACTCCTGGGCTCCAAGTGATCCACCTGCCTCAGCCTCCCAAAGTGCTGGGATTATAGGCATGAGCCGCGGCACCTGACTGTGATGAACTGCTACAGTGAATTTTACCAACTGGTTTGGAGACATCAGATGCCGTCGATACTTTGTAAATGTTGTGCATGAGAGACACCTGTGACCTACTTCTCACACCGGTGCTGGGTCCCACTCCTAGAAATTCTGGTTCTATTGGTCTGGGGTGTGACAGTGGGTGGTTTAAAGCTCCCAGGTGATTCTAATTTGTAGCCAAGGCCAAGAACCTCTGCCCTGGAGCCTGCTCCTCAAAGTCTGCTCCCGAGAGTCCTCGCAGGGCAGAGAGCAGGCAGTCAAGGAAGGTTTCCTGGAGGAGGAGTGAAGAGGTGGCAGAGAGCATTCCAAGCAGAGGGCAGGGCTTAAGAGAAGGCACAGAACAAAAAGCACCACCAAGGGGCTCAAGAGAAGACACAGAACAAAAAGCAGCATCAAGGGGCAGGAAAGAACAAGCTTGATGTTTCTGAATGTCATAGCTGGGATACTGTGTGTGCAAATTGGAGAAGACCCAGCCTAAACAGGCTTGTGTGCAAAGGGAGTTTACTGGTGTCAGCATCAGCCCCATCTGGGAGCTGGTTTGAAAGGCAGGACCTCAGGCTCCTCCCAGGCCCCTTGAATCGGAATCCGCATTTTAACAAGATTCCTGGGTCTGCTCACTCATGTTTGAGAAGCATGGCTTTAGAAGATGAGAAATGGAAGCTAAAATTTAAGCATGTCTTTTTCATTTTCTTTTTTTGAGACAGAGTCTCGCTCTGTTGCCCAGGCTGGGGTGCAGTGGCACGATCTTGGCTCACTGCAACCTCCACCTCCCGGGTTCAATTGATTCTCCTGCCTCAGCCTCCCGAATAGCTGGGATTACAGGCACTCGTCACCACGCAGGCTAATTTTTGTATTTTTAGTAGAGATGGGGTTTTGCCATGTTGGCCAGGCTGGTCTCAAACTCCTGGCCTCAGGTGATCTGCCCACCTCGGCCTCCCAAAGTGCTGGGATTACAGATGTGAGCCACTGCACCCAGCTATTCTGTCTTTTTCCACAAGCCAGCACAGCCCATACTGTATCTGCACATCACATCTCCCAGGCTTTCTCGTCTTTGCATACAAGTCCCAGGAATGCTACTTGATGCTCGATGATGGGGCAACCCAAATTTTCCCTGCTTTACCCTCTGATCAGTAAGACCATGTCTTTTTTTTTTTTTTTTTTGAGATGGAGTCTCGCTCTGTCGCCCAGACTGGAGTGCAGTGGCACAATCTCGGCTCACTGCAACCTCTGCCTCCTGGGTTCAAGTGATTCTCCTGCCTCAGCCTCCCGAGTAGCTGGGACTACAGGCATGTGCCACCACATCTGGCTAATTTTTTGTATTTTTAATAGAGACGGGGTTGCACCGTGTTAGCCAGGATGGTCTCGATCTCCTGACCTCCTGATCTGCCCATCTCAGCCTCCCAAAGTGCTGGGATGACAGGCGTGAGCCACCGTGCCCGGCCGAGACCATGTCTTATTCATCTTTGTACATCAGCATAGTGTGTTGCAAGAATCCTGGAATGAGTTGGGTATAAAATCAGTACAGTACCCTAAAACTTAAAGCATGATAAAATAAAATAAAATAAATAATAATAATAATGAAAAAAAAGAAAACACTGATAACAACAACAACATCAACAACAAATCAGTGGCCGGGCGCAGTGGCTCACGCCTGTAATCCCAGCCCTTTGGGAAGCCGAGGGAGGCGGATCACAAGGTCAGGAATTCGAGACCAGCCTGGTCAATATGGTGAAACCCCATCTGTACTAAAAATACAAAAATTAGCCGGCTGTGGTAGCGGGTGCCTGTAATCCTAGCTACTGGTGAGGCTGAGGCAGGAGAATCGCTTGATCCCAGAAGGCGGAAGTTGCATTGAGCTGAGATCGCGCCACTGCACTCCAGCCTGGGAGACAGAGTGAGACTCCATCTAAAAAAAAAAAAAAAAGTCAGTTTGCAATTGATCATGTGGAATTCGAAATCATGGGCTCAAACGATTCTCTCACTTCACCCTCCCAAGTAGCTGGGACTACAAGTGTGCACCACCATGCCTGGCTAAAGTTTAACTTTTTTTAAGAGATGAGGGCTTGCTATGTTGCCCAGGTTGGTCTCAAACTCCTGGGCTCAAGTGATCCTCTTGTCTTGGCTTCCCAAGGTGCTGGGATTATAGGTGTGAGCCACCATACCCAGTGTAATTCTTATTTTTTTATTTTTTAGACCGAGTCTTGCTCTGTTGCCTAGGCTTGAGTGCAATGGCGTGATCTTGGCTCACTGCAATCTCTGCCTCCTGGGTTCAAGCGATTCTCCTGCCTCAGCCTCTTGAGTAACTGGGATTACAGGTGTGCACCACCACGCCTGGCTAATTTTATATTTTAGTAGAGACGGGGTTTCACCATGTTGGCCAGGCTAGTCTTGAACTCCTGACCTCAGGTGATCTGCCCGCCTCAGCCTCCCAAAGTGCTGGGATTACAGGCATGAGCCACTGCACCCAGCCTCCTGATTCTTTTTTTAAGGGACGATTAGTAAAAATAAATGTCAGCAACTTGGGAGCAGTGCTAAGCCAAGCCCTGTGTTTGCTCTACTTCCTAACCCCCAACCAAATGTAACTAAGCCACTGGGGACCTCCACCGTGTGGATACTCCCCTCCCTTCCAATTGTGAGCTCCTCAAAGATGAGGGCAATGCCGGCTCCAAAAAGCACATGACGCATGAATGAATTTGTGAGTGGGTGCAGACAACCTGTCTACACAGGTGTCAGCTTTCCTACTAGTGAAGCAAGCTCCAACAAAAGATTTTTTTTAAGGCAAAGAAAAAAGAAAAAAGAGAAAAAAGTCTCCCATAGGTTGCTTGCCTCATGTGTCCACAGAAGATAATGGATTGCGTTGAAATCCAGGAGCCTTTTCTCTGAAACCTAAGGTCTGTGAGCAGCAGAAAGCGGATGGTCGGAAGATCTGATAAAAGAGTCTAATATTCAAAACAGCCTGGTTAAATGTGCACAGCCTCGAATGCAGACGTGAGCCACATGCTCTCAGGATGCACTGACATTGTTTCGTTATCGAGATGAAGCACTAATGTTTTAGAAGAGTGATGGTGGAAGACAGCTGAAGATTTCCTGTCATTTGAGTGTTTATTTATAATCCCTCCCAGTCTCAGTCCTTGTTCCTAAAAGCGTCCGCATCAAGATGATGATTAAACACAAATACCTCATCAGGTGTCCCCTAAATCCTGGGGTACAGATGGGCAATCTGCAGGTACCTTCCCCCCTGCACAGAGGGAGCATCGAAGCTGCAACCCAGGCTGGACCAAAGGAGGACACGCCAAGCGTTCTCCTTGGGGATCCCCTGATAGGGAGGAACAAGATCCGTCCATAACTGAGTTGAGCTTTTCCTCAGGAATTCAGCTCCATCCACCTGTAACAAAAAACCCAATTTAGGGCTGTGTGCAGTGGCTCACACCTGTAATCCCAGCACTTTCGGAGGCCGAGGTGGGTGGATCACTTGAGGTGAGGAGATCGAGACCAGCCTGGCCAACATAGTGAAGCCCCTGTCTCTACTAAAAATATAAAACTTAGCCGGGTGTGATGGCGCATGCCTGTAGTCTCAGCTACTCAGGTGGCTGAGGCAGGAGGATTGCTTGAGCTTGTGGGGTTGAGGCTGCAGTGAGCCAAGATCGCGCCACTGCACTCCAGCCTGGGTGACAAAGTGAGACTCCGTCTCAAAAAAAAAAAAAAAAAAGGAAAGAAAAACAATCAAGCTATTTAGAGGAAATAATACACACGTTATTTATAAAAGTCTGAAACCAGGCTGGGCGTGGTGGCTCATGCCTGTAATCCCAGCACTTTGGGAGGTTGAGGCCGGAGGATAGCTTGAGCTCAATGGTTCAAGACCAACCTGGGCAACATGGCAAAATCCTTTCTTTGCAAAAAATACAAAAATTAGCCAGGTGTGGTGGTGTGTGCCTGTAGTCCCCGCTACTTGAGAGGCTGAGATGGGAGGATGGCTTGAGCCCAGGAGGCAGAGGTTGCAGTGAGCCGAGATCACACCAGTGCACTCCAGCCTGGGCAACAGAGCCAGACCCTGACTCAAAAAAAAAAAAAAAAAAAAAGAAAGAAACAAAAAGTCTGAAACCAAATTGCAACTTGTGCATCTTATGCAAATTGTACAGACGTCGTACGCTACTGATTACACTGAGTGGCTTTATGCACTCACTGTAGGGTTACCCTTAGGAATTTCTGATTCGAAACCCACCGAGGCAGCTCTGATTTCGCTGAGAACTCCATCGCTCTTCTCCACCTTCTCCACCGTGGCTCGGCAGTTGGCCCATCCGTACCTGGCTGCTCAATGGCTTGACTTTGACACAATAAACGGGAACTCGTTCACAATGAAGCCATCTCACGCCAAATCTATGTGTTCTACAGTGATTCCAATGCTAGTCGGGGAATAAAAGTTTAACACAGACTTTACAAAACAGGAGATTGCCAGAAACAATATTTAGGTGTTTCCTTTACCATGAATTCATGTTGGAAGGTTCTGGATGCCTAGGAAAATATAATTCGACATAACTTAATTTTTTTGTTTGTTTTTGAGATGGAGTCTTGCTCTGTCACCCAGGCTGGAGTGCAATGGTGCAATCTCAGCTTACTGCAACCTCCGCCTCCCAGGTTCAAGCGATTTTCTGCCTTAGCCTCCTGAGTAGCTGGGATTACAGGCACGCGCCACCACACCTGGTTAATTTTGGTATTTTTAGTAGAGACGGGGTTTCACCATGTTGGTCAGGCTGGTCTCGAACTCCCGACCTCAGGTGATCCACCCACCTCAGCCTCCCAAAGTGCTGGGATTACAGGCGTGAGCCACCACGCTGGACCTCGCACGTCCTTCTTCTAAAGCATCAGCCGTTGGCGGCAGAGCCCGCTCGAATCCAGCACGTCCTCTTCTTCACTAATTACAGCCAGTCCTCACTATAGGCTTTTGGAAACTGCAACTTTAAGGAAAACGACATGTAACAAAAACTATTTTTTTTCCTTGTTAACATTATAATGAAACAACAAACAACCTAATCTGAAGACCTGTTTTACTTTGTTTTGCTTAAAGTCAGTTTCCAAAGATCCACTGATGATGTTAAATGAAAACTTCACATCTTATTTTGTAGAGATGGGGTCTCGCTATGTTGCCTAGGTTGGTCTCAAACTCCTGGGCTTAAGTGTTCTCCCCCACCTCGGCCTTCCAAAGTGCTAGGATTATAGGCGTGAGCCACCTTGCCCGGCCCTTTTTAATTTTTAGTTAATTAATTATTATTTTTTATTTTTAGAGACAGGGTCTCGCTCTATCACTCAGGCTGGAGTGTAGTGATGCAATCATGGGTCACTGCAGCCTGGAACTCCTATGCTCAAGCAATCTTCCCGCCTCAGCCTCCCAAGTAGCTGGAACTACAGGGCGCCACCACAGCTGGCTCAGGAAAGGGCGTTCTAAGGAGGAGACATTTAAGCTGAAACCTTGTGAGTGAGAAGCAGCCAGGCATGTGAAGAGGGTTCCAGCAATACAGAACATGCTGCCCAAAGGCCCCGGGCCGGGAAAGAACTTGAATTGTTGCCAGCACTGGAAGAAATCCAGAATGCTGGGCTTGCTGAGCTTTGGTGAGGAAGTCACAGAGGCAGGGCGTCCCAGGCCTTGCTGGGGGAGGTCCTGAGCCCAGGTTGTCGGATAAAATGTAGGGCTCCCAGTTAAATTTTTTTTTTTTTGAGACAGAGTCTTACTCTGTCACCCAGGCTGGAGTGCAGTGGCGAGATCTTGGCTCACTACAACCACTGCATCCCAGGTTCAAGCGATTCTCCCGCCTCAGCCTCCCAAGCAGCTGGGATTACAGGCACCCACCACCACGCCTGGCTATTTTTTTGTATTTTTATAGAGATAGGGTTTTGTCATGTTGATCAGGCTGGTCTTGAACTCCTGACCTCAGATGATCTGCCCGCCTCGGCTTCCCAAAGTGCTGGGATTACAGGCGTGAGCCACCACACCCGGACAACTCAAAATTTTAAAAACATTAAATGGTACTTTACATGTAGAGAAGTTGAATAAAACGTAGTTATTCCCCCATGATGTTCTTTTAGAAGTTTTTTTTTTTCTTTTGAGACAGGGTCTCACTCTGTCACCCAGGCTGGAAAGCAGTGGTGCCATCTTGGCTCACTGCACTCCAGCCAGCCTAGGCAACAAGAGCAAGACTCCATCTCAAAACAAAACAAAACACAAAAAACAAAAAACAGCACCCCTGCATAGGACAGCTTCATCTGACAGCACCACCGTCTTCTACGTGGACTGAAAAAAATTTAATTACAAACTGGGCGGGGTGGCTCACGCCTGTAATCCCAGCACTTTAAAGGCCAAGGCCGGGTGGATCACCTGAGGTCGGGAGTTTGAGACCAGCCTGAACAACATGGTGAAACCCTGTCTTTACTAAAAATACAAAAATTAGCCGGGCGTGGTGGCGGGTGCCTGTAATCCCAGCTACTTGGGAGACTGAGGCAGGAGAATCGCCTGAACTGGGATTACAGGCACACACCACCAGGCCCAGTTAATTTTTGTATTTTTAGTGGAGACAGGATCTCACCATGTTGGCCAGGCTGGTCTCGAACTCCTATACGATCCCACACCAGCATTCCTCAAAACCGTCCAGGTCACCAGAAACACTGTCACAGCCCAGAGGAGCCCAGTGAGACATGGTGACCAAAGGCGATGTGGGGGCCTGGAGCAGAAAAGAAAATTAGGGGAAGAGTAAGCAAACCTGAATCAACTACCGACTTTGGTTAGTACTAATGTAGCAATATGGGTTTATTCATTGTAATAAATGTACCATACTAATATATTTTTTTTTTATTTTATTTATTTATTTATTTTTGAGACTGAGCCTTGCTCTGTCGCCCAGGCTGGAGTGCAGTGGCTCGATCTCGGTTCACTGCAACCTCTGCCTCCTGGGTTCAAGTGATTCTCCTGCCTCAGCCTCTGGAGTAGCTGGGATTACAGGTGCATGCCACCATACCGAGCTAATTTTTGTATTTTTACTAGAGATAGGGTTTCACCATGTTGGTCAGGATAGTCGAACTCCTGACCTCAGGTGATCCCCCCGCCTCAGCCTCCCAAAGTGGTGGGACGACAGGCGTGAGCCACTGTGCCTGGCCCACACTAATATGTTAATAATAGGGGAAACTGGGCATAGGGCATATAGAAACTCCCTGAACTAGCTTCTCAATTTTTCTATAAATCTAAAACTCTTCTAAAAAATAACATCTATTTTTAAAATTCTATTAGACAATTCTCATATCAACTTTCTGTAAAGGACTGACAAAGATTCTTCTATACTACATTTTTACTTTTTTTTTTTTTTTTTTTTTGAGACGGAGTTTTGCTCTTGTTGCCCAGTGGAGTGCAATGGCACGATCTCGGCTCACCACAACCTCTGCCTCCTGGGTTCAAGCAATTCTCCTGCCTCAGCCTCCGGGTAGCTGGGATTACAGGTGTGAGCACCATGCACCACAACTCCTGGCTAATATTGTATTTTTAGTAGAGACGGGGTTTCTCCATGTTGGCCAGGCTGGTCTCAAACTCCTGATCTCAGGTGATCCACCCGGCTCAGCCTCCCAAAGTGCTGCGATGACAGGCACGAGCCGCCACCGTGCCCAGCCCTTTTTTTTTTTTTTTTTTTTTGAGACAAGGTCTCGCTCTGTCACCCAGGCTGGAGTGCAGCGGCACAATCACAGCTCACTGCAGCCTCAACTTCCCTGGGCTCAGGTGATTGTCCCACCTCAGGCTCCCAAGTAGCTGGGACTACAGGTGAGCCACCACCCCTGGCTATTTTTTGTAGAGATGGGATTTCACCATGTTGCCCAGGCTAGTCTCAAACTCCTGAGCTCAAGCAATCCATCCGCTTCCACCTCCCAAAGTGCTGGGATTACAGGTGTGAACCACTGTGTCTGGCCCATTTTTACATTTTCAAAAAATGTATTGAATATTATACACATAGAAGTGCCCAAGCCATCAGTGTACAACTCAATGAATTTTCACAAAGGTGACCATTTACCATTGCTCAGACCAAGGAACAGAAGGTAACCAGCACCCCAGAACCCCCCTCACTCCCCTTCCTCTGCCTACCCCTCCTCAGCAAGAGTAACCACGACTGGACCTTGTAAAGCTATGTATTTGTTCTGCTTATTTTTAAATCTTATGTAAATGAATCATAGATGATCTCACACTGCATTTTAATAGACACCACCATTCTCTTTCTCCTCTCTAGGGCTTTCAGCACTTCTCAAATCTTACAAGTTGTGAGAAAATGTATCATTCTTTTACACTCAACTGTGTCAAACATCCTAAATAAAGTTCCCAAACCCAGGAAAGCCAGGGACTGTCTGCGATTTGCTGTTCCCAAACCCATGAAACCCAGGGACCGTCTATGATTTGCTGTGGCTTCACCTGTATGGGTCCAGGTTGCTCACGCCCACCTGTTCACCCTTATGAGAACCCATCACATTAAGAAGATGGAAAACAGGCCG